>NC_000009.12:75720552-76345552 GCF_000001405.40 Homo sapiens | reverse complement strand
CAGCTACTCAGGAGGCTGAGTCAGGAGAATAGCGTGAACCCGGGAGGCAGAGCTTGCCGTAAACCAAGATTGCGCCACTGCACTCCAGCCTGGGCGACAGAGTGAGACTCCGTCTCAAAAAACAAATAAACAAACAAACAAAGAATACGAAAATAAGCCAGGGGTGGTAGCATGCACCTCTAGTTTCAGTTACTTGAGAGGCTGAGGCATGAATATCCCTTGAACCCGGCAGGCGGAAACTGCGGTGAGCCAAGATTGCATCACTGCACTTTAGCCTGGGTGACAGAACTTTAGCCTGGGCGACAGAGTAAGACTCTGTTGCAAAAATAAAATAAAGTAAAATAAAATAAAATAAAATAAAATAAAATAATAAAATAAAATAAGGGAACAATAGACACTGGGAAATACAAGAGCAGGGAGAGAAGGAGTGGGGCAAGGGTTGAAAAACTACTTATTGGGTACTACTCTCACTACTTGGGTGACAGTTATTTATACTCCAAACTTCAGCATCATGCACTATACCTTTGTAACAAACCTGCACATATACCCCCAATTCTAAAATAAAAGTTGAAAAAAATTTGTTGTTTTTCAAACTGTGCTTACAATATCACGAATCATTTATCTAATCCCCGCAATCATCTTCAAAGGCTGGTGTCGTCCTGTTTTGATTGGTTGACGGTAAGAGACATTAGCTTACCTAATGATGATTGTCTAATGTTAATTAGGACCCAAGTGCCCCCACTGCACTGCGCCGCCCACTGCACAACACTAGTGGGCTGGAATTAGGGTCGTCAGATTTCGCAAATCAAATACAGTATTTTATCAGACAACCCTAGTTGGAATAAAGGTCCCACACATCCAGTAATGATGGTAACAGAGGTAAGTTCAACTTTTCAAAAAACCAAATAGAAAGCCAATATTTACCACCATATGGCCAATGATAATATCAGCTTTCCACCACTCCCATCCCACCCCCAATTCAGTGTATTTTCTCATCTGTTATCTAATTCCAGTTAGAAGTTTTAAGTGGTAACCATATATGTCTCTGGAATGAAAAAGCGATAACAGATTAATGAGTAGTTAATGCAGTTTGTTTGGAAGGCTAATTCTTTCATGTGCTGGAGTCAATTGTGAATGGGCACAGACTGGGAACCATGATATGGTAGAGTTTTTATGGAGTTGCTTTAGGGGCTTCCTGGGAATGGTGGGTGGTGAGGGGAGCATGGAGAGGCATCAGATGGGGTTCTGGGGTGGCTCCTCTGCTCCCACCTGAGCAGCTCTGCCTGGATTGGTTTACCTAATAGGATTCAGCCTCAGATTTTATCTGAGGAAGGTGGCCACTGCTAAAATATCATTTGAAACCATTGCTCTAGGTTATTACTGTGGTGTCCAATACAGCAGCCACTAGCCACAGGTAGCCACTGAGCAGTTGAAATATGGCTAGTGCAACTTGAGTTGTGCTGTACATGTAAAATAAACATTGGACTTTCAAAGACAGTACAACACATGTAAAACATCTCAGTAATTTTATGTAGATTACATGTTCAAATGATAATATTTTGGATAAATGAAGTGTATGATTAAAATTAATTATACTTTTTTTTTTTAAACATGACTACTAAAAATTTTCAATCACATTTTATTTCTACTGGACAGTGCTGCTACACCACTAAGTACAATTACACAAATTAAACTAGCCTGGTCTGCGGGGACCTTGGCTGTCTTGTTCACAGTTGTAGAACATTGTGCCTTAAGTAAATGGATGAATGAAGACACAGAGTACTAAGGGAACATAGAATGAAGGGTCTGGGGAGGTTTTCTGGAGGAAGTGATGACTCTAATGGATCAGAAAGAGGTAGCCATGCAAAGCAGGCTGGAGAAACTATTCCAGAGAGAGGGAAAGTGGGTGAGGTTGGTTCAGGTTTATAGTTACTAATTATGCCCTGATTAGAGGATGGGAGAAGAGATGGTAAGAGATGAGGCTGAATATGAGAAGAGCTCTATGCTGAAGGGCCTCATACGCAAACATACTAAATTAAAATTCTATCCTGGCCAGGCCTGGTGGCTCACACCTGTAATCCCAGCACTTTGGGAGGCTGAGGCAGGCAGATCACTTGAGGTCAGGAGTTCAAGATCAGCCTGGCCAACATGGTGAAACCCCATCTCTACTCAAAATACACACACACACACACACACACACACACACACACACACACACAAATTACCCAGGTGCGGTGGTGTGTGCCTGTAATCCCAGTTACTTGGGAGGCTGGTTCAGGATAATCATTTGAACCCAGGAAGCAGAGGTTGTAGTGAGCCAAGATCATGCCACCGCATGCCAGCCTAGGTGACACAGCGAGGCTCTGTCTCAAAAAAAAAAAAAAAAATTCTATCCTAAGGTCAGTAGAGAGTTGTTTTTTAAGTGGAGATGTATCATTATATTTGTTGTATAAAGAGATCAGTCTAAGAGCATATGGAAGACTGGTTTATTACAGGGTGACTAATGCTAAAGGTAGGAAGACCAATTAAATAAATAATTGGTAAACAATTCAGACAATGAATGATGAGTCTGAACTAAGACAGTGACACTAGAATACCAAGAGAGGGGAGATGGAATTAGGAGATATTTAAGGGGTAGGTTTGGCAGGATTTGGGAACAAATTGAATGTGGGGATTGAGAGAGGGGGAGGAGCAGAGGGTAATGGCCAGGTTACTGTCTCAGGCAACTGGGTGAATGGTGGGGCCATTTATCCCAATAGGGAGCACAGAACAAGTAGTTTGGGAGTGGGGTGAGGAGTTGGAGGTGTCTGTTGAGCATCCAATCAGAGATACTCAGTCAGCAACTGGATGTATGGAACCGGAGCTCAGGAAAACCATTTGGGAAAAGAAGCAGATTTAGAGACACCAAGGCATAGGTAATATTGGAAGCCACCTTAAACTTGGAGATGGCTATATTCACATGTACTTGGGAAGAAGTTATTTTAAAATATAATGTCATCAAGATACTTTTCAGGAATTTCAGCTCAGTGGCTAGACAGCAAACGTGCTGATGGTCTTCTCCCAGTGTGGGGGAATACCTGATTTCTCATCTTGTTTTCCCTAATTCTTGGTGTTTCTATATCATCAACATATTGCCTCAAGATGAATCATTTTGGAAGGGGAAAAAAAAAGAGGATTAGAGGCAGGCTCTAACAGGTTGGCCTTTGCTTATTTCATCCACAAGTCTTAAGTATCCCTCCTGCCATCCCACCAGGCATTTGGATTAGTAGAGTGAGGCTGGGCAATAATTTAGGGTACAATCCTCTTCTAAGAATCTGATTATCCATTAGTGACACATATGCATTAAAAAAATATTTTATAAGCTCAGGTTCTGACATCCCATTTACTTTAAACATAATGAAATTATAGAATAAATATAAAGAGAGGAAAACAAAATAAAGATAGATGGCCTTACAAAGAAAATGAAATCTCTTTGGAACATAAAGGAAATATAAATGCAAAATGGTAGTCAGGTTCAAGCCATCCACCTTCTCTGCTCCAGGACTAGAAGTAGGCAATGGTGACTGTGAGCTCACCTTTTCTACCAAAATAGGAACTAAAAGTGTTTTACATAAGACCAGAGCCAAAATCCAGGCTTAGCGCTTAAATCAGGAGTCATGTTGGGACTCTGCCTTCATAGACATCACCTCCTGACAAGATCTCTCCTAAGCTGCTGATTGAATTGCTGATGGGATCTATGCTGTCATCAATATCACTTCCAGGAATACTGGAACATCTTGTTCTGGACTGAGTTTCAGGTTGAAGACAGGGTTAGAGTTAATGGAAAAATTTCTAGACTGTGAGAAGTAAAGATAAGAGAGAGAGGGAGTAAAGAACCAAAACCAAAATATTTCATTTACAGTGAGCTTAAGACCAGCATTCCAAAGTATATAGATAAAATGAATGCTAAGAAAGATGACAGGCCAGTGCAGTGGCTCACGCCTGTAACCCCAGCACTTTGGGTGGCCAAGATGGGAGGATTGCTTGAGCCCAGGAGTTCAAGATCAGCCTGGGCAACATGGCGAGACATCGTCTCTATTAATTATAAAATAAAGTTTAAAAAAAGGATGACAAACATGATCAATAATTAGAACATGAATTTAAATCAGATAATACTGATTTCATAGAAACATTTGACAAAGTATTTAAAATTGGTATGTTTAAGATGCTCATAAATAAATGAAGACATAGTATCCATAAATATGTTAAATTATAAGACACAAACAGAAAGATCTAAAATAAAAATGGATGAGAAGAAGAAACAATTTGAAATCTTTTTTTTTGTTTTTGAGGCATGGTCTCACTCTGTCACCCAGGCTGGAGTGCAGTGGCACAATCATGGCTCACTGCTGTCTTGACATCCCTTGCCCAAGTGATCTTCCCACCTCAGCCTCCTGAGTAGCTGGGATTACTGTTGTGTGCCACCACTCCTGACTAATTTTTGTATTTTTTTTTTTTTTCTGTAGAAACAGGATTTCGCCAAGTTGCCCAGGCTGGTCTCGAACTCCTGGGCTCTAGTGATCCTCCCACCTCAGCCTTCCATAGTGGTGGGATTACAGGTATTAGCCACTGCACCTGGCCAATTAGAACTCTCAAAAGTAAAAATATAGTCACTTAAATTGAAAACAAAAAAAATAGATGGGTTGGATTTTAGACTGAACACAGTCTAAAACAAGTCAGGGAATGAAATGGAGTGCTGAAGAATTAACCTAGTATAACTCACATAGAGTCAAAGAGGCAAAATATAAAAGAGTAGGTAGGATACAAAGGAAGGATCAATAAACTCTAAATTGCATTTAATAGAAATTCCATAAAACGAGATTGGAGGGGAGAGTGGAGAAACAATATTTGAAGTTTTTTTTTTTTTTTTTTTTGACAGTCTCGTTCTGTTGCCACGCTGGAGTGCAATGGCGCAATCTCGGCTCACTGCAACCTCTGCCTCCAGGTTTCAAGCGATTCTCCCACCTCAACCTCCCAAGTAGTTGAGATTACAGGCACCCGCCACTACGCCTGGCTAATTTTAGTATTTTAGTAGAGATGGGGTTTCACCATGTTGGTCAGGCTGGTCTCGAACTCCTGACCTCAGGTGATCCGCCCACCTCAGCCTCCCAAAGTGCTGGGATTACAGGTGTGAGCCACCGCGCCTGGCTATTTGAAGATCTTATAGCTGAACATTTTTTAATTTGCAAAAAGACATTAGGAATTTGTTACCTATACAGTCATTCATTCAGTGAACAAACACTGAATGAAAACTTATGTTTTACACTCCAGAGTAGAAACAAGGGATACACAATGAATGTAGTATAATCCTTGCCTTTGCTTGAGGGGCTCACAATTAGTAGGAGGGATGGACTTGTTTAATTAAAATGTAGTGTAAAATTTCCATGATAAAGCAGTGTATTACAGAATTAAGGAGGAAGAATACTCCTGGGAGGACTAACAAAAGCTTCATGGAGGAGATGAGATGATACTCAAGCTGAATCTTTAAGTTGAGAGTTCCCTACAGCATTGAGTCAATAGAGGAATGAAAGAACATGGCATATTTGGTGGCTGCTGAGTGGTTCTGGGTAGTTCTAGCTTCTAGAATACATGGAAGACAAGTCCTTAAGACATAAGTTAAGGGGACTGCTGGGAAAATCTTAATAGCCTTTTAAATATAAAAACATTTATTGGCCGGGTGCGGTGGCTCACACATGTAATCCCAGCACTTTGGGAGGTTGAGGCGGGCGGATCATGAGGTCAGGAGTTCGAGACCAGCCTGATCAATATGGTGAAACCCTGCCTCTACTAAAAATACAAAAATTAGCCAGGCGTGGTGGTGCACGTCTGTAATCCCAGCTACTTAGGAGGCTGAGGCAGGAGAATCGCTTGATCCTGGGAGGCGGAGGTTGCAGTGAGCCAAGATCGCGCCACTGCACTCCAGCCTGGGCGACAGAGTGAGACTCCATCTCAAAACAAACAAAAACACTTATTAAAAGTTTATTGAAGTGTAGTAAGTAAATGCATAGAATGGAGAGATATACCATTATACCATATTCATAAATATGATAACTCAGGATCATAAAGATGGGGTTTTCTCCAAAATAAATTCAATGCAATGCTACTCAATATCCAAATACTTTTTAAAAATGAAAGATTTTTAAAAAATTAAACCTGACTGGTTACATATTTATATAAAAGAACTAAAAATAGCCAAGATAATTTTGAAAAGAACAGGTATGTATCCTACCAGCTAATAATATTTTTCTAGAAAGTTTTAACAATTAAAATATAGAAGTATTTCATTCTTAAATATTGAGAAGCATTCATGGTGCTCATATATTTATGGCAAGATGTAGAGAAAAATGAGAAATTTGAATTTTAAGGCAATCACTCTGGCATTAGTATACCAGATGACCTGGTGTGGGGGCAAGATTGAGAGTTGGGGTGACCTGCTGGCTGCTTCAAAAGGTGTGATACTAGATACTGAGAATGGAAGATGAGGGTAGTGAGAATGAAAAAGATCTCATTAGATAACTATTTGGGAAAGAGTACCAACAGATCTTGAAGTTTAGCTTTGTTGGAGGTGGGTGGGTTGGGCAGGCAACAGGGGAAGGAGAAGAGTCAAGGAGAACTTCAAAGTATCAGCCTGGACTCCTTGGTAGATGGTGAGCCTTAAGGATCTCTGGGACAGACAACTAGATTTCTGTAAAAGAGGCATGGAGCTTGGGAGAGTTTGAGGCAGAAGTCTCAGGGAATAGTGGGAGTAATGAAAATAAACAAATTCCCCCAGACAGACTCATCAGGTAGAGTAGGAAAATGATGAGTGAACGAACAATACTTCCTCAAGGAGATGATGCCTGTCTCTGGGCCTTGAAGGATGGGGGATGGGCAGGAGCAGCCCAGGTTAGAGGGAAGATGTGGAAGTTAAGAGCGAACAGAGGGCGCTGATGCTGGAGAGGATCACACACGAGGTAGGGAAGCAAGAGGAACCTCCCAGGTGGTGAGAAGAGAGAAAGGGGCAAATAAGGAAGAAAACCTTTTCATTTTTCTACGCACTCATGCAAAATGACAGGTAGACTCTCACCTTTGCATTGATCACAAGTCGGATGGCATCTCTCACAGGTCTGTGTGCTTTGCTCTACATAGTAATGGTCTGGGCAGGAGCGATGACACTCTCCTTTGGAGCGGAGCAGAAAGAAAAATCTATCGCAAGACAGGCAGTCTGTGGGCCGTGGGCCCTGGCACCCCTTGCAGCTCCTGTTGCACCTCTCACACCGGCCAGTGGAGTTGTCTGCGTAATATCTGAAACCAAAGGAGAAGAAAAGATGGAATAGTAAGCTTTGCTCCTAAATTGGATGCAGTGGAAAAACATGGTGGTCAGGTTTCATTTACAAGCTGAGTGACTTTAGCCTCTTTACCTTACTCATTAGATTCATTGCTAATAACACTAATGAATCCAATGATTCCCAGTGTTCTTACCTGTAAATTGGGCCAATCCCTCCCCTACTATTTGTGAAAATTAAACTGGGTAACTAACACATATGAAAAGACCTAGTGCTTATAACACCTAGTAGCACCTCCATCGTTGCTAGCTACCATTGCCTTTTTCTACCATGTGTCTCTCCAAGTTCATGCTTTAAGTTGTGATTAATGGCTGGGATCAGAGAATGGAAGGATCTTTTTTTTTTTTTAAAACAGAGATGGGTGTCTCACTATGTTGGCCTGGCCATTCAGAGATACATTTAAAAGATCCATCCAGGCTGGGTGCAGTGGCTCACACCTGTAATTATAGCACTTTGGGAGGCCGACATGGGTGGATCACTTGAGGTCAGAAGTTTGAGACCAGCCTGGCCAACATGGTGAAACCCTGTCTCTACTAAAAATACAAAAATTAGCCAGACATGGTAGCATGTGCCTGTAATCCCAGCTACTTGGGAGGCTGATGCAGGAGAATCGTTTGAACCTGGGTGGTGGAGGTTGCAGTGAGCCGAGATCATGCCACTGCACTCCATCCTAGGCGATAATGTGAGACTCCGTCTCAAAAAAAGAGATCCATCTGGCCAGGTACAGTGGCTTACACCTGTAATCCCAGCACTTTGGGAGGCCAAGATGAGAGGATGACTTGAAGCCAGGAGTTCAAGACCAGCCTGGTCAATCAACATGGTGAAACCTCATCTCTACTAAAAATACAAACAAACAAACAAACAAAAGTAGCCAGATGTGGTGTGCAGTCCCAGCTACTTGGGTGGCTGAGGCATGAGAATTGTTTGAACCCAGGAGAGTGAGCTGAGAGCACACCACTGCACTCTAGCCTGGGTGACAGAGTGAGACTGTCATAAATAAAATACAATAAAAGATAACATAAAATAAATAAATGTACCTCTGAATTATTCTTCTAATTTGCCAATTAAAGAAGAAATTTTGAAATAGGAGGTGACAAGTGTGATATCGACATTTACATAATAGATATAACCTTGTTTGAAAAGATTTTTGGAAGTTAAATATGATAACTATAACCACTATTCATTAAGTTTCTACTAATATGCCTGATAGTATTCCAGGGACTTCATAAACATTATTTCACCTTATTGAACCTACAAATGAGACACTAGAGTGTGGTAGTTAGCACTTGCCCTCTGGAACAAGACTACAGTTTTAAATCCCAGTCATACCACTTACAAGCTGTATGACCTTGGGCCAGTCACTCAACATCTCTGTGCCTCAGGTTTCTCATCTATAAGATGGGACTAATGTTAGTACCTACAATTAAACATGTAATTACTGAGAAAGGGGTGGGGACCATGATGGGCACATTATAAATAATTAATGTATATTAGTGATAATTATAAATTTTATGATTTATCCTCATAGCAAATCTTATGATTTAGGTATTATTATCCTTATTTTACAGAAGCAAACATTGAAGCTTAGAGAATTTAGACAACTTGCTTAAAGTCAGTTAGTGAAATGAGACAATATGATTTGAGCTTAACTGTTAAACGCTACAACAAAATAGTGCATTAATTGAAGGCAAACAAAGGTTTGCAAGCAAGATAAAAGAGGGTAACAAAATTCTTGCTAAGGATGAACTTCTAAAGGTCATCTGATTCATCTCTGTATTTCTAGACATCAGCACCACTAAACCTATCCTAGAAACCTAAAGGTTCATCTTTGTTTTCTCTGGTGCAACACTACAGGTCCCAATAGGCTTTTTTTTTGTAGACTAATTCAGCTCCATGAACTTGCTGAAAACTCACACCATGCCTAGGTTATGTTGAGGCTTGGTCTGTTTAGCCACCTGTCACTGATCTGAGTGAGCACACTTGAACCTCAGTGGCCCAGCTTGTGGTAACTTGAGACTTCCTTCACTTTTTGCAGTTATGTGAAGAACAATGACTACTATGTGTCAATCTGTAAGACTGAGGTATCTAAGAGACAAGGCGATGATGAGCTGAATGGTTGACAAAGCCCACATAAGACTCAAGAAAAGAAACCATCAGGGAAAAGTGAAATCTACACAGAGCAGAGGGAATACACAGGATTAGAGTCAGAAGATAGAATTTTTAATCCTGGCTCTGCCATGTATTAGTAGCTCTGTGACTTTGGGCAAGTCACTTAACCCCTCTGATCCTCAGTTTCTTCATCTGTAAAATGGAGAGACTAACAGTAACGTCATGAGATTGTTGTAGAATCAAATCATAATGTAAAGATATATTGTGAGTGGAAATACTTTGTAACTCTTAAGCAGCATACAAAAGTTTTTTTACCTACTGTTTTTATTATAGATTGTTATAAAGATGAAAAGCATCAGTAGGAACTGTGGGAAAGAAAGCTTATCAATTCTAAGTAGGTTTTTAAAATTATCAAGGAGTAATGCTAAAAGAGACAATGAAGAGTTTATTGGAACAGATTAAAAGAGTACAACACCACTGCTTGCTTTGAGGACTCATCTTTTGAGCCTCCCAGCCTTGAAGAGCATAAGCACAAGCAGTAACCTAGGCTTTAAAGAAACTTCTCTGAGTTAAACACCAAAATAATTACGTGGGTTGGGATAGGGTGCAGAGAAGTGTATGCCTACTTTTCCAAGCCAGAGATTTAACATACAAGGGTTATGCCAAGCATGTGGAACACTGATTTTACTAAAGGAAGAGTTCTCATATACCTCATGAATATTCCATTTCTTCTTTATTAAAGAGATCTATGGCAACCTGTGCCTCCCCCCACCAGCCCTGGGGAACTTTACACGCTGTGGAACAATTGTCTTCTTAATTCCATGGTCTGCATTCTACTTAGATCACAGGATGATCAAGCACCCTTTTTGTGTTTGAGAGTGTTTACTGACTTGATTTGAGGAAGATGGGATCCAGATCTTTTCAGACACTTACTAGGGTGATGCAGAAGGGCTAAGCCAGGTAGCTTCATTCCTGTTTTTGTTTGTTTGTTTGTTTGTTTTTAAGACAGGGTCTTGTTCTGTTGCCCAGGCTGGAGTGCAGTGGTGCGATCTTGGCTCACTGAAACCTTCACCTCCAAGGTTCAAGCAATTCTCATGCCACAGATTCCCCAGTAGCTGGGATCACAGGTGCCTGCCTGCACACCCTGCTAATTTTTGTATTGTTAATAGAGACAGGGTCTCACCATGTTGGCAAGGCTGGTCGTGAACTCCTGGCCTCAAGTGATCTGCCCGCCTCAGCCTTTGAAAGTGCTGGAATTACAGGCATGAGCCACCACACCTGGCCATCCATCTCTGTTCTTGTCTGGCAGGGCCCTTTCTTCCTTGATCTATATGACTGGTGTTTTTCTTCTTTTCTGAGACAGAATCTTGCTCCAGGTTGGAGTGCAGTGGTGTGATCTTGGCTCACTGCAACCTTGGCCTCCTGGGTTCAAGCAATTCTCCTCCCTCAGCCTCCCAAGTAGCTGGGATGACAGGCACGTGCCACCATGCCTGGCTAGTTTTTGTATTTTTAGTAGAGATGGGGTTTCACCCTGTTGGCCAGGCTGGTCTCAAACTCCTAACCTCACCTCCCACCCACCTCGGCCTCCCAAAGTGCTGGGATTATAGGCGTGAGCCACCCTGCCCAGCCTGGCTGGTGTTTTTCAAGAGCTGCCAATGTGTGGCTCTGTGCTGAGTGTTGTAGAAGCAAATGTAAGACGTAAGAGGTGTTTTTCTTCCATGAGTTTATAATTTTCTTGGGAAGAGGCATATAAAAATAAGAATAAACTCTTAAAGTCAGTGATATGGTTTGGTTCTGTGTCTCACCCAAATCTCATCTTGAATTGTACTCCCATAATTCCCATGTGCTGTGGGAGGGACCCTGTGGGAGATGGTTGGATTGTAGGGGCGGTTTCCCCCATGCTGTTCTTGCTGTTGTGAATAAGTCTTACGAGATCTGACGGTTTGATAAGGAGAAACCCGTTTCGCCTGGCTCTCATTCTCTCTCTTTGCCTGCCGCTATCCACATAAGATGTGACTTGCTCCTACTTGCCTTCTGCCATGATTGTGAGGCCTCCCCATCCACATGGAACTGTAAGTCGAATTAAACCTCTTTAGTTTGTAAATTGCCCAGTCTTTGGGTATGTCTTTATCAGCCGCGTGAAAACAAACACAGTCAGTCTTTCTTTTACTCATCTTATTTATACATACAAAGTACTCATCATGAAATGTGTTAAATAAATAAGTGAATGAATGAGATAAATCAAAATGCAAGGCAGCATATAGCACTAAAATGAATGAAACAAGCAGTAACTGCTATAGGACCGAAGAGATGTGTCAATTTGGGTGAAAGCATTTGAGGAAGGTCTAAGGTTACAGCCCTTGATTTGGGTCTGGAAACTCCCAGTGCTCTAGGTTATTGATTGGGTAGAAAGAGTCAGCAACAGGCCTATCATCAATCTTTTACTCTTTACTGGGAATGCCTGGGGGAGAAAAAGGATATGCTGGCAATCAGACCTTCTGATAACACTAACAGTTCTTCCTAGCAGAAAAATAATAGAGTCCTTATCCATGAAATGCTTTTAGAAGGATACATCAAGTGCGTGTGTCTACGTTGTTTATGATAACAAAACCTGTAATTTGTGGATTTATAGGTGACATGACAGGTTGGGGAATTAATGGGGAATAAATGGAGATGTTAATGGAACTATTTCCTTTGTAAATCAATGTTCCACACTCACTGCTCTCCTCACATAAGCAGGTTGGGAGAATGTGAGACCCTGAATTTTAAATCTGAATCAGAACAAGTCCTGAAGGTGAAGAAAAAGAACCTCCATTAATGATCTTGGGCTTCTCTGAGGAAAGGATGCTTTGCTTCTGCCTTGTGATTGCTGAGACCCTTTGCCAAATTGTTTTAATTTTTAGAAACAAGGTCTTGCTCTGTCACTGAGGCTGGAGTGCAGTGGTGCAATCATAGCTTACTGCAGCCTCCAACTCCTGGGTTCAAGTGATCATCCCCTGCCTCAGCTTCTATAGAAGCTGGGACTATAGCCTGATGGCACCATGCCCAGCTAATCTTATTTTAATATTTTACAGATGGGGTCTCAAGATGTTGCCCATACTGGTTCAAACTCCTGCCTTAAGTGATCCTCCAGCCTCAACCTCCCACGTAGTTGGGATTACAGGCATGAGCCACAGTGCCCAGCTGCCAATATGCTTTGAATTTTCAGTAAGGACTGTCGTTGAGGAAGATCAATTGCTCAGGTGAGTCCGGCTTGACAATCTGACCCTTTGTGTTAACTCACTCGGTCACTCTGCCTCTCCTGTTTCTCTTCTGTTACTGTGAATTGGTTCATCTTTGCTCCTTACTAGCACTGAGACTTCAACCTGGTTTTATAAGTGTTCTGAATCTTAGTTTCCTCATTTGTAAAATGGGTTGATATCTGCTGTGGCTGTGAAATTACATGGGGGAAAATGTATTGAGCACTTACCCTTCCCTGCACTGGAGCAGGCACTCTTTTCCTAGCTGGAACCAGCCCGGTCGGCAGGAGTGGCACTGCCTGCTGTGTCTCCCTTCACATGTCCTGCAAGAGCTGTGGCAGTGGGCACACCGGTTGCTGTCCTCATCGGCATAATAGCCCTCTGGGCAGTCCTTCACACAGGTTGTGTCTGTCATGGGAGAAAAAATGTCTATTTGGACATCGAGCATGACACATGTCTCCCCTGTATTTTCCCTCTTGTGTACCATGGCGGGAGGGAGGAGAGGGCTGCAGGAGGAATGGGATGATCCTGTGAGCTGATGGATATGTTTGGGAAATAAGATTAGTGTCCAAGAAACAGAATTGCCCTAAGGCCATGAGGAATACAAGGAAAACAGAAGTCAGTGATATGGTTTGGCTCTGTGTCCCACCCAAATCTCATCAGTGATCCCATCTCATCTCATCAGAGATCCAAATCTCATCTGTGTCCCACCCAAATTTCTCAGTGGATTAGCTGTGGTGGGTAGAACAGAAACTACAGTCCGGCGCCTGTGGATGTTGGCAATGGCTCATTGTCCAGCTCATGTATCTGGTTAACTAGGGGGAAGCCCCAGCTTCCTGAAGGAAAAACACCGCCGTATTAGTCTCTTATTGCTGTTCCTATGAAGTATCCCCAACTTGGGGCCTTGAAACAACAATTTATTATCTTACTGTTCTGGAGGTCAGAAGTCCAAAATAGATCCACAGGGCTCTGTTCCTTTTAGAGGCTCTAGGAGGGAATCTGTTTCCTTTCCTTTTCCACTTGCTAGAGTCCACCTGCATGCCTTGGCTCATGGCCCCTTCCTCTGTCTTCAAAGGCAGCAGTGCAGTAGCTTCTCTCTGTCCCTCTGCTTCTGATCACATCACCTTCTATTACTGACTCTGATCCCCTGGCATCTCTCTTTTTTTTTTTTTTTGAGATGGAGTCTCACTCTGTCGCCCAGGCTGGAGTGCAGTGGCACAATCTTGGCTCACTGCAAGCTCCACCTTCCGGGTTCACACCATTCTCCTGCCTAAGCCTCCCGAGTAGCTGGGACTACAGGCACCTGCCACCACACCCAGCTAATTTTTTGTATTTTTAGTAGAGACGGGGTTTCACCGTTTTAGCCAGGATGGTCTCGATCTCCTGACCTTGTGATCCGCCCACCTCGGCCTCCCAAAGTGCTGGGATTACAGGCGTGAGCCACCATGCCTGGCCCACCCCCGGCATCTCTCTTATCAGACCCTTGTGATGGCATTGGGTCTACGTGGATAATGCAGGATAATCTCTCTATGCCGAGATCCTCAACTAAATCACTGCCCCAAAGTCCTTTACCAAGTAGAGTAATACATTTACAGGATCTGGGGATCAGGATGTGTCATCTTCAGGGGGGCCATTATTCAGTCTACCACGATGTCCAAAAAAAGTATCTAATTTATAAATAGCCTGACCCTGGTGGTGTGGTGGTGTGGGACAGGGTAGAGAGAATGTGAGGATACCAGGCTGAGCAAATCTGCACCCATTTCCCAGGGGGACTACAGCTCTGTGTCCTATACCAGCACTGAAGCCTCAATTCTAGTCTAATCTGCAGCCTCGGATGAGGGGAAGACCACTTTGTGGAGGCAAGCTGTCTTCTCTATATGAAGGCATCTGAGATGATTACTGGTGGCACTCTAGATTGGACGTAAGTAGAAAAGAAGGTCCGACGGGGTGGGATTACCTGGGAGACGTGGCTGGAGGGAATGCTTTTATGAAGCAGCAACTGCTGGGAAGGAGAGTCACAGAGATTTGTGGACCAGGAGCTAAGGTAGATGGATAGAGAAGACTGGTCTCTTTGAGTGTTTTCTATTGTGAAGTGATCAGGAATGGTATTGAGAATAGGTCTCCCTGTGTCTTAGCAGGGGGATGGTGTCCTCGCTCAATATGAAGAGGAAAAGCTTGCCATGCATGTCTTTAAAACATTTTTTTTTAATGTTTAAAATTTTTAAATTTAAAATTTTAATTTTTTTCCATTTTTTGTAGAGATGAAGTCTCACTATGTTGCCTAGACTGGCCTTGAACTCCTGGGCTCAAGCAATCCTCCTGCCTCGACCTCCCAAAGTGCTGGGATTACAGGCATGAGCCACTGCGCCCAGCCTACCACACATGTCTATTTGGAGTTTCACGCTTCTCAGGTCTACTCTCCTGGTGGGGGAGAAAAGTGCTCATACTTCCTGGTCTTCACCATATTCATCTCTCTCTTCTGTCTCCTATGACTTCTTTTTTAGTTAAGTTTTGTTTCATTTTCTTTCTCCCATGCTTGTTTTAAGCCTAGTCACAGTATCCCTGGGAACCTGAGGACATTGTTTCATATTAGCAATAACCTTCAACTCTGATCTGTGGGACCGTGGCCAACCTTGACCTGTGCCACTTTTTGCTCAAGAGGGATTTCTTAATCAACCATGCTAAATGGAGGGGAAATTTTGATGAGGAGCTGAATATCTACATGTTCTTAAAGTGTAACCCCACAGGCTACTTATTAGTTACAAGGGAATAAATAGTAATTATGCAGTAGGGAAACTGAACATCTTGGCCAGGTGATCAACATTAATATCACCGAGGAAAGGCATGTGGAGATCACGTTCCTCCAGGTGTGACTCTCGGAGGATACAACATCACTTCTGAAGTATGCTGGCCAAGCATGCACACTCTGCAACTGATCACGGGCAACTTCACAGTCACCCGAAAGGAAAAATGAAGACTGTATTTTTCCTTTCTTTTCTTTTTTTTCTGAGATAGAGTCTTGCTCTGTTGCCTAGGCTGGAGTGTAGTGGTGCGATCTCGGATCACTGCAACCTCTGTCTCCCGGGTTCAAGCGATTCCCCTGCCTCAGCCTCCCGAGTAGCTGGGACTACAGGTGCCCACCACCACACCTGGCTAATTTTTGTATTTTTAGTAGAGATGGGATTTCATCATGTTGGTCAGGCTGGTCTTGAACTCCTGACCTCATGATCTGCCCACCTCAGCCTCCCAAAGTGCTGGGATTACAGGTGTGAGCCACCGTGCCCAGCCAAGACTGTATTTTTCTAAAGCATTGATATTGTGAAAGAAAAAGAAAGTGTGTGGAAACATTTCATATTAAAGGAGGCTAAAGGGACATGGAAGGGCCTGGCATAGTGGTTCATGCCTGTAATCCCAGCACTTTGGGAGACTGAGGCAGGAGAATAGCTAGAGCCCAGGAATTCAAGACCAGCCTGGGGAACACAGTGAGACCCTTGTCTCTAAAAAGAAAAAAAAATGGCTGGACATGACATGGAAGGGCCAGGCATGGTGGTTCATGCCTGTAATCCCATCCCATCTACTTGGGAGGCTGAGGCAGGAGGATCTCTTGAGCCCAGGAGTTCAAGGCTGCAGTGAACCATGATCGTGCCACTGCACTCCAACAGCCTGGGTACTGCGCCTGGCCAACTTGTCTCTTAAAACAAAAAACAAACAAACAAAAAAGTGGCCGGGCGCAGTGGCTCACACCTGTAATCCCAGCACTTTGGGAGGCTGAGGAGGGCAGACTGCTTGAGGCCAGGAGTTCAAGACCAGCCTGGCCAACATGGTGAAACCCCGTCTCTACCAAAAATACAAAAAAAAAAAAAAATTAGCCGGGAGCGATGGTGCCCACCTGTAATCCCAGCTACTCAGAAGACTGAGGCATGACAATTGCTTGAACCCAGGAGTCAGAGGTTGCAGTGAGCCGAGATCATACCACTGCACTCCACTCTGAGCAACTGAGTGAGACTCCTTCCCAACAAACAAACAAACAAAAAAGGGACATGGAAGCTAAATGAAACAACTGACTCTAGCCTGAATCCTAAAGGGGCACTGAGAAAATTGTAATATGGATAGTATATTAAAGTATTGTATGAATGTACAATTTATTAGAGTTGATAACTATCCTGCGGTTATGTAAGAAAATATCACTAATCTGAGGAAATAGGCACTAAAATATTTATGGGAAAGGGGCCATGATGTATGCCTTCAAATGGCTTCGAAAAATATGTATTGGGAATGATGTACATGTATACATTGAGAGAGTGAGAGGAAGAGAGCGATAGAGAGAGAGAGAATGAGTGAGAAGGGGGGAGAGAGCCCACGAACAAATGATAAAGCAAATGGTGTAGAAGATGAGCAATTTGCGAACTGGATGAAGCACATCCGTGCGCTGTTCTTTGTACAGTTCTTACTCTTGCATCTTTTCTGCAGGTTTGAACATTTCCCAAACACAAAGCAAAAAATCAAAAAGAAAGAAGCCAGTATCTACTGGACAAGGCAGTGTGCAAGGCAGTTTCCCAGAGAGATGGAAACACAAAGCTGTCCTCGGAGAAGTAACTCACTGAGAAGAAGGCTGTTCATGGGGCATGTTTGACACTGGTCCTCCGCCGGCCCCATGCAGTGGAAGCACTTAACATGGCAGGGCTTGCACCCGGGAGCATCCTCATCCCAGTACTCGGAGGGTGAGCACTTCTCGTTGGCCATGCAGCTCCCACGAGGGTTCATGATCAGGCCTTTCTGACAGGTGGTGCAGGTCCCAGATGATGAGCAGGTCAAGCAGGACTTGTGGCAATCTGTGGGCGTGGAGGGGCAGCAGACAGAGTGAGCGAGAGCCAGGGTGGCCCTCGTGGGAATGGCTTCCCCTGGGAAAGGGTCTTCACATTCCTTTCACATTTCTTCCGGAGATTTCCAGAGCTCTGGGCCAATGGTGTGGGGCCATGAGTTGAGTACAGCCCTTGAGCTCTGGGGTGGACCATTCTTTTGCAAAATGAGAGAAAATTATTATTTTATTTTCTCTGTTGTATCCAGAGAGGGCTTTCCTGCAATAGCCATCTCAGAAATATTAGTAAGGCTCACTATAATTACCCAAACTGCAACAAAATAATAACAAGCCATTCTGTAATGGCATCGAATTTTCCACCGTCACAACACCTACTGTTATGGTCCTCCACTCACCTCCGGAGTACCTTGAGCTTATCACGAATACAGCAATTGTTGGAATGTATTTAATTGTCTGTTGACAAATAAAGGTCCCTTTTGCATTTATTTTTGAATACATAGTGCCTATGAGAGGGCCTGGCATGTAATAGGAATCGATAAGTATTTGTTAAAAAAAGAAAATAACAATTATCTTCCACCTCTAGGTTTTCTTTTTCTGTATTTAACTAGAGACGGGGGCTGGGTGCAGTGGCTTACGCCTGTAATCCTAGCACTTTGGGAGGCCAAGGTGGATGGATTGTTTGAGCCCAGGAGTTCGAGACCAGCCTGAGCAACATGGCAAGACACTGTCTCTAGAAAAAACACAAAAATTAGCTGGGCATGGTGGCGGGTGCCTGTAGTCCCAGCTACTCAGGAGGCTAAGGTGGAAGGATCTCCTGAGCCCAGGAGGTCAAGGCTGCAGTGAGCTGTGATTGCACCACTGCACTCCAGCCTGGGTGACAGAGTGAGACCCTGTCTCAGGAAAAAAAAAAAAAAAAAAATAGAGATGGGCCTTCACTTTGCTGCCCAGGCTGGTCTTGAACTCCTGGCCTCAAGTGATTTTCCTGCCTTGGCCTCCCAAAGGGCTGGGATTACAGGCATGAGCCACTGCACCAGGCCGACCATCTCTGGGATTTAGTAGTTGCCATTCTGTCTGCCTGCAATTCTCTTCTCCCAGAGGCATGCATGGTTTGCTTCCTGCCTTTCTCAATGAAATCTAAGACATCTCTCAAGTTTTATCTCCATCCTGCCTATCTCCCTGTCCTGCACCTCTGCCTTATTTTTGCTCTTGGCTTATGGTCGTTAGTACCTGTCTTCCCTAACAGAATGTGAGCTCCATGAGGGCAGGGACTCTGTCTCACTCCCTGCTGTTCCCCAGACCTGAAAGAGCACACGGCACATAGCAGGCCCCCCTGTAAGCATTCCCTGGGTGGATACATGCATGGTATTATTATTGTTTATATTATCCTCTCATTTTATCTAAATCAGGAAATTGAGGCTGGAGATGCTAAGTCACTTACGCTAAGTAGTATCAGGAGTTGAGCCCAGGACCTTAGCAACTGCCTTGCTGCTTCTGCTCCAGTGCTTCAGGAAAGGTATGGGACTTTTAGAGGTGTCTGTACTATCTATTACAGGATAATCTGGGTGATTGGAATGGATCCAAAGTCCTTGTGTTTCTTAGAGAAGATCCTGCTTACAGATTTTTTTTTCTTTTTTTTGCTATAGGTTCTTGCTCTGTCACCCAGGCTAGAGTGCAGTGGTGTGATCATGGCTCACTGAAACATTGACCTCCCAGGCTAAAGTGATCCCCCCATCTCAGCCTCTTGAGTAGCTGGGACTACAGGCACACACCACTACATCTGGCTAATTTTTGTATAATTATTTTTGTTTTAGAAATAGGGTCTTGCTATGTTGCCCAGGCTGGTCTCAAATTCCTGGACTCAAGAGATCCTCCTGCCTTGGCCTCCCAAAGTGTTGTTGAGATTACAGATGTGAGCCACCGTGTCCGGCTGAGATTGCTCCATTCTAAACGCTTCTCTACACTTCCCCAAATCTTAATTTTCAGATCAGGTTCTTTGTATTATCTCTCTGGAAAGTCAGGTTGTCACTGTTTCTTCCAATACCACATTCCTTCCCCTCCCTTTGGTCTGGTAGAAAGTGCAATGGCGGCCGGGCATGGTGGCTCACGCCTGTAATCCCAGCACTTTGGGAGGCAGAGACGGGCAGATCACCTAAGGTCAGGAGTTCGAGACCACCCTGACCAATATGGAGAAACTCTGTCTCTACTAAAAATACAAAATTAGCTGGGTGTGGTGGCACATGCCTGTAATCCCAGTCACTCGGGAAGCTGAAGCAGGAGAATCTCTTGAACCAGGGAGGCGGAGGTTGTGGTGAGTCCAGATCGCGCCATTGCACTCCAGCCTGGCAGCAACGAGAGCAAAACTCCGTCTCAAAAAAAAGAAAGTGCAATGTCATTGTAGGGAGACACCTCAAGTGAGTTTCCAACTCTGTCCTCACTAGTGGGGTCACATTGAGCAAGTGCTTAACTTCTCAAAGCATCTGTTTCCTTCTCAGAAAAATGCAGAAAATTGCCATTTACCTCAATGGCTCTCAACCCACACTAAGCATCAGAATTACTGGTGGTGGGAGAAGGAATTAGAATGTTGGGTGCAGGCATCTGTGGTTTTAAGAGCTGCCCAGGTGATTCTAATGGGCAACCAGGGGCCTTTCTCAAGGAGATAATTAAATCAGATAAATTAAGAAAACATACTCTGAGACCTGTAAAGCTCTCTGTATGGTAAATTACTTTCATTATTCAACACCAGAGAAAGGCCAGAAGTTGAACCTCAGTTCCTGCCCTCGCAGAGGCAAGATGGCGCTGGAGGCCTGCTGCTGAGTCTCTCACCTCCCAGAAGCCATTCCCAGCTCCACAGCCTGCCTCCCACACGAACACCCGCCTCTTCTGCATGCGGACACAGCCTTGACATCCACGCCTTTTCACATATGGGCAGGTAGGACATTAACACTAAATAGTGCTTTATATAAAACACACAAAAAGACATATCCACAGCACAAGGCTGGAGCAGAAAGCCTTCAGGACCGAGACACATCTTCGTGTCCTACTAAAAACCTTCCCCTCAGTATGTCCTAGGGTGTGGGTGTCCCAGGGTTTCTCAGTGGAAGGTCACTCTCAGGCTCTCGCGGTTGTTAGGGGAATTGCCTCTGGACATCTATCTTGTCGTGTTTGCTTGGGGGCGACATGTGGGGGTGAAGGACCTCAGGCTGCCTCAACAGAGTGAATCCTGGGCTCTAGAAAAGCCCCCGCCCCACAACATTTCTCTCACTTGCTAGAGAATTCTAGAGTGCATAACTTATTTTATTTTTCTGTTCCTTGATAATGAATAAGAGGCAAATGATTCATGCCGAGTTAAAACATAAGGAGGTATAAATAATAGCAGATCCTTTCTTGAACATGCAGGGACTGAGTGGGAGTGGAAATGGGGACCTTGGAGCAGGAATTGAAGGATATGAAGAGGAAGGTGGGGAGCTTCCAGGGAGCAAACCATGAAGGGAGGCTGGGCGCGGTGGCTCACACCTGTAATCCCAGCACTTTGGGAGGCCAGGGTGGGCGGATCACTTGAGATCAGGCATTCAGGACCAGCCTGGCCAACATGGTGAAACCCTGTCTCTACTAAAAATGCAAAAATTAGCTAGGTGTGGTGGCAGCCACCTATAATCCCAGCTACTCAGGAGGCTGAGGCAGGAGAACCACTTGAACCCAGGAGGTGGAGGCTGCGATGAGCTGAGATCATGCCACTGCACTCCAACCTGGGCAACAGAGTGAGACTCCATCTCAAGAACAACAATAACAAAATATGGACCGAGCGCCATGGCTCACGCTTATTATCCCAGCACTTTGGAAGGGCGAGGCAGGTGGATCACTTGAGGTCAGGAGTTCAAGACCAGCCTGGTCAACATGGTGAAACCCCCTCTCTACTAAAAATAGAAAAATTAGCCAGGCGTGGTGGCACACGCCTGTAGTCCCAGTTACTCAGGAGCCTGAGGCAGGCAAATCGCTTGAACCCAGGAGGCAGAGGTTATAGTAAGCCAAGATCGTGCCACCGCACTCTAGCCAACAGAGTGAGACTCTGTCTCAAAAAAAAAAAAAAAATCACCCAGGAAGGGAGACAAGAGGCACCAAGAAAGTCCCTTATGGTGTCACAATTTGCTTGTGTTATCAAGAAAAGTCTCAGGTAGCTTTTGAAGGCTCCTCCTCTCTGCTGTAAATCTTTATATGATAACTTCTTTTGACCAGCAGTTCATAGCCACTGTTGTGAGGAAGGTCCACGTGATTTGTCACTAATAAAAGTTACCTGTACAAAGCTTATGAGTGATTCATTTAAAGATTATTTACAACCGGTTCAAAATATGCCTCCTTGAGTGAGATGGTAAAGGATGAGATGGACTGGTCATGGTGACTCACACCTGTAATCCCAGCACTTTGGGAGCCCAAGGCAGAGGATTGCTTGAAGCCAGGAGTTCAAGACCAGCCTAGGCAACATTCTGAGACCTCATCTCTATGTTCCCAGCAACTCTGGAGGCTGAGGTGGGAGGATCACTTGAGCCCAGGAGGCGGAGGCTTCAGTGAGCCATGTTCGTGCTACTGAACTTGAGCCTGGGCAATAGAGGGAGACCTTGTCCCAAAACAAAAACAAAACACAACAAAAAAAAGATTGAGATGACAGCTCTGGCGCTGGGGCTGGGGCTGGAACTATGCAAACCCCGGAGCCTATTTTGAATCCCAGAAGTCTTTACCTCTGCACTCCTTAGTCTCCTTTTCATAATAGGTTCCTGCTGGACACTCCTCCAAGCACAGTCCATCATAGAGGACCCAGGAACTCTCAAGACAGAGCTCGCAGTCGTCGGCTTTGGGGCCACTGCACTCCAGACAGTCTTTATGGCAGGGGACACAGTGGCGCGAGTCTGCATAGAAGCCACGGGGACAGGACTGGTGGCACATATCATCGTGCAGGAAGAACTCAGGCGTGCACTCTGGGAAAAGGAGGAAGCAGCAAGTTATCCCCGGGGGGTAGGAGAAAGGAATTCATTGTCTGCAGTAGGCTAGCTCCTCCCTCAGCACTTTGGTTGATTTGACCTGAGAGTATGCTTGCCCTTTACCCACCCTGCCAGGGCATAGACTTGATGTCTAACAAGCCCTGCCTTGGGACAAGGAGGCCACACATGGTGACCGTATTAGATGGTGCTGGACTTACACAATGAAATGGTCTGCCCTTTGGAGGTGCAGTGCAAAAATTTGCAATGCTGCAAAAGACAGGGATGGCTGAGAGGCTGGCGGTATTGTTTGAAAAACCCGAAGAGCATTAACAGATTTAAAAAATTGTATTGAGAACCTCACACTGTTTTCAACACAGAAAGCAGTTTAGGAATGGTTGGATTAGTTAACTTTTCATTCATTGATCAGGTACAACAATGAATACAGGATTGATCAGTGTGAAGAATACATTGCGGGTTTATTTTTTTTGTGTTCATTTTCTTACTTTGGGGGGAATCCTGGGAAACACTTGAGGTCACACCAAGAGAATACTTTGGATAGGACAGCACCAGTTAAATGAGTCTGTCTTATTCTGGAGAGAAAATTGAACAGCTTTTTGGGGGAGATAATTCCTGAGGGAAAAAAACAACAAAATTCATTCACAGCCAGAGTGGTCATCTCAGTCATAGTTGCCCGAACTTTTCTTTCCTATCCTTTTTAACAACTGCAGTTTTCTAGCTACCTCTGTGTTTTGTGGCTTACTATCAGTCTGTAAGATTTTGTGTTCCAAAAGATGGGAACAGCTGGGCGTGGTGCCTCACGCTTGTAATCCCAGCACTTTGGGAGGCTGAGGACGGTGGATCACCTGAGGTCAGGAGTTTGAGACCAGCCTGACCAACATGGAGAAACCTCGTCTCTACTAAAAATGTTAAAATTAGCCCGGCGTGGTGGAGCGTGCCTGTAATCCCAGCTACTCTGGAGGCTGAGGCAGGAGAATCGCTTAAACATGGGAGGCAGAAGTTGCAGTGAGCTGAGATTGAGCCATTGCACTCCAGCCTGGGCAACAAGAGTGAAACTCCATCTCAAGGAAAAAAAAAAGATGAGAACATTGGGTTCTTCTCTGTACCTCTAGCACCTAGGATAGCACTTGCACATCTGCTGTGTGTGTACATATGGGGGTGAGTGTAAGAGATCATGCAAAAAGGGGCTCTTGCTTGTCTTAACTTGCAGCATCCATAATGAAAAGGGTGTATCTCACCCTCAGTTTCTCTGATGACAGGCACAGAGACATACCTTTCAGGAATGGTAGGGAGACTGGTTCCCACAGCTCTTTGCCATCCACCCTCAGATAATCGGCCCCCAACTGGTGGCTCAGCAGAGCCTTGCTCTCCTGTGGGAAGCTCCTAGGTACCTTTGCATGTTTTCTCATGGATGCAGTCCTGACACATCTCTGGGCAATGCTTGCATACCCCCTTCACAGCCACGTGCCTCTCGGGGCAGTTTTCCTGGCACACTCCGTGGTGCAGGACGTGGCCTCCTTCACAAGAATGGCAGTTGGTGGCGTTTCCTTCACATGTTCTGCAAGGAGAGCTACAGCGTTCACATATGCCGTCTTCTGCATAAGAGCCCCTGTGGAAGGAAGACAGAGTGCAACTGGAGAAGCTGACCTGCTGGAGAAGTGACTCATTCCTGGGGAAAAGGAATTAGGTCTAAAAACAAAAGGGCTGCTGCTGTCGTCAGCTGAGAGGCATCCATGGGATTTATAAGGAAGTGAAAAGAACATTCAGAAAAATGGAAGGAAAAGGACAAGCATTATTCTTGTGAAAGGAAAATAAATCTTGGGACCCCAGTATTACTAAGCCAAAGGGAAAAATCAAGCTGGGAACTGCTTAGGGTAAACCTGCCTCCCACGCTATTCCTTAAAAAGATAGCTAACTGGCCGGGTGTGGTGGCTCACGCTTGTAATCCCAGCACTTTGGGAGGCCGAGGTGGGCAGGTCATCAGGTCAGGAGATCGAGACCATTCTGGCCAACATGGTGAAACACTGTCTCTACTAAAAAATACAAAAATTAGCTGGGTGTGGTGGTGCACGCCTATAGTCTCAGCTACTCGGGAGGCTGAGACAGGAGAATCACTTGAACTCGGGAGGCAGAGGCTGCAGTGAGCCGAGATCATGCCACTGCACTCCAACCTGGTGACAGAGTGAGACTCTGTCTTAAAAAAAAAAAAACAAAACCAAAAACCAGATAGTTACTAAGATTTTAAAAAGCTACAATGGGTTGGGTAGGGTGGCTCATGCCTGTAATCCCAGCACTCTGGGAGGCTGAGGTGGGTGGATCACCTGAGATCAGGAGTTTGAGACTGGCTTGGCCAGCATGGCAAAACCCAGTCTCTACTAAAAATATAAAAATTAGCCAGGTGTGATGGCTTGCGCCTGTAGTCCCAGCTACTCGGGAGGCTGAGACAGGAGAATTGCTTGAACCAGGAAGGCAGAGGTTGAGGTGAGCCAAGATTGTGCCACTCCACTGCACTCCAGCCTAGATAACAGAGCGAGATTCTGTCTCAAAAAAAAAAAAAAAAAAAAAGCTACAATGTACTTTTTTTTTTTCTTTTTTTTTTTTTGAGACAGAGTCTTGCTGTGTCACCCAGGCTGGAGTGCATGGCACGATCTTGGCTCACCACAACCTCTGCCTCCCAGGTTCAAGCGATTCTCCTGCCTCAGCCTCCTGAGTAGCTGGGACTAGAGGTGCGTGCCACCATGCCTGGCTAATTGTTTTTGTATTTTTTTAGTAGATACGGGGTTTCACCGTGTTAGCCAGGATGGTCTGTAGGGTCCAGCCTACGGTGCTTATTAGCAGGTGTTCTCCCCGTGTGTGGAGACGAGAGATTGTAATAAATTAAGACACAAGACAAAGAGATAAAGAGAAAACAGCTGGGCTCGGGGGACCACTACCATCAAGATGCGGAAACCGGTAGTGGCCCCGAATGGCTGGGCACGCCGATATTTATCGCATACAAGACAAGTGGGCAGGGTAAGGAGAGTGAACCTTCTAAGTGATTGACAAGGTGAAGCAAGTCGCGTGATTACAGGATAGGGGGCCCTTCCCTTTTAGGTAGCCGAAGCAGAGAAAGAAGGCAGTGTACGTCAGCGTTTTCTTCTCTGCACTTATAAGAAAGATCAAAGACTTTAAGACTTTCACTATTTCTTCTACCGCTATCTACTATGAAGTTCAAAGAGGAACCAGGAGTGCAGGAGGAGCATGAAAGTGGACAAGGAGTGTGACCACCGAAGCACAGCACCACAGGGAGGGGTTTAGGCCTCCGGATGACTGCGGGCAGGTCTGGATAGTATCCAGCTTCCCACAAGAAGCTGGTGGAGCAGAGTGTTCCCTGACTCCCTCAAGAAAAGGAGACTCCCTTTCGCGGTCTGCTAAGTAACGGGTGCCTTCCCAGACACTGGCGTTACCGCTCGACCAAGGAGCCCTCAAGCGGCCCTTATGTGGGCGTGACAGAGGGCTCACCTCTTGCCTTCTAGGTCACTTCTCACAATGTCCCTTCAGCACCTGACCCTATACCTGCCGGTTATTCCTAGGTTATATTAGTAATGCAACAAAGAGTAATATTAAAAGCTAATGATTAATAATGATTGATAATTGTCCATGATCATCTCTATATCTAATTTGTATTATGACTATTCTTATTCTAACTATTTTCTTTATTATACTGAAACAGTTTGTGCCTTCAGTCTCTTGCCTCGGCACCTAGGTAATCCTCCGCCCACAATGGTCTTGATCTCTTGACCTCGTGATCCGCCCACCTTGGCCTCCTAAAGTGCTGGGATTACAGGCGTGAGCCACCGCGCCCGGCCTACAATGTACATCTTACATATATTGATTGATGTCTCATGTCTCCCTAAAAAGTATAAAACTAAGCTGTGCCCTGGCCACCTTGGGCACATGTCATCAGGAACTCCTGAGGCTGTCATGGGCATGTGTCCTCAACTGTGGCAAAATAAACTTCCTAAATTGACTGAGACCTGCCTCAGATATTTGGGGTTCATATTCTTGTGAATTTGATTGGTTTGAGAACAATTGTTGTTAATTTGTGTATAGTTTAGTCATCTTCTCTTTTCCCTATGTGACCCAAGTTTTATTATTTTTTTCTTTTTGTTAGAGCCTAACTTTAAAGTGGAAAATATTTTTTATTCAATTAATAAATTTTAAAAACATTTAATAAACAATAAAAATTTCCAAAAGACTCAAAAGGGTTAATGCCCTGTAAGATTGGAACCACTGGATGCTGTCAACCAACCTCTGATGACTTTTTTCAAATGCATACATATGAACATTTGCACACAGCACTAAACATATTTTGAGTACCAGCGTGTTTGTGCAAATCACCTTCTTCCAGGCGGAATCTTATGTCTGTGTATATAGAACCCCAGTGATTAAACTATCCCATTGTAGAAATCACTCACTGGTGGGGGAACACAGTAAAATATACAACCCCAATCCTCTCAAATATATTTGGGAGATGAGGGATGGATAGATGAGGTTTCTTTTTTTTCTTTTTTCTTTTTTTTTTATACTTTAAATTCTGCGGTACATGTGCAGAATGTGCAGGTTTGTTACATAGGTATACATGTGCCATGGTGGTTTGCTGCACCCATCAACTCATCATCTATCTACATTAGGTATTTCTCCTAATGCTCTCCCTCCCCTTGCCCCCTACCCTCCGACAGGCCCTGGTGTGTGATGTTCCCCTCCCTGTGTCCATGTGTTCTCATTGTTCAACTCCCACTTATGAGTGAGAACATGCAGTGTTTGATTTTCTGTTCCTGTGTTAGTTTGCTGAGAATGAAGGTTTCCAGCTTCGTCCATGTCCCTGCAAAAGACATGAACTTAGATGAGGTTTCTTTGGTGGGAAAAGCTGAATGGAAGAGCTGGAACTCGCGGAAGAGGAAGAACCATAAGCCGGCTTAGAGAAAATGGACTTCTGATGTCATAGGTACCTATTCCAATTGCTTTCTATCATGATCCATTAGTGAGTTAGCGCCATAATATTGCTGTGCCACAAACCATCCCAACCCAAAACTCAGTGGCTTAAAACAACAATCATTTACTCTCACTCATGTGTGTGGGGAAGCAGATCTAGGCTGGGCTTGGCAGGCTTGACTCCAGGCTACACACTGGGTCCATGCCTTCACATTCCTCTATTTTCCCTGGCTACCGGGACTACCAGGGGACGTTCTTCTCACAGCCATGACAAACGCGTAGAAGGGCAAGTTCAATCGGGCACATTTTATGCCTCCACCTTTCTTCTGCTAACATGTCATTGGCCAAAACAAATCACATAACCCAGCCAAAGTCAAGGGACAAGGAAGTCCATTTCACCTCTAGTGGAGTTGGTGCAAAGTTGCAGGCAGTGGGCATGAATACGAGGAGTGGCGAAGAACTGCAACAAATAACCCAATCTACCAGAGACCTCTTTAAATCACAAGCCAGGAAGGGATCCGCTGCTACGCAGCATTTTTACTTGGTGTTTTAATTAATCAGCACTCACACGTTTAATCATTCTTTCAGTCATTTATTTACTGTATGCATTCAGTAAACAAAAATATATTGAGTGTTCCAGGAAGAAATAGGGCAGGGGTGAACAGAAGTCACATTTCTTTGTTTTGTTTTGTCTGAGACAGGGTCTTGCCCTGTCACCCAGGCTGAAGTGCAGTGGCGTGATCTCAACTCACTGCAACCTCTACCTCCTGGGTTGAAGTGATTCTCCTGCCTCAGCCTCCTGAGTAGCTGGGACTACAGGCATGCACCACCATGCCTGGCTAATTTTTGTATTTTTTTAGTAAAGATGGGGCTTTACCATGTTGGCCAGGCTGGTCTCAAACTCCTGACCTCAAGTGATCTGCCTGCCTTGGCCTCCCAGTTACATGTGTGAGCCACTGTGCCCAGCCAAAAAGTCATATTTCTGATATAGTTTCAGGTAAGAAAAATTGGAGAAGAAAGCAGTCTAGGTAGAAGAGAGAGAAAGAAATAGCATCCAGATAAAAGCTAAGATTGAGCTTTCTCACACAGTAGTACCCTTAGCTTTTTTTTGACCATGACAGAGAACACTTGAAGAAGAAAGACTCAGCTACTTTGCTCAAACAAAGTCTATCTCTTAAAAATGAATTGAACAAGACAGGCAATGTGTTATATGCCCACCAGCAGTTTGATCAGATTTGAGAAATTTGAAATTAAGGAAATTTAGTGCATTCTTAAATAGATCACATTCTTTTTTTTTTTTTTTTTTTTTTTTTTTTGGTGAGACAAGGTCTGGCTCTGTTGCCCAGGCTAGAGTGCAGTGGTGTGATCATGGCTCACTGCAGCCTCGACTTGCTGGGCTCAAGTGATCCTCCCACTTTGGCCTCCTGAGTAGCTAGGACTACAGGTGTGTGCCGCCACACTGGGCTAATTTTTAAATTTTTATCTTTTTTTTTTTGTAGAGATGGGGGTCTTACTATGTTACCCAAGCTGGTCTCAAACTCCTGGCCTCAAGCAGTGCGCCCACCATGGCATCCCAAAGTGCTGGGATTACAGGTGTACCTTACCAATCACATCTTCTAATCGAATGAAAATTTGATGGATTCATTGTTCCTGTAAGCATAGTAAAGAATTTGACCTCACCCAAAGAGAGGTCTGGTCTTTCTCTTCGGCTAACCTCAAAACCTTTGGAATTTCCTAAGAGTTAGGGGTGTCTTTGTTATTCATGATGGGTCTCTCTTGCCACACCTGAGAGTTGGTACTGGGATGACTCAGAGTGGGGCCAGCCACATCTTGTAAACTTAAGGTGGGAACTGGCTTGCCACAATGATCCACTCTGTGTTTAAAGGAGGGGAGCTTTGTAAGATCAGGCCCACCTCCAGGGAATCTCAATGCTAGGCCTGGCCAAGACCTGCAGAGAATAGTTTCTGGACACTGAAGATGATGAATGCTAATACAGAGCTAAAAAGACGCAACACGAATAAATCTTTTTCAGATCCCTCTCAGAAGAGGTTCAGTGGATGTTGGATGAGATGCTGAAATGAAAGAAATGGATTCAAGCAAAAAGCAAAAAAAAAAAAAAAAAAAAAAACCCTTGAAGTGGCTCATGCCTGTAATCCTAGCACTTTGGGAGGCCCAGATGGGTGGATCACCTGAGGTCAGGAATTCAAGACCAGCTTGGCCAACATGGCGAAATGCTGTCTCTACAAAAATACAAAAATTAGTCGAGCTTGATGGTGGGCGCCTGTAATCCCAGCTACTCAGGAGGCTGAGGCAGAAGAATCGCTTGAACCTGGGAGGCAGAAATTGCAGTGAGCTGAGATTGCACCACTGCATTCCAGAGCAAGACTCTGTCTCAAAAAAAAAAAAAAAAAAAAGTAGTCTTCTCCACACAGATCTGCCTGGGAGTTGGTTCTCCTTTCCTGTCTCTGCATTTATAAAACTGTTTTTCTTAGTGCTTTATTTCACAATTATTTTATTTAAGAAGACGAATATTTCTTTTGAAAAGAAATGGTTGCATGTACTAAATCGTTAAATTCAAAGTACTTAATGTTGAAGTCTTTCAGCTCAGATAAATCCATGTCCTGTGAAAGCTGTGTGGTCCTGGGCCTTCACCTCCATTTCACAGACACCAAGACAGTGACCAGCAGCACTTAAAGGAAGGCTGTTTTTCTTCAACAGAGCTTCAAATCTGTTCACATTTGGTGAATGTGAGTCCACCTTAAGTTTTCTGTTGCTTTTTAAACAACTACTGTAATGATATATGTTACTGTCACAGTGGCTCATGCCTGTAATCCCAGCACTCTGAAAGGCCAGGGTGGGTGGATCACCTGAGGTCAGGAGTTCAAGACCAGCCTGGCCAACGTGGTGAAACCCCATCTCTACTAAAAATACAAAAAATTAGCTGGGCGTGGTGATGGATGCATGTAATCCCAGATACTTGGGAGGCTGAGGCAGGAGAATTGCTTCAACCTGGGAGGTAGAGGTTGCAGTGAGCTGAGATGGCGCCATTGCCTGGGCAACAAGAGTGAAACTCCATCTCAGAAAAAAAAAAATACGTTACTGTTAAAACCTATTTTTGGCCTAGCGTGGCGGCTCATGCCTGTAATCCCAGCACTTTGGGAGGCCACGGTGGTCGGATCACGAGGTCAGGAGTTCCGAGACCAGCCTGGCCAACACGGTGAAACCCCATCTCTACAAAAGATAGAAAAAAATATAAGCCAGGTGTGGTGGCATGCGCCTGTAATCCCAGCTACTCGGGAGGCTGAGGCAGGATGATTGCTTGAACCTGGGAGGCAGAGATTGCAGTGAGCCGAGATCGCGCCATTGCACTCCAGCCTGGGCAACAGGGAGAGACTTGGTCTCAAAAAAAACAAACACTTTTTTTTTTCATGAACATGTACTATATTTGAAAAAGCAGGGGCCACTAAATGCTAACTTATAAATAACTCTGAATATCTGGATGCTGTGTCATTGCAGGTTATGTTCCTGTTATAAATCTTATTGCTGTTCTAGGATGGATCACACCCAAAAGGGTGATTTCTCAGAAACAGCAATAAAGCTTCCCAAGATAAACTGGATATTATGTGTTCCTCAGACTCTGTGTCTTCTGTTGTTAGTTTTCTTTTTTTGTGTGTGTTTAAACACAAAGATGAGGGATTCCGCTATAATCAGATCACCCTACCCATAACAGGAGGGCATATGCTTGCAATTCTATAGTCTGCAATATTCCTAGGCCATGCTGGTAGCTTTCCTACTGCTCAAGAAATACAGACTATCTTGACTGCTGCATGTCTGCGTAGTGTCCCATTGCTCCATGAAAATGGTTCAACCCAGACTCTGAGGTAAAATACATTAAGCGGTCAACTAACTTGAGTAAAGCAAAATGCATCTCTTTCTTCCTTGTTTTAATGTGTTGTCAATTCCTGGAACACTCAAAGAATCCAAGAGAGAGTTGAAAAAGGTAATGATTAAATAAATAAGGCAATAATAATGACAACCAGTTCAATCCTACCACTGAGGAAGCAATGACTGACTCTGGTAAGCAAATCTCTTTCACCTTTGCTTTATTGTAACACTTGGCTGAGTTTGCTGGGGTGGAGCTCGGTTGATAGGGGAGGAGGACTGGGAGTTTCCAAACCTGACTTCTCACCTGGGTTCTCTTACTCTGACCCTTTGCTACCCTTTCTCCACTCTCTGCTTGACAAAATCCTTCAAGAGCTAGGGACCATCAAGCCTTTTCTCAAATACCCAGCTGGGGATGAAGCTGGAAAACATTATGCTAAGTCAAAAAGTCTGTCAGAAAAAAACATGTTTTGTCTTTTTTGTTTTATGTGTTTTGTTTTTGTTTTCAGAGACAGGGTCTTGCTATGTTGCTCAGGCTGACCTTGAACTCCTGGGCTCAAGCAATTCTCCAGCCTTGGGCTCCTGATAGCTGGGACTAGAGGTGTGCACCATGGCCACCATGCTTGGCTCAAAGACCACATTTTATATAATCCCATTTATAGGAAATGTCCAAGAATAGCAAATCTACAGGGATAGAAAGTAGATTAGTGGTTGCTTAGGGCTGGGGGAAATGGAAAAAGTAGGAATAACAGCTAAAAGGGTATAGGGTTTCTTTCTAGGTTGATGACAATGTTCTGAAATTGATTGTGGTAATGGTTGCATAACTCTGTGAATATACTAAAAACCGTGAATTATACACTTTTAGGGGTGATTTGTATGGTATGTGAATTATATCTCAATAAAGTTGTGATTTAAAAAATACTCAATTGTACAAGAAGGCAGCACTGAGTGATAGTTAAGCACATGGACTTCAATGCCAGAGAGGTTTGGGTTCAAATTCTGGCCACACCATGTATTTGATGTGTAAAATTGAGCCTGCTATTCTTTTCCTCATTGGTCAAATGAGGGAAAATAATAGTAAGTGGATAAGAGAATTCTTGTGAGGATTAATGGGATCATACATTTACAGCCCTTAGCACAATACCTGGACGTTGCAAGCATTCAAAAAATAGTGATTTAAAATGTTTTCTTTTCTCTTGGAATCTCTTAGCCCTTTGTATATTAAGGCCCTGAGAAGTATGACATTGACTGATGTAAACCTCCCTTAGTGGATTGTAAGCATTTTTGCAGACTTGGACTTCCTGGAGTTGGTCTTAACTTAGCTTTCCATATCAGTGTCAATATCAACATCAATATCAATATCAATATCAATTGTTGGTAGAAGAATAGACTCCACTGAGCTACGCATATACAATACAATATATTGATATTGCATCAGTATCAATTTTTACCCCTAGTTGGTGCTAAATCTGTGTTGTTGAGCTGAATATGCTTGGCTTTCTACACTAGATTGGATGCTTTTTGAGGGTAAATACCTTATATTTATACTCTATATTTATACTCATAACTTATATTTATACTCTATAGAGTCTATCTCAGTAATGAAAACAAATAGGTCACTAGGAAATAGGTGCCAGTTTTGCTTTTTTGCTTTTTTTTTTTTTTGAGATGGAGTTTCGCTCTTGTTGCCCAGGCTGGAATATAACGGTGTGATCTTAGCTCACCACAACCTCCACCTCCCGAGTTCAAACGAGTCTCCTGCTTCAGCCTCCCGAGTAGCTGGGATTACAGGCATATGACACCATGCCTGGCTAATTTTGTATTTTTAGTAGAGATGGGGTTTCTCCATGTTGGTCAGGCTGGTTTTGAACTCCTGACCTCAGGTGATCCTCCCGGTTGGCCTCCCAAAATGCTGTGATTACAGGCGTGAGCCACCACGCCCAGCCAGGAAATAGGCGTTGTTGTATCAAATTCTTTTAATAAGAGGGCAAATGAAAATTCTAACTCCTTAAAGTAGACACTGTCAGTTACTTCCGCACATTTATTTCCTGCCTCCCTCTCTCCATTCTTCCTGGCTGTCAGAGTCCTGAGTTGCTTGGATGTTCAGGCGTGAATCTTGTTCAGCCTAAACCACTCCTATATTTCCATTCTTTTTGCCAGGGATTGATTTAGGGAGGTATCAGTGATGCATTCTTGCGACTGAGATTAGAATAAAAATCTGAGGAAATTTTCTTTTCTTCAAGAAAAGGATAAACAAGGGGAAACATCCCCTTTCCTGGCCCTGGTAGTGGCTGCATGGGGTGACCGTGTCTGGAGCTGAGACACGTAATGTGGGCTCAGCAGCGGTGCCAGTCAGAGAGGATGAGCTAAGGAAGGTACAAGAGCGAAACAGAAAAACCAGACTTTGTGATGACCTTGTTGGCCGCTGAAGTGACCAATACTGGACTTGCAGCATTTTTGTTCTGTGAGATAATAAACCCTGTTATGTCTCAGTCATTTTACTTGGCATTTCTGTTGCTTATTGCTGAAAGTTTCTTGCTGTACTCTTGCATTTGCTATTCCTCACTTTCTTCCTAGGTAAATTCTGGAGGTGGGACTATTGGTAGGAAGAGTAAAGCAACTACAAACCAGGGGACCAAGGAAACCAGGAGGAATCAATAAATAACTAACCAGGTGTTATTTATTATCTATAATTCATGCCTCACCTATTTAAACCTTTAGAAGAGGTGCACATCACAGCCTTACTTTTGTAATGGAGGAAAAAAAACATGACATCAGTTGATCATTAATATAAGGTGGGAAAATAATTTTTTTTTTTTTTTTAAAGACAGGGTCCTGCTTTGTCATCCAGGCTGGAGTACAGTGGTGCAATCACAGCTCACTGCAATCTCCTGGGCTCAAGGAATCCTCCCACCTTAGCCTCCCAAGTAGCTGGGACTACAGCACCCACTGGCTAATTTTTAAATATTTTGTAGACGGAGTCTTGCTATGTTGCCTAGGCTGGTCTCAAATTCCTAGCGATCCTTCTGCCTTAGCCTCCCGAAGTGCTGGGATTACAGGTGTGAGCCACCACGCCCAGCCCCTGAACATATTTTTCATAAAAGTAAAAATATATACATAAAATAGTCACAGAGGAGAAGTGGGCATCTGGCCTCATGTAAGTTTTGGCTGCTGTGGCGCACACCCATGTCAGTCAACAGAGGACATTTATGTGGGTGCTCGTAGAGCAGAGAAGAGTTTTTTGGTGAATAAGAAAGAATTGCTCCCAAAGTACCAGAGGAGAGTGATTACAAGCAGGAAGTAAAATTAAAAAGGAAACTTACTCCGGGCACTTGGAGTAGCACCTGCCTTCATGGAGGAAGAGAGGGTGGCCCGGCTGCATCTGGCATTTTTTGCAAAGATCGGCTCCAGAGCAGATGGCACAGGCCTCCGTACAGTTCTCGCAGCTCCCACTCCTTACGGAAGGCCATGTGCCTTGGGGACAGGAGGAAACACAGGCCTGAGCCAGAAGATATGCACCTAGAAATTCAGGGAAGAGGGAAGATGGGAATAGTCATCATGTGGTTTTCCATGCAGAGACATGGCTTTTTTAAGCTTTCCAAAGACCAAAGTATCCAGGCACTTATTTCAGGCTTACCAAAATATTTGCTAGTGATGCTAAGTCCTCCAGGATGAGTTACATTTCTAGAAGGCAATTGACAGCAAGAGACTTTTGCCTGTTTCTTTCCTATCCTACAGATATTAGGTATAGGTCATGATGGGGCTTCCTTTTGCCCAGTTGATCAGTCTTATTAACACACTCTCTATGTCTTCCTGGTGTAAGGCAGCTGTACATGCACAGCTTGATGGAATCTATTAATACTCTGCTTCCCCAAAGCCCATCTTGTTAGGACACTAACATAGTTGCAACTCTTTTTTTTTTTTTTTGAGAAGGAGTCTTGCTCTATCTCCCAGGCTGGAGTGCACTGGTGCGATCTTGGCTCACTGCGACCTCCGCCTCCCGGGTTCAAGCGATTCTCCTACTTCAGCCTCCTGAGCAGCTGGGACTACAGGCGTGCACCACCACACCTGGCTAATTTTTGTATTTTTAGTAGACACGGGGTTTCACCATGTTGGACAGGTGGGACTCAGACTCCTGACCTCAGGTAATCTGCCCGCTTCAGCCTCCTAAAGTGCTGGCATTACAGGCTCGGCCCAGAGTTACAACTCTTCCACCCAACTCTCCCTTTAACAGGGGATCCACCTATTTTTCAATCGAAAAACAACTGATACTCATTAAGAAAACCAATTTTCAAAATCACTCTCACACCCAAGATTCCAGGAAAATGCTTTAGCTTTTTGAGTGTAACCTTTTATATTTTATATGATTATAATTGTGGCTTGCCTATTATTGTAAATTTTTCTGCTTTTGCATCAGATTCCACTATTAACATTGTACATTCCAACGTGGACTTTATAATGATCATGGAAACATGTAAACATTCTTTTTTTTTTTTTTGAGGCAGCGTCTTGCTCTGTCATCCAGGTTGAAGTGCACACTGCAACCTCTACCTCCCAGGTTCAAGTGATCTCATGTCTCAGCCTCCCACGTAGCCTGGGATTACAGGCATGTGCCAACACATGTGGCTAATTTTTGTATTTTTAGTAGAGACGGGGACTTGCCATGTTGGCCAGGCAGGTCTCCAACTCCTGGCCTCAAGTGATCCTCCTGCTTCAGCCTCCCAAAGTGTTGGGATTACAGGCATGAGCCATCATGCCCAGCCCACTTAAACATTCTTTATGTCAGTGTACCATTTAAGTAAAATATTCTCCTAATTCAGGGAAGTTATGTTATTTGTGATTTTTGTTTTTATAGATGAAGCAATTGATAAGTTATCAAGCTGTTATGTTGCTGCTCTTATTCCTTCCTCCCTCCCTCTTCATCATGCCTTTAGATTAAGAAACTTTTTTCTTTTTTAAGACAAGGTCTTGCTCTGTCACCCAGGCTGGAGTGCAGTGGCATGATCATGGTTCACTGCAGCCTTGACCTCCTGGGACCAAGCAATGCTTTCATTTCAGCCTCCCAAGTAGGTGGAACTACAGGGACATGCCACCATGCCCAGCTAATTTTTAAAATTTTTATAGAGATGGGGTCTCACTATGTTTCCCAGGCTGATCTCAAACTCCTGGGCTCAAGAAATCCTCCCGCCTCAGCCTCTCAAAATGTTGGGATTACAGGTGTGAACCACTGTACCTGACCACTTCTTTGTATTGTCCTTTGAAAGCCAGTTTTTATTATTGGTCAATGTTTGGGTCCCTGTGTGTCTCCCGAGTAGCCACTGTAATAGGAACATGTGATGGGAATAGATCAAGGCCTTACAGACCTCCTTACACCAAGATGCCACTACACATGAGTTTCAATGACTTGGCTTGACTGCTGCCATCTTCTGTCACGCAACACACTAACCTTTGGGACATGAAGTGCACAGAGTTGCAGATCCATTGCAGGTTTTACAAGAAGAATGACAAGGCTGGAGTTTTCTCAAAATATCTGTATGAGAAAGAAACAACAGTTCAGGCTTCTCCTTGGAATAGGCACATAGGATTCCAGTACTGAAAAAGATCTCATGGGTTACCTAGTCTCTTTTCCTGCCCCAGATGGAATCCTTTTGATTGTACATGAGCTGATTGTTGGCACTGGCTCATTGCCATTGTGTAGACTTCATTTATTTTTTTTTCTCTTACTCCTTCATTTGCAATTGATTATCAAGAAAGATACCACACGAATGTGTGGTACCACAAGGAATGTGGTATTCTACAAGATAGCCTCAAATACTGTGGGGATATTTGAACACATAATTACTTCTTTTGTGTGTTAAAAATGGGAGTGAGTTTGTATTTGTGTGTATGCACTTGTGAATGAGTTTATGAGTCAAAGGTAATCACTTCTATTGCCAAGATTGTTGGATGACCTTTTCTTTTCTTTTCTTTTCTTTTTTGAGACAGAGTCTCACTCTGTAGCCCAGGCTGGAGTGTGGTGGTGTGATCTTGGCTCACTGCCGCCTCTGCCTCCTGGGCTCAAGTGATTCTCCTGCCTCAATCTCCCAAGTAGCTGGGATTACAGGTGCGCACTACCATGCCCAGCTAATTTTTGTATTTTTAGTAGAGACGGGGTTTTGCCATGTTGACCAGCTGGTCTTGAACTCTTGACCTCAGGTGATCCACCCGCCTCAGCCTCCCAAACTGCTGGGATTACAGGTGTGAGCCACCGCGCCCGGCCGGATGACCATTTCTCTTCACTCCAAGATGATAATTGACAATTCATTGTACCTCTCGTGGAGGAACTTCTTTTCTTTTTTTTTTCTGTTTTTGTTCTTTGAAAATCAGATTTTATTATTGGTCAATGTTTGGGTCACTGTGTTCTTTAGAGTAGCTACTGTGCTATGCAACCTAAATTTATCTCATCTTAAGTTTGTCCCAAATCATTGTTAAACATCAAAATTATCCCCTACTCACAGGCTTTCTTGTTGGTCGGGCTATAAGTAGGTTGTCCCAGGTTAATATACCATTAACCAAGGAAACATTGGAAGTGTTCCCTTCTCCCTTTCCCTCCAACAGCATTTGATGGGCAGGCTTTCCCAGGAAGTCACCTCAGCAACTCCATGGGACAATTTCAAGGACAGAACAGCTTCAAGACATCACTCAGTCAATACATATGGAGACCTTGACTAGAGCTCAGGGATTGCTCAGAAATCAGCATGGCTCACACAGGAAAAAATTAGAAAACGAAGTTCTAGCTCAGAATGTGGGATTTCAATGACCCTGACCCTCAATCAATGTTGACATCTTACCATTTTCCTTATTACCTCCTCCCTCCCTTTCTCCCTTCCTTCCTCTCCTGCCTTTCATCTTCTTTCTTCTCATCCTAAGAGTCAGCCGGGTATAGATGGCGCTCTAGTCACACCTGCCTTCAGATCCCAGCTATGCCGCCGAAGGGTAGGGTAACCATGGATACGGTAATTAAACTCTCAGAATCCTACTTTCCTTGTCTCTAAAATGAGAGAAAATAATTCTGCCCTTATAGGATTGTTGTGAAGACTAAATGAGATAATACGTGTCAAGTGCTTAACATAGGGGCACATGGATACAGTAATTAAACTCTCAGAATCCTACTTTCCTTGTCTCTAAAATGAGAGAAAATAATTCTGCCCTTATAGGATTGTTGTGAAGACTAAATGAGATAATACGTGTCAAGTGCTTAACATAGGGGCACATGGATACAGTAATTAAACTCTCAGAATCCTACTTTCCTTGTCTCTAAAATGAGAGAAAATAATTCTGCCCTTATAGGATTGTTGTGAAGACTAAATGAGATAATACGTGTCAAGTGCTTAACATAGGGGCACATGGATACAGTAATTAAACTCTCAGAATCCTACTTTCCTTGTCTCTAAAATTAGAGAAAATAATTCTGCCCTTATAGGATTGTTGTGAAGACTAAATGAGATAATACGTGTCAAGTGCTTAACATAGGGGCACATGGATACAGTAATTAAACTCTCAGAATCCTACTTTCCTTGTCTCTAAAATGAGAGAAAATAATTCTGCCCTTATAGGATTGTTGTGAAGACTAAATGAGATAATACGTGTCAAGTGCTTAACATAGGGGCACATGGATACGGTAATTAAACTCTCAGAATCCTACTTTCCTTGTCTCTAAAATGAGAGAAAATAATTCTGCCCTTATAGGATTGTTGTGAAGACTAAATGAGATAATACGTGTCAAGTGCTTAACATAGGGGCACATGGCTACAGTAATTAAACTCTCAGAATCCTACTTTCCTTGTCTCTAAAATGAGAGAAAATAATTCTGCCCTTATAGGATTGTTGTGAAGACTAAATGAGATAATACGTGTCAAGTGCTTAACATAGGGGCACATGGCTACAGTAATTAAACTCTCAGAATCCTACTTTCCTTGTCTCTAAAATGAGAGAAAATAATTCTGCCCTTATAGGATTGTTGTGAAGACTAAATGAGATAATACGTGTCAAGTGCTTAACATAGGGGCACATGGATACAGTAATTAAACTCTCAGAATCCTACTTTCCTTGTCTCTAAAATGAGAGAAAATAATTCTGCCCTTATAGGATTGTTGTGAAGACTAAATGAGATAATACGTGTCAAGTGCTTAACATAGGGGCACATGGATACAGTAATTAAACTCTCAGAATCCTACTTTCCTTGTCTCTAAAATGAGAGAAAATAATTCTGCCCTTATAGGATTGTTGTGAAGACTAAATGAGATAATACGTGTCAAGTGCTTAACATAGGGGCACATGGATACAGTAATTAAACTCTCAGAATCCTACTTTCCTTGTCTCTAAAATGAGAGAAAATAATTCTGCCCTTATAGGATTGTTGTGAAGACTAAATGAGATAATACGTGTCAAGTGCTTAACATAGGGGCACATGGATACAGTAATTAAACTCTCAGAATCCTACTTTCCTTGTCTCTAAAATGAGAGAAAATAATTCTGCCCTTATAGGATTGTTGTGAAGACTAAATGAGATAATACGTGTCAAGTGCTTAACATAGGGGCACATGGATACAGTAATTAAACTCTCAGAATCCTACTTTCCTTGTCTCTAAAATGAGAGAAAATAATTCTGCCCTTATAGGATTGTTGTGAAGACTAAATGAGATAATACGTGTCAAGTGCTTAACATAGGGGCACATGGATACAGTAATTAAACTCTCAGAATCCTACTTTCCTTGTCTCTAAAATGAGAGAAAATAATTCTGCCCTTATAGGATTGTTGTGAAGACTAAATGAGATAATACGTGTCAAGTGCTTAACATAGGGGCACATGGATACAGTAATTAAACTCTCAGAATCCTACTTTCCTTGTCTCTAAAATGAGAGAAAATAATTCTGCCCTTATAGGATTGTTGTGAAGACTAAATGAGATAATACGTGTCAAGTGCTTAACATAGGGGCACATGGATACAGTAATTAAACTCTCAGAATCCTACTTTCCTTGTCTCTAAAATGAGAGAAAATAATTCTGCCCTTATAGGATTGTTGTGAAGACTAAATGAGATAATACGTGTCAAGTGCTTAACATAGGGGCACATGGATACAGTAATTAAACTCTCAGAATCCTACTTTCCTTGTCTCTAAAATGAGAGAAAATAATTCTGCCCTTATAGGATTGTTGTGAAGACTAAATGAGATAATACGTGTCAAGTGCTTAACATAGGGGCACATGGATACAGTAATTAAACTCTCAGAATCCTACTTTCCTTGTCTCTAAAATGAGAGAAAATAATTCTGCCCTTATAGGATTGTTGTGAAGACTAAATGAGATAATACGTGTCAAGTGCTTAACATAGGGGCACATGGATACAGTAATTAAACTCTCAGAATCCTACTTTCCTTGTCTCTAAAATGAGAGAAAATAATTCTGCCCTTATAGGATTGTTGTGAAGACTAAATGAGATAATACGTGTCAAGTGCTTAACATAGGGGCACATGGATACAGTAATTAAACTCTCAGAATCCTACTTTCCTTGTCTCTAAAATGAGAGAAAATAATTCTGCCCTTATAGGATTGTTGTGAAGACTAAATGAGATAATACGTGTCAAGTGCTTAACATAGGGGCGCAGTAAATTGTAGTTCCTTCAGCTTCCTGTTGATTCTCTCCTGCCACCATTCCACTCCCTTTCTGAGGCTTGTTTTACTCCCCTCTTCCTTCCCTCTGGTTTCATACCTGGGTGGCCTGCTCAGCTTCTGTGATGACAATCATGGATACAAAGCTGATGAGCCTTGCCATAGATGAAACTAGATTCAAATACAGATGATAGAAAGGTACATACATAGATAGGATGGATAGACACAGATATGCGGATAGATGCAAATACAGGTGGAGATGGAGATATAAATGATTAGGCTGCCAGGCTGGGTAGTTGGTTTTTTCCTAGCTTGGAGATAAAAATTTACCCTGGCTTTCTTTTATTTTTTGAGACAGAGTCTCGCTCCATCACCTAGGCTGGAGTGCAGTGGTGCAATCTTGGCTCACTGCAACCTTCACCTCCCAGGTTCAAGCGATTCTCTGGTCTCAGCCTCCCAAGTAGCTGGGATTACAGGTGCCTGCCACCAAGCCTGGCTAATTTTTGTATTTTTAGTAAAGATGGGGTTTCACCATTTTGCCCGGGCTGGTCTTGAACTCCTGACCTCAGGTGGTCCACCCGCCTTGGTCTCCCAAAGCGCTGGGATTACAGGTGTGAGCCACTGCAGCCAGCCCCCTGGTTTTCCAATACACTAATTAAAGCTGATGATTGACTGATGTATTCTCTCTGGGGCATCTGCTAAGGGCTGAATTTAGCCTTGTGCAGAGCCACCTTGGCCACAGGATTGTCACAAAGGTGTTCCGCATGCCTCTCAAAGTAACCGATTCTGTCCCCGAGGGCTTTTTAAAACTGCAGTATCACTCAGCCCCAAAGAGAAGGCAGCCGAAAGGCAAGCAACAATCCTGTTGCTAATAGTCAGATGCTCACTGAATGGCTGAGAGCAGTTGTTCAAAGAATAATAAGGCAACAATATTAATCAGACAGTGAACACCGTGCAAATCTTCAATGTTCTATGTCCAGGCTTCAGGCTGATTTTCCTTTGATGTTATCATGTATATACTAAAATATATTTATAAAGACATGAGTTTTCATCAATTTTCTCATATTTGTATAAGTTTTAATGTCTATATCTACAAATATGCACATATTTATAATTACATGTATCTCACGTTCTGGCAATTTGGTATTTTACTGCATACTCCTGGTATGAAATTCTGTAATGTCAGCCAAGCACGGTGGCTTATGTCTATAATCCCAGCAATCTGGGAGGCCAAGGTGGGAGGATAGCTTGAAGCCAAGAGTTTGAGACCAGCCTGGACAACATGGTGAAACCTTGTCCCTTAAAAAATAATAACAAATAAAAATAAAATAAAATTCTGTAATGTCTTCATATGTCCACCAGAGGGAGATCTGTACAAGCAGTTAACTTAGCAATTAGGCCTGGGCAGGGCATAAAGTCCTCCTCAGCAAGAGTTCTTTATCATAAAAGATTGGGGACTTAATCTCAACAAGTAAATTTTAACCGTGATCATAGTTTCTCTTTTTCCAACTTTGGAAATTCTAGACTGGACAGGACCACAAAAAAAAAAAAAAAAAAAAAAAAGAACCACTTTGACCCAGAAAGTGCAGTGTCCATTCTTCAGAAATGACTGTAGCTAAACTATATAAAGCAAGGGGTTCATTTATTGTATTTATTTTTTATTTAATACATAATTCACTCATGGTGCAAAATGGAGAAAAGGCATGTACTGTGATGTCTCTCTCCCAATCCCTTCTCCACCCTTTTTCATACAAGCTGTATCTATTCACACGGTTTATCACCTTGCCTGTAAAGTAAACAAGCAATATATTTGGAAATCATTCTTTATCAGTACAGAAAGAACCTCTTCCTTTTGGTGGCTCCATAGTATTCTATTGTATGAATACATCGACTTTATTTCTCTCATCTCCTGCTGGTAACCACTTAGTTTTTTCCAGTCTTTGTGATTTCAAACAATGCTGCGGTGACTGGGAAGGCAGAGGTGCTTCCTTAGCCTATTAAAGTTCTGCAAGGACAGAGGCTTTTCTTGATAGCCTCTGCCAGCCATGACCATTTAGCTCGTCACGAATATCCTTATCTGTTACAGAAATCTCCACTGCGGAACTTCTCACAGTCTTCCCTCTGAGTGCCCACTGATATGTTGTGTTTATTGCCCCTCCTGTCTCCAACTTTTTCTAATGACCTCTGCATCTCTGCACCCCATTTGCTTCTGGCCTCCCAGCTTCTTGGGGTGATTTCTCCACGGAGACCATCTCCAGAGATAGTCTCTGCTGCTGTGATTGTTGCCTCCCTATTTCCCTGTTACCTCTTTTGATTTGAACTTTCCACCTTCGTCGCTCCTGCAGCAGGCTCTTCACCACAGATAGGTTTGCAGTGGACACAGCTTCTTTTTTATTAAAAAAAAAAGTGTTTAGTTTTTTTTTAATGCAAAAAGGATAAAGAAGATAAACTTCACCTATAAACCCACCACCCAGAAATGTCTGCTGTGTATACTGTGGTACATGGATGTCTCATCTTCATATTGAGTGTGTGAGTATAATTACATCTATGTATAGATGTGTCATCATTTATAGCTTCTGTACACATAAGACTGACCCTGAACACTGCATTTAACACTATAAATCTCGTAGGTATTTTCTCTTGTCATTAGCATTCCTTGTAAACATCATTTTTTTTTTCCACGAGGAGTCTTGCTCTGTTTCCCAGGCCAGAGTGCGGTGGCGCCATCTCAGCTTGTTGCAGCCTCTGGCTCCCAGGTTCAAGCGATTCTCCTGCCTCAGCCTCCCAAGTAGCTGGGACTATAGGCAAGCACCGCCATGCCTGGCTAGTATTTTGTATTTTTAGTAGAGATGGGGTTTCACCGTGTTGGCCAGGTTGGTCTCAAACTCCTGGACTGACGTGATCTGCCTGCCTTGGCCTCCCAAAGTGCTGGGATTACAGGCATGAGCCACCGTGCCCAGCTGTAAACATCATTTTCAATGGTTTGCATATTTATTTGTATGGATGGTAATTCATTTAGCTTTTTTCTTTTGTTATATTTTTGAGATTGTTCCCTTCTCTTTTTAAAATCGTAAAGCTGCTCTCAACATCTTTGTGAGTATACATTCTTGGCTAAGTCAGGATTCTGCCTATTAGGTATCCCGACTTACCATTATCTGGTGCCTTTTTTTCCAGGGCCATTTCCCTTAGAGCCCTGTTTATCTCTATACCCTCTCAAATGGCTTTCTTTCTTTTCTTTCTTTTTTTTTTTTTTGAGAGAGTCGCGCTCTGTTGCCCAGGCTGGAGTGCAGTGGTGTGATCTCGGCTCACTGCAACCTCCACCTTCCAGGTTCAAGTGATTCTAATGCCTCAGCCTCCCAAGTAGCTGAGACTACAGATGCGTGCCACCACACCTGGCTAATTTTTGTATTTTTAGTAGAGACAGGGTTTCACCATGTTGGCCAGGTTGGTCTTGAATCCTGGCCTCAAGTGATCTGCCCACCTCAGCTTCCCAAAGTCCTGGGATTACATGTGTGAGCCACTGCGCATGGCCCCAAATATTGCTTTCTTTTGTGACCCAGGGAATGCTGCTTTCAAAGCAAACTGGTGTTTCAAGTGTTAAAACTGGACCGAGTCAAATAGTTAGGGAGTAGACGAGACTTTATTGTGTTATATGTGTCCTGAGAGCTTTATATACATTTTCTCATTTCATTCTTAAAATGACTTTGTGTGAGGCAGTTTCATGTTTTCACTTTACAGAGAAGGACACAGGCTCAGAGAGGATGAGTAACTCACTGAAGGTCACACAGCTAGCAAAACACAGAGCTGGGATTTGAATTCATGTGTGCTGTGCCCTAAAGCCTGCATCTGCTAGAGGGTGTAGACATAGGCTTTAGAATTTTTCAGCAATAAATTTGAATTCTGAAGTAATTTGATAGAAGCCAAAATAATGGTGTGCTGGTAAGACAGGTCTCTAGAAAAATGAAAAACCAAAAACCTGATTTGTAGTGTTTCCAATTTCTGTGGTGTAAATACTCCCACCATAGCTAATTTCAAGCTGTCAATGGTTTCACAATCCACTTCCAGAACTCCTGAGTATATAACGATCTGGGCAAGCTGATACAGATGCTTCCTTTGTCCTACTGGCCAAACAGTTAATTACTTACCCAGTGCCATGTGTTTTTTTGCACTCTGTGTTCTGGTAGGTTAAATAACTAAAAATGGTGTACTCATTTCTAAGTGAGACAGCTGTACACATCTATAAAGTCTCTCTAAAAATCAGATTTCCATGGCATCTTTGAAGTTTTCTAAAGTTCAGTGACTATTAGGCAACGTATCTTCCCACTACTGAAGTCGATTTATTTTTTTTCACATGTGAGTGACTTTCAGTGTTTGTGACTAACTCTGGGATTTCAGTCTTTCCCCAAGGATTAGAATTAAGATCAAGAGACAGGCTAGTGATAAATTGTTAGGATGTGGTCACAAACACAAAGCTAATTCACCATGTCTGTGTTCTGTAGATTAGACTATCAGCAGAATATGTAATTAGAACCTGCTATAACATTGTTTTAATCAATGATGGAAATATGAGGTAAGATAAATGTGCAGAAATTACTCCTAGGACTCTCCAGCACTACCGGGGGAAACCACTTAAGAAAATCCAAATGGTTTAACAGTAGCAGAGGAAAGTGCTTCCATTCCCAAAAGTGGCTTCAGGAAACCAGCCGAAGCCATCATCTTCCTTCAAAGCCCGTGGTCTGCCATACCTGAACCTTTCCACCAAGGTTGTGTGATGCTTGAGTCACTGCTGAAGCCATTTGCAGCCTGTCGAATATTATATATTTTTGTTTGTTCGTTTGTTGTTGTTGTTGTTTTAGATGGAGTCTCTCTGTTGCCCAGGCTGGAGTGCTGTGGCACAATCTCAGCTCACTGCAACCTCTGCCTCCTGGGTTCAAGTGATTCTTGCACCTCAGCCTCCTGAGTAGCTGGGATTACAGGTACTGACCACCACGCCCGGCTAATTTTTTTTGTATTTTTAGTAGAGATGAGGTTTCACCATGTTGGCCAGGTTGGTCTCGAACTCCTGACCTCAAGAGATCCACCCGCCTCGGCCTCCCAAAGTGCTGGGATTATAGGCATGAGCTACCACGTCCGGCCTTGAATATTGGTTTTATTCCTGCCATTTAGGGACACTAAATAATTGTCACAATATACTAGTGACCAGGAGAGAGGGTCTGGGGATGATCTATACATTTGTGCAGTGACTTTTTGGTGGCTGAAAAAACAGAGAGTCGAGCACAATCTTTGATTACTTAGTCTTAGCTGGAGGATTTGTCAGGCATTGTCTGATAGGTGGAGGAATCTGCATCCTTAGACTAGGTAGGAGGTATTCCCACTTTGTTGGCAGTTGGCAAAGAATGGTGGCTCTCTCACTGTTGTCATTCTCATTCTGATTAGCCACCTTATTAAAAGAGGAGTTCAGGGAACTCTAGCTGGACTTTTATTTCAAGGGTGTTTTCCCAGCCTGTGCTGATAGATGCTCATGGGGTTGGTTGTAGTCTTCAGACGCAAACAGGATCTTATTGTTTCCACTGGGGAGCAGCATGGGTGAAGGAATGGATTGAAGTGTGTGTCATCTTACCTTTCCTACCTGAATCTGAATCTGTGTTTGAAAAACAAAATAAAACAAAACCCAAAATGAAACAGAAAAACGTTCTGGTACCACCTAGGCAGCTATATCCTCTCAAAAACACTCTGTAATTTGCCTGGGTTTCCTCTGAATTGACCCAGGATGACTGCAATCTGCTTTCCATCATCTGAAAGGTGTGGCTAATTAGTGCTTGTTCTCTGGAAGCCTCTCCTCTCCTATTACACTCTCGATCCTGTTTTTTTTAAGCAAAAGAAGTCAGGAGAAGGTTGTAGGCATTGGCTCAAATACTCCCAGGACTTTATGGAATGCATTTCCCATTTACTATCCATTTCAGTGCTTACACTATGCTGGGGGAAGCTGAGCTACAGCTTTACCTTGCTTAGTGAATAAATGGCTATTTCTCTGTGTTAATGGTCTGCATGTCTTATTTCATAGGTCATGGGAATGGGAAAGTACAGCTCTGTCGTTGACTTGATTGCTTTTGTCCAGCCATGAGAAACACTCTCATCTCTGTCCCCAATCCCCTATTAGTGAAAAATCCCCAAATGCACTAATTCCTCCCTCTCCTCAAAAACATTACATTGTGATAGTAGAAAATGTGGAGGGGTGGGTGTGGTGCTTCGACAAAAGGGAACCACTGAAGCCTGGTTTCTGCTTGCAAAATGCGTAGTCCAGTTGAAGGGACGTGGAATCATTTGGGGAATCAAGCCTGCTCTAACTCTTGGCTCCCTGGACCGTGTCATCATCTGGACGCCAGATAAAATACAGATGTTCAGCTAGAAACACAGCACCAGACCATTTTCCTTTTGGCTTGCACTGCCTCTTAAATGCCTGAATGCCAAACAAACTCATTTTCAGCATTTTGCTTCAGCTATAACTCACAGAAGATAGCCCAATCTGGATTGAATAATCTTCTCGGCTCTGTCTCTGAAATAGGGCCCGTGTTCTCCGTGGCCTTTGGCTGCTGGGCTTTCCACGGTCTCTGAGCTGCTCTTCCTTGAAGTCACATGTGTAAAACTGCCGTAGTAGACAGCAGCCATGGACGTGCCTCCTCTCCAGCCCAGCAAAAACCACAGAGCTGTCACTCCCTCGAGCCCTTAGCACACTCCTCCTGTACAGCACTCTCTTCGGCTGCCGTTGCCTTTGCACCGAAGTGACCCTTTTAACAAATTCTTGCCTCGAAATCAAATGAAGAGCAGCTCCTGTTTTTGTGACTGTCTCCGCATAGAACATGAGTCAGATTTTTCCAACAGGAAGAGGATTTTGTTTTTTAACCACCTCGGTCACAGAGGGGTCGCTGAAAGTTTGTAATTACCTTGCAAGGAAGCCTATAACTGACGCTCAAGTGTGAGGAGGCGCGTTCTAAAGACTCGGGGAGGAATGAGCACCTGCAGGGCTTTGCTGTTGGATTCCAAGCTCCCACACCTGTCCCCTCTCCTCCCTCCTCAGAAGCTTCACGCTTTCCCTGTCTGCAACTGGGAAGAGCAACTTTTAAAGGCAAGCTTGACTGACGGTGAGCTCTAATAACGCAGCCATAGAGACCGTCTGTTTTTAGCATAAAATCTAATACATTCGAGCAGTTCTTGCTTGTCTAATTGGAAAAGCCTACCCTACAGGTAAAATTTTCCTTTACTGTAAAAAGGACATGTAATAAGGACGTAGGACATGCCTGTGATAGAAGTGACTCCGAAATTTCTGAGAAAATGATACCAGGGCCATTTCCCTCCGTGACTCTCTTCACTTGCTTCCGGGCCTGCTTCACCCAGGTAGAAACTCAAGCAGGTAGACTAATTATAAATTGCCCTTTGGGCTCTCTCTGCTGGCTGAATGCCAACCTCAGCTTCCTACCCACTCCTACTGCAAGCATCAGAGAGACTCAGGAACGATCCCAACTTGATTCTCACTCCAAACTCTTGTTTTTCTGCACAGCCTTTCTCTCCTGGATAACTAAAAAAACCAGAGTTATAGAAGGAGGGAAGCAGAGTAGGTCGCTAGACCCCTGTGACCTCTTTTTTGGGGGGCACATACCATTCCAGAATTTGCCCTCCTCCTGGGTCTTGGTGGCATGCACGCACATCCCACGCAGCAGCTGCAGTCCTTCCTGGCAGCTGCTGCACTCGTCATGACCAGGGCCTGTGCAGGTTTCGCATGCTCGGTGGCAGGACTCACATTCTCCCATTTCTTGGTCACCATAGAATCCAGGACCACATTTCCTCACACAACTGCCACCTATGTGAGAACACAGAGAGAAAGCATGAAGGCTTTAGTGATCTTTGCAAGGCCAAGTTCTAAAGAGGCTGGAGGAAATTTTAGGGACATTTTTCTTTGCATTTGTTTTTATTATTATTTTTGAGATGGAGTCTCTCTCTGTTGCCCAGGCTAAAGTGCAGTGGCATGATCTCGGCTCACTGCATCCTCCACCTCCCGGGTTCAAGCAATTCTCCTGCCTCAGCCTCTTGAGTGACCGGGACTACAGGTATGTGTCACCACGCACGGCTTATATATTTTTAGTAGAGATGGGGTTTCACCATGTTGGCCAGGCCACTGTGTCCAGCCTTTGCATTTGTTTTCAAAGAAACCAAGATGGCTTTAGCTTATGTCAACCAAGAAATGTGTTTTAATAAATCCAGGTCGGGCGAGGTGGCTCATGCTTGTAATCCCAGCACTTTGGGAGGCTGAGGTGGGTGGATCACCTGAGGTCAGGTGTTCGAGGCCAGCCTGGCCAACAGAGGTTGCAGTGAGCTGAGATTGCGCCACTGCACTCCAACCTGGGTGACAAGAGTGAGACTCCATCTAAAAAAATCCAACACTTTACCTAAGTCCTTTTTCAACTGGGAATTTACATTGGCCATTAGAGGGTTAAGAGCATCGAATACAGAATCCTTGAGGCCTTGAAAAATTACAAATAAAATAAATCTCTGTGTAGAGAAACACTGAAGATCATTGTGGGCTGTCCTTCTCATTCTTTCTCCCCCAAACACTCAAGTGCATTGGGCTATTATCCTCTTCAGCTGGAAGAGTCACACTGTATTTCTTTCCTAACTATCCATTTCCATCAGTCAGTGAGTTGACCAAAGCCTAAGGCAAGGGATCTTGTTAGATTCTTACAGTGCATGGGGATATATAAGATGGATTAAGTCTCAAGACAAGGGTCAGAGCTCTCAATATGCCAGGTGACTTCAATGCCAAAACATTCATCTTCAGGTCCCCACTCTCTATCTCCATCCAATTCAGCCTTGTTTCCATCAGCTTGGAGATATTTGAGATTAATTAGTGGAACAGGAACCATGCTTCAGTAATAAAAGCAGAAGGAGGTGGTTTGGCTAATGTTTATTTCTAAACCAAATTAAAATTTCTCCTTGGGCCAGAGGTGCCCACACGCACAGACTCTGAAACCAATCACATGTGCGCTCCTGTGGCCCCGACTGTGTGGAGCTCCAGTGCCTGGTTCTTAGCTTGGATGGTGCCATTTTCTAACTTACCTAAGAGAAAGAAGCCCTCTTCACACCAGTAACACCCATTCTGGTCACAGCTGCCACAGTTACTATCACACGCCTTGCATTCCACTTCCTCACTGTAGGTCTTCTCAGGACAGGTTTTATAACAATGGTGATCAAACCTAGAGGAAGAAGACATCATTTCTTTCATGACTTATGTTGATGTATTTCTCTTCACCATAATTTAATCTCCTTATGTATGTCTATGCAGAGTTTTTTGTTTCGTTTTGTTTTGTTTTGTTTGAGATGGAGTTTTGCTCTTGTCGCCCAGGCTGGAGTGCAGTGGTCGATCTCGGCTCACTGCAACTTCTGTCTCCCGGGCTCAAGTGATTCTCTTGCCTCAGCCTCCCGAGTAGCTGGGATTACAGGTGCACACCACCATGCCTGGCTAATTTTTGTATTTTTTTCCAGAGAGGGGGTTTTGCCATGTTGCCCAGGCTGGTCTCAAACTCCTGGCCTCAGGGGATCTGCCCACCTCTGCCTCCCAAAGTGTTGGAATTACAGGCATGAGCCACCACGCCCAGCCTGTGCAGCATTTTCAACAGGAGTGGATAATTGAATTTCAGGCTTGGTCTGTTATGCACCCCTCAACCCAAGTCACTAACCACCTCCTTCTGGACCTCCAAGGACTCTTTATCAGGGCAGCTGGGAGAAGGCTGGGGAGAAAGAAGGGGTACTGATACTTATTTATAGAGTACTGATTATGTGTCAAGTATTAGCTCATCTAAATCTCCACAAATCTCGTATGGTAGATATCATGTATCTTTAATTTCTAGATAAGGGAACTGGAGCTCAGGGTTAAGTGCTCAAAAATCACAGAGCTAGCTAACGGTGGGACTGGGATTTTAACCAAAGTCTGTGTGAAAAGGTTGCTTGTGTGATTTATCACATAGCAACTGGCACTGAGGCCTGAAATAGCTTGGTGTCGAGTCCAGGCAGCTTACTAAAATGTCTGTAACCAGATTATTAACAATAGTAGCGAAGTAGCTTAGCTTTTATTTATAAATATTTTTATGTACGTTATCTGTTATTCTCATTCTACAGTAAAATGTTGTAATTCAGACTCCACTGAATTGCAGGCTTACCTGAAGGAGGAGTGGAGTGAAATTGACCCCTGCCTTTGATGAATTTCAGAGCATCAGCATGATATCAGGGGAAACCTTTGCATATCTTCCTTAACAACTGTTTTTTTTTTTTTTTTTGAGACTAAATCTCCCTGTCACTGAGGCTGGAGTGCAATGGCATGATCTTGGCTCACTGCCACCTCCACCTCCTGGGTTCAAGTGATTCTCTTGCCTCAGCTTCCTGAGTAGCTGGAACTACAGATGCATGCCACCACACTCGGCTAATTTTTGTATTTTTAGTAGAGACGGGGTTTCCCCAGGTTGGCTAGGCTGGTCCCAAACTCCTGACCTCAGGTGATCCACCCACCTTGGCCTCCCAAAGTGTTGGGATTACAGGCGTGAGCCAACACGCCCAGCAACAATGTCTATTGTAAGGCATTTCACTCGCTGTATTCAAAGTTGCTGAATGTTTTCAAAGATTATATATGTTTGTTTCTTGAAATAAATATCTCATGTTGTACCCTTAGTGATATTGGAGCATGTTCTTCCAGGGTATTTGTTTTTCAGAGGGTTTTATGAAACATGCTCATTAGCGAGTAGTGGAGAGCTGAAGAGGCGGCCAGGTTTGGCTCCAACGTTTAACAGAGGATGTTTGACAAAGTTTAACAGAGCCTGGCCAACATGGCGAAACCCTGTCTCTGCTAAAAATACAAAAACTAGCTGGGCGTGGTGGTGTGCACCTATAATCCCAGCTACTAGGGAGGCTGAGGCACAAGAATCACTTGAACTTGGGAGGCAGAGGTTGCAGTGAGCTGACATCGTGCCACTGCACTCCAGCCTGGGCCACAGAGTGAGACTGTCTTAAAAACAAACAAACAAAAAAAACCCAAAAAAACAAAGTGGGTCAGGAGTGCAGTGATGTGAGACATAGTCAATGTAGAGAATGGCAGGCTATTCTGGAAAAGTTAGATTAAAACCGTAAGGCTAAGAACTGATAAGGTTAACTGATCATTTTTAGTATGTTTCAGCTTGTTGGGCTTCCCTTTCTCTCCCATCCTCCACACTCCTTTTACTTTTTCTTACCTATTACCACATTTCAAGTGTATTTGTTTTTGGACAGGTGGGTCGCCTTCTCTTGTCACCACATTGCTTTGTCCAATTCTATGGATGGAGGGAAAAGGCAATGTGACAAGAGGAGGTGACCCGCCAAAGGCCAAATGTCGCAAATGTAGACCTGTCAGTAGCTGTGGTGCAACTGGAGTAAAACCTTGCCCCTCTCTGAGCTTCAGTTTTCTCTTCAGGAGATTAACATCCTCCTGTGTCTCTGACAATCTCAATAAAATGATCGAGAGATGAAATAGTCGTGAGAGTTTGTATATCACAAAACTCCTGAGTTCTTAGGAGGACAGGGAGGGATTATGCAGCCCATGCATCACCCACGGACTTCCTTTCCTTTGCAGCTCCTTTCTCTTTCATTTTCCTTCTAGGACGGTCAACAGTGTGTGCTGGAAGGGAAGCTAGACTAGGAAGAGGGGGCGATATTGAAACATGCCATTTTTGATTTTGTGGATTGTTTTTAGAGTACATTGGGAGTGATGGTTACCTCTGTTTCATTTAACCTAGTGGTCTGTGTCTCTTGTTACCTAGGGGATGACTAAGAGCTGATATAGCACCTGGCTTCACCCTGGAGCCTTCGCTCTGGTTAAGGACGCAGTATCCATGCAGACGTTTGCAAACAGCTTACTTAGGACCAGGTATATTATTAAGGTCTGCCCAAGAACAGCAAGATCTGAATCTTGGTAACCCATGGCAGGATTCCTAGACACCAGTGTCAGGCTGGATGACTTCCAGGATCAAGAAAGAGATGGCCTCCTTTCGAGGCAAGGAAACAGCTGGGCTCTTATTGCTAAATCCAAGAATTGCTCATTAATAGCCTGACAGGACAGAGTTGCTTCGGGCTGCAGGGCCACTTTGCTTTAATCGCTGGATTGAGGATTATGTCAGTAATGCTTAAACTGCAGAAAAGTTAGTGCCATGAAAAGGAAGACCAGACTTACCTGTAATACCCCATAGCGCAAGATGTACATGTTCCTGGATCATCTGGAAAAAAAAAATAATAAAAAGTAATAATCATGAGGAATTCGTCATTTGGAAAAATAGGGTCTGAAAGCTGTAGCTTGAGATAAACAATCCTGTGGGATAGTTTCATGAAATGTACTGTCCAGAAATAATATTTGAACAGATTGTACTGTTTTTAATTAGCAACAAGATGTACACTAGGATTTATCTTTATCAAAGGTAGTAAGAATTCTCATAAACACTTGGCCCTGACTTTCAAGGAGGAATAGGTTCAAGCTACTGGGTCTTCGAATTAAAGATCAACGACCATCCACATTAAGAACCCCCTGGCCTTTACTGAGATAGAGGGATCAACCAAGTCCACACACAAATATTTGGAAGGGGCTACAAGCTTCTGACCCTGAATAGAGGGTTTTCCATCAGTTACCCAAGAATCTTGCCAATGGAAGTGAGCATCATTTGGGGCACTCCTTCGAAATCTGCACAATTATTTTTCCCAAGTATCCACTTCATGTTACGCCCTTCGCAACTTTCTTAAAAAAACTGTCTTGTTCTCATTAAGAGTAATGATTCAATGCATCCCTGCTGGCTCACAGAAGGGTTCTTTCCTGCAGCTTTCAGGGGACTTAAAGAGAGAGAAAAGATTTTGAGAGTCATCATCTCAGCCTATTTCTCTCCCTCCTAACACTTCCCAGAAGATGCAACTCTCAGATCTAGCTATTAAGAGAATTCGGTGACTTCCTCTGGCCTGCAGTTCTTGCACATAACAGAGCTACCTCTGGCAGGTTCTTTCTGTGATCTAACCTACCTTCCAGTCTTGCTCTTCTTATTTTAATAGGAGATGAAAGACAACTGTTCCTCCTTAAAACGTTCCTCTTGGTATGTGAAAATTTTATGTCACCTTTAATTAACAAAATAAAACTATATCATTTGAACTTTGTGCATAGCTTTCCTTTCTAATCTATTCTGCCCTCTTCTGGTTTTTTCAGACTGCCCTTAGGAGGTAGACACAACCTCACTCAAATCTTTAGTCACACGTTCATCTTGGGTCCTAGGGAGGCTACCAAATGATATTCCTGTGTACTACACATAATACAACTAATGCATTGCACTAAATGTTAAGTGGGAAAATTTCTAGCAAAGGCTCTGCTAATTAAAGCAGGGATCTGCAGAACCTTCTGGAAATAGCTTGATGATGGTGCAGTAGAAACAGTGCTGGCCTGGAAGTTGAGCTTCCTGTTTGAAGTTTCAACTCAGGCTTAATTATCTTGTGAACTTGCACAAATGTCACCTACTTTCTGGGTCCTGGTTTCTGCGGGTGTAAAATGAGCTGGTTGGACAAGATGGTTGTTAAGACTTCTGGAAAGTCACAGATTCTGAAGTTGAGCCTAGCAGGAGTTGGCAACTATGGCCCACTCCAGGACCTTGACCTTGCCATCTATTTGTATGTATTGTGTAAGAATGCTTTCATGCTATATAACCAGAGTTGAGTAATTGCAAGAGACCAAAGATATTTACTCCCTGCCACTTCACAGAATTTGCCGTCCCCTGACTATAGCACTATTAGCTCATGACTTGGTCATGCTCATCTTTGCTAGGGGACACAGGTGTCTGTAATTGTCTTAACAGCTGGTTTCAGAGTTCCTCTTAGGAAAAGAACTGTCTATATTTAGGAAACTACCTTGTTAAGCTCCTTGGGGTAGAGGTTTAATTGGAAGAGTTGAACAAGAGCCAAGACAGCCAAAGAGATAGAAGGGCCCTTCTGCAGGAAGCTGTTATCTGCTCATGGGAGGGAAATGGTTTTTAATGTCTGGGTCAACATGGTTTGTAATACGGTGACTAAGACAGGACAGTGAAATGAACCAAAAACCAGGCTAATTAGGTGGAACCAGGAAGTGAAGCTAGAGGTGACCATGGGAAAGAAAAGCTCCCTGGCATTCTTAGAAATCTTGGGAAAGACCAATTCATAGGCTGGGGATCTGAACCCATTGTAAGGGCCAGCAGAGGCCCCAGTGAACACCAGTGGTTCCCCTGGACTAGTTCATTTTCCATTACGTGTCTATTTTTGCATCCATATTCTTTTCAGTTTCTAAATAACCTCCAACCACTCAGCTTATATTTGGGCAGCTTACTTTACTCTGCCTCCCTAATGAACATATTTGACTCTAACAGTTTTGCTAATTTGGCAAGGGCTGGGGAAATTCTAATCCTGTTCTTTAATGTTCTGGTCATCCCTCCCATCTAGGAACTTAATGAGCTTGCTCTCTGCTCCTTTAAGCAGGTCACTGATGAAAATGTTAAACAGAACCAAGCCTCAGAATTGTGCATACCAATGCCATCTTGAGTTCAGGGACTTTTCCAGCCCAGTTGCACAGTGAATTTGGTACCTTTACAACAGTTTGCATAAATGAATAATGCATAGAACAGGAACTGTGCCTTATACAGCTTATGAATGCTCATTAGTTTTTCTCATTATTAGCAGTTGTTCTGAAGAATGAGAATTATTTAAAAAATTGTTTCCACCCCAGAAGATCCACAAGTCAGACATAAGCTAAATGGATTTAGCTTGACCACTGAGAGGCTGCTGTTATGAGATTAAGGAAGAAGGTAACAATCCCAAATCTAGAAGTTGACTCTAAGTCAGCTTGGCATTTAGATGGTGAGGAGGGGTGGCTTAAGGAGAAAGATGAATTTTCCTGGCTTCTAGTGTGTGTGTGTGTGTGTGTGTGTGTGTGTATGTTGCGTGTGTGTGTGTGTGTGTGTGTGTGTGTGTGTGTGTGTGTGGTGAGGGGAATGGGAAGGGAGTCTTAAACAAGCTACAATTGTTAGCTGTCTTGGAAGGTGTTATCCAAAGAAGGATGTTTAAATAGCTCGGGTGATTTGATTTTGTCAAACTTTTGAGCTGAGAGAGCATATTTTGGGGAGAGATGGGGAAAGTTCAGTCAGAATTCAGAGAGAGCCTCACACATTTGGAAAAAAGTCTTCAGAAACAGTGGCTGGCTTCCAGCTGCTCATATCTTTCCTAAGGAGAACATGCGAGCAGATGCCTCGTCAGGACGGGGATGCCGTCTTTCTGTCTTGAGAAAAGTCATTTTTATTGTCTCATTTGTATGGGGTGGGGTGGGCCGGACTACAAAGTCCGCTCTCTCTTGAGAGCTCTTCATGATCCCCTGTGTCACCTTCCCACTGTGTCTTTGGGGATCATCTGTACTGTCACTCATCACGAACTCACTGTCCCATGGAGACATTGCCTCCTGCTTCAACATCGCCTTCAGCAGCCAATTTACATTCTATGCCATTTTATTTTGTTCTCAGTAATAACGATCACCTTCACCATTGAATTTGGATGGATGAGGGCCACAGTGGGAGCTGTGCACATCATACCTATAAGATGTATTGGAAAGGAGATATTTTAAACTTGAACGTCTAGAGAAGAAGAATTTATTTTTATGGTTTACATAAACTCGGTGTCCCATAATTCAGGATACATACAAGTGGAGGGTGAGCATAACCATGGCAACCCCATGCAGACTGTGAAAGGGTCCTGGCCTCTTACTGCTCTGTGAGAAATAAAATGTCGGCACAAGTCAGCAAGCTGGCATTTCATGAAGACAAAATGTCACAATTACAGGGTGAGACTGGCTGCCCTGGCCATGCTGGCTGTCTGAAGAGACCAGGTCTCCCTATGGTATCCAGGCTGGTATCAAACCCCTGATCCCAAGTGATCCTTCTGCCTTGGCTTCCCAAAGTGCTGAGATTACAGGGAAGTTACTTTGTCACTGGAAAAAGATACTTGTGAAGAAACTGGACTTCCAGCTTCCAGGTTATGTATCTCAGTATTCTAGCAGAAAAGCATGAATTTAAGATGGGGTCTCCCTGTGTTGCCCTGGTGGTTTTGAACTCCTGACCTCAAGCAATCCTCCTGCCTCAGGCTACCAAAGCCCTGGTATTACAGGCCAGTCCTTGGAGAGACCAGGAAATCCAGAGTTTTCTCCAAGAATGGGGATTCCTGAGAAGTGAGTTTCACCTTGAATCAAGAAAGGAGAATCACATACTGTCAAAGCAATTGTCCGGAGCATCAAGAACAGGGGAACAAAGAAGAGCTGGGCTTGACAGGATCATGGTGTCTCTCTCCCACCTAAAACCTACCACTACCTCAAGACCCCCTCGAGATGGTGACCTGTCTTGGTTTCAACACCTTAAACAGGAAACACTGGGAAAATGCATACTTCTCCATTCTGTATCAGACATGTCTTAGAGGAAACCCATTATATCTGAATGACCAAAGAAAAGTATGAGAAAAATGAGAAATCTGTGCCAGGCCATTCACAATGTTTTGCTGGTGCCCTGGGGCCCACATGCATTTCAAGAAAAATAAAGTATGTCGAACCTGCAGAAGCCTGAAGTATGTCTGTCAGACCTGCCTCTTAGACCTGGAGCATGGCCTGCCCACCTAGGTTTGTGATGCTGCGTTGTCTTTAAAAGAGGACATGCTGGCCGGGCGCGGTGGCTCATGCCTGTAATCCCAGCACTTTGGGAGGCTGAGGCGGGCAGATCAAAAGGTCAGGAGATCGAGACCAGCCTGGCTAACATGATGAAACCCCGTCTCTACTAAAAATACAAAACATTAGCCGGGTGTGGTGGTAGGTGCCTGTAGTCCCAGCTACTCAGGAGGCTGAGGCAGGAGAATGGCATGTACCCGGGAGGTAGAGCTTGCAGTGAGCTGAGACTGTGTCACTGCACTCCAGCCTGGGCGACAGAGTGAGACTCCATCTCAAAAAAACAACAAAAAAAAGATGACATGCCAAAGTCAGATGTCAGAGAAGAGAAGAGTACTACACGCAGAATGTGGAGAGAGGGATTTCTAACTCGAATGGAAGACAGCCAGTTGGCCTGCTGGGGAAAGCCACATCCACCAGTGACATGCTAGACAAACTGGCCTGGACCATACCCTATTACCTAAAGAATAAGCCCCACATTTGCTCCTTCTGGGTGAAGGGAGAGGGTAAGAGAGGAGAGGAGTTTCGATAGAGACATGAGAAGCCTACAGGTCCACATGATTCCCTTGCTGATCAGATATTAAAAACTGATATTATATAGTCAACGACCGTGTAGCAGATAAGCTTCTATAGTAGGCTTCAGCCACGCCTCATCTGGAACTCCCAGAGGATAAGACTATCCCCACACTAGACACCGGTGATCCGGGTGATACCATTACTGAGACAGATCTTAAGAAATAATCTCTACCTATTTAGAGAGATCTGGACAATCCCTGTTGTGCAGAGACAGCGGTGTGCTTTCATCCAGGTTTCCACAGGGCAGGCTGCACAAGTGGCTGTAGAGAAGTCCTTTAATAAGTTAATCACCAATGGCTGCAGACTAAGTGTAAAATGGGGAAGATCCCAGGCAGCCAGAGGAAAGGAAAATGACAGAACCCCAGACCCGGGGATCCAGCTAGAGCTGATTCCAGTACTGCCGGGAGCTCTTCCTCCTTCTGCAGCAGCAGATGCATCTGCCAATGACTTCAACCTACCTCCAAGTGCTCCTACAGCTGTGGTGAACATTGCCTTGCCATGTTCAACTGCTATTGCCCTGTCCCCACCCCTGCTATTGCTCTGCCCCTACCTCCAGGATTTGAGACACACATGTTCCACTCAATAGGACCACCTTCCCCTTTCAAGAGGACTCCAGGATCCATCCACTGTCTTTCTCAGGACCCTCAGAGATGGAGCTCATGCCAGAAAACACAGCAGGCCCTAGCACATTATCACACCCCTGGCTGTATGAAAGAAAGGACACTTAAATATCCCAATCAATGAATCTTGGAATAAGTATTTTTTTTCTTCCTTTGTGGTTTCCATGGTATCTGAATGTGTTCAGATGTGGGCAGGTGAGAAACAATGGCCATGCTTTTCTACACATATTCAAAGGATTGATGGACCTCAGATAAGCTGCCATTAAAACATCTGGCTACTAATATCACATGACAAGTAAAATCTAATGCCTGTCTTCTTCATTTCTGTGAATGACAAGAAGCTGGGTGAATTGCAATATACAGCAGAATTACCAACCCAATCATATGTTCACTTTGTCTCTGTTTATGGGGGGAAAAATGACCTGCAGGAAAAAAACCTTTTGAACACATTTATGTCCACTGGGTATATTGTATTTTATAATCTCCAAAAGGTTACTAGTACTAATTTTTGTAGTGGTGTAAGTGTGATTTAACTGTTTTAAATTCACATTATCAGAAAGACAAATAGAACCCAGTAATCATCGCAGCCCAGATCTTTTCTTTCCTCTTTTTTTCTCATTTATTACCAAAGAAATTTAATAGTTCACTATCTAAAAAAGACGAAAATGAAATGTCTTTGTATTCCATTCAAAAAAAGAGGAACATACTAGCTAAAATGCTTCTAACTTTATTTTTTTTTTCTAATTTTATTATTCTCTTCACATGTTTATTTTTCTTTTGGGGGAGACAGAAGAAACTCAATGTCTTAAGGATAGCCTTTTATCATAGAATGTCTATATCTGCCAGAATTGGCCATGAAGTAGACACTATGTTTAGGCAGAATCAACCCTCCGCAAAACTGGTGGTGGGGGGGTAATTTTAGGGTGCTCCTATCTTATCTTTGGCTATCTCATTCAAGCTTCTAGGACTTTCATTCATACCCCATGCAAGCCAGACTCCCCCCCTACCACTTGCTATTGAAACCTATCTGTCCTGTGTCCTGTTACTGCAAGAACCTACTAGGTTACTGGCTAGGATGACAGACGAATGGGCATGGCAAATATGTGCTCTTGGGAGACTCCTAGGCTCTCACCTCTCTCACTCTCTTCTCAAGTGTTCTAGACTCCTTAGGTTCCTTCCACTTTGACTCTCTTAGGCTACATCTGCAAATGTTCCATAAAACATTACCCATTTGATTGTAGTTTAGCATACCCTGGATACTTGCTTCTCCCAGACAATCTCAACCTTTTGGCCCAGTCACCTTCTCTGGTCTACTCATCTATATCTTATGCTCTACCAAACTAGGGGCTCCATTCACTTCCCAGGATTCAGGTTGGCCAATATCTCCCACACTTAGGCCAAGTATTAGACCAAAGTCATGCTCCAGCCATACTTCATAGAACTTCCAGCATCAGCCACTCTCCAATCTCAATCAACAACAGAAATCTAAAGTTCTAAGCTCCATACTGTTTTGATTAATCACTCATTGGCTTAAAAAATTAGTATGTTAGAAAATATAACATTTATACACGTTATGCTCACCCTCCACTTGCATGCTAATATATGTGTGTGTATAAATTATTATTCATTATTATTTATTATGTACTAGTGCATGAATGTATTAGTGCATTTTCATACTGCTATGAAGAAATACCTGAGACTGGGTAATTTAAAAGAAAAAGAGGTTTGGCCAGGCGCAGTGGCTCAAGCCTGTAATCCCAGCACTTTGGGAGGCTGAGGCTGGTGGATCACCTGACGTCGGGAGTTTGAGACCAACCTGACCAACATGGAGAAACTCTGTCTCTACTAAAAATACAAAATTAGCTGGGCATGCTGGCACATGTCTGTAATCCCAGCTACTTGGGAGGTTGAGGCAGGAGAATCACTTGAACCCAGGAGGCGGAGGTTGCAGTGAGCTGAGATCGCGCCATTGCACTCCAGCCTGAGCAAGAAGAGCGAAACTCTGCCTCAAAAAAAAAAAAAAGACAAAAAAAAAAAAAAGGGTTTAATGGACTCACAGTTCCATGTGGCTGAGGAGGCCTCACAATCATGGTGGAAGGTGAAGGAGAAGCAAAGACATGTCTTACATGGTGGCAGGCAAGAGAGTGTGTGCGGGGTATCTGTCCTTTATAAAACCATCAGATCTCATGAAACTTATTCACTATCATGAGAACAGCATGGGAAAAACCTGCCCCCATGATTCAGTTACCCCCCACCGGGTCCCTCCCTTGACATGTGGGGATTATGGGAGCTACAATTCAAGATGAGATTTGGGTGAGGACACAGCCAAACCATATCAATGAATATTTCACATACATTAAAGAGATGTGCTAGAGTAGAACATTTAAGATTGAAGAGGTTAACATAAAAATCATGAACATAAGTTCTTTTTTTTTTTTCTTTTGCAGCCTAAATAAATTATTTTTCCTACCTCTTTCTGGAGACCAGTGACCCAGGCCACACCTAACCAAATGCTACATCTGAGCTAATAAATTCATATTTAACCTTGTCAAAACATGTTGAGTTTGGTTCCTTAAGATTGTAACCAGAAGAAATGGCTCTCTGACTCGCATGTACATAAGGAATCTCCTGCACTTGGCTTCCAGCCCTTCTTTATAGACGGACTATTTGATTCTAATTAACTTGTTTACCTAGCATTTTGGGGTCAGGAGATAAGTGGAAATATAGATGTGAATGAAAATGTTTGAATGATATGATTAGATTCCATTTTTTCAACCTCTTCACCACCTTCTGTAGCTTTAGTACATAAATTTATTCCCCGGAGCAAACTTTCTAGATCAAAATAATCATTGGTTATGCCTTAATAAAAAAGCATCTGTTGGGAATATATTTAAAATAGTATACTACAGGCATGCCTCAGAGATATTATGGGTTCAGTTCCAGACCACCTCAATGAAGTAAGTGTTACAATAAAGCAGGTCACACAAACTCTTTTGTTTCCCAGTGCATATAAAAGTAATACACTATACTGTAGTCTATTAAGTAAGCAATAGCATTATGTCTAAAAAATATACATACCTTAATTAGGAAATACTTTATTGCTAAAAAATGCTAATGATCATCTGAGCATTCAGATCCTTTTGCTGGTGGAGGGTCTTGCCTCGATATTGATGGCTGCTTGACTGATCAGGGTGGTGGTTTCTGAAGGTTGGGGTGGCTGTGGCAATTTTTTGAAACAATGAAGTTTACCACGTTGATTGACCCTCCTTTACATGAAAGATTTCTCTGTAGCATGTGATGCTGTTTGATAGCATTTTACCCACAGTAGAACTTCTTTGAAAATTCGAGTCAATCCTCTCAAATTCTGCTGCTACTTTATCAACTAAATTTATGTAATATTCTAAATCATTTGTTTTCATTTCAACAATGTTCACAGCATCTTCACCAGGAGAAGTTTCCATCTTGAAAAACCACTTTCTTTGCTCAACCATAAGAACCAATTTCTTGTCTGTTCAAATTTTATTGTGAGATTGTAGCAATTCAGTCACATCTTCAGGTTCCACTTCTAATTCTAGTTTTCTTACCATTTCCATCACCTCTGCAGTCACTTCCTCCACTGAAGTCTTGAAACTTCCCAGTCATTCATGAGGGTTAGAATCAACTTCTTCCAAACTGTTAATGTTACTATCTTGACCTCCTCCCATGAATCACAAATGATATCAAGAATGGTGAATCCCATGGACATGAAGACGAGAACAGACACTGGGGACTACTATGGGAGATGGGCAATGGCTGAAAAACTACCTATTGGGTACTATGCTCACTACCTGGGTGATGGGATCATTCATACCCCAAACCTCGGCATCACACAGCATACCCATGTAATAAATCTGCACATGTACCCACTGAATCAAAATAAAAGTTGAAATTATAAAAACATAAGATGGGTGCAGTGGCTCATACCTGTAATCCCAACACTTTGGGAGGCTGAGATGGAAGGATCACTTGAGCCCAGGAGTTTGAGATCAGCCTGGGCAACATAGGGAGACTCTATTTCTACAAAAAATAGATATCAGCTGGGCATATTGGCAAGTGCTTGTAGTCACAGCTACTCAGGAGGCTGAGGTGGGAGGATTGCGTTAGCCTCGGAGGTCAAGGCTGCAGTGAGTCAAGATTGCAAAAACCCTGTCTCGAAAAAAAAAAAAAGACAGAAGAAAAGGAAGAAAGAAAGAAAGAAAAAGAAAGAAAGAAAAAATTGGAAATAAAATAAAAAATTGGCCAGGCACAGTGGCACACACCTGTAGTCCTAGCTAGTCAGGAGGATGAGGTGGGAGGATCACTTGAGCCCAGGAGTTTGAGGCTGCAGTGAGCTATGATCACACCACTGTGCTCCAGCCTGGGCAACAGAGCGAAAAAAAAAAAAAAAAAAAAAAAAAAAGCAAAGAAAAGAATGGTGCACTCCAGCCTGGGCAACAGAGTGGGGAAAAAAAAAAAGAAAGAAAAAAATGGTGCATCCTTTCCAGGAAGTTTCAATTTACATTGCCCAGATACATCAGAGGAATCTCTACGGCAGCTATTGCCATACACAGTGTCTTTCTCAGTAAGACTTAGGCCAGGTGCAACGGCACAAGCCTGTAATACCAGCACTTTGGGAGGTTGAGGTGATTGGATTAGTTGAGCTCAGGAGTTCAAGACCAGCCTGGGCAACGTGGCAAAACCCCATCTCTATAAAAAATATGAAAATTAGCCTAGTGTGGTGGCATACACCTGTAGTTCTAGAAACCCAGGAGGCTGAGGTGGAAGAATTGCTTGAGCCCAGGAGGTGGAGGTTGCAGTGAGCCAAGAGTGTGCCACTGTACTCCAGCATGGGTGACAGAGTGGGACCCTGTTTCAAAATAATAATACTTGAAATTTGAAATTACTCTTCAATCCATGGGCTGCAGAATCAATGTCCTGTTAGCAGGTATGAAAACAACATTAATCTTGCACATCTCCATTGGAACTCTTAGGTGACCAGGTACATTGTCAATGAGCAGTAATAGTTTGAAAACTCTTTTGTCTGAGCAGTAGGTCTCCACCGTGGGCTTAAAATATTCAGTAACCATTCTGTAAACAGATGTGCTGAACCCGGCCTTGTTTCATTTATGGACCACAGGCAGAATGGATTTGGCATAATTCTTAAGGGCCTAGGATTTTCAGAATGATAAGTGAATACTGGCTTTAACTTAAAGTCACCAGCTGCATTAGTCCCTAATAAGAGAGTCAGCCTGTCCTTTGAGACTTTGAAGCCAGGCGTTGACTTCTCCTCTCTAGCTATGAAAGTCCTAGATGGCATGTTTTCCCAATGGAAGGCTGTTCCACCTAAACTGGAAATCTGTTGTTTGCTATATTAACCTCCATCAATGATCTTAGCTGAACCATTTGCTGCAGCTTCTGCATCATTACTTGCTGCTTCACCTCGCACTTTTATGTTATGGAGACAGCTTCTTTCCTTAAGCCTCATGAACTAACCTCTGCTAGCTTCCAACATTTCTTCTGTAGCTTCCTTACCTCTCTCAGCTTACATAAAATTGAAGAGAGTTAGGTCCTTGCTCTGGATTAGGCTTTGGCTTAAGGAAATGTTGTGGTTTGATTTTCTATCCAGACCACAAAAACTTTCTCCATATCAGCACTAAGGCTGTTTCTCTTTTTTATCATTTGTGTATTCACTGGAGTAGCACTTTTAATTTCCTTCAAGAACTTTTGCTTTGCATTCACAACTTGGCTGTTTGGTGCCAGAGACCTAGATTTCAGCCTATCTTTTTGTTTGGTTATTGTTTTTTTGAGACAGAGTCTGGCTCTGTCACTCAGGCTGGAGTGCAGTGGTGTGATCATGGCTTACTGCAGCCTGGTACTCCTGGGATCAAGCAATCCTCCCACCTCAGCCCACCATGTAGCTGGGACTACAGACCACCACATCTGGCTAATTGTTGTACTTTTAGTAGAGACGGGTTTTCCCCATGTTGCCCAGGCTGGTCTCTAATTCCTGGGCTCAAGCGATCCTCCTGCCTCGGCCTCCCAAAGTGCTGGGATTATAGGTGTGAGCCACCGTGTCCGGCCCTACCTTTGTTTTTGACTTGCCTTCCTCACTAAGCTTAATCAATTTTAAGCTTTTGATTTAAAGTGAGAGACTTGCAACTCTTCCTTTCATTTGAGCATGTAGATGCCACTGTAAAAGTATTAACTGGCCTCATTTCCATATTATTATATCTCAGGGAAGGTCTGATGAGAGGAAGAGATATAGGGAAATGCCGTCAGTGGAAAAGGCAGAACACACACATTTGTCAACTAAGTTCCATCTCACATGGTGGGGTTCATGGTGCCCCAAAACAATTATAATTGATCACTGATCACTGTGATCACCATAACAGATAAAATAATGATGAAAAGTTCAAAATATTGTGAGAATTACAAAAATGTGACACAGAGACACAAAGTGAGGATGTGCTATTGGAGGAGTGGTAGAGACAGGCTTGTGGCAGGGTTGCCACAAACCTGTAATTTGTAAAAAATGCAACATGTGCTAGGCATGGGCAAGGACTTCATGTCTAAAACACCAAAAGCAATGGCAACAAAAGACAAAATTGACAAATGGGATCTAATTAAACTAAAGAGCTTCTGCACAGCAAAAGAAACTACCATCAGAGTGAACAGGCAACCTACAAAATGGGAGAAAATTTTCGCAACCTACTCATCTGACAAAGGGCTAATATCCAGAATCTACAATGAACTCAAACAAATTTACAAGAAAAAAACAAACAACCCCATCAAAAAGTGGGCGAAGGACATGAACAGACACTTCTCAAAAGAAGACATTTATGCAGCCAAAAAACATGTGAAAAAATGCTCATCATCACTGGCCATCAGAGAAATGCAAATCAAAACCACAATGAGATATCATCTCACACCAGTTAGAATGGCAATCATTAAAAAGTCAGGAAACAACAGGTGCTGGAGAGGATGTGGAGAAACAGGAACATTTTTACACTGTTGGTGGGACTGTAAACTAGTTCAACCCTTGTGGAAGTCAGTGTGGCGATTCCTCAGGGATCTAGAACTAGAAATACCATTTGACCCAGCCATCCCATTACTGGGTATATACCCAAAGGACTATAAATCATGCTGCTGTAAAGACACATGCACACGTATGTTTATTGCGGCATTATTCACAATAGCAAAGACTTGGAACCAACCCAAATGCCCAACAATGATAGACTGGATTAAGAAAATGTGGCACATGTACACCATGGAATACTATGCAGCCATAAAAAATGATGAGTTCATGTCCTATGTAGGGACATGGATGAAATTGGAAATCATCATTCTCAGTAAACTATCGCAAGAACAAAAAACCAAACACCGCATATTCTCACTCATAGGTGGGAATTGAACAATGAGATCACATGGACACAGGAAGGGGAACATCACACTCTGGGGACTGTGGTGGGGTGGGGGGAGGGGGGAGGGATAGCATTGGGAGACATGCCTAATGCTAGATGACGAGTTAGTGGGTGCAGCGCACCAGCATGGCACATGTATACATATGTAACTAACCTGCACAATGTGCACATGTACCCTAAAACTTAAAGTATAATAAAAAAAATGCAACATGTGCAATGTACAATAAAGCAAAATGCAGTAAAATGAGATATGCCTGTTCACTTATATAAGATGGGCTAATAGACATTGAAATTTTGTTTCTCAAGAGTATTTAATGACACAGAAACATTTCATGATAGGCTATGTAAAAAATGATGATAATCCATCTCTATGTATATGGTAGGTAGATACCTACCTGTGTGGATGGATGGATGGATGGATAGATAGATAGATAGACAGATAGAGATGGCTTTATTGAAAATCAGAAGGCAAAAAGCTAAAATATTAATATTAATTTTTGCTTTACATATACATATATATGTTTCTATGCTTTTAAAATAAATGTGTGTTACAGAATTGGTTAAAACAAAAATGTTATTAAGGAAAAAAAAAAGCTCAGGTCCTGAGTTCTAGACATCATTTGGGTCATGTATTTGAAAACAGCATCCTCCCACAGATCTCCCATGAGGGAGCTTGTCATTTGGCTAAGCTCTTTACTTTTTTGTTCCTTTCTTTCCTGCCCACTCCTATTTTCTCATCTTCCCATTTTGTCTCCTGGCATTTCCTAATTCTACACCACCAGGACAGGACTGATGTTCTTCCGTGGGGTGTGGCTAAATGGTGGCAGATGTTTGTATAATCTCCTTGAAAAAGATTCACTTTTAAAACGAATTGTTTTTCTGATACAATTTTGCAAAGGAGGCCAATGAATACGAGATGGGGTTATTCTTGGCTCTCCTGAGACTCGTGGCTTTCAGTGGGGCCAAGCATTCTTAAACAAGTCTCTATATGAGCACCTGCAGCCTTGTTGGAGTAGCAGCAGCATGTCCACCCCTGTTGAGATGTCCTACTGCTCCCTTTGAGGAGAAAGACAGCATTATAAGCAGCCAATACTTGAATTGTTTTGAGAGATAATTAAGTAAATTGTCAATAATGCATATTCTCCCAGGGTAAATATATACTTACTTACTGAGCAACGCTGTACAAATTTGCAGGAGAGTCACTGACATTTTTCAGTCCACCCGAAGATAATGAACTGGGTAAAACATTTATATTCCCAAAGAGTGCAACTAATTATAAGCCCCAAATAACACTAAAAAGTACATAATTCAAATAGGTCTTGCACTTAGAATTGCCTCAAATAATTAACACTCGAATACAAAATGGATCCTCTGACAGTTTTGCCAAAGCTGATTTTTCTGGAAGGTTCAATGGTGCTGGGATACAAAGTATTTGGTTGGGGGTTTGCTAGTGATTTTCAATCATGTTGTCCTCATCGGTGCCCAGGGATAATGAATAAATGTTTGAATCGGCAGTAATGCAAATGGTGCAACTGACAGTGGGGCACAACTCCCTGGAGGGACAGGGTGGTAGAAGAGACTGGAATAAGTAATTGAAATTATTGTCTACAAATGTTGGCTAAAGAGGGTTCAGTCTTCTATTGGTCTCTAGTCTTTATCGAGTCCTCTAATTCCAGTGATGGAATATCATAATAGGCAAGCTGTTTGTGGATTTCCATGCTTCTCTAGACTGACTAGCAGGTAGAAGTGATGGATGAAAATATGCAGCAATTCCTATAGGGATCACTCACTAACGCTGTACATTCATTCACGTATTCATTTATTCTGAAGCCTTCATTCTTTGGGGGGAAGACATAATAAAAAGAAAAAATTAGATTATTATTATTATTGTTTTTGAGATGGAGTCTCACTCTGTCGCCCAGGCTGGAGTGCAGTGGCATGATCTCACTGCAACCTCCGGCTCCCAGATTCAGGCGATTCTCCTGCCTTAGACTCCCTAGTAGCTGGGACTACAGGTTTGTGCCACCACACCCACTAATTTTTTTTGTATTTTTTGTAGAGACAGGGTTTCACCATGTTGGCCAGGTTGGTCTCGAACTCTTGACCTCAGGTGATCCACCCGCCTTGGCCTCCCACAATGCTGGGATTATAGGAGTGAGCCACTGCACCCAGCCTAGATAATTATTAGAATGAAAACAAAGCATAAATTTTTGTTCAATAAATGCATGAAGCAAACAGTAAAACGCAAGCTTCATGAAGACAGGTTGTTCTGTTTTGTTTTCCTGTATCTCCAGTGCCAAGAACTGCTGGTATATAGCAGATGCTCCAGAAATATGCATTGGGTGAAGAAAACACATAAGTAAGTACGTAAATTCAGATAAAGGGTTAGAGAGTGATGAGACTGGGGTGGAGAGGAGAGGCCCTAATTTAGATGGGCTAGTGAGGCCGTGTCTTGCAAGAATTGACATCTGAGTAGAGATTCGAATGATAACAAAGAGCTAGCATGGGAGGTTCTGAGGGCAGGTGTTCCAGACAGAGGCCAGGGAAAGCTTGTCCCCTTCAAGGAACATCAAGAAGGCCAGTGGGGCTGGAAGAGATGGAGAGAAAGGGAGAGAGTCAGGAGGTGATGCCAGGGTCATAGGCAGGACAAGATCATATAGGATCTTATAGGCCAGGATAGGAGGTTTACATTCTAATCGAAGAGTAATGGGAGGGCATGAGAAGCTTCAGTAAAAATGACCTATGTGATCTGATTTATTTAAAATGATGACTGTGTCTACTGTGTGGTAATGGCTTATTTAACTGCAGAAACAGATACATCTATTAAATCTTGCTCAACTAGATTCTATGTAACACACTCAAGAAACTTTTATTTTATTTTATTTTTTTATTTATTTATATATTTTTAGGAATATCCTAGAGGAGAAATGATTAGGGATAAACTAAGACTGTGGGTGCAGTAACAGCAAAACTCAGATTTGAGAGAAAGTAAAGAAATAAAATTGAGAATATTAAATGATAAGATGTGTGGGGTGAGGGAATGGGATTACTCCGCGGCCTTGTCCAAGCACCTGGATGGATGGGAGAAGAGGAGCACCCAGCAGTGAAGTCGACTTAGAAGTAATAAACACTTAATTGATCCCACACTACAGTCCATCCACTGCTTTGGATACTGTAACGAGTATAGATGAGAAAGGCAGTCCCTACCTCAAGGAATTTGCAAATTGGCGAAGGGACAGTAATTAACAAAGCTAATTAGAGAGAAATCACAGTGTGGCGAATGATAGAATGGAGAAACCTCTAATGTAGTGTACCACAGAAATATTTTTTCAGGCTGAAAGAAGCCAAGTTATGATTCTCTCTCTTCTGTCTTCCCACATAATTAGTATTTCATCAGCCAGGCACAGTGGCTAATGCCTGGAATCCCAACATTTTGGGAGGCCGAGGCAGGTGGATCACTTGAGATCAGGAGTTTGAGGCCAGCCTGGCCAACATGGTGAAACCCTGTCTCTACTAAAAATACAAAAATTAGCCAGGTGTGGTGGTGCATGCCTGTAATCCTAGCTACTTAGGAGGCTGAGGCAGGAGAATCACTTGAATCCGAGAGGCGGAGGTTGCAGTAAGCCAAGATCATGCCACTGGACTCCAGCCTGGGTGACAGAAAGAGACTGCATCTGAAAAACAAACAAACAAAAAACCCCCAAAAAACCAAAGAAGCAAACAAACAAAAAATAGCTTTTTTAAAATCTTGCTTAATGGGCAAATTCAGAGCATTCTTATTATAGTTAGGGTTGTCAGATAAAATGCAGGGCTGGGATAGGAACACATGGATTGCAGTCTTAGTGAAGGATGGATGAAAAATAAACTTTTCAGGAGGAAGAGACAGGAAAAAATTATCTTGGTCTCATCCTTAGCATTGAGTAGTGCTATTTGACCATCCAAACCTCATGTTAAAATTTTATCTCCTCCCATTCAAATAGGTATAAAAACAATATTTTTAAAAAAAGGATAAATTTTTTTTTTATCTCCAATGTTAGAGGCAGGACCTAATGAGAGGTGTTTGGGTCATATGGGTGGATCCTTCATGCATGGGGTGGTGCTGTCCTCTTGGGAATGAGTGAGTTCTTGCTTTACTAATTCCCGTGAGAGTTCCTATGAGGGCTGCTTGTTCAAAAGAGCCTGGTGCCTCCCCTCCCCTTGCTTTCTCCCCCTTCCACCATGAGTGGAAGCAGCCTGGAGCCCTCGCTAGAAGCAGATGCTGGAGCCATGCTCTTGTACAGCCTGCAGAAGCATGAGCCAGATAAACCTCTATTCTTTCTACATTTCCTGGCCTCAGGTATTCTTTTATAGCAATACAAATGGACTAAGACAGGTAGATACAATAAAATAAAACAACAAAAAAACCCCTTTGAGAATGTGTAACCCTAAGCTAGATATCACATAGGTTTATAGTCATAATTCATGTTACTTGTGTGTTCTAGAACATCTCAAAAGGAAAATTCAGTTTCAAGTAGTTCCAGGTAAGTAATGCCTTAAGACCATTGACAGAAGGAAATGCAAATCTTCTCTTAAAAAATATAATCTTAACCCAGGCCTTAAAGTATTTTCATGGGTAAATTTTCAAGGAAAATGGTCACAGTTTAAAAACATAGACCACATAAGGAAATCAGTCACCATGAGAGAAAGTCAGCAGAAATAACACCAGAATCAAACCCACAGAGACTACAGATCTTGAAAGTAGCTGGTACAAAATATAAAATAACAAATATTTAAAATTTTTAAAGAAATAAAAAGAACATCTTAAAATATAAAATAACCGTGTGGTTTGTAAAACAACTACATATAACTTCTATAAGTGATAGACATAAAAATTAGAATCTAAAGCTCAGTGGATAGATTAAACAGTAGATTAGGCATAGCAGAAAAAGAATTAGGTAAACTCAAAGATAGATATAAAGAAAAGATAGAAGCTTCAACCCATAGAGGCAATAAAAGCTAAAAAACAGGAAAGGGTGGTTAAGAAACGTGGAGGTTAAAATGAGAAGGGCTAAAAAATGTCAAAGTTCCGAAGAGATAACTGAGAGAATGGGAAAGGTACAATATTTGATAACAATAAAATCCTTGAAAATGTTCCAGAATTGTTGGAAAAAAAAAAACAAAACCCACCAATCTGGCTGGGCACAGTGGCTCATGCTGGCAATCACAGCACTTTGCGAGTCCAAAGCAAGAGGCTTGCTTGAGCCTGGGAGTTTGAGACCAGCCTAGGCAATATAGCAAGACCCTGTCTCTACAAAAAAAAAAAGAAAAAAAAAATTAAAAATTAGCTATGTATGATAGCATGCACCTGTAATCCCAGCTACTTGGGGGACTGAGGCAAGAGGATCTCTAGAGCCCAGGAGTTTCAGGCTATAGTGAGCTATGATCGCACCACTGCACTCCAGCCTGGGTGACAGAGATATACTGTCTGTAATGATAATAATAATATCAATAAATCCCCATGATTAATTTCAAGAAGCAGTACAAATATATATATATATATATATGTATATATATATTACTATTTTGTTAATCTATAAGAAGACTCATCACAGTGAAATTACAGAATAACCAAGAAAGCAAACAGCTGTTAGCCCAGGGAGAGTGATAAAGAGACATAGTATGTAAGAAGAAACACCTTGAGAAGGGGCAATGAAATTTGGTGGATGAAAGAAGGAGGCTATGAAGGAGACTAATTCCTAGTACAATACTTAGCTCAGAGTCAGGGGGAATGAAGCAAGTAGAAAGATATCACAATGAATTCTGTGTTTTCAGTATTGCTAAGAGGATTCTGAACAATTTGCTAAGAAAATAAAGTGATACCTAAATTAGAGCACATGTGTGTATGTGTGTAGGGAGAGCCTTCAAATCATGGTTTCTTGAGGAAGCAAAAGCTTAGGTGAGACCTGAAAGATGAATTAGAGGGAGTGGTACAGACAGAAGGCAGAAAAGGAAAGAAAGGCATTCATGTAGAGAGAGCTGAATCTACAGAGATGATTCCTTTAATGAAAGGATTTATTCAGTTCCCCTTGAGGGAACTGTAGAATGAGTGACAAGACCTCAAAATATAGCATAGTTGCCCCCGTCTTAAAAACATGCAGGTTTTCAATAATAGGATGGGGAAAGTACCAAGGTAGATTGCAAAGAGTTTGGGGTAGCTAGAGTAAGAAGTAGAAATGCTTGGAGAAGCAAGAAGAGGCAGGAGAGGAAAGGCTGGACAGATCAGTGGCTGAAGATCAATGATAATGAAGAAGCTTTTATGGCATTCTTGGGAGTGTGAATTTTTTTTTTTTTTTTTTTTTTTTTTTTTGAGATGGAGTCTCACTCTGTCACCAGGCTGGAGTGCAGTGGCGTGATCTCGGCTCACTGCAATCTCTGCCTCCCATGTTCAAGCAATTCCTCTGCCTCAGCCTCCCGAGTAGCTAGGACTACAGGCATGCACCACCATGCCCAGCTAATTTTTTTGTATTTTAGTAGAGATGGGGGTTTCACTATGTTGGCCAGGATGGTCTCAATCTCCTGACCTCGTGATCCGCCCGTCTCAGCCTCCCAAAGTGCTGGGATTACAGGCATGAGCCACTGCGCCTGGCTGGGAGTATGAACTTTATCCACGGCCATGGGAAGTCATTTTAGATTTGTAGGCAGTTGTCACCGTCAGGTTTACATTTCAGAAAGAAGGCCATTATTAGAGGAGAGAGTGGATTTTTGAAAATGAGAGAATAGAAGAAGACTGGAATCAGAGAGACTAGTTAGAAGACTGATGTGGTATCTGGGGGAATGGTGTCTGTGGCCTGAACTAAAGTATAGTTGTTGAGATGGGTAGAAGTAGACAGAGCGAAAAATATTTAGGAAGTAGAAAAGACTTGTTCAACCATTGTGAGTTGAATTATGTCTTCCAAAATGATATGTCCAAACATTAATACCTACTACCTACCTATGAATGTGTACTCTACGTACACACTCATAGTACTCTAAGTACATAGTATACATAGTAACACTCTTAGTACTCTAAGTACATAGTACATATTCAAATACTCTATGTACTTGGCAATAGGGTCTTTGCAGATGTAATCAGTTTGCTAAGATGAGGTCACATTACATTAAGGTGGGCCCTAAGCTAAATCAAATGACTCATTTCTGTATAAACATGAAGACACAGACACACAGACACAGAAGGGAGAAGGCCATGAGACTATGTGGCAGAGATGAGAGTTATGCAGCTGCAAGATAAAGAATGCCAAGGACTGCCAGCAGCCACAAGGAGCCAGAAAGAGGCAAGAAAGAATTTGCCCTCAGAGCCTCCAGAAGAAGCCAACCTTGCCAATTCCTTGATTTTGGACTTCCAGCCTCCAGAACTGTGAGAGAATACATTTCTGTTGTTGTAAGCCATCCATTTTTAATTTTTTTTTTTTTAGAAATGGGGTCTTGCTATGTTGCCCAGGCTGGTCTCTATCTCCTGGCTTCAAGCGATCCTCCTGCCCTGGCCTTCCAAAGTGCTGAGATTACAGGTGTCAGCCCCCTGCCGGCCTAAGCCACTCATTTTATAGTACTTTGTGGCAGCAGCTCTGGGAAACTAAAATGTAACTTACATTTAGGGATACCATGTGTTCCTGCCTTGATCTTTAAAATATTCGAAAGAGAGCTGCCACTTCTTTTAAATTCAGCTACTTCTTCTTAGTGAAAAGAGGAATGCTTTATCATGTGTGAATTGGTGAGTTTGGGAGAAGGAACTCATATGCCCAGATGAGAGAGATGGGAAGGTTAATGCAGAGGGGAGTGGTTAGGAAGTTCGCAGTTCAGAGATCTAATTCATATTTTCCCTTTTGGCCTTATAAGGAATAAAGCTGATGCTTTGATTTTTTTTCTGTATAATCTCCTTTCTCCCTTAATGCTCATTTGATTCTGAATTGTGGGAGAGGTGTGATTATTACCTTTTTATTTCAACGAAGCCCAAGGAAAGGGGGAGGAATGATGGGTTTCCTGGAGTTTTGGCTTGAGCAGCTGAACGGTGCAGTATTTGGATCCCTGGGACTCAGGAGTGGGATCTGGGGATATGGGTGGAAGATGATAGTACACAGCGGGCACTTAATATGTTTGCTGACTTTAAAGTGATCTAACTTCCTCATTTTAGGGGTGAGTAAACTGAGCCCCAAGAAACCTCAGTTACTTGTCCAAGATCACACAGAACAGGTGCAGGTTTGGGAACTTCTCTTCCTATGATTTTCAAGTGATTTCCCTACTCCCCTGTGAATTACCTTTATTTAAAATTACATATCCTTTAATAAAAATATTCACACACCCACTTTAAAAGACCATATTACACAGGCTTAGGATGCTGTTCAAGATCATTGACCCCTCTGCTGGTTAGCAAAAGCCCACATCACATTTTCAGCTAAAGAATGTCTCTCCAGGCTGCAGGCCTTGGGACACTTCAGCTGGGACCTTGTGCCAACAGTTTACCCAAATCATTCAACTAAGAGTTCTCCATCCCCCACAGAAGGGGTCCCCAGGATATTTAATCACTGCAGTTTTTATTTCAAGACCTTGCCTTGAATGTCCTCTATTCAGGATACTGTGCCAAGGCTGAACTGCCTGGAGCAAAACAGAACAATCCTTTGGAGATTGTGGGGGCCAGGCTGGAGAGCCAAAGGGAGTGGGCATTCAGTCCCACCAAAATAATATTTTTTATTACCTCTCCATTCAGACAGATAAGGGAAGGTTTCAGCAAACACAACCTTCCATTCCCTGATTGCTTAGGTACATTTCACATTCTCAGCATCCGAGGAAACTCTCCAAATAAATATATTGCTGGAAAAAAGGAAAACCAAGACAACATACACTTATCTCCCTTGCTGCTCAAACAGAAACAAAACTGCTGAAAAACAAAACTTATTCTCCAACAGACGTATTTTCTGATCATTAATTTTTGCCCGAATTGCTGGTTCATGTAAACAAACTAGGGCTTGTGTAAACAAGTCCTGTTATCTGAAAAAAAGAAGAAAGAAATCTAAGAGACATCCTGTGTGATTCACTTTAAAGAAAAAAAAAAGAGTTGCTCATATTTTTAAAAAAATATTTTGAAAGAATCTGCCTATTCATCATCAGGCATATTTTAAAGAAGTGATGTTTTCTTTTGTGTATCTTCAAGTCACTATAGCAACTGGATCACTTTCTATTCATTAATCAGGAGGCACCAGCCAGAGAATCTATCCTTTCCCTCTAGGTTTGGAGCCTTGGCCTATTGCTCTACCTTTTTAAAACTTCACAAATTTTGGAAATAGTTTTCTTCAAAAATGTTTCTCTTGATCTGAGAGTTTTGCTATGTTCCATGTGTTATTTATTGCTACACATTTTTGTCCTCTGTGTTATGTGATGGCTTCTATGGAATACTAGGTATGTTTTGGTTACTTCTCTCTACTTCTGTGCTTTTATTGCTTACAGCTATAGGAGGTTTAGCTGAAGCTCCAGAGTTGTGTAGCAAATTATACAGAAGCACTTCCACTTGTTCTTTCTTTTGTATACTGCCGGGTGGAAATGCTGTCTAGTTACAAATGGAGCTTTGTTTTCTTTAATACCCTTTTTAAGCTTCTTCTCCTTCTCAAAAGTCAACAATCCATCTCAATTTTTACTAGTAACACTTGGACCTGCTGAAACTGTGATGAGTGATCGGTGCAATTCTTAATCACTTGGTAGCCCGAGGAATATCGTGATCATCTTTCCTGGGTTGTATTCACTCCCCTGAACACTTAGATTGGATGTCAATTGCTGAATGGTTCTAAACAACACACAAAGAGGGAAGGAGAGACTTGAGAGTGCCAGGAGTCTAGAAGTGGTGGACTGGAATATACTTTGCAGAAATGATTTGTTCAGCCAGCACAAACAATGTTTAAACTATATTTAAGGAAATCAAGAGATTTTTCATAAAAGTCTGAATTACCTCGAGTTCTGCATGCAGCAATTGGTTGGGGCTGAGGAGCAAATGACTCCTGTAGATGGGGATGCCCTGTGGCCTCAGTCCCCAGCTGGCCCACTTGACCATGGTACCTGCCTGGCACTTGTAGATATGAATTTCACCCCTTTCCAAATTTTACAGATGAAGAAACTGAGACTAGAAATTTTTAGGGACTTGGCCAAAGCCAAACAGTTAATTAGTGGCAGCTTGAGGACTAAATCCAGTTTTACTGATCACTAGCCTGGTGCTTCTAGTTTTGTTTTTGTTTTTTGTTTTGTTTTGATTCTGAGACAGAGCCTTGCTCTGTCACCCAGACTGGAGTGCAGTGGGACGGTCACAGGTTACTGCAGCCTTGACCTCCTGGGCTCAAGTGATCCTCCCTCCTCAGCCTCCCAAGTAAATAGGACTACAAGTGTGCACCACTACATTTGGCTAGTTTTTGTATTTTTTTGTAGAGATGAGGTGTCACTATGTTCCCCAGGCGGGTCTCAAACTCCTGGGCTCAAGCGATCTGTCCACCTCAGCCTCCCAAAGTGTTGGGATTATAGGCATGAGCCACTGCACCCAGCCGCTTCTAGTTTTTGAAGATTAAAACTGTATCTTCTAGTTTCTCCTTATACTACAGACTGGGGTACACACCAGGTAATGAGGAAATATGTTTTAGACTGATTATGACTGAGAACCATACAAATCCATGTGGGCCACCACCAGTCAACAAACAAAGCAACAACTCTTATCACTGTGGGCTTTAAAAAAACACTTGGTGTTATTTAGAAAAAGTAGTGAATTATGATTCAGGTATAGAGAAACGCATTACCAGCTGACAAGCACGTGTATGTGCGTATGTGTGGGGTGGGTGGGGAAGAAAAGGGAAAACACCCTCTCAGATCATTCTGCTCCAAAAGTGGCAGCTTTTCAAAGGCAATCTGAGAGCTAGGAATTATGAACAAGAGGAAAGAAACTTAGAAGCAGCACTAGGAACACAAAGCTGATTTGTCTAGAGAAGCTAGTGAAAGAGAAAACATATTTTTACATTATTTGCTGTCCCACCAATTAATGGCAGATGTCTTAGTCTGTGGCACAAGTCAGCCTATCCACCTCACCAGTCCCACGTTAGAACATTTTGAAGGAAGGCAGACCCACAAATGTGTGTGTGTGTGTGTGTGTGTGTGTGTGTGTGTATACCCATAAGCATGTGTGTGCATTTTGGGAGGGTAGGCAGTGCATTACTGAATAAAAAGGCAATGCTCTTCAACTTTGGGAGACTTTTCTCCTTGTATCCATTCTTAAAGAGAACAAAAATTTATAAATAAATCCTTATTGTTTTGATGCCACAGTAAATTAAGAGAAGAAGTTGGCCATAAGTGAAGACTCAGACTGTGGTCATACTTCATCTAAATGGTTCATGGGGAAACAAAGCCATTATAATAATAAAAATAAAAGCTTAGCACCTGCCAATGGGGCAGGCCACCACTGAGATATTATGTCTTGCTCAGCTGGGAGATACTCTGCTTTAGTGTCTACAATGGTCTTAACACAGAGCTTTGTGATAACGAAGAAAAGATTCCTGTGAACAGCCAAATACCCAGTCTCTACAAAGCCAAGCTCTTCTTCCTAATGAACCTCATGTGACTACTTTAACAACATTCCAGGGGCACTGAGGTCTGAAGACAAGAGGGATTTTGCAGTATGATTAAGTTTACACAATCACACATAAAGTAGAAAGCAGGCTAACAATTATCTGCTGAATGTGGAGAGAGCTTTGCCCCACCGTGAAATACCTTAAATTGGCCGCTTATCTAAGATATGATTCTTTTGGATAATTGCTGGCTTTCTCTCCCCTGCATTTCTACTTTTATGGGCCTGATTGTTTTATGAAAGCACTTCTATTTTCCTTCTCTCTGGCATGGGAACAGCCCAGAACCAGTTTGCAGGGTTTACTGAGAATAAGAGCTCCATTTTAGAAGGCTGGTGGCCCTTTAGCCTTGCACTGGGATGCCTCTCTCAGACACTGCAGGTTCTGATTCCAAGGCCATTGTTCTTTGTGGCATTTCACAGCCCTCCAGGGGCCTTCATTCAGATTGGCAGGTGATAAGCTATTTTCAAGTCATGGGTAATCATAGTAATTCAGCATTTTTCCTTATTAGCACCTCTGAATGGGGAAGGTGCACCGAAACTGCTCATCTGTGCAGTCTATTTTTTTTCCAGGTTTACAGTTTTGTGCTCCAGATGGGCTGTGTTGTTAGTCCAAAGGGTCTCAATGAAAGAGCATCTACCAGTCTTTCTAATGGCCACAAATTACATGGATGACAATGCTCAGCATTGTTTCCTTTGCTTCCAGAGAAGCAACTGGCTGGTAGGAAAGCCATTGATACATCACTTCCAGTATCTTGAGGCTCTATTCAATGATAGATGCACAAGTGGCTGCTTAAGTCTGTGAGTGTTTATTCTTGGTGATGAGGCAATTTGCCAAAGCATTGATCCATTTTAGAAATCTTCAGTATTTCTAAGAAGTTTGGCACTGATGGAAGAGAGATGAGCTTGATCACAGAAGGCTCATAGATTCTGGCATGTGCATGGAGGGGATCAGGACACAATTTCCATAAAAACACTGCTGTGAACATCAACGTTTTTTTATCAATGTTATGAAAGATGAAAGGGCTTATTTTGCAATGGGAATTAAATAGGCACACATTTAGAAACATTTGGAGACCTCTGTGATTGACCCAAGCTGCCATGATCCCTCCTTTTGGCCCATTATTGCCAATTATGTCTACATATAGTAAGTACCATGTAATTATTTTTTACAATGGACTGTTTACTTCATTCATCTAGCTGTTTAGCTGACAGCTTTGCCACTTTTTTGAAGAGATATATAGCCTACCAGAAATAATTTATCCTATTAAATGAATATTTCCAGGGACTATGCTAATGCTTCAGTACTAAGAACTTAGCATGTAAAACCAGTGGATTACATGAAAACTGTGCTTTCTTTAACCAGTGCTTACTTTTAATGCACCTGAAGGGATGTTTGAAGAAGCTTTCTGTCTTTATACTAATTTTGAAAGCTCTACATTGTGAAAGTCTTAAAAATGGGCAGGCATAATAACATAGGTATCAGATGCAATTATAAATCAAAAGAAAAACTGTGGTTTAAATGGGCACCAAGAGCTAATATTTCCTTCTCTTTACAGGATTGCAAAGAGAATTGGGCAATTTTTAAAACTCTTTATTTGAAAATAACTTCAAAATTACAGAAAACTTGCAAGAATAAAATATTTACCCTTTACCTAGATTTCACCTACTGTTAACATTCTGCCACATTTGCTTTAGAAGGTGGTCACCCACTTGTTTTATATATTATACATACATTTTTTGGAACTATTTGAAATTAAGATGGATACTTGTGGTCTTTTACCCATAAACATTTCAGTGTGTATTTCCTAAGAATAAGTATGTTCTGTCATGTAACCACAATAGAGTCATTCTTCAGAAAGTTTCAACTCAGGAAATTTAATATTAATAAATACATTTATCTACTCTCCCACCTATATTCCAATTATTTCAATTGACCCAGTAATGTTCAATAGAGATCTATTCTAGGATCATGCATTGCATTTATTCATCTCATTTATTTAGTTTCCTCTAATCTAGAACAATTTCTTGGCTCTTCTTTGACTTTGATGATATTGATGTTTTTAAAAGGCAATTTTTTTTTCACCTTTTTTCAACTTTTATTTTCAATTCAGGTGGTATATGTGCAGATTTGTTACCTGAGTATATCGAGTGACACTGTGGTTTAGGGTATAACTGATACTGAACTTAGTACCCAGTAGTTAGTTTTTCAACCCGCCTCCCCCTCCCTCCCTTTCCTCTTCAGTAGTCACCGTTTTCTATTGCTGTCATCTTTATGTCCATGAGTACCCCATGTTTAGTTCCCTTTTATAAATGAGAACAGGCAGTATTTGGTTTTCTATTCCTGTGTTAATTTGCTTAGGATAATGGCCTCCATCTGCATCCATGTTGCTACAAAGGACATAATTTTTTCTTTTTTATGGCTGCATAGTAGTCCATGGTATATATGTACCACATTTTCTTTATTCAGCCCACCATTGATGGACACCTAGGTTTATTCCATATGTTTGCTATTGTGAATAGTGCTGTGATAAACATGTGAGTGCAGGTGTCTTTTTGTCAGAAGGATTTCTTTTCTTTTGGGTATATATAAATATACTGGATATATTTGGGTATATACCCAGTAATGGGATTGTTGGGTCAAACAGTAGTTCTGCTTTAAGATCTTTGAGAAATCTCCAAAGTGCCTTCCACAGTGGCTGAACTACTTTACATTCACACCAACAGGGTATAAGCATTCTCTTTTCTCCACAGGCTTGATAATAGCCACCCTGACTGGTATGAGATGTTACCTTTTCGTTTTGATTTGCATTTCTCTGATGTTAGCGATGTGGATAATTGTTTCATGTTTGTTGTCTGCTTGTATTTCTTCTTTTGAGAAGTGTCTGTTCATGTCTTTGCTCATTTTTTAAGGTTTTTTATTTTGCTTGTTGAATTAAGTTCTTTGTAGATTCTGGATGTTAAACCTTTGTCAGATGTTTGTTTACTCTGTTGATAGTTTCTTTTGCTGTGCAGAAGTTCTTGAGTTTAATTAGGTCCCACTTGTCAATTTTGTTTTTGCTGCAATTGCTTTTGATGACTTAGTCATAAATTCCTTCCCAAGACCCATATCCAGAATGTTGCTTCCTAGGTTTTCTTCTAGGATTTTTATAGTTTGAAGTCTAACACTTAAATCTTTAATCCATCTTGAGTTAATTTTTGTATATGGTGAAATACAGGGGTATAGTTTTATTCTTCTGCATATGGCTAGCCAGCTATCCCAGCACCATTTATCAAATAGGAAGTGCTTTCCCCATTGCTTATTTTTGTCAATTTTGTTGCAGAGCAGATGGCTGTAGGTATATGAATTTATTTCTGGATTCTCTAATCTGTTTCATTGATCCATATGTTTGTTTCTGTACAAATACCATGCTGTTTTGGTTACTGTAGCTTTAAAGTATAGTTTGAAATTGAGTAATGTAATGCCTCCAGCTTTCTTCTTTTTGCTTAGGATGACTTTGGCCTATTCAGGCTCTTTTTTGGTTCCATATAAGTTTTAGAATAGTTTCTGCTACTTCTGTGAAATTGACATTGGCAGCTTAATAGAAATAGCATTGAATCTCATAGCTTTGAGCAGTATGGCCACTTTAATGATATTGATTCTTCCAATCCATGAGCATGGGATATTTTTCCATTTGTTTGTGTCATCTCTGATTTCTTTTTTTTTTCTTTTATTATTATTATACTTTAAGTTTTAGGGTACATGTGCACAATGTGCAGGTTAGTTACATATGTATACATGTGCCATGCTGGTGTGCTGCACCCATTAACTCATCATTTAGCATTAGGTATATGTCCTAATGCTATCCCTCCCCACTCCCCCCACCCCACAACAGTCCCCAGAGTGTGATGTTCCCCTTCCTGTGTCCATGTGTTCCTATTGTTCAATTCCCACCTATGAGTGAGAATATGTGGTGTTTGGTTTTTTGTTCTTGCGATAGTTTACTGAGAATGATGATTTCCAATTTCATCCATGTCCCTACAAAGGACACGAACTCGTCATTTTTTATGGCTTTATAGTATTCCGTGGTGTATATGTGCCACATTTTCTTAATCCAGTCTATCATTGTTGGACATTTGCGTTGGTTCCAAGTCTTTGCTATTGTGAATAGAGCCGCAATAAACATACGTGTGCATGTGTCTTTATAGCAGCATGATTTATAGTCCTTTGGTTATACACCCAGTAATGCGATGGCTGAGTCAAATGGTATTTCTAGTTCTAGATCCCTGAGGAATCGCCACACTGACTTCCACAATGGTTGAACTAGTTTACAGTCCCACCAACAGTGTAAAAGTGTTCCTATTTCTCCACATCCTCTCCAGCACCTGTTGTTTCCTGACTTTTTAATGATTGCCATTCTAACTGGTGTGAGATGATATCTCATTGTGGTTTTGATTTGCATTTCTCTGATGGCCAGTGAAGGTGAGCATTTTTTCATGTGTTTTTTGGTGGCATAAATGTCTTCTTTTGAGAAGTGTCTGTTCATGTCCTTCGCCCAATTTTTGATGGGGTTGTTTTTTTTTTTCTTGTAAATTTGTTTGAGTTCATTGTAGATTCTGGATATTAGCCCTTTGTCAGATGAGCAGGTTGCGAAAATTTCCTCCCATTTTGTAGGTTGCCTGTTCACTCTGATGGTAGTTTCTTTTGCTGTGCAGAAGCTCTTTAGTTTAATTAGATCCCATTTGTCAATTTTGTCTTTTGTTGCCATTGCTTTTGGTGTTTTAGACATGAAGTCCTTGCCCATGCCTATGTCCTGAATGGTAATGCCTAGGTTTTCTTCTAGGGTTTTTGTGGTTTTAGGTCTAACGTTTAAGTCTTTAATCCATCTTGAATTGATTTTTGTATAAGGTGTAAGGAAGGGATCCAGTTTCAGCTTTCTACATATGGCTAGCCAGTTTTCCCAGCACCATTTATTAAATAGGGAATCCTTTCCCCATTGTTTGTTTTTGTCAGGTTTGTCAAAGATCAGATAGTTGTAGATATGTGGCATTATTTCTGAGGGCTCTGTTCTGTTCCATTGATCCATATCTCTGTTTTGGTACCAGTACCATGCTGTTTTGGTTACTGTAGCCTCATAGTATAGTTTGAAGTCAGGTAGCGTGATGCCTCCAGCTTTGTTCTTTTGGCTTAGGATTGACTTGGTGATGCATGCTCTTTTTTGGTTCCATATGAACTTTAAAGTAGTTTTTTCCAATTCTGTGAAGAAAGTCATTGGTAGCTTGATGGGGATGGCATTGAATCTATAAATTACCTTGGGCAGTATGGCCATTTTCACGATATTGATTCTTCCTACCCATGAGCATGGAATGTTCTTCCATCACAGCCAATATCATACTGAATGGGCAAAAGCTAGAAGCATTCCCTTTGAAAACTGGCACAAGACAGGGATGCCCTCTCTCACCACTCCTATTCAACATAGTGTTGGAAGTTCTGGCCAGGTCAGTTAGGCAGGAGAAGGAAATAAAGGGTATTCAATTAGGAAAAGAGGAAGTCAAATTGTCCCTGTTTGCAGATGACATGATTGTATATCTAGAAAACCCCATCATCTCAGCCCAAAATCTCCTTAAGCTAATAAGCAACTTCAGCAAAGTCTCAGGATACAAAATCTGTGTGAAAAATCACAAGCATTTTTATACACCAATAACAGACAAACAGAGAGCCAAATCATGAGTGAACTCCCATTCACAATTGCTTCAAAGAGAATAAAATACGTAGGAATCCAACTTACAAGGGACGTGAAGGACCTCTTCAAGGAGAACTACAAACCACTGCTCAGTGAAATAAAAGAGGAAACAAACAAATGGAAGAACATTCCATACTCATGGGTAGGAAGAATCTGATTTCTTTTGACAGCGTTTTGTAGTTCTCATAGAGATTTTTTATCTCCTTGGTTAGATATATTCCTACATATTTGTGAGGGCAGGAAGGGGGTTATTGTGAATGGGATTCCATTCTTGATTTGGCCCTCAGCTTGAACATTATTGCTGTGTAAAAATGCTACTGATTTTTGTACATTGATTTTCTATCCTGCAGCTTTACCAGAGTCATTTTTCAGTTCTTAGAGCCTTTTGGCAGTGTCTTTAGGGTTTTCTAGGTATAGAATCATATCATCCGCAAGGAGAGATACTTTGACTTCTTTTCCTATTTGGAGAAAGGCAACGGTTTATTTTTAATAAAGTTTCTCATTTGGGATTGTCCTGATGTTTCCTCATGTGTAAACTCAAGTTTAGCATCTGCAGCCAAACTACTACATGGGTCATGTGCCTTTCTTAAGACATCACCTCAGGAAGCACCCAGTGTCCATCTGTACCTCTTTAGTGTTGTTAATCTGTACACTTGGTTTTGCATGTCAGAAATTTCCTCTAATTGCTATCCAGCACAACACCTGGACCTTGAAGGTGGTGAATAATTCTTGTAAGGCAACTAAGAGTAAACGTCTTCAGGATAGGCATGAAATGGAGTTTCAGAATTCAAAGCTCAGCATCAAGGCAGGAAGAGGTTATTGATATAATATAATGATATTAATAAATACCCCATTAATAATATTTATAAGAAATGCTCACATTTATTGAGCCCTTCCCATGTGCCAAGTACTTTATTACATAGTTTAAATGTAATAGTTAAATAGTTTTCTATTGCTGCCATAACAAATTTCCATAAATTTAGCAGCTTAAAACATAAAAATTTATTATGTCACAGTCCTGTAGGTTAGAAGTCTGGTAGAGATCTCAATGGGCTAAAAGCAGAGTGGCAGCAGGGCTGGGTTCCTTCTGAAGGCTCTGGGAAAGGATCTGTTTCCTCATTCAGTTGGGCTGTTGACAGAATTCGGTTCTTTGCAGTTGTAGGCCTGAGATATCCATTTATTCATTTCCTTGCTAGCTATCAGCTGAGGGTTGTATTTGGCTTTTAGATGCCACCTGCATTTTTTGGCTTGGGGCATCTCTTCTGCCAGCTTCACGGCTATCAGTGATGGTTTCTCTCCTGTCTCGTCTGTCTTTCTGACTGCAGCTGGAAAGGTTCTCCACTTTAAAGATTCATGAGCTCAGATTGAGTCCACTTAGCTAATTCAGAATAATCTCCCCATCTCAAAATCTTTAACCTTAATCTCATCTTCAAAGTCCTCTTGCTGTGTAGGGTTACATATTCATAGGCTCTGAGGATTTGAGCATGGACATCTTTTGGGGGCCTATTATTCTGCCTACTACAGATGGATTATCTCATTTAATACTCCCACCAATACTGTGAGACAGATATGGAAATTATCCTCCATTTACATGAGGAGTCTGAGGCTTAAGTGAGTTTCCCCAAAGCACACAACTAGCCTCTTACAGCTGAGCCAGGATTAATTTCTAACAGAAGGATTTATCTAAGCTGGGAGATTTAAAATTTTACTTTAGCAGCAGAATCCTTTACCAAATGAAAACTTATGAAAAATCAAATACACCTAACAAGATGAAAGCAAAGCTGTCCTGGCTAAATAGGGAGAAGTGGATGGTGAGGAAGAGAAAGGGCTTCACAGAAGAGAGGCGGCAAGCTGCTGATTTGGGCCACTGGTCCAGTCCAGTCCCCTCTGCTTCCAGATGAGGGAGGGAGACCCATAGACTGGGTTGAAACGACTCACCTGAGGTGAGCCCTGAGACTGAAGTATGGCTCTTCCATGCTCCACAAGGGCGCTTTCAAATCATTCACCATAGATTTACCTGTGAGGACGCTGACATTGACTTGGTTGAACATTATGGATGTTCAACCAAGCATGTTCAACCATATGCTTACCTGCATGTGGTAAGCATGATTCAAGGAGCTGATGAAACAACAGTAAATAGAATCGATCAAGTCTCTGCCTGCCTGGAAGTTACATTTTAAGTGAGGGAAGAAATACGACACACAGATATTAAAAGTCAATAAAACATCAAAATATCAGATACTTATATCTGATCTGCTAGAATTAAAGTAGGATGACTGAAGTGAGTGTGTGTGTGTGTGTGTGTGTGTGTGTGTGTAGTGTAGACAGAGAGGGAGGGAGGCTGAATTGGGTGCTGAGGATAAGCCTCTTAGGAGCTGACATTTAAACTGAGATGTGATGACAGGAAGGACCCAGCCACATTGGTATCTTGGGAAAAACATTCCAAGTAGAGGGAATAGCTAGTGCAGGGCCCTGGGGCAAGAATGGGCTACAGCAATCATGACTAGGGCCCTGCAGTGTAGCTGGAGAGGGAGGTGAGGAACAAGAGGTAGACACTGAGGCCAGAGATGTGCAGGAGACTAAAGTTAATAAGGCTCTTTTGAAAAAAGTACACATCTGTCAGTCATCAAGCATTATCTACTAGTTCTAGCTTCAGACAGACATATTATAGAATTCCCAAGGAAAGGATCACTGGCTTCTTGGCAGAGTAAAAGCATCATGCGCCATCATATGAGGTGTTTGTTAATTGGGCATAGCTCTGATGCTCTCCCTGGTTGCTTGCTAGGGTCCCAAGTGGCCCATCCCACTAATGCACATTTGGGCACATGATGTGACAGTTGGACAATGGCTTTGGGTAACTGTCATTAGCCACGTGCACCATGGCAAAGTGAAGTTGTTACTGACTTCATGGTTCGGATTTCCATTTCAACATTCAAGGGGGTAAATGACCGTACTCACTCTCAAGGAATAATTGACATAATTTATCTTTAAAATCTCAGTAGGTCAAACTTCCCATTTGTAAAACTTTCCAGTTGCTCCTTTGCCGAGCACATAAGATGAATTTACTTCTGAGCTGAGTTCTTGCATGCCAAATTTTTACAGCCTTAAATATAGTATTTTATCACTATTATAAATGGTTCTTGACTTACCTCCCACAGACCCTTTAGGGCTGAAGGCAAGAGGTCTCCCTAATTCACTTGTTTCAATTCATGTAAGATTTCTAAGTTGAAGCCAGGTCATTTGGATAATATTTCAAATGTACAGGCTGTATTTCTGCTGAACACAATAAATCTGAAATTTTACAATTAGCTTGGGCAGCTAGCATGATTGCACTAGGCTTTCCAATAAGCACCCCTTCAAAAGAACTTTCCTTCTCTCTCAAGACTCACCTCCAAACCTGACCCAAAGGCTCAATGTCATCACTCAAATGCTGGGGTCATGGTAATCTGGAGCCTATATTTTTGGGTTGATTTTATTTTTCCAGTGGAAGATCCAGGTTACTAGCAATTATTTGAGGGCATAAAATTCTACCATGATGATAAATTAGGCTGTCAGCTCTTTCTGGTCCATATCAGAGGTTGGAGAGACTGATAAACTTTTCTATTCTAATGTTCTACCACCTACCCCTCTGGAGATAATGCCATGTCTGTGCTCTTGCCCTGGTGATCTGATTGAGTGGGGACTGTTCTCCCAGTGTCCCCAGGGCCCTCCCTGTACCTGGGAGCTGTGGAAAAGGGAGCTGAGAGGTAGACATCCTTGGGTTACCTGCCTGGTTCATACAAAACAATATTCACTTGTCTCACCTAATAATGGATAGTTTATAGCTAGTCAGAACACACTGTCTTTATGGAAAACATATACATATAGGAAAACATATATACATAAAGGAAAGTTGGTTGCTACAGATAGTCACAGGCACAGCTGCGAGGAAAAAAGTTTTGATTGACCCAGTCACATCATCCATGAGAACATGACTAAGGTTTGGAGAGGTCAGCCTGGATACCCCTTGCCTTCCACTGCTTCAATTTGGGGTACTTGGCCAAAGGGTGATCAGTGAGGCATGGCCCTGTCCAGATCCTGCCCCTGGAACTGGTCCTTCTCCAGCTTGCCGCAGCGTTTAGTCCCCGTTCTGCTTCTGACGGCCCCGGCTGGCCCACTGTGCTGGAAGCTGAACTGGAGGCTGCGGGGAGGACTGGAGCCAAATTTTCCCTGGTGGGAGGTGCAGAGAGACTTTGTGGAAAGGATGAGTCTGGATGCCTACCAAATTACCCTCCTGTTGACTTTTGGAAAGCAGGAATTTCAGGCTCTAGAGGTGCAGAGGCAATTTACTGACACTCATCGTTGGCCCAACTCTCAGTTGGAGACCAGCCTGTTGAGCAGCTGGGTATCAACATGCAGATGCTCCTGTCTTATCCACACACAGCATCTCTCTATTCTGGTGTCTGCTCTGTGACTTAAATCAATTTTTTTTTTCTCCTCAACCAGTGGAGCTTGAAGCTCTTCCTACCATCTATGAAATAGCAGTTTGGTTGTGGCATAGGGAGATGGAGAGTTGGGGGGTGAGATGAGGACAGATAATAACAGGCACAGAAGTCACAGATAGTTACTGAGTGCCTCCCTGTTGACAGGCACTGTGCTAAGTGCTGTGACACAGTGGTGCATGTCAGACATGTGGCTTCAGATACACCAACAGGCTTCTCAGAAAAAGGGTGAACGTAGAGAGAAAGCAAATTAAATTCTGTTTTGATATTCACAATAGAGCCTCTTGGTTCCTCTCTCTTGAAGAACTCAAGATATGAGCACCTTTCTAGTTTTCATCATAATCTCTAGGGACCTATTAGGAGGTACAAGGAAGGCAATTTATGTGATGCTTTCCTTTATAAAACAGGATAGAATTAAGAAACAAAAAATGTAAAGGGCTTGCCCAAGATTTTCACTGTGTTAAGGGAAGGATGGAAATGAATAGAGACTAAGATTTCTGACTCAATTTTCCACACTCCTGCAAAACTAAATGAGACCTAACCATCTGAAGTTCTAGTCACTACTGCCAGACTCATTTTTATTTTTCTTTAAGCGTGATGAACAGGCACGAGCTGGGGTCTTGATTGACTAAGGGTTTCAGAAAAATCGAAGATATTTCACTAAAAGGAAGTAATTTGGCAATGATTTTCCAGGTTATTATTCCTAATCATGCAGAATCATTCTCACTGGTTTCCAGATTCATCTGTAAAGGTGAATCCATCCCTCCAGCTCAACTGCCCTTGGACGTTTAATGTCACAGACCCCACATTGCTTTCGAGACTGGCAGACGGTCTTCTGAACCCTCCACCCTGTGTGTCCGGCTCGACCACACTCCGCTTTTGTTTAACGAGGTTTGTTTTGGAAGTACTTGGCTCAGTTCTCTCTGCAAGCTTACGTGATCCAGACAGACTTGGCTCACAGCTCGACTTAGCAGGTCAGTTACACAACAAGTAGGAGGAACTTCGATTATACCCGGCTCCGGGGGAAATAGCGTAATAGCATGAAGAGCCAAGATGATGAGCTAATTGCTCTAGAATTGAACTTAAGATACCTCGCCACTATGTTCTTCTCCCCCATAACTCTAAGAATGTGAGCTTGAATGTTGGAGAAGGAGCAAAGGAAATGTCAGGAGACACAACTAAGGAACAGAGAATGTAATCAAGAATGAAACAAATGCAGCAGACCAACCTTTGCACAACTTTCATTTATGTTCTTTAGGAAAATAGTGTATGAGTGCAGTCTACTTTGGAAAAAGAGCAACTATTTGGTTGGTCTGTGGGTTTGGAGCCAGACAGTCCTAAGTCTGAATTTGGCTCTAACACTTGCTAGCTGTGTAACTTTAGGCAAATGACATAAGCTCCCTGGGCATTGGTTTTTTCATCTATAAAATGAGGATAAGGAATTTTTTTCTTCTTTTTGAGACAGGATCTTGCTCCATTGCCCACGCTGGAGTGCCATGGTGCCATCATAGTTCACTGCAGCCTCAGCCTCCCGGGATCAACCAATCCTCCTGCCTCAGCCTTCTAAGTAGCTGGGACTATGGGTGCGTGTAACCGCACCAGGCTAACTTAAAAAAAAAATTTATTTGTAGAAATGGGGCCTTGATGTGTTGGCCAGGCTGGTTTTGAACTCCTGACTTCAAGTGATTCCCCTCACCTGCCACCTTAACTGCCCAAAGTGCTAGGATTACAGGTGTAAGCCACTGAGCCTAGCCTATCATAAGGATTTTGAGCAGAGAGAATTACATTGAAGATTAGAGGTCATGTTTGTAAAATGTCCACCTAGCTGAACAATACATTCTAATATAATGTATCTGCCTCTGTTTCAGCTTCCATTCTCAACACAGTATCTTAAACAGATGTTGAAGTTATCTGTTTCTATATCTATCTTAATCAGTGGCTTTCAACTCTGGTTGCACATTAGAATTAGTCAGGGAGTTTTTTAAAATTATTTTTTTTATTTTTTTGAGAGAGAGTCTTATTCTGTTGCCCAGGCTGGAGTGCAGTGGCATGATCACAGCTCACTGAAACCTCAATTTCCCGGGCTCAGGCAATCATCCCACCTCAGCCTCCCTAGTAGCTGGGACTACAGGTCTGTACCACCACACTCAATTAATTTTTGTATTTTTAGTAGAGATGGGGTTTCACCATGTTGCCCAGGCTGATCTCAAACTCCTGGCCTCAAGTGATCCACCCACCTCAGTCTCCCAAGGTGTTGGGATTACAGGCATGAGCCACCATGCCTGGCCAGGGCGTTTTAAAAAAATACTGATGCCCACACCTCACTCCAGACTAATTAAATTAGAAACATTGGGAGTAGGTATCAGCACCTGCATTTTACAGCTCCGCAGGATCCTAATATGTACCCAGAGCTGAGAACTTCTGGCCTATCGCATTTGCATGTGAGCAGCTTAGGAGCAAAGAACAAGCTTTATTCATCTTTATATCCCCATGTCTAGCCTGATGTAGATGCTCAGGAAATATTTCTTGAATCTAACTCAAAAACTGAGAGATGCTGTTCAGATTCCCAAGACGTGTCTTATATGGGCGAATACATTTTTTAGGCAGCAAACAAAGGCAAGAGACAGCAGCACTTGCTATTGTCACAGTAGGCATTTGAAAAATGACACTAAAGAAGGGTCAAGTTCCTTTTAGCTGACAGCCTACCTATTGACTATAAGGCATTGACCACTGGTCCTCTTCTTGACTCATCAGTTGCCAGAGATAAAAGAAGTGAGATAACAGAATACTTGGGGAAATTTCATCTTTTTTTTTTTTTTAAATAGTGACTTCTTCAAAAGAGTTGCTTTGAGAGAAGAAAAAAGTTAGACATTTCCAAGGTAAGACAATGGACAAGTTCAGAGGAGCAGAAGAGAAATAATTTATTGAAGCATATCGGGCACACATCTGGGACTATTTCATGTACAAACACACAATGTGAAAGCTCAGAATATGCCAGCAACAGTCCCATGACCCATAGTCATTCCCCTGTGAGACTGTCACCATTACACACAATCATTATTTTCTCTCTTTTCTGCAGGCACATGGTAAGATTGCACCTCCCCACTCTCTGATCCCAGGCGTAATCATGTAACTTGCTTTAGCCAAAAATACGTAAGCAGGAGGTACAAGTGCCACATCCTGGAGAAACCTCTAAGAGCCAGTGTCTGCTTTGTGTCTGCCATGGCAAGGTAGTGGCTGCTCTATCAACCTGGTCCTGAATTAAGGATCACACAGAGCAGAGTTCTCAGCTCACCCATGATGAAGATGTAGCATGAGAGAGAAATAAACCTGTGTTGTTTGAAGTCACCGAGATTTGGGAAATACAACCCTGTGTATCCTAGTGTTTACTTATAACAAAGAGCTTCTAAGCCAACTACTTCCTTTGTGAAGACAGGGAGCAAAGTTATGCACAAGGTTGCTCCAAACAAACTGCTTCTGAATTACTCTGTCATTTCCCATATGCATAAAATTGGTCACATTTCAACATTTCTCTAACCCTCAGTTTCCCCATATGTAAAAATTGTTGGGTTGCAGATGTGAAAACACATCACGTACATTAAGCGTGTAGCCTGGTGATGCTTGATAAATATTAGGCTATACAGTCCTATTATATGTGGAATAAACGGAACAAGTGATAGGAAAGCAGAAAGCACAAAAGTACACAATAAATATGTGCCAAATGAATCAATGAAGAAAGCCAGGATGAGTAAGGGACAATGAAACTGCACAATGTCTGCAAGTTCTTCCAACTTTGTGTTCTCTTTTTTAAAGGTTTTATGTCTTCTTAGTACCCATCTGTGAAATGAGGTATCATTTAGACAATGAGGGGGCAGGGAGGCTCTAATGAATACAAAATAGAAACAGTCAGTTTATAATTTTTTTAAAGACAGAACTGTTTAATGGAGCTTGTTTCTCTTATCTTCAGAAGACTATTGACATTGCATTTATATTCTAAACCTTCCTCTGAAGCTGGCTCTGAGTTTGGCCTTAAAAAAAAAAAAAGAAGAAGAAGAAGAGGCATCCTGAATGTCCCTTCCCCATCTGCCCATGGAGACGATGGTCAGTAACTCCCTGGGTCATGCACTAAGGTTGGCTACACAGTGGATGATGCACTAGGTCCCTGAAAAGACGATGCTTTATGAATGCTGAGCAGCGGTTTTACAATCAGCCACTTCCTTCCAATTTAAAGGAGACAAACTGCTGGTATATATTTTATTCTGCAATATATTTGGTTTGGAAGGTACCAAAATGGTTTGACACCGTTCTTGTGCCTCTGAAAGTATGTGGAAATGTTCCAGTGAGAGATCTGAGTAAAAGTGAAATAAATAGCAGTCAATGTCCACAGTATTTAACTTGAAAACCTTGCATATCTGCTGCAATAGCAAATTAAAGAGTGAACTTCATGTCTTCCATATCGCCAATACTTTTTCTATGAACTAGGGTCTCACTTCCTATGGAAAGATGGAGTAGTAAGAGTAAATGAGGTTGGTTCTCTAAGTCCTAGATTTGAAGCTTGAATTTAATGTGGGTTGAGATGAAAAGGGTTAGGGTGTCTTCTGCCAATCACATACTTATAATAGAACCCACTTTCCCACAGAGCACGAAGGTCCTTTGTAGAGGTAAACGAAACTGAAGGAAGGTAAAGTGGTGGGGAGGATGCCACGGCTAACTGAAAATATGCTCACTGACTCTCTCAGTCTTGCTGCTGTAGAGCTCTCCCCTGTGTGCTCAATCCCATCTCAGAACCTTCCAGATGTAGGCCTTGAAGGCTGACAGCTCTAGATGAGCAGTGAACCCAAATTAATTTGCATGACTATGAAGAACAGTGTCACTGTTTGACTGGTTGAGTCAGTTATGTCATTGGGCATGAAGATGTAGCCAAAACTAAATATGATGGCTTTAGTATGAAGGACTGAGGAAAGGGGCAGAAAAGAAGCCTTTCTTTATCTTATTTTTATTATTATTATTATTATTTTTTCTGAGACGGAGTCTCGCTTCTGTCACACAGGCTGGAGTGCAGGGGCACGCGATCGCGGCTCACTGCAAGCTCCGCCTCCCAGGTTCACGCCTTTCTCCTGACTCAGCCTCCCGAGTAGCTGGGACTACAGGCACCCCGCCACCATGCCCGGCTAAGTTTTTGTATTTTTAGTAGAGACGGGGTTTCACCGTGTTAGCGAGGATGGTCTCGATCTCCTGACCTTGGGATCCACCCACCTCGGCCTCCCAAAGTGCTGGGATTACAGGTGTGAGCCACCACGCCCGGCCTCTTTTATCTTTTTATAATTGCAAAAAAGCATAATATTCTGCTCTAGAATCAGAAGGGAAGAACATTAGCTAGTATGATTGGAATGTAATAAAATACATGAGTTTTGGTCTGGGGCTATTCAGGGTCAAGTCCTGATTCTACTAGTTACCAGCCTAGTGAACTTATCCACATTTCTAAATGTTCTGACCTTTATGTCTTCAGCTGAAAAATGAGAACAATAATTATTATATCTATTCCATAGAGTTAAGTCAGGTAATATACTTAAAAAACTTAGTACAGCACCTGGCACATTAGTAAGTATTCAATAAATGCTAGCAATTCAGTTACTGTATTATACAGAATCAGCAAAGAGAATATTAATGGAATCATTCTAATGTTGAAGTACTTTTCTTTTTCTTTCTGTCTTTTTTTTTTTTTTTTTGAGACGGAGTCTCGCTCTGTCACCCAGGCTGGAGTGCAGTGGCACAATCTCGGCTCACTGCAAGCTCCGTCCCTCCAGGTTTAAGCAATTCTCCGTCTCAGCCTCCAGAGTAGCTGGGATTACAGGTGCGTGCCACCACGCCCAGCTAATTTTTTTGTATTTTTAATAGAGACGGGGTTTCACCATCTTGGCCAGGCTGGTCTTGAACTTCTGACCTCATGATCCACCCGCCTTGGCCTCCCAAAGTGCTGGGATTACAGGCGTGAGCCACCGCGCCTGGCCTTCTTTCTTTCTTTAGAGATGGGGTCTAACTCAGTCACCCAGGCTAGAGTGCAGTGGCGTGATCATAGCTCACTGCCGCTTTGAACTCCTGGGCTTAAGTCTTCCTCCCACCTCAGTATCCCAAGCAGCTAGAACTAGAGCCATGCACACCACACCTTGACAATTTTTAAATTTTGTGTACAAATGGTATCTGGCTATGTTGCCCAGGCTGGTCTCGAACTCCTGGCCTGAAGCCATCCTCCTGTCTTGGCCTCCCAAAGTGTTGGGATTACAGGTCTGAGCTACCATGCTTGGACTACTTTTCAAGCCAGATTGATTGAAATACAATTTTCATAGAGTAACATTTGCCCTTTTTATGTGTACAGTTCTATAAATTTTGGCAAATGCTTATAGTCATGCAATCACTCCAACAATCAAGATATAGGACATTTCTAAAACCCCAAATAGCTCTATCAGGCCCTTTATTTTTATTATAATGTGGTTATTACTAACGTAAAGTCCGTAATTTATTCAGCTTTCTTTAGTTTTTACCTAGTGTCTTTTCTCTGTTTCAGAATCCCACCTGAGATGCCACATTACATTTACTCATCATATCTCCTTAGGCTCCTTTCGGCTGTGACAGTTTCTCAGACTTGACTTGTTTAATGAACTGGACAGTTTTGAGTATTAATTGGGTATTTTACAAAATGTCCCTCCGTTGGGATTTGTCTGATATTTTCTTCACTACTAGACTGGGGTCATGGTTTTTTGGCAGAAAGACTATAGAGGTAAAGTGGTTCTCATTACATTGTATCAAAAGTACATTCAATCCATATGATTTATCCCTGGTGATGTTTCCCTTTATCACATGTATGACGTAGTGTTTGTCAGCTTTCTACACTGTAAAGTCCTTCTGCCCCTGCCCTTTCCATACTGTGCTCTTGGATAAAAGTCACAGGTAAGAAGTAGTAGGGAGTGATGCTCCACTTTCTTTCTTATTTTGAGACAGAGTCTCACTCTGTCGCCAGGCTGGGGAGCAGCAGTGCCATCTCGGCTCACTGCAACCTCTGCCTCCCAGGTTCAAGTGATTCTCCTGGCTCAGCCTCCTGAGTAGCTGGGACTACAAGCACGCACCACCACGCCCAGCTAATTTTTGTATTTTTAGAGACAGGGTTTCACCATGTTGGCCAGGATGGTCTCGATCTCTTGACCTTATGATCTGCCTGCCTCAGCCTCCTAAAGTGCTGGGATTACAGGTGTGAGCCACCGTGCCTGGCCTTCACTTTCTTAAAAGAGGAATATTTAAATAAGTTATTTGGTATTCTTTTGCATGAAAGATTTGTCGCCTCCTTCCTATTTACTTATCCACCATTTATTTATATTTGTATGAACTCATGGATACTTATTTTATTCTTTGGGTTATAATCTAATACCATTCTATCTATATTATTGCCCAAATTGTTCCAGCTTAGGCCAGTGAGAGCTCTTCAGTTGGCTCTTGTGTCCCTTTGACATATTTCCATCATTGTGGATTTTTTCCTTTGAGCACCTCCTTACTTTCTGCAGTCAAATGCTTTACCTCTGAGCTATACCCCTTTCTATCCTCCTACATTCTGTCATTACAAGATGCTGCAGGCTCATCCTGTTTATTTCCTGTCCCAGTCCCCAAATCAGCCAATTCTCTAAGGAGCCTTGGTATTGTTTATTGGAGAATGGTATTAGAAACCACAATCAAGGCACTTGTGTTTACTGCTGCTGGGGTATTGTAGCTTCTAAGTCCTTTCTGCTGACAGAGCACTTCAGACATAGAGCACTGTCTCAAAATAAAAATAAAAATACTTCTGCATTTTCTTGATTGTTTTATCTCTTTATTTTTTTAATTCCCTAATTTTCACTTTTCCCCTAATATTGAATTTTCTTTCCAAGTACAGGCCAGTTGTCTTATAGATACCCCACATTCTTGATTTATCTTGTGATTATCTTGAGGCTAAATACGATTTTTCTTGACCTCAGCATTATTGACATTTTGGACTAGGGATTTCTTTGTTGTGGGGGAGCAGTCCTGTGCATCATAGAATATTTAGTAGCATCCTCAACCTCTATCCACCAGATGCAAGTAACAACCTTCCAGTCACGACAATCAAAACTGTCTGAAACATCGACAAGTGTTTCATGGAAGCATAATTGCCTCCAGTTGAAAATCAGTGATCTAGACACTTTTGTCAAGAATACGAGGTGAGGGTTGGGTACGGTGGCTCACACCTGTAATCCCAGTACTTTGGGAGGCCAAGGTGGGAGGACTGCTTGAGGCCAGGAGTTTGAGACTAGCCTGGGCAACATAGCTAGACCCCACCTCTACAAAAAATAAATTAGTCCAGGCTAATAGTGCATGCCTGTAGTCCCAGGAACTTGGGAGTCTGAGCGGGGAGGATCACTTGAGCTCAGGAGCCATGATCAAGCCACTGCACTCAAACCTGGATGACAGGGGGACCCTGTCTCAAAACAAAACAACAAAACAAAAAGAATATGAGGTGATATTATCTACTTGAGTACCACATCAGGAGACATATAATGTCAGGTTTATGGAACTGATAATAGTGATGTTATGTATAATAACTTGTTTAAGTTGGTAACCAGCAAATCTCTTCATTGTAATTAACTATTAATTGTAGTAGTACTTTGAGTCTGTGTGATGATCTTGTTCCATAGCAACTTTCCACCCAGTGTGTTTATATCTACTTATGATTTGATGATTCTCCTTTGGGTTCATATACTAGGGGATGCAAAATGATGATTTCCTAATTCTTTCCTGAAATACATGACAGCTGAACTGTTTCTGTAAAAAAGAGCTTTCCCTTTTATTCTATTCCCCTCTCTCTTCCTTTTTCTTCACTATTGATGCATGGATTTAAAATATTAATTGAGTTGGAATTATCACCCATTTAAAAAAAAATGCTCTAATTGTCCTACATTTGGCTAGTGGGAGTCCATTCACACTACTTACTATGTCATTTGTTATGAATATGTAAAATATTTATCTGGTTCAAATCATAACTAGAAAGATACAGCTAAAGGTTGGGTGCGGTAGATCATGCCTGTAATCCTAGCACTTTGTGAGGCCGAAATGGGAGGATTGCTTGAGGCCAGGAGTTCAAGACCAGCCTGGTAAGTATAGTGCGACCCCATCTCTTAAAAAAAAATTTTTTTAAAAAAGATTAAGGTCGGGAGCGGTGGCTCATGCCTGTAATCCCAGCAATTTGGGAGGCTGAGGCTGGCGGACCACGAGGTCAGGAGTTCAAGACCAGCCTGGCCAACATGGTGAAACTCCATCTCTACTAAAAATACAAAAAATTAGTCAGGTGTGGTGGCAGGTGCCTGTAATCCCAGCTACTTGGGAGGCTGAGGCAGGAGAATTGCTTGAACCTGGGAGGCGGAGGTTGCAGTGAGCCAAGATCACGCCGTTGCACTCCAGCCTGGGCAACAGGGCGAGACTCTGTCTCAAAAAAAAAAAGATTAAAAAATAAAAAGATATAGCTAGTGAAGTCCTGCCCATCTCCTTTACCTTTCTCTATAGGTAACCACTTTCATTAGTTTCTTAGTTATCTTTTTTCTCTTTGCCAAAGTAAATAAAAATGTAAATACACTCATACATTTTATCTCACCATTTTCTTACCACAAAGGTAGTGAGAGACAGGACTAGCTGGATTTCCTAGGCTGACTAAGAATCCCTAAGCCTAGCTGGGAAGGTGACTTCATCCACCTTTAAACATGGGGCTTGCAACTTAGCTCACACCGGACCAATCAGAGAGCTCACTAAAATGCTAATTAGGCAAAGACAGGAGTTAAAGAAATAGCCAATCATCTATCCCCTGAGAGCACAGAGGGAGGGACAATGATCAGGATATAAACCCAGGCATTCCAGCCAGCAACGGCTACACTCTTTGGGTCCCCTCCCTTTATATGGGAGCTCTGTTTCCACTCTATTTCACTCTATTAAATCTTGCAACTGCACTCTTCTGGTCCATGTTTGTTACGGCTCAAGCTGAAGTTTCGCTCGCGTCCACCACTGCTGTTTGCCGCTGTCACAGACCTGCCGCTGACTTCCATCCCTCCAGATCAGGCAGGGTGTCCACTGTGCTCCTGATCCAGCGAGGTGCCCATTGCCACTCCTGATCTGGCTAAAGGCTTGCCATTGTTCCTGCATGACTAAGTGCCTAGGTTCATCCTAATCGAGCTGAACACTAGTCACTGGGTTCCACGGTTCTCTTCCGTGACCCACAGCTTCTAATAGAGCTATAACACTCACCTCATGGCGCAAGATTCCGTTCCTTGGAATCCATGAGGCCAAGAACCTCAGGTCAGAGAACATGAGGCTTGCAACCATTTTGGAAGCGGCCTGCCGCCATTTTGGAAGTGGCCTGCCACCATCTTAGGAGCTCTGGGAGCAAGGACCCCTGGTAATAGTAGCATACTATGTGTACCTTTGTGCCTTGCCTTCCATGTAACAGTGTGTCATGAAATCACCATCAGTTCATACGGATCGTCTTTGCTCTTTTGGTAGCTGCAGAGTGCTCTATTGTGTATATGTACCCCATTCATTCAACCAGTCTTCCATGGACAAGCATTTAGGTTGTTTCTGATAGTTTACTACCACAAGTAACACCACAATAAATAGCATGGTGAATATGCTGTTTTGAATCTGAGGATGTATGTCACCAGGGTAAATTCCTAGAAGGGGTGTTGTGGGGTCCAAGGGTAAATGCATATGGAGTTGTGTTATACTGCCAAATTTCCTTCAACAGCCATTGTACCATTTTGTCTTCCCACCAGGAAGCAATAACAGTGGTGATTGCTTTCCTACAACCTTGCCTATAGAACTTGTAAGCTTTTGAATTTTTGCCAGTCTGATAAATTAGAAATGGTATCTCACGGTAGTTTTTTTTTTTTTTTTTTTTTTTTTTGAGATGGAATCTCGCTCTGTCGCCCAGGGTGGAGTGCAGTGGCGCAATCTCAGCTCACTGCAACTTCTGTCTCCTGGGTTCAAGCGATTCTCCTGCCTCAGCCTCCCAAGTAGTTGGGACTACAGGTTTGAGCCATCATGTTCAGCTAATTTTTGTATTTTTAGTAGAGACGGGGGTTTCACCATGTTGTCCAGGATGGTCTCAAACTCCTGAACTCAAGTGATCTGCCCGCCTCGGCCTCCCAAAGTACAAAGTGCTGGGATTACAGGCGTGAGCCACTGCGCCAGGCCTCTCACAGTTTTAATTTGCATTTCCCATACAGTGAACAAGCATCTTTTTCTTATGCTTGAAGGCCATTTGTTTCATGTGATTTTTAAAAACATCTCTCCCTCTGTCCTCATAATTTCCTGGCTATCACTTTAGATTTGTCTGCTTTATTTTATATCTGGATTTCTGAAATAGTCTTCTGGCTGGTTTATCTACTAAAGCCTCTCTCCCTTTAATTATCCTGAACACAGTTAACGCAATAACCAAATTAACTTCTTAATACCCCCTTCAAGACACCCACTCTCCCACTTCTGTTTTTAGAAGAACCTTCAATGATTCTCTTTTAGTCACAGAATACTTTTAACCTCATTAGTCTGGAATTCAAGATTTTGTTTTCAACCACTTCCCCAAACTTCTCTTTGCCTATTTCCTTATATTTCCTCATTCCTTCTGCAAAATTAGTATACTTGGTGTCTCAAAATCCATAGCAGAAGCCTTTTTTTCCTGCTATTGTCCAAATATAAAGACCCCCTATAGTACAGCTCTTCTCTCTTATCTGTCTAAATTCTATGTAAACACTAATGTTCACCTCAACTCCCATCTTCTTAAAAGCCTTCCTTGAACACTTCAGTGCCCAGAGGTTCTCTTTTTTTAAAAAATCCTTTTGGTGCATATATTTGTCCCCTTATTTGGCAGTGAATTTATATAGCCTTTCTCTTTTTTTTGCAATTCCTTACAATTTTTAAATTTGGATATGTTTTATCCCAAGAGTGGAGACAGCCATTTCAATCTGCAAATACCGATACATTTTCATGATCTCTTTCTAAGTTAAAACAAGGGCACATTAACCACTATATTTATTGATGAGGTAGAAAAGTAAGAACAACTTATGTAATTTGATTAAAATCAATCATCAAGTCAATGGTATATAATCTAAGATGTCTGGATCTCAGGTTATAGTTAAGAGTCATAGCTATTGCTACATTCCCTAAATTAAAACAAACAAACAAACAAAAAATGTGCCTCAAAACATTAGGTAAAAGTTACTCCATTTACTTCTATCCTCAGCTAGTGAAGAAATATAATTTAAAACTTAGATTTATCTTAGTAGTTAAAATTTCCATTCAGGATACTGGTTAGAAAGAGAAAGAATTGACATCAAATATTCTTGGAGCAGAATAGTATTATATAAAATGTTATCTATTTGTTTACAACTTGACAAAGAAGAGAAATCGAATCTCATAATTTAAAAAATCCTTATTTCGTCTCAAAGTATTTAATTCAACACTTTCTTCCAGACGAAACAATCATTTTTGGTCATGAGTTTAGTTTTCTGCCCCCTTTTTGGTAATCTTTCCTTGGAATAACAGATAGCTAGGTCCACCCAGGAAATAGATGAGATTCTAGTTAATCTGGAATTTGAGGGTTTTTTTTGTTAGGTATAAAAGATAGATATTAATGTTCACTAAATAGCTGGAAAGGAATACAAAGCTAAAAAAAAAAAAAAAAAACCCCAGGATTTTCAACAGCTAATTATTACATAATGTAGATGAAATGTCTCACAATAACTGATTTCACTTTTCTCTGACTCCCCTAGAGATCGTCTAGACCTGGCCCAGAGGTGAATCTACATTATTAAAATGGAATAAAGTTAAGTTCTCTCCAAAGGATGATGTCCCTTCTCACAGGAGGAATCTTGGGGAAATCTATAGTAAATTATTCAAATTTTTCAAGTTTGTATTTATCTCTTTAAAATTATAAAACTTAAACCATGGTCTGATCAAAGCTTCCTTATAGTTCTAATAGTTCATGAAAAATCATTTTTTAATTTTAAATATTTATTTATTTAGAGAAAGGATCTTGCTCTGTTGCCCAGGCTGGAGTGCAGTGGCATGAATACGGCTCACTGCAGCCTTGACTTCCCAGGCTCAGGTGATCCTCCCACCTCAACTTCCTGAGTAGCTGGGACCACAGGTGCATGCCATCACACTTGGCTAGTTTTCTGTATTTTGTTGTAGAGACAGGGTTTCACCATGCTTCCCAGACTGGTCTCAAACTCCTGGGCTCAAGTGATCTGCCCACCTTGGCCTTTCAAAGTGCTGGAATTATAGGCGTGAGCCATTGCACTTGGCCAAAATCATTTATTTTTGTATTGTATGGTTTATTTTTTCTTCTTCTTGGTTCATAAACAAAGTTTGATTAGAGAAAACAGCAAATCTAAGACCCTGGGTATCCTAAGCCATTCATCTCTGCTTTGAATTTGGGCAATTCTCAAATTCAATTCAACAAACATTCATGCATTAATTCATATTTATTATGTCCTGGGCACTCTGCTAGTTCAGAGCATATAAGTCAAAGAGCTTGTTCTCAGGTAGTTTAGTGTCCAGGCAGAAAGGTGTATACATAGCAAATATTACACTAGTCACCTCTAAAAGGTATTCTCGCTGGCCTAACAAAGGGAAACTAGAAAAGGGAGAATTTATTCTATTGGAGAGATCAACAAAGGGTTCAGAAATAAGGTGACAATTGGGTTCAGCCAAGTCTATCCAAGAATAAATGAGGCCCAATACATACAGATATTATAAATTAAGGGCATTTTAGAATTTAAAATGAGAAATTAGAGGTATTTAGAATGGTCTTGTCACCCTTTCTGGTGGTGTCACTGCACTTTATACCTGTCTCTACTCTGGCAGGTTGTCTTCTAAGAGGTTTCATTCCAGGTGTATCACTTGGGACAGATCCTGCTATCCCTTATAGTAGGATCACAGCCATATCACCTTTGAAATTCTCCCCATCAAGGCGAGCACTCAGCACACAGTAGACAAAGTTTCTTAAGTAATGAATGGACTGAAGAGCTTAATAGTGCTTTGTAAAGTAAATCAAGTAAATCAAACTTCCTAATCTATCTTTTTTTGCAAGGTGAGTCTTTTGGATTTTGAGTCCCCAGAGGGTCAGTGTCTGCTGTGGAGTCCATTTCCAGTGACTTCCCCTTGGTCTCATCTTTAGCTGGGTCAGCTAAGTGGAGAATGAGGCCAATGCGAACACCTAGTGACCATGGTTTTCTTGTCACTGTTCCCACCTCCATGATAAGATCCTCACTGAACCTGAAGGAGTTCACACACATTCATACATTCCTGTCAAGGTGTCTTGAAGCTATGGAAGGAAGATCTTCTTTTCTCTATGTGTATCTTGCTGGGTAGACTTGCCCCACTCTCATCACTGAGCAGAGCCAAGAGAGCCCAAACCTCAGATTTTAGATTACACACAACCCGCCTCCAAGATGCACAAAGATGCTAGTATGGGCACACAACACACAACAGCAAAGATGCCAGAGAAGACCACAGAAATTAGCTGGGGTGTGAAACTTAATGGGAAAATACATCTGAAATGGGCAAACAGTGAAATCAAGATAATCAAAACATTCATCATTGCTCTGTGCAAACTCATCTTCTATCACTTCACATGAGACAGACACTGGAATTTGCTTATAGTTTTTTACTTCAGTACTTTTATTATTTATGCCTAGGTTTATTTTTTGCTTCCCAGGTAATTAGCATTTTACCCTTAAATATCTGACTCTAAATTTTATCTTCTTCTTAAGTGTTTATTAACTTTATTATGAGATTTTATTATCCAGTAATATAAGCATCATTTTATAGTGGAAGATAATGGGGCAATGGTATTTAAGCTTCCAGAAACTGTATTTTCTAGTTACAGATATTATAGAAAATGTATCTTTTCCATTTAAGGCAAAGAGTGGTGGTGATAGCCACAATATAAATTATAATTCATATATAATATTTAAGTATTAATTTCAAATTAGCTCAAAGAGAAGATTTAGAATATTCCTAGCACAACGAAATGATAAATGTGTGAGGTGATGATATACCAGTTACCCTGACTTGATCATCACACATCATATGCAAATATCAAAGTATCACATGTATCCCCTAAATATGTAAAACTATTATGTATTAGTAAGAAAAAAATTAAGAAAATCCATTGGGTAAGGCAAATAAAAAGTCTGCTTTATTCTGGCACAATCTTACCCCTAGTAACTTCATGAGTGTTCTATAGAACAGCATTAGCCTCACTGGGCAACTTGTCAGAAACACAAATCCTCAGGCCCACCTTAGATCAGTGAATCAGAATCTGCATTTCAACAAATTCCCCAGGTGATTTGTGCCCACGTTGAAGTTTTAGAAGCTTCAGTGGTTGATTAGTCAACCAATCCCAGGGCTTCATGGAAGTTCCATGAAGACAAATTATTCCATGAACTTTTCAGTTGAGTTTCCTTTCAAAGATCACACATGCTAATTATTTTTTATATGTTGCCTAAACGTACATTAAGAAACAATCCTGGAATTCAGTAACCTCCCTATTTTTCATTTTATCGCCAATGCAATGGTGCCATGTGGTTAACAAACTGTCTCCATCATCTCCTGCAGGCATGTGAGAAGGGAAGAAAGAAGGAGCCACTGACTTGAATTAAAGAGTTACATGTGAGAGTGACAAGTGCTTTGCATTGCATGATGGGGAATTCAACTCCACTGTTACCACGATGCTTGATTCTCTAAGGGTTGTCTTAGGCTCCAAGCAACAGAGTCATTTTTATTTTCATTTTTATTGTTTTAAGATGGAGTCTGGCTCTGTCGCCCAGGCTGGAGTGCAATGGCACGATCTTGGCTCACTGCAACCTCTGACTCCTGGGTTCAAGCAATTCTCCTGCCTCAGCCTCCCGAATAGCTGGGATTACAGGTGCCTGCTACCACATCCAGCTAATTTTTGTATTTTTAGTAGAGATGGGTTTTCACCATGTTGGACAGGCTGGTCTCGAACTCCTGACCTCAGGTGATCCACCCACCTTGGCCTCCCAAAGTGCTGGGATTACAGGCATGAGCCACTGTGCCCAGCCCAACAGAGTCATTTTTATAAAGGAAACCCCCCCTCCCTCTACCCACAAACTTCTGTGTTTTACACATCAAGTGAGTTAGAGGAATTAGGCATTTCTTTGCTTGAGTTCATTCACTGTTAATCTTCCAAATGTGTCACCTTGAGAAGCTAAGGAGAGGCTGAGTCTCAGGCACCTGAAATGCGGTTGCTGGTCAGTAAGCCCCAACAACTCATTGACAACCAGAGGAAAAGGTGCCATGGCCTCCTTTTCTAAACTTGAGTTTCATAAAGACAAGAAACCCATTCATTGCTTCAAAAGCAAGTATTTCCTCACAGTGATCCTGTTTGTATTGAAGAAAGCCTACTTAAGACGTTGATGGTGTCACTGAGGCTGACAGCAATGACAAGAGTGCCTGCTGGGGCAATGACAGGATGAAGATGTGTGGAAAAGGACTTAGCTATTTCAACTCTTTAGGTGACAAAGGAAGAGGACATACCCAAGCTGCATCCCAGACATCCTTCTTCACAAGGGACACATTCTTCATAGTCTGGGTCTTGGACTTCACCTACACAGACAGAGAAGTGAAAAACACAACTCATTTCCATTGAGTGGAGACACGTTAATTGCTACAAAAATATGTTCGTGTGTAGCTTATTTTAAAGTAAATCATAGAGCAATTATGAAGCCCAAAACCGTCCTCGAGGATATATGTGGTTTCTACTTTTTAATCTCCTTCTATTAATTGAATAGATTGAATCAGCTTGATTGGGTACAAAGAGAACCAGGTTGGACCATATGCCATGCAGCTCATTTTGAAGTCAAGCTCATTGATTTTATTTATTAAAGAAGCCAGCTCTGCTTCTGGGAAAATGGAATTGGGTATGTAAATGAACAGGTTCTTTTTCTCTTTCTATCTGTGCTACTAAACACTTTTTAAAAAAGTTTAAAATCTTTTACTACATTCATAAACATTAAGGAGAAACAGAATTGAGTGTCTTAATTATGCTAAAAATGTCTTGGAGCTCTCTTCAGCACCAGACCGGGCATAATTCTTATACAGAGCAGGGCAATAACAGTCCGTGGCATTCTTACATAGAAGAGAGCCGAAACTATAAGTGTTGTTTTTTAATTTCCTTCTTCCCATAAAAGATAAGAAACTGGGCAATAACAATAACACATACGATTCACAGAACATTTTAATATTTTCAAGTGGTTTTAGGCTGGTCCTCACTGGCTTCTCAAAGCCACTCTGTCTTGATGCTGTGCTCTTCCTTTGACAGATGAAGACACCAAGGCATGGGCAAATTAGATGAGTTTTGCCTAGGGTCTCATGTCTAGTAATTGGGAAGGAGAAAACTGTTGACCCAGACTTTTGGATTCGAATTTTATTTTCTCTCACCTATATCCTGTCCACAATCCCCCCACCCGCCAAGATCATTTTCTTTTTCTTTCTTACTTTTCTTTTTTTTCTTTTTTTTTTTTTTTGAGATGGAGTCTTGCTCTGTCTCCCAGGCTGGAGTGCGGTGGTGTGATCTCGGATCACTGCAACCTCTGCCTCCTGGGTTCAAGCCATTCTCCTGCCTCAACCTCCTGTGTAGCTGGGATTATAGGCATGCAACACCAAGCCTGGCTAATTTTTGTATGTTTAGTAGAGACAGAGTTTCACCGTGTTCCCCCAGGCTGGTCTCGAACTCCTGGCCTCAAGTGATCCACCTGCCTCAGCCTCCCAAAGTGCTGGGATTACAGGCATGAGCCACTGCACCTGGCCAATTTTCTATACACTTAAGTGCATTCCTATGACCTTGGATTATATCTGAGGAAACCCAGAGAAAGGGTGTGTGAACAGAGAGGGAGAGAGAAAGTTACCTCTCTCCCCACTAGGGTTGGGAGTCACCCAAAATCATCCCAAGTGCTGACATGCAAGCCAGGAAGGCAATTCAAGTCTCCAGGACATCCAGGGTGCAGCCCCTCCTCCCATGTTCGGGTGCTGGGCAAGGGCCCAGGAGCAGGCTTACCTTGTCCACACTCTAACTTCTGGCATGTGTGGTTGGTGGGCGCTATGAAGTAGCCCTTCATGCATCTTGTGCAGACATGCACGCTGTGGCAAAGCTCACAGTTGTCTGGGCAGGGCAGGCAGGTGTTCCCCTCAGTGGCATAGTGGCCCTCTGGGCAGCTATCTCCACACTCTCCCTGGTACAGGAAGTGCTCTCGGCCATAGTTGTCTGATCAGTTACAGGGGCAACGAAAAGAGGGAAAATGTACAAAGTTAGCCATGAAGCTATTATAATGTAAGATATTATATTTTAAAAAGATGCGACTGAGTGCTTTTTTTTCCTAGTGGATGAGGGGTGTAAGGATGGATTTAATGAAAAGTGCAATAGCTACATCCTTGTAGTTGAGAAGTTTTCCTTGCAGGGAATTATTTTCCAATATTTTATATATTTCAGTGAACAGCGACTACTATCTGGGATGTCATTGCAAAATGATGCTCTGTGAATAACTACAATTCACATTGTGTTTAACTACAATTCAAAATGTGTTTAACTTTCCCAAAGGCTCCTTTTGGTATCTGTGAAAGCTCTCAGACTTGGGGGCTATAGAGAGCCCATGAGAATAAACACATGCATAATGATCGACACTTTTTATGAAAGTGCAATCTTTTAAAATGATTTTGAATTGTTATCGGTCACATGCTTGCGTTAACCATCTAAGGTCTGAATTTCTGCAGAGCTGCCAATGCCGATAATGACAAGCTTATTGAAGCACTAGACCAAGCACACTTCTTTGACTCTTTTACGTGCATTCCTGAGGGTTCCTGACTTTTGTCAACATTGGATTCTATAAGGAAAGAATCAGCAGTGCCCACAGCCTAACAGACCATGGGAATTTGTTTCTGGAGGGAATGAAAAAGTCTAACTAGTTACAAAGCATCACAATTAGTTACAAAGGATTCTAATCCGTTAGGAATACAAAAACAACAATAAGATGACTACTGATGCATCTAGAGGTCTCCTACTCCCACCCTCCCGGAGTTTTTGTGCTGAGTGTGCTCGGGGTATCCATCTTCTCTGAATCAGATTTCCCACATGTCCCTGCCTCTGAAGAGCAGCTGATCTGTGTTACTCAGAATAACCGGGGTCTAGGGTTCATTCGTCATGTGATCTACCACATGGAGATCCAGAATCATTGACCTTCAAGATGCAAGGCTGCTGAATTTGTGGATAAAGATAGCACTAACCCCATGTTGCAAGTGCAGAAACTGAGAGTCAGTATAATGTTAAATTGACCCACGTGAAATTGCCGATATTTAACTATTTTTTACCTGTGAGCATGGCACTTTCACATCATTTATCATAATATTTCTTATTTATTCAAAGCCATAGTTGAAATACATTTTCTTTTTTTTGAGACAGGGTCTCACTCTGTTGTCCAGGCTGGAATGCAGTGGCATGATCTCAGCTTACTGCAACCTCCTCTCCTGGGCTCAAGTGATCCTCCCGCCTCAGCCTTTCAAGTAGCTAGAACCACAGGTGCGTGCCACCATGCCCAACCATTTTTTTTTTTTTTGTATGTTTTGTAGAGATAGGGTTTCACCATGTTGCCCAGGCTGGTCTTGAACTCCTGGACTCAAGTGATCTGCCTGGCTTGGCCTCCCAAAGTTCTGGGATTACAGGCGTGAGCCACTGTGCCTCGCCTGAAATGCAATTTTTAAAACATGCTTTTGGATTATGGGCTCTCAAGCTACCTATTTTGCTAATTGTGATTTTCTACTAGAAGGCTACTGGTTCCCATAGGACTAAGAAAATAAAAAGGGCTTCCACAGAGGTGGTGGAAGAAAATATTCTGCTGTTTCTAAATTAGACATAGAAGAGATTATCCTCTAAGGAAAGAAGAGGGTTTGGAAGGACTAATGTGCATTTGGTGATTCTATAGCTATCGATCAACATTGTGGAGCACAAGACTCTGATCTGGTGGAACCTGGAATCTCTGAAGATCACAAGAGGGTCATCCTTCCAAGTTATGTTCTCAGCCACTTTATGAAACCGTTGCAAATGCCACTTCCATCCACCATGACTCATTCAGAAAAAAATCTTTTTTTCAGAGTTCCCCAATTTCTCTGGTGTAGGTAGGAAGATTTGAGGGAGAGCAGTGAGGAAGTCTACCTCTTCTCCATCCCCTGCACCTTCACAAGACATCAACTCAGGATCCAGATGCTTAGAGGGAGTCTAAGGCTCTAAATATGTATTTGTGGAATTTGGCAATATTCAATTTTTCCCCTATATCCAACTGGATCATCAATCTTAAAAATTAGCAACGACGGGCCCAGATTTAGAAGGAAGTGTTCTTCAATCCCATTTTTATTGTTTGGACATGGCTTTATTGAGGTGCCTCTTTGGGTGTTATAATTTGGGTTTAAAGAACAGAGATTTCAGGGGGTCTCAGTGTTTAAAATACATAGACCTACAAAGGGAGGTCACTTAGATGCCTTGGCCATGACCAGCTTTTCCGACAGGTTTGGTCCAGGACTATGTCAAGATTCGGTCAGATTTTGAGTAGCCCTGCTCAATTAGTTATGGATGATAATTTGGATAGCTCAGAAATTTAAATACCATGCATAAATTTTTGGCTACTTGCCCAGGGTCTTCGACTTTAAATTATTATAATAGTATGTAGACGAAGCTATTTCCAGCGGTAGAAGGGCTGATACTTTTGTTAGGCACCAAAAACTTTCCTGGGAAAACAGGCGACAAGAGTTCAAATGGGATAATAGGGGACAAGAGTTTGGATTGGCTTTTGTTTATTCTGGAGAGTAATTCACTTTTACCAGAGCATTTCTTGGCAGCTGATTCTGTTAGGTGAGAAAGTGGACCAGCATGATGATATTGGATGTCCATAGAAGAAAAGAAAGGGTGAGGGTTGAAGGCATGAGGCGAAAAGGACTGCTGGAAAGGATAAAAGAAAGGTGCAGGGATTCTGAAAATAAACTTGATGAAGTTGACTACCACATTTTGCTTACTGTAGCTGTTGTGTGATTGATGGAATTTAGCTTTGGGTAGTTTGGTAGTGAATAAATCTGGAAGAGAATTGGAGTGAATCCTCAGCAATATAGCTGGAGATGTACACTTCCAAGAGGCATCATACCTAAACCTTAATGAAGTCACAATTAAACAAGGGATGCAATCTCTACAAATTGGTAGGAGGGGCTTATGAAGGTTGATGGGACACCCCGGCTGGAGGATTTTTAGCCTTTTATTAAAGCTTCCATTTATGGATATGGAACTTCTTCAATTAAGTCATCCATCTTCTTCAGCACTGTGTTATCAAGGTCTCTGCTACACTTGCTTCACTAATGCTTCTTAAGGACATCACACTCTCAAGGAGGCAGAGCTACCTCAGGGCTTGGTAAACAACACCCCACCTCGAGGAAGCCTTCTCTGCTCATTACAGCTGGAAGTGATGCTGCTTCTCTGATCTGGGATAGGATTTCTACCATGCATTTGGTCTTCATCTATTATTTTCTTGTTTTGTAACATATGAGGACAAACCTCCTTGTTAGACTGTAATTCCTTGAACATGAGTATCATGCTATCATTTATCTCATTTTCTCTGGCATTCAGGGCATAGTAACTTGTAAATAGAAGGGATGCAATAAATGTTTAAGATAATGGATTAAACACAATTTCAAATAGAAAAAAAAATAGAAGAAATGTCAGTGCATTTATAGGTAGATTGGTCCAAGTAGTTGTAGGATGCTTAGAAGACTAGACATTTGTTTGGTATCTAAACTTCTTTCTAATTTTGTGCTATATATGGAGATGTAAAAGTGATTTTGGATGCCATCTTGTACTTTCTCTTCTTCTTCTTCTTCTTTTTTTTTGTTGCAAATAAGAAGAGGCATAAAGAGGTGAAGTGACTGGTTTAGTACCTTCTCGTCAGTAACAAAGGCGGGACTTGAACCCACATTTTCTGACTGCTGGTCTTAACATTCCTTCCATTGAACCATTCATTCATTAATTCATTCAGTTATTTATTATGAACCTTCCATATACCAGACACTGTGCTGATGCTTAAAATACAGCAGAAACAAGGTAGAAACCATGCCATGCTCTTATGGGGCATAGAAACTTATGGACCAAATAGACATCAAATGTGTTGAGGCTCATGAAGGGGGAAGTGCAGCGTTCCCAGGTTGCTGATGTGAAGGCCTAATCTAGGCAAGGAGGTTAGGGCAGCCCTCACTGAGGAAATGATGTTGAAACTAAGATGGAATAGGAAGACATCAGCCAGAGAAGAGGAAACATCTCAAATGAAGTCTTAGGAGCAAGAGAAACTCAAATGCTCAAAAGACTAAGCAGCTACAAACAATAACAGTAATAATAATAAAAATAAAAACAGTTAATATTCCAAGTGCTCACCATGTGGCTAGCCCTGTTCTAAATGCTTTATTGTTTTATCTCATTTCATGTCATTTAATTTTCATAAAAACTCTTAAAGAAGTAAGCATTATCATCACCTTGTAGATGAAGAAGGAAACAGAATAAGGCAGTCTAGAAGTAAAATATGACAGATATTTGTCATGTTTTGACACATGAAACACAAAGCAATGAATTTATATACAGAAATGTGTTATCTCCTGATCTCCTGCAAATGCCTGGTACTCTCAATGTGTTCTTCATTTTTCTTGGTTTATTTCAAGGAAGAATAAAGATCAATAATTCTCTTCCACCAGAAAAATGATGTAAGGATGATGATGCTGGTAACTGACAGCCTCAGGATCAGTGAGACAACTGGGAATGGTGGGGACTGGGGAGAGATGGAGAGCAGCCTCTTTTGGACTCCAGGTAATGATTTGGGAAATGCAGGTCCAGTGTTGGCAGATCTTTTGAATTTTCAAGAGACATTAAACCCTCAAGTTTTTATTTGCAATGTCCCAATTTTTAAATTTGACTCAAATTTAAAAAGTAGTATATAGAAAAAAATAAAATATGAATCTGGCCCACATGAGGTCGGTAGGGGACAGGCATATGAGTTGAGGCTGGAAAGGAGTCAAGGGTCAGAATGCAGAGAACCCTTGAGAGCATGAAATAGAATCCAATGACAGCAGGAAACTTTTAGTGCAGGTAAATCTGGGACACAAAAGGTCACATTTGTAATCATTTGAAACGATGACCTTGCTCTGCCGAGCTCTGGCAACTTCTAAGTGGCATACTTCCCTTAAAGACAGAACGTGTCTTTCTTAATTCCCCAGGTCTTCACTTTTACCTCCACAAATCTTAACTTCACTGTCTATCTCATGTCTGACCTCATGCTTCTACGTCCTTCTCTCTCCTTCTCTGGAAAGGCATCTCTTAGCTGCTTTCTCATCTTTTCCAGGGCACCGAGTCTACACCCGAATAAGGTGAACAAGCTTTTTGTGTACTGACAGCAAGCAGAAAGTTCAAGGTTGTACACGCTCTCCAGTGAACAGCTGTCTGATCTTAACCCTCAGCCCCAGACACAAGGCTTTTGGGTCAAACCAAATGATGGCCATCAGAAGAGGAACAGGTTTGGGGTGCAGAAGACGGAGGAGCAGCAGTCTCTCACCTGCTCCACAGGAGGTGCAGTGGGTAGGGCCACTTCCTTGGCATCTCTGGCAGGTGTGGTGGCATGGATGGCATTGGTTCTCAAATTCAAATTTCCATGAGGGGCAGTTCGAAACACAGCGGCCATCATCAAAAATCCTAGAGGAAAAGCAGACTTTTAGAATTCATCAGGGTGACTTTCCAGAGTGGCCCTAAGTATCAGAACATGTGGTATTCATGTTTGCTGGACAGATTTGACTTCATTGTTCCAGAAACAAGGGGGATGCCTGGGAGTGATCATCTTAGAACATGTGAAATATTAGTCACGTACCCATCCTTGGCCCAAGATTTGGACCTAACAGCCAGCATGCCAGAAACTGGCTGGGAAAACAATCCCGAATCTGCTTCCAAACAAGCTAACTGGTGCCTACAGGGACGAAATCCAGATTATAGGCCCCAACCAAACCCAGCCAACAGTCAGATGGAGGTCTGTAAACTTTCCACACACTTAGTGGGCCTCTGAGAGAGGCCTTGGAGAAAATATTCTTCCTTTATCTATCAGCATGCTCATGCTTTGCAAGGGAAATGTCAGCTCCAAGGGCTCTTGACGAGTGAAACAAAACACTGCTTTGTAGCTCGGATGCTACTTAGAAGCCTGGCCTGTGTATATTGCAAGTAATCAATGAACTCTGATTTTGAGTGTCATGTTTTGCAAACATTTCCTGAGATATGGAGTACTGCAGTCTCCTTTTCTGACCATGAACACCTACTGTGAACACCTACAAAGGGCATTACAGGTGAGTTGGTATATGGGCTTCTAAAACTTTGGTTTTACATATATACAATGTATATCCTAATGTCATTGTTAATATTTTTATAGTTTTGCTTCATTATTCTTTGCAAACTAATCGTAAGAGCAAATGTGACTAAGTAAATTGTATCCAAGTATTCTGTTCAGAAAAATACAAAATGTTTATCAAGTGCAAGAGTCAGATAGGTAATATGAATCGATGAAGTGAGCTGGGGGCTGCACACCCAGAGTTCCTAATTTAGTGGGACTTAAGGGGAGGCAGCTGAGAATTTTCATTTCTGGCATTCCAGATGATGCCAGTGCTGCTGGTCTGGTGAGCACTCTTTGAGATCCGCTGCTCAGTGACAGTCTGGATTACTGTGGAATTCGCTAAATGATTCCTATGTAATACAGGTGACATCAAATTGGCATCTCTTACAGCTCCCTTAGAATAAGTTATTGTATCAATTGTGAGGTTCACTGAGCACATAGCATACGCAAGCTCCCGTGGGCATAATGCTGCCATCCAGGCCTGGGACATCTGAGTGGGCCTGCGAAGAAAGGGAAGGATGTCTTTTTCTCTCTACTACTCCTCTCCACTTATGCTGGACACCACACGAAAGATCAGATGTAGGCCTCAAGCACCTTGTTCCTGTATTGGCACTGGCTTGTTTAAACTTCACTGTTTCCAGAGCTAGAACCAACCCTGAACTGGGGGGTGGGCCATTTCAATCCCAGGTTTGGAAGAAGGTTGGGTGGGACAAGGCATCCTGAATAGTATGTCACTTGCAGTCTTCCATCTCATTCATTCCCATACCCTGAAAGTCTGTGTCATTTGCATCTGTTTGGAGGCAGAATGGGATTCAAGCCGACAACCTAAGAGAGAAGTCCACCTCTCTCTTGGATTCCTAGGCCCTCATGTTCTGTTAACCATCCGCAGCACCATTGAATGAACAATCCTTTTGGTCCACTGCAGAGTATGAGTCCCAGTCCTAAACAGACACTCACACACATCTGGCTGTCCATGTCAAAACAGATCCCCTGCACCATGGCATAGAATGAGATGCCTGTGCTCCCAGCCCAGATTTTTAGCGGATGGCACTAATGCCAAAGGGGAATATCCCAGCCCCACCCTGGCACCAGTTACTGAGCTAGAAGACTTTTCAAGGAATAGTCTGGATGTGGCTAGTTTAAAATGAACAAACAAACAAACAAAAAAACCCAAAATCTTTCTATAAGAAAAACTGTGGAAGAGCTTTCTGAGGATTTTAAGCAAGGAAGCTATTCAATGTTCTGCTGAAAAAGAGAATGGGGCGAGTTTATTCTGGGGATTTATTTTCTTGCTAAAATCAATTGAGAAAGGGATGTGAAGTACATCATCATTTTATCTTTTATAGCAGTGGTCCCCGGCCTTTTTGGCACTAGGCACTGTCATTTGATTTGGCTGTGTCCCCACCCAAAATCTCATCTTGAATTATAGTTCTCATGATCCGAGTCGTGGGAGGGACCAAGTGGGATGTAACTGAATCATGGGGGCGGTTATCCTCATGCTGTTCTCGTGATAGTGAGTGAGTTCTCACAAGAGCTCATGGTTTTATAAAGGGATTTTCCCCCTTTGCTCAGCACTTCTCCTTCCTGCCACCCTGTGAAGAAGGAGCCTTTCCTCCCCTTTGCCTTCTGCCATGATTGTAAGATTCCTGAGACCTTCCCAGTCATGCAGAACTATGAGTCAACTAAACCTCTTTTCTTTATAAATTACCCAGTCTCGAGTATTTCTTCATAGCAGCATGAGAACAATCTAGTACAGACCAGTTTCATGGAAGGCAATTTTTCTACAAATGGGGGGCAGAGGATGGTTTTGGGATGATTCAAGTGCATTACATTTATTGTGCACTTCATTTCTATTATTATTACATTGTGATATATAATGAAATAATTATGCAACTAACCGTAATGCAGAATCAGTGGGAGCCCTGAGCTTGTTTTCCTGCAACTAGATGGTCTCATCTGGGGATGACGGGAGGCAGTGAGAGATCATCAGGCATTAGATTCTCATAATGAGCACGCAACCTAGATTCCTCACATGGGCAGTGCACAATATGGTTCACATTCCTATGAGAATCTAATGCTGCTGCTGATGTGACAGGAGATGGAGCTCAGGCAGTAATATGAGCAACGGGGAGTGGCTATAAATACAGACGAGGCTTCACTTGCTCACTTGCTGCTCACCTGCTGCTGTGCAGCCCAGCTCCTAATAGGCCATGAACCAATATCAGTTCATGGCCTGGAGTTTGGGGACCCCTGTCCAAGATGAGATGACAGATTGGTTTGGGGGGGAAATCATTTGTCTTGGGAGAAGTAATCTCCCATTAATGGGAACCATTAAAAACCACTCAGAAATAGGAGAGGAAGCAGATATAGAACCCTTCCATGTTTATGTAGGAAAGGGGCTGTCTTTTTGACTTGATTTGAGGAACATATCAATCACATAATTATGCTTTAAACCATTCCCTCCATGTCCACCCTAACAAAAGCATAGGTGAGATCTCCAGTTTTTGTAAGAGGATGATTATTTCTAAAGATAGAAAGATAGGGAAGACAGTTATGCTTAAGTGAAGGCACTGAGTTATGTCACCACGACCCACCCCACATTCTCCAACCTCCCCCCAAAATATTGCTAAGAAACTTGAAGAAAAATCCCATTTCAAATGGCCACAGTTTTCAACAGACACCAACAAATTTTCCCTAGTGGAAGAGAATAGATATTTTTCTCTATAAAAGTAGAAAATGGGTCTGATGAAAATGTTCCTTAAAGCCAACTCAAGGCATCTCTGGGACCACCAGTCATCCAATTCATGGATTCCTGAGATGCCCAGGCAAGCTCATCTCTGCAGGGGAAGAGCTTCTTTCCCCAACTCATGCCAGCTCTTGACCTTTTCATAGGAAGTGAACCATTCCAGACCAAACAGGGCTGAAAGAAAGGGAGAATGCAGTGGAACCAAGTGCTAAGCAGCTGGGCAGAGATGATCTTAACACTGGCGCTGAGTATTCCAGAAGGCCCCCAGATGTGTGTGTGACATGAACTGTAATGAAAGAGACAGCATGTCAGGGTTAGCTGGTCCTCTTTGCTGATTGTTGACTTGGCCTAATTAAAGCCATTAAAACAGCACTTAGTGTAATTTCTTGGTTCTTTAATATTCTAAAAGAATGAAATCTAGTAAAAAGATTTTTTTCTCTGAATTCATTGAAATAGATCAAATACAATGTTTGAGCATGGGTCAGAACAGAGGTAACTTTGAAATATTTTTAATTAGTTCACTGACTCTCTAACTCCTTCAGGACTGGGCAGGGAAATTAGGTTGGGCAATGAGGATCCTGGCATCACAGAGCTTTGCATGTTAAATACAGTGGCAAAGAGGTCACTTGCTTTCTCCAGGTTTTTAATTGTCTTTAAGGAGCTAAACCCAGTGGTTTATAAAATTGTAAAAGAAGGGTGGTAGCTGCCTTATTAAACAAATGTTAAAATATTCCCCTAGTTCAAAAGACGTCCAAACATGCATTGGCATTTGATTGTTGGTATGGTGGGGAATTGGAGAAAAAACAGAACCTCATTTTGAGAATGCTATCTGTATCTTAGAGTAAGTCCTGATGCTTCTTTAAAGCAAATTCAATATTTAGAGGCATAGTTATTTTAAAGAGACACTTGGAAAAATATGCTCATGGTTAGCATTAAAAATTCTTAAAACTGTTCCTTTGTGTCTTCTTCGGTCCTTTCTCCTTCCTTCTTTCCTCTTTTCCTTCTCTTATTCATTCTTTCCTTTCTTCCTTCCTCTTTCTGAGGGAGCTATTTGGAGAGCCAAACCTATGATATTGATTCCACACTTCATCAAGTTCAATAAAGCACATTTATTGAATTATGTGTTGATCACTGTGGGGAATAAAGGAAAAAACACACCACAGCACCCGCTTGCAAGAATATTATAGTCTTGCAGAAGTAGGACAAAATGACCATAATGCAAAGCAGAGGGCATGTCCATCCCAGAGATGCAAAGCGCCTGCCACTGGAGCAGCCTCATCACCCTTGCCTGCAAGAGACCTGCTTCCTTTGCGTTGGGCAGGGCAGTGATGAGGCCATTCACTGAAATACTCGGTAGCCAAAAAATATTCAGTGCTAGGCTCAGAGGAGCATTGACTGAAAATAAAACAGGCCTCCAGCTTTCTTTATTAGAAATTCCCAGTGTATTAGCAAAGATGCTCATTCCATTTGCATACTTGCTATTCCCTCATTAACTCAGTTAGCAAACATTACTGAGTGCCTGCTATTATCCCCGAACTGTGGTAGGTACTAGAGATCAAAGATGAGTATCTCAAGTGGCTTACAGTCTAATGAAGAGATAGCTTTGTAAATGAAAACCTTCAAAGGCTACAGCTGCTCTTATGGAAGCTTATAGAGAGCAAAGGGACATAAAAATGGTTAATTTTTGCTGGGAAGAGATTATTTTTACTGGGAAGAGGTCAGAAATGCCTTTAAAAACAGTTCACCCCTTGTAACCCCAGCACTTTGGGAGGCTGAGGCGGGCAGATCACCTGAGGGCAGGAGGTCAAGACCATTCAGAAATAGGAGAGGAAGCAGACATAGAACCCACCATGGCCAACATGGTGAAACCCCATCTCTACTAAATGACACAAAAGTTAGCCAGGCGTGGTGGTGGGCGCCTATAATCCCAGCTTCTAGGGAGGCTCAGGCAGGAGAATTGCTTGAACCCGGGAGGCGGAGGTTGCCGTGAGCAGAGATCGCGCCACTGCACTCCAACTTGGGTGACAGAGCAAGACTCTGTCTCAAAAAAAAAAAAAAGAACAGTTCACTTTTGAACTGACTCTAGAAATAAGTAGATACTTGACCAGCAGATGGAAATGATGATTGAGGGACGGGTATGCAGAAAAGGATGAGATTTCAGGCATCAAAGGCACCCTATTGATTGATGAGGAAATCTGTTCCATGTCCAGGGAACTGGTCCTTGTGGTGGGGACTGGGCGTCATGGGGAGAGGATACTACAGAGCTGGGCTGTGCCCAGACCAAGGAGAATATCTGTGGAGTGGGAAAGAGTTTGCTTCTTTTTCACTGCAGGCCCATGAGGTGCTGCTAAGATGGTGAGCACCTCCTCTCTCCACCCTGCAATCCATGAGCTCACACCACCGGGAGATCCTGAGAAGCCACTTACCTTGTCATGGGGCAGGTAGTGCAGTCTTCCTGGGTTGGTCCCTGGCACTTGGCACATGAGGCCTCACAGGTCTGGCAGTGGCCATGCTCATCAACATATTCTCCTGGGGAACAAAATCTAGTTGTTTATTTCATTTCTACATGGCAAGCCTGCCTGGGCTGTCAGTCTGAGAGCAGCCAGATCTCTGTGGCTGCCTGAAAGCAATGCAGACAACACAGAGAGGAGAGGCCCTGAATGGCTTCAGCTGCTAGTCCCAAATCCTGACCTTATCATAACAACTGCTCCTCTCCCGGGGGCTCCAGAAGTTGGAACCTCAAAAAGTTATGAGGCAATGACATATTTCTGAATCTAGTCAACATGTGTTACAGATTTTATAAGTAGGGAAGGCCAAGCGGGGCTTCCCACCAGACCCCTTTACTGAACTCCTGCTGACTTTTCCATTAAAAGCTGAGGTCTCCTGGTCCACAGAGGGCCGTATAGTCTTGGTTCAAGTCAAGCAATGAGCAGGAACCACCTAGATCTTTTCTTACCACCCCATGGGGTAGAGGTGTGGTAATCATGGTTACTGGTCAAGAATGGGTGCTGAGTCTTGGCTGACATTGGGTGATTGTAAGCTACATCTCACTCTGAAAGAGTAATAGTGAAGAAATAGCCAGGGAATTCTTCCTTTAATTGGAAATTTTATCTTTCCCAAGGAAAAACACATATGGGGCCCTGCAACAGAAGCAAATCCAGCCTCACAAGTTTCTTGGAAACATTTTAAGAAATTACTCCCACAGCAAAGGTGGCAGAGGGAGGCCAATCTCATGGAAAGTAAATCTCATAGACTCAAAGATGGGCCTCTACTCACTGAATCCAACCCTCATTGCACTCATCCTAACCTGCTATTGTCTTAAAAAAAATTGACAGGCTTCTTTGGTCAGATCCACAGAGCCACTTTTTCTGGTTTAGAGACTGGTCATGCCCAGAAAATATGGTTTCAGATTTTGGCAGAGACACAACCTCCACTGGACCTCAACCCCCTCCAACTCTGACAGCCCCCATAAGCCATGTCTGAACACTGTCAATCTGAGATCCAGCTGGTGGGGTGAGATAGCAGGACCCGCCCAGGGTTTAATCACGTTGTCTTACTGCAACTCCAAGATTCACTGCCTGATTTAGCATAGTTGCATTGAAAAGAACCCTGGAAACCTAGACTTGACTGGTGAGGAAATGAGGGAAATTCATCCCTCTTTCCCCCATCGCTTTACTGGACTGGTACAGCTAGCATGTAAGTAAATCTTATATATGTAAATTTTACACTTGCTAGCACTAAACCCCAAAGATGACTGTGAAGAGACAACTAGAGTTTGCCTTTATGTAGCAGAAAAAGCCTTTCATGTAGGGTTATTCTATTCATTTTGTTAACAGAAGGGAAAAGTGCATGTTCAGAGTGATGCAAACATCTAATCACAGCACACCCTGCACACCCCGGGCTCTGTTCCTCTATGTCTCCTCATTGTTACCAAGGTACAGTTTGGACTGGGAAACTTATATACAATTTTTAGAATGGGAATGGGACTGTGATTCTTACTTCAGGACTGACTAGGAAACTTCCCAGGAGACCTAGGCCCAAAAGAGTGCATAACCAGCAGGGGCAAAGGCATACCAACAGGTATGCAGGTTGTTCACTGCACAAGGTGCCTACCCACCCGAATGGTCCAGTGGAGGCTGACATCCAGCCCATTTGCTTCACCATGCCAGGCACTCTGGTGTAGGCTGCGCCTGCCTCTGTAGAGGGACACCTTTTATTAACTCATACAAAGGTGTTGACTGGACTGGTTACATTCTTGGTAACCAGTAGCCCTGAGACAGAAAAAAGCTGTGACCTCCATCTAGCAGGAGTGGTGATTTCAAGCTGAGACTGTGTCACTGACTACAGGCATCATCATAGTTATGCAGCCTTCTTTATATTTATTCAGGCTCCTTCACTTCACCTCTTATTTATGGCTTCCACTATTGTTGTAGGAGGCACAATCAATTGAGCAGGGTGATTATCAGTCCAGGTACCAGCAAAATTAAGAGCAGAGGACCCAAGGCAGACTCAGTGGGAAGAAGCAGACCTTGCCTACAGGGGCCAGTGCAAACGATTTGTTTTTACAGTTAGATGATATCTATGTATCTTTCAAAAAAATATGCTGAGTGGAACAAGAATGGAGAGGTTCATAGAAGCTGAAAACCTCACAAAAATCGTATTCTAGAGAAATGTGGACTCAGAGAGCACAGCTTATCCATTCATTCATTTTATGGATATATTTTTTAACACTACATACATGCCAGCTACTAAGGGAGATGTAGAGACATACAAATTAAAAAGACCCTACTCGTGGGTTCTCAAAGATTTTATGCGAGTGATTTATAGATAGTTATAACACAATTGCTAGCCAAGGGACTTCTACTTCCTCAGACAGGCCAGATTAAAAACCAGAACAGAAGAGCAAGGGTGTACACAGGACTCTGCTAGACCCAGAGGCAAAGACAATTACTTTGCCTTGACATCAGTGCCTGTAGGAATGGGCAGAACTCCTCATATTCATCTATCCTCATTTCCATGATGTGTCAGATCCAATGCTAGGATAGGATTTTAAACTAAAACACCTTGCTCTGCTAAATCAAATGCTACTTAGAAGGTTCTGAGAGTTATATCATGTCTGCGCTCAAAGTCTTTATCATACAGATGAGGCATCGTTAGGTTAGTCGAGGGTTATTAAGATATAACTGTGAAAATTTTAAATTTTCTTCTGTATCTCTTGTTTGCCTTCTCATTGGCTTTCATAAACCAGTAGGTGGCTTTAATACTCTGGCTTTGCATGTCTTCAATCTACTCAACTATAATGGCCTCTGTTGGCACTCACAATGTGCTGCCTTAGATATAATGACCCCAAAAGATTACCCCATCTCCAAGATTTTAAATACATCCTCCAGACACAGCTTCTTATGCCATACTATAAGTCTACATCATCCTAGGTGACTCCCTGTCACTGTGCGATTATCCCTTCATTCATCTCTTCCAATCTCTAGCTTGCATCCCCCACCTGGGGTAGGCCAAGCCATCCCAAAGCCCAAGTTCCACCCATTCTTCTGCAAAAGGAGACATCACCTCCTCATTTGCAATAAGATGTCTGAGTTCCCTTGGCTTTTTTTTTTCTCAATGTCAAAAGTCATCTCTGTCTTCTCTTTGGCTTTTTACTTATCTTCTGTCTCCAAAAGAAAGGTCTGCCACTCTTCCTGGCTATTGTCAATTCCCCATCTACTGTTATAATCTTCTTTCCTCAGAATATTTCTCCACCAGTTCCTCTGTGTTTAATCTCTTCCTCACATCTCCAATCCTTGTCTGATCTACAAAAGTTTTCTGCTAACTTAAACCTTCCCAAGCCCTTTCCCTCCCTGATAAGGGACTTGTAAAACTTGTTTTTTCCTCCTACTATTTGGAAACAAAATGGTGAAAACTTCATGACCTTGAAGCTTATGTAAGAGCGTCAGTGTAAGACAACTAAACTGTGCCTGTCTCTCAAGTCTGCATGCCTCTTCACGTTAGAACAGCTGATGAGAATAGAGAAGGCTTCTCCCATTCTCATATTTACGTAGATGTTTAATTAGTTACATAAGCAACTGCCCCCAGCTCTTACAGGCACAAGTTTTCACTGCATGTTTGGAACTGAAGAAACCAGATTCCAAGGACACAGAGAAGTTGCTCTTTTTTGTTGTTTTTGGAGCAGCAAATTCTTGTCATCTGTCTTCATTGCACAATGAAGCTGAATGTTTATGACAGGCATGATATACAAAATTCTTACAAAAAGTCAACTTTTAACAGAGCCTTCAGGAGCCAGTATTTTGTTTTCCACCTCATCCTACAAGCTCTTCTTTCTGGCATCTTCATCCATTGTTATGATTTCCAGATCATCTTTCTCCTGTGATCAAAAAATGTTCCATTCCCCCTTTAGTTTCTTTCTCATCCTATGCTATAATGGTTCAAAGACACTGAGGAAGTGTAGTCACTTGGAGAGGAATGCTACCTCAAAAGTTGAAGACACAGCTTAAAAATTAATACTTATAAATTTTAAAAAGTTACAAGTGGCTTACTGTGCTTATTCCATCTCTTGATAACACTGTAGAATACTATCAACAAGTCCAGATTCTAAGCAAACATTATAAAGTCTTCCAGAATAACTGAACATGTATCATAGCATCCAAAGTTACAACATAAGATTGAAGTATAATCCTTTTTTAGGTTTACATGGCCAGAAGAGCCTCATTTCTCCTGAACAAATGCTACGCTTTCTTTTATACCTCATATTTCCTTATTGGTTACAGCTAAATTTATTGTAGAATTCTAGCAAATAAATATGTACACTGAATAAATTAATCGATACATAAATATGATATTTTATGATGTGAGTTTAAAAACTTTTTAGCAAGATGATTGGTAAGAGAGGATGGGAGGAATTTGATGAGAATTCAGTTGCTTGGTTTTTGATCTAGTTATTTCAGTGAGTAACCTTGGGGTATGAAATTATCTGTAGACTTCCCTGTGAGGCCTATTTATGTGCCTCGTCACTCAGATGCCAGAAATCATAGAGTATGAGTGATTCTACTATCACAAGTGTTAATCAAATAATATTATCTCTTTGCAAGGATGCCAACATGTAGTTTCCAACTTAAGATACCATTCTGTGAAGATAATTTTTATTAAAAACATCTATATGTTTTTTTCGCCAGCTATAATAAATACTCAGCAACACTTTCAGCTACTTATGTACTAATGAAATCAGTTGTTTTTCAAAGCTTTGTTAAGCATAAAGTTTTATAGCAAGGCTCAAACTATGAGGCCATCAACTGAGACTGCAACATCTTTAAGTCAACACAATCATTCAGCCTTAAAAAGAAAGGAAATTCCGACAAACTCTACAACATGGATGAACCTTGAAGACACTATGCTAAATGAAATAAGCCAGTCACAAAAGCACGAATATTGTATTATTTTACTTATATGAGGTAACTGGAGTAGTAAAAGTGATAGAGACAAAGTAGAATTGTAGTTTCCAGGGCCTAAGGGTAGGGGGAAAGGGTTATTTAATGGGTACAGAGTTTCAGTGGAAGAAGATGATGAAGGTCTGGAGATGGATGGTGGTAATGGTTGCAGAGCAGTGTGAATGTATTTAATGCCACAGAACTACACACTAAAAATAGTTAAAATGGTAAATATATATTATGAATATTTTACAATATTTTTTTAAAAAAATATCTACACAAAGAGTTTGTGTCTTAGCAGGCCAATACTTCATTTTAGCCAAAAAACAAAATCAGTATTGCCTGTCTTTGGGGATGGGTCCAAAGGGTATCAACCAATCCACCATCTTGGGAAGCCAGTCTGTTGAAGTGAGGCTTGGGAGACCTCCTGTGATAATGGAAATAAATTGATATATGAATAAAACTTGGGATAAGGGAGACATCTGGCAGATGGAAAACTCTGTCTTCTTCCTTTCCTCAAGGATGCACTAAAGACAGAATGAACATTAGGCAGCTAGAAAGAGGGTTCTACATCCCTACCCTGGAGGTGTCTGGAGGAAATCTCTTCTCTATCCCATTCTCTCAAGGACAACTTGCCCTTGTCCTTCCTGCATATTCTGTTTTTGATTGACAAGACTTATCCTTCCTGGTCCCATTGCTTTTTCATTCTCAGGCAGGCACTGACATTGATCTGTGGGGTTTGTGCAGATGCTCTGAAATGCTACTCTGGCAACCTCATGGGTTGGCACTCCTGCAAAAAGGATGGATCGTAAATTGTGGATCCAACACACACACACAAATATTTAGTTTCCTTCAGCCTACACGTTGTTCAAAGGGCAGAATTAAGAGTTGATCTTTCTAGTTTCCACCGTCGTTTGGCCCTTGACCACAGTCAGGCAGTTAAAAAAGTACATCCAAAGTGAAGTCTTGGCTGACGCACCTGAATGTAGTAGTGATGTAGCAATCATACAAGCTCCTATTCATGGATGCCTACTGTATTACAAGTGCTGTTCTATGTAATATTTAATCCAGACAAAAACCTCTTTTATAAACAAGAAACTGAGGCTCAGGGAGATTAAAAAATCTTGCATAAGTTCATTCAACTAGGTAAGTGGCAGAGCTGGGCTGCGACCCAGGTGTGTCTGAGACTGAGCCCATGCTCTTTCTACGATATTTGCTGGTATGGATTCATTTCCCCCTTTAGTGTTCCAAGTAGCTTTGCTATTTATAAAAAGAAAGAACTGAGTACATGCCTCATCTCAACTACTTGATGAGGTAAGGGCATCAAAAAGGAATTTACTGTGAAACAAACAAACTTTGAGCAGGCATGTTTCACAAAGCAGATTTACTCAATGATTGATTATACCCTCCAAATTTATTTTCTCTGTTAAAATGGCCATCATTCTTTAAAAGGCAATTCCATGTATCAAGTAAACAGATTTTACAAGCAGTTTGTTTTGCCCGTTAGGCTGTAAGTTCCTAAGAGGAACTCAGAAATATTTTTTTGAATGAATTAACTTGGTTGAGGGTCTGGACAGGGATTTTCTATGTTGTTTAATTCTGTTCAAAACAAATAAACTGGCTCCTCAGAAACAGCTTACAACCACAATTATGGTAACAGTTCTCTGTGGTGGTGGGGAAGACTGGGGGGATTTTGGTCAAAGGATACAACATTTCAGTTAGACAGGAGGGATAAGTTCGAGAGATTTATGGTACAACATGGTGACTAGAGTTGATAACAATGTATCATGTACTTGAAAATCACTAAGAGTAGATTTTAAGTGTTCTCATCATGCACAAAAAATAAGTATGTGAGGTAATGCATATATTAACTTAATTTAGCCATTCCATAATGTATACATATTTCAAAACATTTTGCTGTACACCATAAATGCACACAATTTTTATGTGTCAATTTTTTTTTTTTAAGTTTCTAAACAGCTGGTTGTAAGACCAGACCCAAAGGGTGGGGTTTGGGGGTGGGATGGAGGTAAAAGACCTGAGTGTGATTTTTTTTTTTTTTTTTTTTTGAGACAGAGTCTTGCTCGGTCGCCCAGGCTGGAGTGCTGTGGCGCATTTTCAGCTCACTGCAACCTCTGCCTCCCATGTTCAAGCCATTCTCCTTCCTCAGCCTTCCGAGTAGCTGGGACTACAGGCGCCCACCACCACGCCCAGCTGATTTTTGTATTTTTAGTAGAGACAGGGTTTCACCATGTTGGCCAGGCTGGTCTTGAACTCCTGACCTCAGGTGATCCGCCCGCCTCAGCCTCCCAAAGTGCTGGTATTACAGGCATGAGCCACCATGCCCAGCCCTGAGAGTGATTATTGTCTGCAGTTAAACAAAATAAATTTACAAAGCTTCTCATTGAACCTGTGGATGAGGAAAATCATGAAAAACGTTGTTGGTGGATGGGAATCCATTTATTGCTCATGTTAGGTGTGAAATGCTTCTTGACAGTCTCTTTATTTAGTGGGCTGTCTTTTGCTATTCCTGTGAGCCTAGAATTTCTACAGGTTTGCTAGTGCACTCAGTCTCTCTATTCATCAGTTATGATTTTATCCCCAACTGTCTCCTCTATTTGTGGCTGCAGAGGGCCCACCCTAGTGGTGAGAACAGTACAGTGTCTGATGCATTCACGGTGAGGCGATATCTAAGTTTTAATACATGTTGACAGAAATAAGTGAGCATAATTTGACAGAATAACTTATTTATCTTTCAGAAAGCAGCGCCGACAACCTGATGCAAGTCACCCTTGGGAGACGCTTACTGAGAAAGTGAATGACTTGAAAGGGCTGAGGGCCGGGAGAAAGGGGGCCTCTCTCCACATGAGATGCAAGCCCGCAGCAGGAGAGGGGAAGCCGCTGCTGAGAGCGCTTCCCATGAGTGAGCACGACACTGCCAGGCCTTAAGGGATGTGCCATTTCCTTTCTCTTTGGAGTGATGAAGATGGCAGGTGAAATTTTCAGGAGCGTGGCCCACAGAGCCTTCCTGAGGTTCTGAACTACATAGAGGTGCTAGTGCACTGAGAGTTAAAGCCCCAAGTCCTCCCCACAGAGCTTAATACCACCCAAATGTTCCTTGTTACAGCTTTTAATTCCTGAAACACCGACACATGGATGAGACTTGTTATCATCCTCTTTCGTTTTTTTAGCAACCCAATGAACCTCCCTCATGGCTTTCATAACTTGCTTTTAAACCCCTTGAAAATACCGCTGCAGTGTGGCTTTCTCTGCTCCATTGCCCCATGGGAAGGAACATCCTCAAATTACCCTCTTTCTCTTTCTCTGCATCAACACATAGAAAGTGCTGGCTCATCATTCATCTCCCACACTCCTTTCCTATTTCTTTACGCCCTGACTTCAAGTGCTCAAACATTTTAGCCAAATCTCTAATTAAGAGAAAAGAGAAGCCCCTGGAGAGAGGAGGAGCTGCATACCAAGGCCTGGGGCTCTAGCTGCATGATAGCTGGTCGCAGCTTTGTAACGGACAGTTTAGTCTTTCACCGGTTCTCATTAACACTGTCTAAGAGATCCGCAGGTTTGCCCAGTGACAGGTCTGTATGGAATGCGGCACCCAGGATGCCTCTGTCCCTTGGTGACTGAAGAAGCATTTGATTCGTTGGGCTGCCCAATGATTTATTGGGAGTGACCAAATTGTGCTTTCAAAAAGACGAAGTGTGGAAATAAAGACAGGAATCAAGGTTTGCTCCGTGCCTACTGCGGGTCAGCATCGTAAGAAGCACTACATTGGGTAAGGACACACATTTTGGAGTCATCCCGTCCTGGGTTACATTTTTGGGTCCCTTCCTTCTCCAGCTGTGTGAAATTAATCAAATCACATATTTCCCGGACATTCCTCTTCTGTAAATGTGGATAATACTCTCTCTCTCTCTCATAGGATGTGGTGGGGATCAAATGAGAAAACAGACCTACAGCACCAGAAGAATGGATGACAGAGGTTAGTTATGATTCTGTTTCTTTAATTGTGTTATCTCATTAAATATTAGATAATAATGTAGGGTAGTTAGGGGTCTCAGCTCCATTTGATCAAGGAATTTAAGCACCAGAATGTTAATCCTGTGTGAACATCATCTAAACCCTGGTCAGACTGGATCCCAAATTGTGCTTTTTCTCCTGCCCCTGAGGAATGTATTGGTTGCATATGTGGGTGGCAATGAGGCAGCTAAAATTAATGACCCTCCAGACCAAGCACAATGACCTTGCAAAGCAATTGGGCTTCAGATGCAACCTACACACGTTCTTTTTTTTATTATTAGCATCGCCTGGAGACAGCCTCCCTATACCAAACAAAGCCAGCTTTTCCTGCACTGTGCTGTGGAAAATTCCAGAGCCATGGCTGTGCCCTTCTTAGGCTGCTGAGGTCAAAGTCGGTCAGAAATAGGTGAATCTCCATCAGATGGGGCTTTTCCCCAGCAGAGTTTCATCAAGTCAGGTTCAGAACTTGGGATCCTTGGTCCCCCTATGGACTGCTCACTGCACTTGGGCTGTACCTGCTTCTTCACTGAGTGGGTGGGGGCTCCCCTACTTGGCAGGTATCAGGACACATTGTACAGTCCTTCCCACCTCATTGAGGTGGAGCACATAAACAGATGAGAATGAAAGTGAGGGCAGCGGCGTTTGTATGGATGGGGGTGGGGAATGTGGTGTGGAGGGGCAGGAGGCTTCCAAATCCAGGTGTCAGAGAGCTCAGGTGTTTCCTTGCCTACTAACGTCCTTCCCCGTGGTTTGCATCCTATCAGAGCTTTAGGCTGTCCAGAGTGTGGAATCCAGGACTAGAACCTCACTGGTTCCACAGTAGAGAGGATGGCTCTTTCTCCTTTTTGAGATTCCTCTCATTCCCACTGTGTGCTCGGATGACGATGAGCTATCTTCTCCCCACTTGGAAGCATGCCTTCCCCCAAGAGGTGGGGAACTGAAGTGCCTATATCTGGAACCAGGTGTCCTAGATGTGAACCTCAGCCCTGTCTTGGCTACATGTGTAACCTTGGGCAAGTTCCATAACCTCTCTGAGCCTCAGTCAGCTCATCTGTAAAATGGTGATAATCACAGCTAAGAAAATGGCCAGATGGATTAAATTAGTTAACACATGAAATGTGCTTTGAAACATACTGGCACACTAGTAAGCACTCAATAATTTTCAGCTGTTGCTACTCCAGTGAGTAAAACTGGGTCCCTCAGATAAGCAACACCAGAGAGCAAACACCAGAGAGACCTTTAGAAACACTCAACGCTCAACTCACTTCTTATTGTCTGGTGGCTTTGAATAATGTACTTAATCTCTCTTCAGCTTTATAAAATGAGTTCAATTGCTCCAAACTTTGCTAGTTCCTGTTTGTCTCCTGCCTAATATCAGGTAATATTATTCCTTCTCATACTGTGGTTGATTTAGAAGTGCATAGTAATGGCTGGGTAATAGTAATGGTGGTGGCTCACGCCTGTAACCCCAGCACTTTGGGAGGCTGAGGCAGGTGGATCTGAGACCAGCCTGGCCAACATGGTGAAACTCCATCTCTACTAAATACAAAAAATTAGCCAGGAGTGGTGGCGCATGCCTGTAGTCCCAGCTACTTGGGAGGCTGAGGCAGTCGAATTGCTTGAACCCGGGAGATGGAGGTTGCAGTGAGCCAAAATTGCACCATTGCACTCCAGCCTGGGTGACAGCGAGACGCCATCTCAAAAACAAACAAAAAAAGAAATGCGTAGTAAGTATACACAAAATATTTCAAAAGGATTTCTTCTCCACAACTCTTCAGGGACCCCTTAAGAAAACAGACTCCAATTGTATTAACCATTGTATTACTTTTAAGAAGTCAACCAGGCATGGTTCTATTTGGCACCAAAGTTCTATTCAGGAAATGGCAGCCCCCTTCCCTTTGACCCCCAATACTAAATCTACAGTTCTAGAACAATTCACTTCCTAAAAAATTGTGGGCATCTTAAACCAATATTGGACAGAAAGGCAGGTCAGCTCTTCCTCTATTGCTTAATATTATCCTTCTTGTTGCCTTATGGAGGAAGCTCTTGAGAGTAATATAATATTGTTTGTGACACTCACTGATCTTCACCCAGCTCTTAGCACAGTGGTCAGGAATTGGTTGTGAGCTAACTTGTGCAACCTCAATATAAACCCAAGGAATTGTTTCTTTGACATTAATAACATCATGAGAGGATGCTTGACTCATCAAAACATTTCAGAGTGGTATGACTCAATGCATTCTTGCTCTTTTTTCCTTTCCTGAATGCCTTGATATCTCCTTTCAAGGCTCTACATGCTTCTCTCTACCCCATCTATGCTGTAGAGCGCCGGGTTCCACCAGTGGCATTGTAGCCTCTGTCTCCCTCCACCATATGGACCTGAGAACTTGCCTTCTCAGCCTAGTCCTACAGAGAAGTCCTGCGGAGTCATGTAGAGGACAGAGGAGGAGCTTGCAAAAAACCTCTGACTTTGCTAGAAACATTGTAGCTCTAGAAAGTCTATGTGGCCTCTAGAACAATTCAGTCCCTCTGGTAGAAGAGCCGATTGCAGTGCCTTCAAACTCTCCCCCTTGGAGTCTGACTCCAGTCCCCATTTTTTTTTGTTTTAATTTTTAATTTTTTTAGACAGAATCATGCTTTGTCACCCAGGCTGGAGTGCAGTGGTGTGATCTTGGCTTACTGCAACCTCTGCTTCCCAGGTTCAAGCAATTCTCCTGCCTCAGCCTCTGAGTAGCTGGGACTACAGGTGTGTGCTACCACACTCAGCTAATTTTTGTATTTTTGGTAGAGACTGGGTTTCACCATGTTAATCAGGTGGTCTTGCACTCCTGACCCCAGGTGATCCTTACAGAGAAGGATCGCCTGCCTGCCTTGGTCTCCCAAAGTGCTGGGATTACAGGCATGAGCCACCACACCTGGCCTCCACTCTCCATTATTATCAAGCCCACCCCAAGCAGGCCCTCAGCGTCTCCCTTGGAGGCCACCACACCTTCCTGAATTAGTTAAGTAACTTTCCCCTTGGTGGCCTCTTTAGCAGCATCTCTAGGGAACAAGCAACCAGTGAAACAAGTCTGGGCCCCATATCGGGGGTCCTGGGCCTTCAAAGCCTAGCCCAGCCCATGGCTTAGGTCTGCAGCTACCAGGCAGGCTTAGCATCCACAGCTCAGGAAGCCTGCCTTTCCCTGGAAACTCGATTCTAGTGATCATCTCAGGCAGAGCTGGTGACTCAGGCCCTCCTCCCCTTCCCAAACTCCCTCTGGCTGCTGTCTGACCTGCTGTGACTTCTTTTTGCTTTCAAGGCTGCTCTTGATATTTATCTTAACCAGATTTTACATGGTATGATGTGCCTGGGGCCCCAAATTTTCCTGGGGAAGGCCAATTCCTCTCTCTGCTGTTCACAGTTTGCCAAAATGGGCAGGGATGGGCTGTGGAAAAGCTGCCTGTGGGCTTGGGGAACTTGAACAGTCTTTGGCTTATGCAATTGTCTAGTGTCATTTAGGTTATAATTTTCTAAAGATGAATTTGTCAGAGGCCAACATTTTCTATGGAATAAAAACAACCAGCTTACAACAGTAGCATGAATGATAGACTTGCAAAATGGCTAAAGAAGTAGGGAGAGGAGAAAGTTGTAGTTGTATTGTTTGGGGAGCGTAAGTCCAGGCATTGGGTCAAAGATAAGGGAAGCTTTTCTAGAAAAGCTTTCTCAATATTTTCACACTTAATTCTCAGAGCCAGTTTATGGAGGTGAGCATTGCTCTCCTCTTACAGATGAGGAAACCAAGGCTCAGGAAATGTAAGCAGTCTGTCCAAGGTCACTGAATTAGTAATAATAAGAACAGCTAACACTTATTTCATGATTACCATATGCTAGGAATTGTTCGGAGTGCTCCACAAATACTAACTTACTTGATCCTTACAATAACTTGACCCTGTTGGGAGAAAGGCATTGTATACTGCTTGTTTTTTAAATCATCCCCAAGGCCTGCTTTTTGTTGTTGTTGTTGAGAAAGTTGAGGCAATGAGACATTAGTGGTCTGTTAAGGTCACCTAGCTGTTGCCAGAGCTGGGACTTAAACCAAGAAGTCAGACTCCAAACTCTCCTCTTTTAACCAGAGTTTTGCTATACATACCCTTTTTCAAGAAAGTAGTAGAGATGAGATTTCATGTTTAAATGGCACCCCCCTTCCAATATCCTAGAAATTCAAATCACTGGTGGGCTGCGTGCACACACACATATGTGTGTGTGTGTGCACGTGTGTGTGTGTGAGTGAATGTGGGGAAAAAGTCAAACATGCAATCCTAGACTCCTCAATCATGTAATCTGGAACTATTTGCTTGCCTACCATTTTCTTGCATGGGGCGTGGAGTGTTGGAAGAAGGCTCACTTTCTACCCTTTGTGGGATAGAATCAGCTCACATCAACTATCAAGAAAACTAGCCAATGTAGAATCAAGTGTTCAAATCTAAGTCTTGTCCAGAGCAGCTGGTTCTGATTATACTCTTCCCCGAGGACAGGGCCATCTCTTGCTTATTCTGGGGTCTCCGTGGCCTCACTGTATGAGTGGAAGATTGTTCCTAAGTGTGAGGAATTCATTCCATTTTTTTGTTTGTTGAACTGCAAATCAGATTGCCTTGGGCATGAAAGAATGGAGGATGTGGTTAAGTGGGCAGGAGGGAAAGTGGAGAATGTTTCAGAGAGAGACAAGGAAAGCAAAGGGTTGAAGGTAGAATAAGTCTGATGTCTCTGGGAGCAGGCAAATGATTGGGTTGACTGAAGTAGAAACTGAGTTCGAGAGAAATGAAAAATGACCTTGGATGGAGGATGTAGACAGATAACGGAACATCAGTTAGAGGGGTATCAAGTGGGTACAGCTGGTCAAAGGGAGTCACTGAAGATTTAGAAAGAGATAAAGTCTATGCTGGGCACAACTTTGGTGAAGATCACCCTGGTCAAGGGAGACTAAATGAATTGAAAGACAGCGTCCAGAAAATCAACCAGGAGATGGCTGCAGTAAGCCAGGGTGAGGGAGTGGAACCACTACAACCAAAATGGTGAGGACAGAGTGGTCCCCAGAAAATTGAGCCATCAGATCTCAGGGACAGATGGCTTTTAGAGCTCATCTACTCTAGCTGCCTTTATTTACCCTGTCCCCAGGGAATGGGTTGAATTCCCTCAATGATTTTCTAGCCCAGCCAGTGACTGCTCAGTGTTTGAATGAATACCGAAAAGGAAGAAGAACTCACTACCTCCTCTTCCATTTTTGGAAAACTTCAACTATCTGAAATATCTTTGTAGTAGGCTAAATCTGGCCTCCCATGAAATTTTATACATGGGTCATTACAGAAGAATCAGCTTCTCTGAACAAAAAGAATGATATTTATGGGAATAATGAAAAGAGAGAAGATCTGAGTCCAAGGCATGGACGCATGGTTTTGAGTAGGTCGGTGAAACCCCGTGGGGCTTAGTCACTTCTGTGGAAATGACAATGATACATGTCCTGCCTAGTTCTCTGCTCCACTTGGAGGATCAAATGATAGCTTTGTGACAATGCTTTGGAAACTTCAAAGTGTCACATATAGGAGGGGCAGATAAGATCCTTAATGCTCTGCAGGAGGGACTATGGTACATAAGTAGCTGGGAAAGCCAGATCCATATTCCAGCTCTGCCACTTTCTAGCTGTGTGGTGTTTTAGGCTTGCTACTTAACTTTTCTAACCCTCGTTTCCATAGGTGCAAAAAAATATAAAAATAACCCTACCTCAGAAAGTTGTTGTAATGACTAAATTTGATAAAGTATTTAAAGGCACTTAGCACAGGGTTTGTCTGGAATATAACAAATGGTGAATAAATGTCATTATGACTGATAAATGATGACAACCTGCATATAGGAAATGAGTGGAGAAAAAGGAGTCGAGTTGATGGACTTAAACTTGAGTGAGTTAAGAAAATGGTGGTAGCATTGCCAGAGCCTGGGAATATAGGAAAGCTGGTTGGAATGATCTAGCAGATGTATTGAAACTAAGCAACTCCTGGCGTAGCACTGTGCGTTTAACCACATGCCACAGGCAGTACTTTGTCAATGGCAGTATTTTGTCAGTGGCAGTATTTTCAGCCTGCTCAATGCTGGATGGCTGTGTTCTTTCTCTAACACACAACTCTTGTGATATCAACAAGACACACAACTCTTGTTATCTCTCCTGCTATATCAACCCATATAACAAGAGTTGATGGAGCAAAATATAGTGCAGACGCTCACAGCCCCTTCCCCCTACAGCCATGCCATAAGCAATCAGGAGTGCCTTTCATTGTTGCCAGATAGAGTGTCATGTTTAGGTACCAAAATGATGAAAGAAATGTCATCACCTACACATTCCTTCAGAGGGGCCATCCTGTCCTTGGCCAGCAGAACTGTCTGGCGGAAGAGTTGCACATCCGTAGATACTTGGCATAAAACTCACACGAAGAGAAGGTAAGTAGTTACAAAGGGCTTTTCTCACAGTGGTCTCAGTGGCTGGGACCATTTAGAATGGTCCCAAGCGTAGCTGCTATTTAATCAATTATGAAGTGCTAGGTAAAAGATGAACCAGCATTAGCAGGTAAAAGGTGCAGTGCTTGCTGGGGGTGAATGCTCATGGCGGGTGCAGTGAGGAGCATTTTGTATCAACCCACCTAAGTGCCTTGTAGGGCAAGAGCATGACTTTGATTTTTTTTTTGAGACACGGTCTCATTCTCTCACCCAGGCTGGAGTGCAAAGGCACAATCACAGCTTACTGCAGCCTCAAGCTCCCAGGCTTAAGCACTCATCTAGCCTCAGCCTCCTGAGTAGCTGGGACCACAGGCGTGCACCGCCATGCCTGACTAATTGTTTTATTTTTGTAGACATAGCATTTCCCTATGTTGTCGATGTTAGTCTTGAACTTTTTGGCCTCCAGTGATCCTCCCACCTCAGCCTCCCCAAGTGCTGGGATTACAGGTGTGAGCCACCATGCCCAGACTTAAGATCTTTTGAGGTCAGGAGAGGGAGAAAGCTTTGGAAAGCCTCTCAAGAAAGTTTCTTCAATTGACTATCAGACAAACCAGTCTCCACTTATGGGAGCCCCATTTTACAGATGAAGAAGCTAATAATTAGAGTTTCTACAGCTTGCCCCAAATCACACAATTTGTCTTGTTCCCTCTCCAAATCCAGCTAGGCTGAGGGAAAGAAATAATAATTTTAGAAAGATGCAGAGAGAAATAAAGGCAAAGCAATACCCAGGGATGATAGGTGCCAGGTCATCTCTAGCTTAGCAAAGGACTTCATACGAATGGATGTTGATAGTAACATTCAATTAACTCATCCCACATGGCAAACTTTCAGTTATGTATCCTGGAATTTCTTCTGCTTCTCTGCCCTTAAATCTCTTCCATAAAGTAGTGGTTTCTAAACAATTCTTCTCAGTCCAGATCTTTCTCCTGAGTTCAATAATCCTGCATCTATTGCCCACTGGATTCTCCACCTGGATACTTTACAGGTATCTCCAAATTACCATGTTCAACAAGCCTTACCACTTTAGCCCAGCACTGATACCCCTCCTGTGCTTCCAATCTAGGTGAGTGCCACCATCATCCAATCAGGGGAGCCTGCGCCAGGGAGTCATCCCCGATCCCTCCTCACATCTAATCCCTCACAATTTCAGTCTGTTCTATCTCCTGAACAGCTCTCCATTCCATCTGCTCATCCCCATCTCCAGCACCAGCCCATGTCTTTTAGCTCAATCATTTCTATACCATATGGTGGATTTATCTTCCTAATTGGTCTCCTGGACTCGATATTCTCCACCCCCCACGCCAATTCTGTCATTCATTCTGTAGCCAGAATGTTCTCTCTGAAATTCAAACCTTATCAGACCACTCTCCTACCTAAAATCTTGCAACGCTGCTCCCTCAATACAGAATAAAGCTCGAAGGAATGACATACAAGAGCCTTAAAAATTTGGCCCTTGCTTCAATTTTACCCTCATCCTCTATTGCTCACCTTACAAACTGTAGCAGACTCTTTTGGTGCCCTGCACACACCATTTGGCCTCATCACATCCATATGCAGAAACAAACTTACAGGGGAGAGTGTTGCTTTGTACTTCCTTGAGGCCTGTGCTCTGTCAGGCACACATGGCAGGCCAGAAGAGGGAGCGAACTGACCCCCGGGAGTTGTCCTCAACCAATGACAGAGATTTAGTATATGAAAAGCACAGCTACATTGCCTCATCAGTGGGGAAACTCTGAGGCCTATGTTATATACCATTTTCCAGAGTTTCTCCACGACGTTGAACTCCAGTTGCCCCTCTGGTAGCTTACAGTAACTGGCTTGATGACATAACCTTCATTGGCTGCATTCCCTTCCCTATCTGACTCTCCTGCTTCACCACTGGCGTTTTCTTTGACCTCCCCTAAAAAAACTCTTGGACTTGAATCTTTGTCTCAAGGTCAGCTGCTGTTGAGGTCAACTAAGACACATCCTCATGCTCTGGCGTTTCCAAGAGACTTCCAGTCCCCCAAGCCCATGATACACTCTCCCACTTAGAACAGCCATTTGAAGTGTGCCCACTCCTTTCTTTCTTCTTCCAGCAAACTTCTACTCATTCTCTACAACTCAAAGTAGCCTCCTCTGTGAAGAATTATCTGAATCTTTCCTACCACATCATTATGCAGCTGAATTAATTCTTTCTGTGCTTGGTTGTGCTTTGTACATATTTTAATTTATAATTTAATATATATTTAAATTGATAATTTATATTTTAATTTATAATTTTATTTATTTATAATTATGTATATCAACTGGTGATTCTGCACATATGTGTCTCCTTGACAGGGACTAGTTGCTCTTTAAGGTCAAGAGTAATTTTCTGTGATCTAGACCACAACTTGCCATGTGGTGAAGTGATCGAAACATTTTGGTAAATAAATAAGTTGACTATTGGACGTTAGGGATGCGAAAAGCAGTGACACGATAGTTAAAAGCTCCATGAAAAGGCACTCAGTAATTCATTCATCATCTAATTATTGAGCGCCTACTACATGTCAGGTACTATTCCAGGCATCTGAGATACAGTAGTAGGCAAAACACAGATCTCCTTCCTGGTGAAGTTTACATCATAACACAGGAGATATAAAGTAAACTAGTAAATTTTGCATGATTAGTACGGTTAGAAGCTACTAAATTCTATGAACCAAAAAGCTGAACAGGGCAAGCAAATCAGGGAGTGCTGGTAAGGGGTAGCGATAGGAACGCAGGTTGCAAGTAGAATGTAATGGGATCCAGGAATCACAACAATATAACTCAAAAGAAAGGTGTGTACATTACGCTGGAGTTGTTCTGAAAGTTAGTTGACAAGGTTAATTACCAACATGCAGTACAGTAATTTTGCTTTTAGTAGGCTAGACATTTGTGGCTTCAGAGCACACCAGCCCTATTCTATCTAGGCTTGAAATATCCTTAGTTAAAAATGACTGCTTTCTTAGACATGTGGTCCCCAGGCAGATTGCCTGCTGTGAATCCAGTTTTTAATGCAAAATGTCTTTCCAGCACAGAAGTTCACTGCCAATTTATTGAAGTTCATGGAGAGAATGATATCAGTTGACAAAAATATATTAGAGAGGGGTGCTAAGTTTCAGGAGGTAAAGTGAAGGGATAAAATAGACCAAGGACTATGCATCCAGGAAAGCAAACATTTTCAAATAAATTCACATCACAGTTACCATCAATCCACTTCTCAGCAAAACCATCCAGGTTGGAAAAAAAATACCGCATGAGCAATCAGAATTATTCTTCTCTGCCTAATAGTTAATTTGGTGAATTTACCTTTTGAACATTCTCATATGAAAAGAACTGCAAAGATTAGAGAGTTAAATGGGATCCAGAGGTATAAGAATATTTTTAAGAACAGATGACTTATAAATTAGATTGACAGAGGTTCAAGGGAGATGATGGCTCACTGTAATGGGAGGCTCTAAAAATAAAATTCTGAAACTATAAATCATAAAAGGTCTCAATGAGGAAGAAAGGCAAAGGCAAGAGGCACTTAAGGAAACCACTACCACTTCACAGACAATTCTGTGAATTTGGTATTTTAATATTTATGAGGAGGACAGAGCTTTCAGGGTTTCCTGCCAGGAGTCCTGGATCCCTGCAGAGGATGGAATACTGAGAAGGGCCTCTTTAAACTTTGCAGTGGCTCCTGGAGAACATAACATGACCCAGATTTCTTTACATGGCACCCAGGGTCATTGCAGTCAGACCCTTGGCAGCATTGTTAGCTCATCTCTCTCCCACTGTGCCTCAGTCCTTGGGACCTGCTACGGTTTGAATGTCCCCTCCAAAACTCATGTTGAAATTTAATTGCCATTATGACAGTATCAAGAGGAGAGACCTTTAAGAGGTGATTAAGTCATGGGGGCTCTGCCTTCATAAATGGACTATGCCATTACTGTGAAAGTGGGTTCGTTACGGTGAGAGAGGGCTCCTGATAAAAAGATGAAGTTTGGCTCCCATTTCTCTCTGACACATGTACGCTTTCTTGCCATGTCATGCCTTCTACCATGTTATGATATAGCAAGAAGGCTCTCACCAAATGCAGCTGCTTGATCTTAGACTTTCCAGCCTCCAGGACCATGAGCCAAATAAAGTCCTATTTTTTATAAACTACCCAGTTTGTGGTATTCTGTTATAGCAGCAGGAAGCAGACTAAGACAGCCCCAAGGCTCCATCAGGGAAAAATTCCTGGCACTTTCCAGGTGCTCACACCTCCCTGTCCCTTTCCAGCCTCCTATCTCCAGCTCTATCCTTCCACTCCTACCTCCTGCCCAGGGGACTGACAACCCATTCGGTAGAGCATATCCTCTCTAATTCCTTTTCATAACACGTGTTAACACATCAGGGCATTTGCTCCCTCATTTAGATCCCTTTATTACAGTATAAAATCTGTAAAGGGAGGAAATGTATTCTATTATATCCTTATATACCCTTATATTATATTCCCTATGCCCAGCTCAGTACTTAACACATAGTAAGTGTTTAATAAAAGTTAGATGAGTAAATAGTTAACGAATTAATGCAAGATACACACAAAAGAGTATTGCAGGAAGCATTCAACAATCCAGCGGACATTTATTCAGTGAGTTAGTGTGTACCACATGGTAATGTTCTCATGAGGACATATTATTATTTCCACTTCACTGAAGTAAAAATGGTGGCTCAGAGAATTAGACAAAAAATCCAAGTGTGGGAGGCCGTAAAATGGCCTCCAAAGATATCCAAGTCCTCATGTCTGGGACCTGTGAGTATTACCTTGTACAGCAAAAGGGATTTCCCAGATGTGATTAAGTTAAAGATCTTGAAATGGGGAGATTATCCTGGATTATCAGGGTGGCACCAATATAATCACAAGTGTTCTTAGAAGAGGAAAACAGAAGGAGAATTTACTACAGAAGAAGGTGATCTAATCTCTCTCACTGTAGAGTGAGAGATTTAACGAGGCTACTGCTGGCTTTGAAGATGGAGGAAGGGGTCATGAGCAAAAGAATGCCAGGAATGCAGCTCTAGAAGCTGAAAAAAACAAGAAAATGGATTCTCCCCTGGACCCTCTGGTAGGGTGGCCCTACTGAAACCCTGATTGCTGACTACTGACCTCCAGAAGTGTGAGGGAATAAATATGTATTGTTTTATGGTACCAAATTGTAGTTATCTGTTAGAGCAGCCATAAGAAATTAATACAGCAAGATTACAAATGCAGTTCAGTATAGGCGAGTCAGCAGGTGCATTGTCCTAACTCTGGAGCTCTGCCATTATTAGCTGTGTGGTTTTGGATGAATTACTTTATCTCTTAGTCTCAGGGCAAAAAGCTATGTGAAACACCATTCTTCCAGAAGCATCAGGCAATAGCCTTGTTTGCGCTCTGTGAGGTGGGCTGATGCTCATCTTAGCATTGCCCTTGTGGACAGGACACCACTGGACAGAGGCAAGTGGAGACAATTAGCTGTGCCCTGCCCACTGCTCAAATGTTCCTATAGCAGCCCTGTTAAGGAGAGTTGCACCGGCAGCCTGGGGAGAGCAGGGACTGGGTGTGGTGCAGGGAAAGGGGCTCTGTCTTCTGGGGTGGGGATGTTTCGTATGCTTCCAGATGCATCACCCATTTAATCCTCAGCATTGCTGCTGTTAATACTTTCTTTTTATAGATGAGGAAAGTGAGAATTTGAGAGATTTAATACTTTATCCAAAGTTACATGCTAAGTGGCTGAGCTGGGACTTGAACCCACATCTTTCTAGTATCATTACTAAGACTATGTAGTTAACACCAGTGTTGGTGGTTCTCAAGGTAGGACCAGCAGCATCAGCATCAACTGGGAATTTATTAGAAATATAAATTCTCAGATTCCACCTCGGATCTACTGAATTACAAATTCTGAGGTGGGGGTGGCAGATAGGAATCTGTGTTTGAACAGGCTGTCCCGGTGATTCTGATGGCCACTCAAGTCTGACAGCCATTGCTCTATGCTCATTGCCTTAGAGTCCTTCGGAAAGACTGTCGCCATCTCAACCCAGGCTTAGGCTGCTTGCTACTCTGGGTTATTGCTTAGCACCAGTAGTAGAAAGTGGCCAATGTGCACAGTGCAAGCATATTTCCAAACTTGCCATCCGGAAGGGTGGGTATGGTGTATGTCCTCTTGGTAGAGGGTTTAGGAGGGAGGTGAAGGAGGGATCCAGCACAGAGTCAGAAATTCTGCCGATTACCTGGAGAGTGAGTTTGATTTGAATCATTCAGTAAGACATGGCTAAACATCATCTGTATTTTATTTCTGAATTGTCTAATAATTAGCCTGAGACAACAAAAGGAGGCTGATGTTGTCTCGTTGACAACCATTTGATTAAGCTACAGGTTTAAAGCACCTGCCTGTATCTGGAATTCTCAATGTTAGACATGGTCCCTACATTCCTTGGAGCTTATAAGACAGGGAGACGGAACTTCAGTGATGGAAGCCCAGAGAATACATATTACAGAATGGTGGGGTATGAGTTAGATTCTGGAGGAGGGTTTCAGGCCTCCAAGTTCTGCTGGCCTCATAAAGAATTTGTGAGCTTGGACATTCCTGAATGATGTACCTGTTCATCAGTTTTTTTTCTGGCACAGACATCTGAGGTCAAGTTGCCCCAGCCCCATACGAGGGCCCTCTATGGTCTGCGAATGTCTCGCCACCTCCTCACGCTGTGTTCTGTGTGGGAACAGCATAGGCGGGTCTTCATTCTCCAGCTCTGGATCATCGTGTTTTACACCTACAGAGCTGGAAGCGGGAGGTGGAGGGTTGAATACGGAAAGGGACAGTGAGGGCTAACCTAGTAGTGAGATAGCTGCAAACTGAGGTTTATATATTTTGGTGGGGGAAAAAATACCTGACAATGAGATCTTTCTAGGCAGCAAACCTAAAGAAATGACAGATATGGTGAGAGTGTGGAAAGACAATTTTTCAGCTTTTGGTAGTTATATAACCCCTTAGACTTGTAGCATATTTTGAGATGACCCCTTTGCTGAACCAATTTCTGATTTCTCCTCCTGTGCTCAGCTACTTCCAACATAGTCTGTGACACACTCACAAAGGTTGCAGTAACTCAACAGTGATCCAGCCAGTGAATTTATGTTTTCCATCTGACATAATTTAATTCTTGCCCTCCCTGCCCCCAAGTAGGAGTCAAACCAAAAGAAGCACCAACATCTTATTTGTCCTGCCTCTTCAACTGTGCCACGGTATTTTTATTCATTCATTTGTTCATTAAAAAACTGTTTACTGAGCTAGTATTTGTGCCAGCAACTGTGCTAATTATGGGGTATGCAACGATGAGAAAAAGCAAATGCACTCCTGCCCTCATGCTTAGAGTCTGGAGTGGGACTCAGACATCCAACAAATAAGAACAAACACAATTGTGGACCTGTGATTCCAGCACTCTAGCCTTAGGGAACCATGTCTGCAAAGGGTCCAGTGCGGGGAGGCTTGGCCACCGGGACAGGCTAAAGGAAGGCCAGAGAAGGGGGGAGAGAGTAGAGGAGAGAAAGAGAGAGAGAAGAGAGGAGAAGAGAGGAGAGGGAAGAGAGAAGAAAGAAAGAAAAAGAAAGAAAAATGAAATTGAGATGGGTGTAGGGGTATCAGACTTCGCAGGACATGTTAATGGATCCTGTATTTACCCCAGTAGCCACAGGTTTTAGCAGGAGAGCATTGTGATTAGATTTGCATTTTGAAAAGTCACTTTAGCTTCTTTGCGGAACTAGAGAAGATTCACAGAGTGCTTCTGGGAAGTGATGATGATAGCCAACCTAGGACGGTCATGGTGGGGATAGAGGGAAGAGGACAGATTCAAGAGAAACTCAAGAGGTAAATTAACTAGCTGGGTGATGGATTGGATATTAGTGGAGGCAGAGGGATCAACAATGAATAAAAAATTCTGGTTTAAGTAATATTAGTAACCAACATGTTTTTGCCTAATACATATAGGCACTGTCCTAAGTACTTTTATGGGTTGTCATTTAATCCTCAAAATGTTCCTGGAAGAGAGGTAGGATTACCATCATCCAAATGGGGAAGCAGGGGCACAGAGAAGTTAAATGTGTTCCCTAAGATCACACAGCTAGTAAATGACAGAGCCAGGATTTGAACCCAGGCAGCCTCCCTTCAGATTCTGTGATAGTAACTATGACATTGAACCATGTCTTGAAAAGATCAACTTGGGATCTGGCAAAAGGACATATTGTGATTGAGCAGGTGTGTTCTCATTGTGCTAGTTTCCACTGCTGCCATCACAAGTTACTATAAACTTTGTAGCTTAAAAAAGCACCCCTTCACTAACTCACAGTTCTGTAGGTAAGACAGCTGGGTACGGTGCGGCTCAGCTGGTTCTCTGCTCTGAGTTTTACAAGATTGAAATCAAGGTGTTATCAGGCTGCATTCTTTCTGGAGGCTCTGAGCCTGGGTCTGTTGCAAGTTCCTCGGCTGTGGGCCAAGTCCATCTCACACTTTGAATCTCTCTAACTTCCCCTTCTGCCTTCTGCTTGTTTTGCCTTCTTCTACCACACCTCTCTGATTGCCTCTACCTTGGGCCCATCTGGACAATTCAGGCTGATCTCTCTATTTTAAGTTCATTTGATATTAACCTTTAATTTCTCCTGCAAAGTCCCTTGTCAACAGTGAGTACCCAGGGAATGAGAATGCAAGTTTAGAAATCTGCTGTCACACTAGACAATTCCTGGCCGCTTATTGCTGCTGCTGGTCCACACTTTTAGTGGCAGGGTCCTAAAGCATTGGCTTTAATGAGTTTGTGCCAATGGTTTTGCATGTGTTTTAGGACCAGTGATGGAAACTCTGTGAAGTCTCCTGCTATTTTCTCTTTACATGGAACAGAATAGCTGGAAGGTTCACAGGGATGATGCTGAAGAAGGGGAAACTGAGGTGTAGACACATAGAGAGCTATGCTGAAGTTTTACAGAATTCACGCTAGAACTTAGTTGTCCAAGTATTGGATCAGAGCTATTCCTTTCCTGTCATTTGCTCAATTTTTCATTTAATTATTCATTCATTCATTTTTTTCAACTATCCATAACAGTTATCAAGCACCTTCTCTACAAGATATTTTACCAGGTTCACGACATATAAGGCATTTACAGACTTTGCCCCCATCAAACAAACTATGTAGTGAGAATTACATATATTAGACAAATATTCCTACAAGTAACTAGATATTTATCATAAAATTAATATAAAAGAAATGTAGAGGCTTCCTAGAAAGCTTACACTAAGGAGATCTAACCTTCTCTGTTAAGGATCAGGAATCAAAGAGGTGACATTTAAACTGAGGCCCAGACGATAGATGATTCGGGTGAGATAACATTAAAGGAGGGGGAGTGATGTGTGGGGGTGTTCTAGGGTGCAGGGCAGAATGGAAGAATCAGGGAAAGTAAATGTGGCAGGAAAATACTTGGGGAAGAAGAGAATGTTGTGAGCTAAGTTTAGAGAGGAGAGGTGGGTCAGATTGACCCTGGCCTTCAAGGCCGTGGAAAGGAATTTCAGTTTTATCCTAGGGAACTGGGAAGTCACAGGGGAGTGGAGTCTCATGCTGAGCTTTGAATTTTTAAAAAGAGCATTCTGGCTGTTGTGGAAAATGGAATAGGAGATGAAGATGAAGACACATGACTGTGGACAGATGGGGTGTGTTCAGGGAGGCTAATGAGGAGATACTGCAATATCCCAGGTGAGAAGTAGCTTGATCCAAAGTGTTAGACTAGGATAGGGGCAGAAGAGATGAAGAACAGAAAGTGGATCTGGGAGATTTGGGAGGTAGAACTGTCTTGACTTGGTGTTGGATCTGATGTGGGAGTGACGAAGGAGATGTTCAAGATGACTTCCGGTTTCTGCCATATTTGTGGCTCTTCTGATAACATAGAACAATTAAACATTATATTCCTATATATAATAAAAAGCCTTACTTTTTTCATAGTTTAGCTTTTATTATATTGCAACCATTGTGATTTCGGTGGCAAGAAATCCTGTTTAATATCACCTGGAAAGAATTTGTTTCACCAGATTTGTCAAAGGAGCTCACAGAATTTGTATTAAGTATTTGTATTAACTTTCAGCATGCTAATGTTTCTTCTAATGTTCCCAATAACTCCATTTTATTTCTTCTTCATTTCAACTTGGGCTAGAGAATGCAAACAATAGCCTCTTTACAAAGAAATTATGAAAGGAAGTGTCATGTCATCATATCCCCATTTCTTTGTAACAGCCACTGCCTCATTTACCTTAGGTCCATTTTGATTTTGTCCATATGGCCCATTGGTTGTTACTAACTTTAATGATCAAATATTGACTCCTGCCTTGTTCACACAAAGCATGATGTAGCCACAGTGTGTACTCCTGGGTGGACATTAATAACATGCACCTGGGACCTGACAGCACCAGCTAAAATATAGAAACCCGTCGCACACTCCACAATCATAGCGTGAAGCTTGTTTTGATGGAATCCTCCTTGGCTCTTGTATTTCTCCTTGTGGGTGCTCTGATATCAGATTGTCTGGGTTTAAATTAATCCCAGACCTTCTATCTACCACTGGAGTACCTTAGGCATTTACCTCATCTGTTTCCTTATTTGTAAAATGGAGATAGAATCAGGCTATTGGAAGTACTGAATTAAATAACCCATATGAAGCCTTTAGCTCAGCATATAGGAAGTACTCCGCATATGGGGGTTACTGTTTTCATTGTTAGGGAAGGGAAGTGCTAGCACATCATGTTTTTTCCTTTTGTTCTTCTCTGGTGATGACAGTTTAGAGGGCTAGGGGATCTTCTCTTAGGAGAAAAAGATGGTACTGAGCAGGCTTATGGTCCCAAGTCCAGTTTTGCAAACAGGCCTTGCCAAATTGTTGCTCTGACTGTGGACATCACAGTGAACAGAAGCTGTGGGCTGCTGCCTCTCATGTGAGCTTGCACCCTGTTCTTTCGTTCAACTGGCTCAATACAGCCATCAGTGCCTGGGGACTGAGCAAATCTGGCCGCCTCAGCATTCTGTCTGAGTGAATGCTTCTCAAATATGTTGGCAGGAGGCCAAGAGTTGACTTGATGGGGTCCTTGGGCAAATCAATTAGCCTCTCTGAAAAGAGGGTTGATGACATTGATGACAAGAGGGTGGAGGAAGGGAAACAGTCCAGCGAAGGTTCTTTACCGGTTGACCCCACTCATCTCTCCATCCTTTCTCCCAAGCTGCCTGCCCTGCTCATCCCCTGCCTGGGCCTCCAAGTGATCGCCGTCCACAGGACCCTTTCAATGGCTTTGTGCCTTTGCTCAGGTTCTCTCTCTCGAATATCCTTCTTAAACATCATAACCTTCTTTGATTTTTAATTTCTTGCTTATCCTTCAAGGCCCAGGTCAAATGTCACTTCTCTCGGATGTTTTCTTATTCATTCATTCCACAAATATTTCTTAAGCAAGGCATGTGCTGGACATGTAAGATACAGCTGTGAACAAGACAGATGAAGCACCAGCTCTCACGGGGCTGGCTGACAACAAGTAACGAACCATAAAATGTCATGTGGTGAGTGCTATGGAAAGTCAAAACGAGGTGGGCAGGTGTGGGGTCAGTGGTGGAAGGAACTGCTCAGAGGAAGTTATTTTTGAACTGAGACCTGTGGGATGAGAAGAAGCCAGCCATGTGAAGGGCAAGGGTCCTGGGTCCCAAACAAGCTGGTTTTGTTTGAAGGATGAAAAGAAAGTTGGCATGACTAGAACATGTGAGGGCATGGGGGATGGTGGTGTGAGGTGACAGCACAAAGATCTCAGGTAAGGAGTTCAGATTTTATGCTCAGTAAACAGAGATGAAATCTGATTTTCCATTTGTAATGGCACTATGCTGTGTAGGGAACTGATTAGGGAAAGGAGAGAAAATAGGAGAGGAGAGGGAGAAGTCTGGGAGCTGGTTCGGAGGCTGTTGCAGCAGTCTGGGATGGCAACAATGGTGGTTTGGCCACAGTCACAGCTATGGAGTGGGCAGAAGTAGACCATTTAGAGATATATTTGGAAATACAGTGAATGCCATTTACTGAGGTGGGAGAGATTTGGTGGTAAAGATGGTCAGGGGGTTGGGGTGTCTGAAGTCTATTTTGGACGTGTTAATTTTGAGATGCCTATTAGACAGCTGAAGGGAAATGTCAAGTAGTTAATTGAATCTACAGGTGTGAATCTTGAGGGAAGAGATCAGGAATCTATATATATTTTAAGAGTCATCAGCATATAGATGGTATTTAAAACCATGAGATTGACAAAGATCTCCTTGGAGAGAGTGTAGAAGGCACAGGGAAGAAGTGAGGATGATATCCAGGAAGACATCCACATATTGCAGTCCCGTACGCTGCCCTTCCACGCCCCACCCCAGTGACCTCCCTGACCACCACCAAGGATAGGACATATCTCTCTCTCCTCTTTTCTGTTCCCTAGAGGGTGAATAGTGACTTCCTCCCTCCTTTGCAGGGCTATGAAGATTCTCAAGATCCTAGATTCTCCAATCTCTGCAGGTCTCACATCATATCAAGCATATTAAAATTCACCTTTATTCTACATTAACATTAATTATAGTCATGTACCATATAATGACGTTTTGGTCAATAACAGACTGTATATATGACAGTGGTCCCATAAGATTATACCATATATTTACCATACCTTTTCTATGTTTAGACACACAAATACTTACCATTTTGTTACAACTGCATGCAGTATTCAGTACGGTAACATGCTGTACAGCTTTGTGGCCTAGAAGCAATAAGCCATCCCATACAGCTTAGGTGGGTGGTAGGCTATGCCATCTAGGTTTGTGTAAGTGTGTTCTATGATGTTTGCATGATGACAAAATCACCTAAGGATGCGTTTCTCAGACATATCCCTGCTGTCAAGTGACAATGGCTGTAAGTATACTTTCTTAGTTGCAGTGGACTAGTTTGACATGATCCACTTTGTAGATATTTAATAAAGATATCATTTGATTTTGATCTTTGCAGTTTTATTTGTACATTTTAGAGTCAACTCCATTTTTAAGGTTTCATGCTATTTTTGGAAGTCCTTGGGAAGCTTGTAGTGCAAGGGCATGGAACCTTAGCACGTGATTAGTGAAGTGAGCTTGCTCCTTTGACTCCTGACAATATTTTATACCCTTTAAAGGCACTTAAACGGATTCACATTGTAACCATGTGTTTTATGTCTAAGTGTCTGTTTCCCTCATTAGACTATAAGTTTGAAGAGGGCAAGAGAACACTCAGAACCTAGTTTGTGGCGGGGACTCAATAATATTTATTTATGGAAGCAACTCTTTTGGAATGAGAAAAAGTCAAGCCCAGGCACACAGTGTGCTTTCTATCTTCACTTGAGAAAAGGCTCTTACCCCCTTGCCTTGCAACATATGTGATGTGGACTTGCTTTTCTCCAGCACTCTTAAAAAGGAATCAGTGTTGTACAGAATGTTGAAGCTGTGGGCTTGAGTCCCAGCCACACCCCTTAACTAGCTGTGCCTCTTGCATCAGAAAATGAATGTCTATCGGCCTGATTTTTGTGTGGGCCAAATTAAATAAATCCATTTTAGTAAAACTCTGTGAAGCTTAAAACACTGTATTTTTAAAATAATGTACTGTTTTCTAAAATGAAAAAAGTAAAAGATCTTACAACTCAAGCCTCAGGGAACGTTTCTGGAATTTTCTAGAAAGTGGGATACAAAATATCTTTTGTTGCCTGACACCTGGCCCTAAAAAAACCACAACTGGATCCAACAATGGTCCTTTAGAGAAGAGACCTTGTAAGAAAGTCCTTTGGTAATAAGCCAGTCAAACTGTCCTTGTAAGTCCCTTGGAGGTAGAGAACGGGAAGGAGTGCTGGCCATCCCAGGTCACATTCTGGTCCGCTGAAACGTAGTGAGGCTGCATAACTGCATCTTTATTGCTCAATAACTGAATCTGGACCTGATCTTCACCTCTAGTGATGAAGAGGAGACAGGATTATACAGATTAGCCCCATTTCTAGGTGCCAAGTAGTTCTAATGAGCTACAGTGAAATTAAGTCCACCTTGGCTATGCCCTGCTAAATATGTCAAAGGCTCTAAAGTATTCTGTGTGAAAACTTCAGATTTCATGAGTCTGCAACAAACATAACATTTAGAAAGGGATGTTCACCAGAGAAGAGAAGAAGATCTGTGCCGTCTTCTACACATATTGGGCGCAGGGCCCTGGGCTGGGTGAGGTCACACTGCAGCTGTCCTCTGTTCCACCTCTACCATCTTGTGGTTGGGGACAGAAGGAGGGGGGGTATTAAATTGGCTGAGCCATAGTTTAAAATTGCCTCCAATATGCAATTTCTGTTCAACACATTGCCGTCTGCCATTGCTCTCTCTGTGCAAGGCTGAATGATAATATGGAAGCTGTTAAGAATGAATGTCTATTTTATATTTTAGCGGCATGACATTCTTTTTACATGAGGGGGATAAGATGTTATGTATTTATTTCCATACTCAGATATGTTGCAAGTATTGATCACTTTGATTGAGAAACTTTAGTAGTTACTATAGCAATCACTTCCCCTTCTTTACCAAGTACTCAGTTTGTAAGTTCTTTAAAAATGAAGGGTAGCTTATTCAGCGGAAAATAATGAATCTGGTAGAAGAGATCAGCAGTGTGACAAGCCTCTGATAACTGGAGTGGAAAGTGAGTGATAATTAGCAGTCTCCCATGGATGTGGGGATTCAGAATGGACACACTATCCTTCTTCTACAAGGTGTACAAATGTAGATTTTTCTGGACTAAACCACCAAATTTTGAATCACTGTTCTTTGTAGCAATAGATAATTAGATTAAAACCATGAGAACATCTTACTTCCCTAAGCACCTTGTATGCAGCAAGTTCACTGGTAACTGGAGCAAGTTCATTGGTAATGTTCTTCCCGCTCTCTTCCTGTCTTCCCAGGTAAGACTCATCCATGCTTCAGGGACCAATTCTAGCTCTACCTGCTTTAGGGAACTGACCAGTCCAATTCAAAGGAATCTCTGCCTGTTCTGAACTTAACAACTCAGTGTACCACTCATTTGAGATTTGGCATGTACTACTTGCTGTTAATTGTCTTAATGTTAAATTGTATTATTATTATGAATCTGGATATGGAATCTCAATCAATTTGTTTCAAGTCTATGTGGCCCAGTTTTCTCATGTGTAAATGGAGGATAATACATTCACCTCTAGAGGAGTCCTTCTGAAAATTGAGAGAGAACATATCCACATCAGTGTGTATATACCTACTCTATATTCTCACATTGTGTAGTACATAGTAAGTGATCAATAAAATTAATTTCTCTCCATCCCTATAATGGGACTTCAAAGCAGTAGAGGCTCTTTCTCATACCTGGTTGTTATCTCCAGATCTTTAAACCTAGTTGGAGCTCAATTTGTTTGTGGCTTTGGCTGGTTTACAATTTCTTTTCCCCAAAAGGCAGAGCACTGAACCTTTAAGACTAGTAATTGCATCTCAGGCACGGTTCAGAAAGATCTATACTCCACTGCTGTTTTTAGCTAGCTCGTTCAGTCCCACCCCCTGGTATGTACCGGAGATTTATTTTAGACAAAAATCATCTTCTAGACATCCAGCCAATGCCGACTTTACGCAAGATGTCAGCAAATTGAACAAAGCCACCTTCCTCTTTAACAGCTTTTACACTGCCTACCTCCTTGCCCCCAGCCATGGCTCCTAACCCTACAGACACATACTAGTGGGTGTGCTGCGCACTACAGGAAGAATGGGACCAGGTGGGCCCTGTTCTGGGGTCCAGCGTCTGTACAATCTGATAGAAACAATACCAAGCCTTTATGGATTTTTTTTCACAGCCTTGCTTTCTAAAGATGGTATTTAATATATATTCATGACCAAATCTAACCCATTCCTTTCTTACATTGCTGTTTCTCACTCCTTCTCAATTCCCTCCTCTGCTCACTCTTTCTTTTCCAACTTTATTTAGATGTTTCATGCACCTCCACCCTTTCCTTCATATTCAGCTTCTATGTAGAAACAGGGAAGTTTCTCATGACCTTACCCTTTCAGAGAAGTTTATACGTGGGTATGAACAGATCAAATAAACAGGAACTTAGGTTAATTTAATAGAAAAAATAAAATATGGAATAACATTGATTTTGGCCAGTATCAGTTACAACCGTTCTACTATATTTTACAAAAAAACAACTGAACATTTTACACATGTACAGTATTTTTCAGTAAAAGTGGATTTGGATTTAACAATGGGTCACTAATTGAAAATAAAAAGACAAAAGAAAACAGAAATAGGACTTTTGTCTCTAGAAGGTTAGAGCATTTGTTGAGTCTCCAAACTTTGTACTATCCATTACATATATCTCATTATGAATATATATATTTATACATAATATATAACATTAACTTAAACTTTGAAAGCATTATGTTCTAGTTAATAATGTTATGTAGATAAATGAGGCAGTAACACACTAGTAGTTAAACCAGTATTTCCGCGACGTGCACCTGCATGGTCAGTGGGAAATGGAATGCACGCTGGTAGACCCCAATGAATTTTGTTGTCATGTTGATGGTTATTCGTCTACAAAAACAGACATCATTTTTATCTTTCCTATCAATCACAGTAACCTCGTGCCTCAAATATTATGGGCTGATTCAGTTAAATAGATTTCTTTGCAGGCAAATTCGGTTTTGCCATCTGCTTGACCTTGCTTTAGGCTTGTGCTTGCATTTGTCCACGTAAGACTGTGCGTTTAAATGTAAAACTGTATGCTGTACCCAGGATTAACTTTCATTTTTTTGTGTGTCAGAAGGGCCTGTGGTGTTATAAGGGGAAGACTGCTTAGCAAAATCAGTTGGTTCCCTAGTTACTTATGAATCATTATGTGATTCAATACAATTGCAATGCTATTAAGAGGGTCATCAGACTATTTACTTATTATTCACTTTGGGTTGTAAGTTATCTTTGATGTCTAGAAATATTTTCAAGGCAGGCTTTTTCCTAGCTTGCTGTTTGGATGGGGACCTCAGCATCTACTTCCTAGCTCTTTCCCAGGATAGTCCATGTTGATAGTATTCCTCTCCTCAGCTGTGACTCCAGCAGCATCTTCTAAGTAAGGCTCTCAGAAGCATGAAGCCTGCAAGATGGCTGGTCACTTGTAAAGCAAATGAGGTCACCAATGAAGCTTTGATATGAAGAAACTTGATATCAGTCTAGGCTCCCCTAAACAGAGAAACTGTCAAAAGATCTATAAGATTTCATCGTTTCTGGCCACTAATCCAAATAGTTTCCTCATAATTCAGTCTTCTAGTTTCGATGAAGTGTTTAGAGAGTCACAGAAAACCAGTGAAAATATTTCTTAAAAAAAAAAAACCCCAAAAAACAGATCATCTCAGCATTCAGTGGACCAGCATATAATAGTATGGCATAGTTATAGAGGGACAGAGGAGTAGAAAAATAAGAGAACTAAAAGGGTACAATCATGCCACCCATATTCAATTTCCAGTTTTATTTTCTTAAAATGACAAGATGAAAAAACTTCTTCTAATAAGCACCATTGAAAAAAGTTGCCCGGCCAACATGGGCACAAGCTTAAATATTATTTAAATAAATTCCATTTCTTAAAAATACAGGACCTCTTGGGAACTTTTGACTCCAGGAAGAGATTTCCTGCATCATATCCAAAATGCTTCCCACCATGACAAATGGAATTTCAGATGGCCTTTAAAAAAAAAATGGGGGTAATGGCTAGATAGCACCAAGAGATTGTGCAGGGTCTACAAAGTTAACACTCTGAATTTCAGGGGAGCTGGATCAGCCTCAGCTCATCTATGTACCTCTGCATTCTGTCCATCTGTCCATCACCAATTTGACTATACAGAGCAATCCCATTTGGCGAACTGCGTGTAAAATAACCCAATCTACAATGGAAAAGCCAGTAGCAGCAAGTCTATCTGATGAAACCAGTGGAGCAGACTTATCAAGTGAGTAAAATGCAAAAACCAGTACATAAGTACACAGCATGAAGTAAATGATGTGTGGAGAGTATCCATGTTTCACTGTGAAATACCATGGCAAACGACACTAAACACAACTCTGTAGGATGTTCCTAATGCCCTCAGGTCCAGTTTTCTGTCATTTCCCCCAATGGTGGACTCAAGCATGCAAGAGCTTTCTATTTCATTTTTGTCTATGTATGCTCTCGCGATGTTTTGGAAAGGTATTTTTAGGTGTTTCAAAGGGGAAACAAGCAAGTCAATGCAAAAGGGAAAAAAATGGACCTTCAAAACCAGGGCAGGAAATCAAATCATTACTTTAACGTCAAATTTTGGCATCAAATGCTTTGGTCATACAATACTGTCTCTGTGGTTCTGGCTGTTTAGCACTAAACACCCAGTTATAAAAGGTAGGCTTGTTGTAGTTTTATTTTTTTTTCCATTTAAGTTCTGACAAAACAGTTCACCATCTCCCTGCACAAACTTGAGAGAGAGAGAAAGAAAAAGAGAGCAAGAAAAGAAAGAGAGAGGTGGCTTGCTTTTTTTTTTTTTCTTTTTGGCTTTTTTCTTTTTAATAATATGGAATAATCTATAAGTCTACAGGAACAAAGAAATCTAAGATGGCTGCTCAGCCTTGAAATGTACATGTTTTGCAGCAAAGTTGTTGAAGAACCTTCCGTTGGCACAGATTGTTCTTTTTCACAAGCATACAGAAGCCTCCTTCCGCCCAGGACTCTTCCGTTGCTTTTCCAGAAGTCAGCAAGAGAGAAGGGGAGTTGAAGACGAGAGCAGCATGATGTACACACATGGAAGAAGGTTGTGATTGGCCAGAGAGGCAGATTTGGGGAATTGGAAGAGATCATTCAGGAGTAGTCAACAGGAGGAAATTTGGTCCACCCAAAGTGATTTCAGTCAACCGCATTGTTTTTCAAGGAGAGGAGAGACATTGCAGTCCAATGGTAAATGTAATTGGTATCCATTTGTGAAAAAAAAAAAAGATTAGAAAAAGAATAAATTAGAAATCAATTAATAACACAAGCAAGAAATTTGTCTTCTTTGAGATACCTAGAGCAGAGAGTATACAGTCATTTATACCATATTTCATTGAATCTAAGACACAAGATTTAAGATGCACCATCATTTTAAGTAACACAAAGGAAAAGATGCTTCATATTAAACTGTGACACAATATTGTCTTATCAATTAGAATTTTAATTTTAGACTTATTAAAAGTATTTGTTATACTTATGTAACATTCTGTTTTGTTTCCATGCTTATGCAAGAATCTTTCCTTCGAATATTGAACAATAGTTTAATTTTCAAACCTCTTTAGAACGGCAATTAAATTCAACACAAGAAGAAGAATTAAATTCAACACAAGAAGAAGTAGTCATGTGCCTAACTCGGTTGAACAGATGTCTCTGCATCCAACTCTCATATCTGGGCAGTAACACTGATATCACATCAGTTTTCTGGTCAAAAGCAGTTGTAAACTGCCACAAATTATAAGATGCATCTGATTTCCGAGATGATAAAATGTAAAAAATATATGTCTTAGAATCACAGAAATATGACAGTTGAAAGAGAATAAATAACACATCCTTAAGTGCAGCTGCCATGTGATTTCAAAAGCCTGGTGAGCCATCAATATTCTCATTTTGTAACTGACCTGAAAATGGGCTCACTGCAGATATGATTCTTCTTTTCCCACTTCAGCCCACAAGCCTGACACTCCGCTTTTAGCAAAGTGCCATTTGACATAACTTATCCAGTGCTCACCATGGTTTAGGGAAAGTAGTTAAAGCATTACAACTCTTGAAATGCCTGGTACCAAGTACTGTTGGTGAACATTTCAAGTTGTTACAATGGATTTCCTGCATCGATCATCACTTCTTTTTTTTTTTTTTTTTTTTGAGACAGTCTTGCTCTGTTGCCTAGGCTGGACACGATCTCTGCTCTCTGCAACCTCCACCTCCAGGGTTCAAGTGATTCTCATGCTTCAGCTACCCAAGTAGCTGGGATTACAGGTACGTGCTACCATGCCTGGCCAATATTTGTATTTTTAGTAGAGATGGGGTTTCACCATGTTGCTCAGGCTGGTCTCACTTTCATCTTCCTCAATTTTCTGTTACTAACCTACCAAAAATTCTGGTCATATTCAGAAATAGGGGAGCCATGTTTTTAAGTAAAGTAAAGGAGGCACTTGCTGGTAACTAAAAAATGATACTTACGTGGCCCCTGGGGTGCCACCACCCCAAGCCTTTATCACCCCAGTGTGCTATAGTAGAATCAGCCCTGGCGAGAAAACCTCAGAACACAGGAACTGACTGTGTCGGGCCCATGCCTGCCAGACCAATCACATACTGGAAAAACCATGGAGATGCAAAGTCACCTACGATGCTCCAAAGAAATAAGACCACAAATGATGTCCTATCAGTGCTATCAATCATGTGCCCCGTTCTTTCTGACACCTTTTTGAGATTCTTTGTAGGGAGTTGTGGAATAACCAGATGAGGTCAGTAGTATTATCTTCTTCATTTTTTACAGATGGTGGAAATGAGGCCCAGAGAAGTTCATAACCTGCCCAAGGCCTGGAGACCAGGTATGAATGACAGCATTCTGACTTCCAAGTCCACATTCTCCTGACAATGGTACTGTTTTTCCTTTCATGAAATTTCCAGAAGGGGAAACATTCAAAAGAAGGGAAAGAATAAACCTAGGGCAGCGATCATGTCAGTCAGATTGTTCCAACTGCATATTTTTTGTTTGTTTTCTATTTTTATAACAATCCAAAGATGTTTTGAACAACAATAGTTTAAACAAATAGTTTAAACAATTTCTACATCATTGGCATGTAATATCTGCATAAATTTAGGAGTAAATTTTAGGTCGCTTCAGCGTAAGTTATTTCAAGAGTCAAAAAAGTTCACAAAATGTTGGAGTTGGAATAATTTAAATTCATTCATTTTTACAGATGGGGAAACTGAGGCTAGAGAGGTGAGGAAACTTGGTATTAGCTAAATTGTTAGGGAGAATTGGATGTGCAGTGGTTCTCAAACCTGGCTGCAGATTAGAAACACTTGGGAAGTTAAACCTATGATCATGGGCTGCACCCCAGATCAATTCAATCAGAATATTTGGGGATGGTGCTGCATCCTGGTTCAGAATCATTGGTGCAAAGAACAGACCAACATTTTGAAATATTAAGTTCTATACTTAGGTCTATCATTTCCTAGCTCTACACCTTGGGTTTTCCCTTCTGTAAGATGAAAATATTACTTCCTAGCCTCACAGGCTTAATGAAAGATTCAGATACCCATTTAATTACTGTTTATACATCAAAATTATAAACAATCCAAATAATAGGAGATTGGCTAAAAACTATAGAATCTTCACATGATTGAATTTTATGCTGCTATTAAAAATAAAGTTTCCTAAAACTTTGTAAAAACATAGGATAATGTTTATGCCTAATCCTTAGTGCAAAAAGCAAGATACAAAACTCTATGTGCATGGTATTTTTAATATGGTGAAAACTGGAAAGAAATACAACAATAATTAGCTAGAAAAGGCTACATATTGTATAATTCCAATTATACAGATTCTGGAAAAGGCAAATCTATGGAGACTGTAAAAAAAAAAAAAAAATCAGTAGTGGGTGGGAGAGATGAGTAGGTAATTCACAGAGGAGTTTCAGGGCAGTAAAACTACTTTGCATGGCGCTATAATGTTGCATACATGTTGTTATACATTTGTCCAAACCCACAGAATATATAACCAAGAGTGAGCCCTAATGTAAATTGTGGACTTTGGGTGATAATGATGTGTCACTGTAGGTTTATCAACTGTAACAAATGTATTCCTCTAGTGCTTGATGTTGATAGTGGGGGAAGCTATGCCTGTGTGGGGAAAACGGGGTATATGGGAAATTTCTGAACTTTCTGCTCAATTTTGCTTATGAATCTAAAACTGCTCTCAAAAAATAAAGTTTATTAATTAAAAAAATTAACTTGAGCCATATTGGCCAGTGCCACTGTAGCTGATTTATTTCTTTTTGCAATTCAAACAAATCCATTAAGGGCATAAGTTCAAGATGAATGAATGCCACCAAAATATTGAGCATGTCATATCTGATGCATGCTGTGAGTTTCTTTTTTAAGTGGAAAAATATTAGTCCTGAAAGTAGAAAGATCATACTTTGCTTCATAAGATCGATATGGGCAGTTGTACTCACCATCCTTGCAAATGGCTCCCATTTGACACATTCCTAAGTCTAAGAGATACCCACTAGGGCAGCTTGTACAGTTCTTGAATCCTGGGCCATTGCACGTCAAACAACTGATATCACATCTATGAGAAAAATGTACAATTTTTTAATCCATTCACACATGCACAGGGGAAGGTGTGTTTACTAGCAACCTCATAATGTCTTACATTTAATTATCCCTCTGAAGATTACTCAAAAATCTTTCCTCACAACAATTGCTAGGTTAGGTGACACAGGTAGACACTGTGATTTTAAAGGGTATGGAGCATGTACTTGAAATTGAAATATTAAAGGTTTTAAGGTGCCCCTGAGGCAAAGGAATAAAAATATCAATGATAAGCTGGGTGAAAGCTTCAGAACAGTGTCCACAGGTACATGTTTAAACCTAGTGTTATCATTACAAATTCTAAGTTTTCTTATTTTCTTATGAAGATAGTCATCAAAAGAACTTAGGTCTAAATGCTAGGGCCCAGGGGGCAGATCCACTTACTTTTTGCAGGATTTGTATCCATTCTCTGAAGAGTGGTCAAAGTAATAGCTGATACTACAGCTCTGCACGCATCTCCCATCCTCCATGAAGTAGCCCTCTGTGCAGTTAATGCACCCATCAGCTCCTGCCCCTTAAAAGCAAGACAAACACAGGAAACGAGAAATAAAACCTCAGAGGAGGTGGTGTCATGGGCTTCTTCTTTAACAGTTTGAGAAAATGGCGTCAAAGAATAATAATTTAATATTCATGCTTTTTCTTGATTTCCCTGGGAAAAAAGCCTTCAAAGTTAAAATGGAACCTCTTGACAAAAACATTCACTGTCTTTTGAAAGAGGAGCTATCACTGGGCTATGTAAGTTTCTCAATGAGGATAGGATGCTGATGACTGCTTGACTTTCAATGAGAATACACACACAATTATCAAACGAGAAATAAACTTTTCCAGCATTACTTTAAAAGTATCAAGTGGGTTGCATGAGTGATGGCCCAAACCAGAAAGAAAAGCAAAACCAGAACCGGGAGAATAAACAAAAGAACTAGGGAAGGTACCAGCACAAGTGGCGCAGAAGCGGTGGCAGGGCTGGCAGTCCTGGCCGTTGAAATACCGTCCATCTTCACAGGAGACAGAGCACCGGGATCCCTGCAGGCTGGAAGAAGTATAAAGGGAGCTTCAAACAGACTGTTGTGATGAGGCCAAAACGTAATGACTCCCCAAACTCCATATGTAACAGATACAGTTTCCCTCAGAGGCCAGTGGATTTGGCAAAGCTTCAAAGCCGGGGAAATAGCCCGTGTACCCTTTTTTTTCTCCTCTCAATGCTTATAATGCTTCTCTGTGCCTACAATGATATCTGTAGCATACACACACGCTGCTAGGCTTCGGGGACAGCCTCCTTAATTTGTTAGACTGATGGGCACACTCCTACTTTGCGCAACATCTTACAACCCAGAGGTTTTAAAAAGTATTTGATTGACAAAACAATCACATTGTCTAGCAATAAGCCCAACAATTTCTTAATATCCAGACTTACTACATAATAAATTCAACAGTTATTTCATGATTATAAATGCAGTAGGAACACATGGTACAATGAATTATGACTGAGTAAAAGTGTACGACCATCCTGTCCAACCCACAGCTCAAATTCTCCGGAGTAGCCATTCTGATTTTAAGTGTTTCTGATTTTAGTCTTCTATAGGTTCTCATCAAAACAACAAGATTTAAAATACTTTTGCCTCTATTTCTTGATTTATTCATTTTAAACACTCTAATGAAAAATTTATCAAAACTAACTGTACTGCTATTTCCCCAATCATCTTGACTTTTCTTTGTTGTTATATTATTATTTAGTGTTTCTGGGAGTTATCTAAACTATATTAAATAACCTATTTAAATTTCTATTTACCTAGCAATATGAGATAGTATTTAATGAGTTGTCAGAATGTCAAATGAGAAATGCATATTTTTCTCTCCCTTCTAATTTCTGTCAGCTATCATATTTTTCACAGTCTACAGGCTAATTCTTAAAATTGAAAGCAAATAAAAAATTTTTACTATATTTGGCTGGGCATGGTGGCTCACACCTGTAATCCCAGAACTTCGGGAGGCCAAGGTGGGTGGATCACTCGAAGCCAGGAGTTTGAGACTAGCCTGGGCAACACAGTCAGACGCCATCTCTACAAAGGCTAAAAAAAAATTGCTAGGCATGGTGGTGCCTGCCTGCAGTCCCAGCTACTCGGGAGGCTGAGGCCAGAGGATTGCTTGAGCCCATGAGTTTGAGTGAGCTATGATCACACCACTGCACTCTAGCTTGGCTGTCAGAGCAAGACTCTGTCTCTTAAAAAAAAAAATTACAATAGTTAATATAAAAAATATTATTCACTGAATAACTAGTGTGATTGGAAACATAGTGAGAAAATGTAATCCTATGCTACCAAATCAATGAAACTAGAAGATCAGTATCTAAACAGGGTTAAATGGTTTCCATTGTTTTAAACTCTTTATACTGCTCCAAATTGACATCTTAATTGACTGCTTTGTATGTGGATAATGCTAATTTAAAAAATTAAAATTTATTTTTCCCTATGCTCTTAAAAAAATTTGGAAAGTACAAAAACAAAGTTGAAGAAAAAAGAAACCCGAACAGTCCCCATTAGCATTTAATTTATTTCCTTCCTGGATTTTGTGCACTGATATATTTTTTCCCCTGTTTGTTCTTCACCACTATTTAAAAATTTACAAGTCTCTTGAGGCAAAATGGTCAACCCTGGAAGCCCTTAGAAAAATGCAAGGGGCCTCAAGGAGACTAAGGGCAGCATAAGTGAAAGTGGACTTCATTCATAGATCTCCTCACTGGCCAGAGAGAGAGCGCTGTCATTTAAAAAGCCAAAAGAAAATCCCTTTCCCTTTCTGTAGCACTAGAAAAAAGGATACTGCCTTAAATGGATCCATTTGAGAGGAAATAAGGACCACCGAAACACTTATCAAAGTTAAAAAGCTGCCTAGTTTTTCTAATACAGGACAGCACTTCCTTGTGAGGTTGGCATCTGTTCAGCAGGACACAGAGGTTGCACTGTATGGAGAAGGAATGAGGTAAGGGGGACGTGTAACAGACAGCAGTCACCAACCCTGAAGCTTTCTGCTGCTTCCAAAATACAGGTACTGCGAGGCTAATGCACTTGGTATTGTGAACGCCTCTGTTCTCTCTGTGATAAACTGGCCAGGTTAGACCTGTGCTGTACAACATAATCTGGCACACATGGCTACTGAGACCTCGAAAGGTGGCTATAGTATGGCTAAGAAACAGAATTTTACATTTTATTTAATTTAATTTTAACTAATTTAAGTCTAAATGTGAAAAATTGGCACTTGATTCCATTACTGGCAAAAATTTGGGTACGTTTGGAACAACTTGGCTATGTAAAATTTTCTTTTTCAACTGTGAAACCTAAATAAAGATCAAATATTTCTCATAAAAACAATTTTGTCTGAATTGAGATGTGTTCTAAGGGTAAAATATATATCAGATTTTGAAGACAGTACAACAATGAAAAAGAATGAAAGACATCTGATAAGTTTTTATATTGTTGAAATGATAATATTTTAGATATATTAGGTGAAATAAAATATTTTATTAAACTCATTTCCCCTGTATCTTTTTACTTCTCTTAATGTGGTTACTGGCATATTTAAAATTACATATATGGCTCTCATGTTTCTACCGGCATGCACTGGTTTAACATACTCTATACAATGTTCCCTAAGAAATAAAATAATTTAAATCATCTTTTATTTCTCATGAACCAAGTATGTGCCAGATGGTAGAATAGGTATTTTGTAAATGTTATCACAGTTAACCTTTATCATAATCCAGCAAAACAGGGATTATTATTATCATCATTTTATAGAGGAGAAAATGAAGGCTCGGAGTAGTTAAGTGACTTGCCCCAAATCACACAGTTAATAAATAGCAGAGGAGGATGTGAGCCCACATCTACTTTCTTTCCTTCTATTATACTGCTTTGCTCCTTCTCCAAGAAGAATTAGGTGGCTAATTCTTTCTCAGTACTGAAGTCTTGAGATGAAAATTGCCAAGTAAGCTAATACTGAATGCATTCATGGGGGGAAAAAGAAATGAAGCCATAGATAATTAATCTAAATGAAAATGATGCTCCAATACTGGTTAATGGTGAAGAATGTACCTGCCTGGAAACTGCCTGGACCCTGCCTAGTTTACCTCCAATCACAGGTGGAAATAAAGATATGATCAATACTTAAAAGAAATCCAGTGCAGCAGAGTTCTAATTCTACGTACAGCCTCAGTCCAACTCTTCACTAAATGCAGAATGGTCTCACCTTCCCTACTGAGATCAAGAGGCTACCTAGTTAATTTGAGCTGTACATTGTTCTCTTAGAGAGTTGACCAACTATTGAGCTTTAGCAATGAGCAAGTCATCCATTCAAGGAAAACATCTCCTGGTGTTAAATCTATGTGCATACCATAGCATAATGGAACCAAGCCTGAGATACTTAAGATAAGAGAATGATTGGCTATGTGGAGAGAAATAATAAAGATAAGGGAATAATTTCCGACCATCCAAGGAATGAATCGGGGGATTAAATATAATTCATTGGTATTACCTGCAAAGTAATCCTTGACTGGCACAATGCAGGTTAAAAAGCACAAAGAATGCCTCTCAAATGGCCATTTTTATTGAGTTTTATCTGAGCCATCTTTTCTAAAGAGAATTTATTTGGATATAACCCTTCTTTAGCCAACACAGCATCCCATTTTTCACATATAATAGCAGAGATAATGCAAATAGCAATCAAGTGCTTGAATGGGAGTCAAACCCAGGGTAGATCATAAGAGAGCTGTTTATTTACTTGTTTATCATTTTTTCATTTTATTTACATTGAGAAGCTCTTTGGGCTGTGTTACTTGATAAAATCCTTCACTCTCTTACCTTAACCCATCCCTACATTCTGTACAGTTATGGAATTCAGTACATGTCTTGCAGTTTTCACTGCATTTCCGGCAAAGATTTTTCTCTGTTAAAAAAAAGAGAAAGTTGTAAATCAGTTGGTCAATTGGATTCCATAAAAGCATCAGAGATGTTCTAATGCTTGCTAATGTATGCTACAGTACCTATGGCCTTGACTAGACAATTGCAGGAAAAGCCACAGAATCACTATTTGTTATCATTTCTCAGCAAACCAAGTACAGACAGGAACTGTAACACTGGAAAACACCTTAGACTTCTCTGCCATTTTGCAGACAAGAAAATGATAGCCTAGCTAATTCTTAGTTGAATAGTTTATAGGTCTTTTTTTTTTCTTCTTCTTCCTAGTCTCTCTCCCCAGGAGGGTTTCCTAACTTGCAACAGTGCAAATCCCCCTCATGAAGCTGGGACAACATCACTGTATAGGGATTGAAAGGCAATGCCTGAGACGAAGGAATGGGAATGTAGACCCCCATGCTCATAGCTTTTAGGACTGGTCAGTTGAGCTGAACTAGAGAAGGGAATCTACATTTAAGACTGCAAGGGTAAGGATTGCTTATTTCTAACATTGTTTATTTTAAACACTATTTTAGTGTCTTGCACTTTACAGCTGCAGTGGAATTGGTATAAATGTTATTACAATTCAGATAATATCTCTATTCTGGAGAAATCTATATTCTGGAGAATAGAAATGTATCATTTGAACAAGTATACTGTGAATACTTGCTTTCCTAGTTACTACCAGGTCCATATTGAAAAAAGTTGGCAAATTTATGGTTGTTCTGTGGAGGAAAATATTTGGCATATTAAGAAAGTCCTTCTACCTTAGATAAAATTTTGCTAATGTCTTGGTACCTGCTCTGATATGCAAGTGGATTATATCCATGTGAATTTGTAGAAATGAATGAAGCTTTCTTCATGGGCTTCCATCTGCTCTTTAAATGTTGATGTTCTTCAGGGTTCCATAGAGAAACACAGCTTAGTGGATCCCTGCAAGGGCCTGCTGGATCAAGTCTGAGCCTCTGAGCATGAAATACGAAGCCCCTTACAATCTTAACAGTAGTCATCATACGGTCTCTCTCACTGTCTCATTGAGAACACTGCACATGCATAGAATCTTAACTCAGATGACCTAGATTTGCATTCTGCTTTAAGCACCTCCAGTGGGCAAATTCAGGGTCTCTGTTCTTTTATTCATTAAAATGAGATTACAATGTTACCCACCTCTCTGGTTGTCTTGAGAAGTTAAATAAAATTAATTATTCAAGGGAACGATATGAACTATTAAGCACTGTAAATGTGTTGGCAGTAATTATTACTAGTCATTATCATATGTGATCATCATGTTGTACATAAATGGACTCATTAGAGAGGAAAACTATAACATAAGGCAATTACATAGAAAGAGAGAGATATACAAACCACTTGGATCAACACTTCCTGGTAGCTGAAGTCATAGTTTGAACACCTTAATTATCTACCTTCTAGGCTCTGGAAACAACGGACTCTCAATTACCTTGGTTCTGTCATACAACATTCCAGAATCAAATTTCTTTTTCAAGGCTCAACCTTCCTGATAGAATTTTGACTTTTTTCCTCACAAGGAATACTGCATATTTCTGTGGATTCTTTATGCCCCCTTCTGTCTCCCAATTTCTCCTTTCTCCCTCAAGTCAAATTTCATGTTCTAAATTTTGGGGCAAGCAAGAAAGGCAGAGTCCTTACCCACTGCCCTAAAGGGTAAGTTGAAAGACCCTCTCTGCCTCACAGAGAAATGCTCCTCTTTGAAACCAGAGAGAATTTCACTTCTTAAGAAGCAAGAGTATTCACTTCAGATTTCTTGTCTGATTTTATTTTAAATAACTCTTGTTCTTTTAAACTTGAGTTTTCTCTTTGTCTCCTTAGGTTGTGCAAAAACATGAAATTTCAGTGCCATCATATACCATGGTATGAGGTCCTTGTTAAGAGAAATTATCCAGAACTCAGAAATAAAGGAAAAGATAACTGCAGTCCTTTTCAGAGCCACACTAGAGCACTGTCTAATAGGTCTACCTTAAGACTATTTAATTCTCTAGGGCAATATACCTTCGTCTGTTTGCTAATGATGGCTGATTAGGGCCCAAACTCTGTGTTAAGGTACACATTTTTGTTTGGTAAAGTTGCAAATTACTCCTATTCATTAGAAAAAAAAAACACTCCCCCAAATTCTACTTGTATTGCCATGTAGAAAATTATTAAATTATTCAATTTTGTCTCCAACTTAGCAAAAGGATTTCCATTTTGCCTTTCCTGGTGGACTACAGTACCTGATCATCTTTTAGCCCTATTTGTCACCTTGCAAGTTCCCTCATTAGTGGGTTAAATAAGTCATTGACAAATGTTCATTCTACTCTTAAAAGACAGTCATATTTTTTGAACTTTTTAAAAAGTATATTTTGATATCATACAGGCCTGGTGTCTATTTGGTCAGTATGCAGAAAAGAGCAGCCTGAATGTTGTCCTTAGCAAATCTGCTTGTAAGGTTGGCCCATGGCTGGCACATCTGGGAACTTGAATTTTGGGAGGGTTCCCACTACCCTGAAAAGAGTGGCTCACTTTGTCTAAACTGTTTGTATAAACAATATGGTTTATGGTGAACACCTATTTTCCTTTGAAGACTCTGGAATTTTGGTATGTGTCAGGTCTGACCAGCCCCCAGTGACAACCCTGGGCCCTGAGTCTCTAATGAGGTTCCCTGGTAGACAACATTTCATGCACGTCGTCACGCATTGTTGCACGGGGAAGTGAATATGCCCTGTGTGGCTGAACCTTGTTCCATATGCCTTTTCCCTTTGATGATTTGTTGCTGTAATATCTCCTATCTGTGAGTTCATGAGCACGACTATACCCCAGGCCTTGTGAATACTCCCAGCAAATCACTGAATCTGGGGGTGGTCTTGAGGATACTCTGACAAAGTTATAAGCATTTTTACATGAAGCTTCTAAAGGGTTCTCTTAAAATGAATGAACTAGATCCTGTTTGATATGAAGCACAATTCCAGATTTCACAAAGAGGCTATCCCTCCTGAGGTCACTCAAATGAAAACACCACATTTCTTCTCTAAAACCCAAGTATTTGAAGTGAGCTTACTGGTATCCTGATATGACCCATCAGGGCAGTGAGTAACACAGCTGTTGGTTTCTTCATTCAGAAAGTATCCATATTTGCAGGACATGCATTGGTCACCATGGCTCCCAAAGCAGGACTCACAGTTGGGGGCACACTTCCTGCAGCGCTTCTTGTCGGCGTGGTAGTGGCCAGGGGGGCAGCTGGAGACACAGATCCTGCATTGTGAAACAATAAGAAAGAAGGCAGCGTCATGAGCAAACCAGTCCCCAGCATTCTCTTGGAGGTGCTGAGCAAATGGCTGAGCTCAGCTTCCAAATCACTTTTAAACCAGGATGCCAACACCACATCCAGAGAGCCAGATTGTTTGTTAAACTTCCTCCTGCACAGTGTGCTGAAGTAGCAATGCAGTTACCCAACACCAAATCTACCAAGGACTTGTCAAACCATTTCCTGGTTTGCACCTAGCTCTTGAAAAATGATGATGGTTACAGAGAGGAAGGTTATGGTGGTGAATCAGAGGAAAACTATGTGGGAACCACAACTCTATTCAAAAAGGTCCCTTTAAAAAGGTGTGACTTCTATTTTCGTGTGTTGTTTGTCATATGGATCCTGTATGTGCATGTGTGAGTGGTGGTGGTGGTTGTATGCTGTTGTCTAAATTAATATAAATATATTTAAATTTATGTTGTATATGAGAACACTTAAAAAAAAAAAAAAACTTCCTTGTTTGCCCATAATGGAAGCACAGAGCTTTATTTATCCATTCAACAAATATTTACTGAGCACCAATTAAATATCAGGCATGTTGCTAAGTGCAGGAGATAACAGAGGCTGGGAGATAGCCAAAGTCCTCCTTTCTCTTAAGGAATTTAAATTCCAGCAGACTTACAGCAGGAATTCTTAACACGTCTGGGTCTGTCTGGGGGACTGGAGTATGGAGGAACCGTGTGGCAGCTATGCTTAGTGAGTTTTCGCCTGAAGGAGGAGGGAGAAGGTGGGTGGGGCTGTGGGAGACAAGGGGAGGTCAGGATGAACTCTGATGGGGGCAGTCACCATTCCTTGGCTCTGCCCAGGAAACATATCTGCACAGCTCAAGCAGACACCAGGGGCTCAGAGGCACAGGGTCCACCTTAGTGCCCAGGGCAGAAGAGTGAGATCAAGCAGGACCAACCCCTTTGCCACACTGATGGCCTATGTGCTGGAAAATGTGGAAAAGCATCAGTTTGGCCTGTGCATTGGCATCTTTGTGAAGCCATGAAATCAAACATCAGTGGGGTGGAAAGGACATGAAACTTGTGTGAGATGGGAGGAATAAGTTCAAGAAATCTATTGTACCTCATGATGACTAGAGTTAATAACAATTTATTGTGTACTTGAAAATTGTGACGAGAGTAGTGTTTAAGTGTTCTGGCCACAAAAAAAGATAAGTATGTGAGCTAATGCATATGTTAAATAGCTGGATTTAGTTGTTCCAAAACGTGTGTACGTATGTATATGTGTGTGTGTGTATATATATATATATATACACACACACACATATATATATAAACATCATGTTATGCATTATAAATACATGCAGTTTTTACTTGTCAATTAAAAAAAAAAAAAAGAAAGGTCTGGAGGGGCAGGTGCTTAGCTGGTTCCTCCACCGTCCTCCAAACGTGAGAGAAGACATTTGCAGTTTCACAGCATACATGCACATTTTGCGTTTTGTAACTCAATATAGTTTTCACCATTCTGAATAACACAGGGAGGCAGTCGGCCTGCACAGCAGCCTCTTTTCTATGTTTCGGTCCTGGTGGGAGAATAGTGGAAGATGCCAGTGGCCTGCACACACCCCATGGTATTAGCCTTGCAGGAACTCCTAAGATGCCTGGCACATGCTGTGGGGATGTGACTTGGCACCTCTCTTACCTGGTATTGTTTTTCAGCTTGTAGTAGTAGTGCAAACAGTCATTGCAGTGGTCTGGTCCTGGCCCGTCACAGCCAACCTCACTGCACTCAGGGTCGCAGGGACCTTTCCAAAAGACATTAGAACAATACTTGGAAAAATGATTTTAGAGCAGGTCAGCTTTACCTTGAATTTGGTATAAAAATAAGACTTTTTTTTTTCTTATGCAGAGAGTTTCTTTAAGACAGAGGAATAATTGTCAATGTGGCTTTAGGTCCAGAGATGAGCTCTTGACTTTTTTTGACTTTTGATTCCTAGGCAACCTCAATTACCTAGGTATAAAGAATGTAAATTCTAGTCATGGCCTGGTCTTCAAAGCATATATGGCTGCCTTGTGGTAGATAAATATTTGAGAATTCAAATGAACTGTAGCAACTGGAAAAAAACCAACTGCAATTAAGTATGTGTAATAGTAAAAAGATTGGATTTGTAGAAAAGAGAGAAGTTGTTGACAAAAAAGAAAAAAGCATTATTATTTAACGCCTGGACCAAATGACCTGTCTCATTAAAGCTACTGAATACCTCTGAAATACTGTGGCCAGGAAGAAACACCATTACAGCACCTGGCACAAGCTTATCAGCATCCAGTCTCAGACACAGATAATAGATTTAAAATTGCATCCTACACAAAGGCCAATGGGCAATTCAACAAAAGAAAATGACATATAAATTTAAAAAAAACGCAAGCAAGCTTAAAGGATTCCAGACCTGGGATGAAAGTTCCCAATCTCTCTTACTACATATTCTTTGGTATAGAACTGAAGATAATGAACAGTAAGAAAAAAAAATGCCAGAAAGATGGAGCTATTTTGTGATTGATGAAAAACTTTCTAATGACATGGGCTAGTTATAGAAGTTTTTAATTCTCTTCTTTGTTCTCCATATTCTGGAACATTTGGTCTCATAATCTGCAAACTCTTTCCCACTGAAAATTCATATGATTTTAACTAGCAATAAATATATTGAATGAAATGTACAAATAGTAAGTCAAGGGTAGTAGAAAATCTACTTATTGTAACCCAAAGGACTTACTGTTACACCTTGGTTTCTTTGAGTCATTATGGGACTATGTTTCATAATTAACTGAATCACAGAAACATAAAAAAATGTTAGAACTCGGGTGGAATGACTTAGAGAAAAATCTGGTAGTCAAATACCCTCATTTTACTGATGAAGAAACTGATTTTCCAAGAATTTCAGTGGCTTGCCCAGTATCACATGGTGAGGAGAGGGGATCAACATAGGCCCTGATACTTAGGTAAAAATTCCTGCTTAGATGTAGCAAATCACGTACTAGGGATGACTTCTCCATCTGAATGGAAATAAGTCATTTCAAAATGCTGCAGACTCGAATATACTTCTGATTAACTGCAAGAGTCATTTGACAGCACTGCTTATTTCTATTTTCCCCAAAGCTTCAAATCGATCTCCAAATTCCATAGCTACTGCAACTTGGGACATTTTAGCCATCTGCCATCGTACACCAGGGGAGTGGTGTCTCTGCTGTCTATGGACTGAAGTTCAGCCAGCTGTGATCTCACAGTCCCTTGGATCCAATGACACAGTACGGGAATCTGGTTATGATAACGCCATCTGTGTCTCTAATCTGGCTGACTTCTAAATGAAGGTGAAAATTGCAGCTCCAAAGGAAAGGAGTCATGGGTGGCCCTAAATTTTCACCAGATGACTTCTAGAATTAAAAAAAAAAAAATCCCAAACATTTATTCTTGATATTTGCCAAAAGGGCTCTCACTGTATGGCAAATTCACATACTATGCTGTTTCTTTTATCATCTTAAACTGTCCCAGATGAAGTTTAGCATTGTAGGTTGCAGGATAATAATGCAATAATAGTCTTGGTTCTCTCACAAGTGCCAATATTGATGTTTTAGAGATATAATCAGAAAAACCACAAAGATATATAACTGTTCTGAATCTCAACATTCCAAAATTTGAATGGGAAACATTACCAAAATATGAATAAAGAGTAACAGCTTACTATTATACTCTATTTATGTTTTTTGGATCTACTTTCTCCTATCCGAGAAGACAAAATAGTTTGCTAGTTAAAATATAAATAGCAATGCTATAGGCTCAAAGCAAAACATCACAAAATCTAATACAATCCAGCTCTGATAAGCTCAATTGGTCTTAATTTCAAGCATGTTTATTGATTCTAGGATGCTATCTGTTTAGAATAAAAGTAACTACATGTGTATTTAAGATACTCTGTTCAGGTGGTTAATGAAGTACTTTTATTTTTAGTATTTAGAGGAAAACCTCAGAACTGCAAGAAAAAATATTTCTCATCTAAAGATACATTAAACTTGTATTTATAGTTCTTTTTTTTCTTTTCTTTTCTTTTTTTTTGAGACTGAGTCTCACTCTGTTCCCAGGCTGGAGTGAAGTGGCACGATCCCGGCTCACTACAACCTCCGCCTCCTGAGTTCAAGTGATTCTTGTGCCTCAGCCTCTCCAGTAGCTGGGATTACAGGTGCGTGCCACCACACCCGGCTAATTTCTTTTTGTATTTTTAGTAGAGATGGGGTTTCACCATGTTGCCCAGGCTAGTCTCAAACTCCTGAGCTCAGGCAATCCACCCTCCTCGGCCTCCCAAAGTGCTGGGATTACAGGCGTGGGCCACCGCACCTGGCCTATAAACAGTTCTTCATTAGGAGAAGCTTTGTCCATTATGCGTTACATGTCATATCTTAGAAGGATTGAATGCTCCTAGGAGTGCTAGCCAATGCAACAAGACAGTAGTCAGAAATAATGACAAGAAGGACAACAAAACCAATTTGTAGACGATAAGGCTGTAATACCTAAACCATCCCAGAAAATCAACTCTAAACTATATAAATTAATGAGAGAGTTAAGCAAAGTGGCCATATAAAATAAATACAACCAATAGATTTCCTACACACCAGCATACACTAGTTAGAAAGCATGGAATATTTTCCACTATAAGAGCACCAAGGCCCAAAAATACTTAGGTGTAACGCTAACAAGAAGAAAACTACATAAAATTAAAAGATTGCAGTAAAGTGGGACATGATCTATGTTTTAAATGGAAAGATTGTATGTTGCAAAAACAATTCTTCCCATAAGACTGCATATAAATTCAAATTAAATTCCAATGAGACTTTTAAAGGGAGACTTAAAAATCATTCTAAAATTCATCTGGAAGAATAATAAGGCAATAATTGCTATGGAAATGGGAAGCAGATGTTCTACAAATATAAAAATAACATCATGAAATGAAAACAAAACAGTGTGGGTGGTATTGGTTTGAGAATTATTAGATTGATGAATCAGAAAAGGCGGAACCAGAAAAGATGCTGGTATAAGAACTTACTATATTGTTACAAAGGAAGCATCCTAAACTAATAAAAAAAGAAGGGATAGTTACTTGGCCAATGATGTTAGTCTGTTTGGAAAATAACTAAAGACAGAGCTTCAATTGACACTGTATATCATAAACCAAAATGAGTTCCAGATGAATTAATGGCCAAATGTAAAAAATAAGAGATTACCAAGCAAAGCATGTGAATATTCAGTAGACATTAAAGGATAAAACTTCTGCAAAATATCAGTGTTATATCTGAGACCATAAACCCCAGCCTCTAATAGTTTTTTTTTTTGTCAAAACAACACAAACCAAAACAAAACTTAACAGTGATAAGTGAGAATATGTTTTCAGCAAAGACGAAACAATGTGAGAGACAATAACATACAGAGTGTTCACAAGGAGATAAGAGGATTACTGTACTTCGAATAGAAAAATGGATAAGACAGTTGTATTTAATTCAGAGAACTACAGAGGAAGAAATGTTTAGATTTACAGGCAATCAAAGCTATAACACTTTTAAAACGTTCACCTCTTTCTTTTTTTTACTTTTTTTTCTCTTTATTTTTTTCTGTTGGCAGGAATGAGTGTAATAAACAATCACATAGCTGGTCACAGTGAAGACTGGTACATCTTGTCTGGATAGCAAGTGACAAAATGTTTCCAAGCCCTAAAGCTGATTATCCTCTTTGATGCAGTAAGTCTCAAAACAGAACTCTATTCTAAAGAAATAATGAAGATATAGACAAAGATTGATAAATAATGATGTTTATCCAAACCGTGTTTAAAATAGTGTAAAATTCTGTAAGCGAACAATATGTCCCAGATTACAGATTAACTATATTATGGTACAATCGCAATATGGACTATTAGCTTTGCAGATAACACATATGGATATTTGAATATATGAGTGCACTGATATACACACACAAATATTTAAGGGGAAGAAAATATGTCAGAATATGGGTAGTAGATTGTTCTGTTCTATTCTATTCTGTTCTGTTCTATTCTATTCTATTCTATTCGATTCGATTCGATTCGATTCCATTCCATTCCATTCCATTCCATTCCATTCCATTTCATTCCATTCCATTTCATTCCATTCCATTCCATTCTGTTCTCCCATGTGGTGGGATGATGCATGAGCTGCCTCTTTTTAGCCTGTGTCCCACTGGAAGCCAGCTCACCTGCATAATCCTCTGTGCCATAGTCGTCTGTGGGGTCTTCAACTCGGCTATAGCGGAACCGTTCCACTTTCGGAAATTCATTGGTTGGTGAATATGGCTGCACGGAGGTGCCGTAGAGGACCAAAGACCATTCTTTCAATTTACCTTGAGAAATAATAATGAAATCACAGCATGACCAAATTTTCCCTCTTTAGCTCTGTAACATCTTTAAGTCCTTCTCACTCAAGAAAAAGCAACAGAACTGTGGGAGGCAGATGGATATCAATCACTACATCAAACGCAGAGCTAGAAATGCGTATTTCTCGTCATCTGCAGAATTATTTAATAATTCACATACCACATATTGACTGAGCATGTACTACCAGAGAGGCCTTGATTTAATCAGCATTTATAGGAAGACTGAGAAACAAACACACTTCAGATTGCTGGATCAAGGGCTGAATTTCAAATTAGAAATATTTAAGAGAATCCCAGGACTTAATAGAAGGCTTTGTTTTTCTAGGTATAAAAAGTCTTATATGGCCCGGTGCGGTGGCTCATGCCTGTAATCCCAGCACCTTGGGAGGCTGAGACTGGTGGATCACGAGGTCAGGAGATTGAGACCACCCTGGCTAACACGGTGAAACTCCGTCTCTACTAAAAATACAAAAAAAAAATTAGCTGGGCGCAGTGGCACGTGCCTGTAGTCCCAGCTACTTGGGGGGCTGAGGCAGAAGAATCCCTTGAACCTGGGAGGCGGAGGTTGCAGAGAGCGGAGATCACGCCACTGCACTCCAGCCTGGGCAACAGGGCAACACTCCATCTCAAAAAAAAAAAAAAATTTTTTTTTGGCATTATCTGACTTGTTAATAAGTAGACAGAACAACTCTTTGTTCTCCCTAATTCCTGGTATCGGTCATTCAATATTAAGAAAACATCACTAATTATACTGTCCTATAGACCTGTGCTGTCCAATGTGATAGCCATTAAACATTTGATTATTTAAACTTAAATGAACTAAAATTAACAAAAATTTTGAGATTCAGCTTCTCCATCACACTAACCATATTTCCAGTGCTCAAGAGCCATATGTGGCTAGTGGCCATCCTACTGGACAGCATTTCCATCATTGCAGAATGTTCTATGGGTCTATGTGCAAAACAGCATTTTCTTTCTTTTTTTTTGATTTCGTTCTGTCACCCAGGCTGGAGTGCAATGGCATGATCTAGGCTCACTGCAACCCCTGACTCCCTGGTTCAAGCAATTCTCCTGCCTTATCCTCCCAAGTAGCTGGGATTACAGGTGGCCCCCACCACACTCAGCTAATTTTTGTATTTTTTAGTAGAGACAGGGTTTCACCATGTTGGTCAGGCTGGTCTTGAACTCCTGACCTCAGGTGATCCACCCGCCTTAGCCTCCCTAAGTGCTGGGATTACAGACGTGAGCCACCACACTTGGCCCAAAACAGCATTTTCTGGGCAGGAACGCCTTGAGACCTGAGGCAAGTGTTTCACCTTCTATGAGTCTGGATCACTTACAAGGAACATTTTGCTTTAGTTTAGTTCTTATTTGTTAACTTATTTCTTAGCTTCACAAAATTGTGTTCAATGCAAAAAGTAAAAAAAAAAAAAAAAAAAAAAAAAAAAAAAAAAAAGGAAACGTGCCTCCATTTCATTAAAGTTAGTAAAACTGATCTCAAAAGGAATCAACCGTAAGCAGAAGTGATTAAGACAAAACCATTACAAACATAGGCATATGCTGGTAGGAAGGTAGAATGCCCCTCAGAACCCCTCTCACCTTGGCTGAATGCATAGAATCCAGACAAGGTCAGGGGCTAGCTCAGAAAGTGACGGATTTCAGCTTGTCAGCTTCCTTCATCTATGAGCACCTACCATCACCAACAAATCGATGTTTGATGTTTTTAAGTGCTTTCTATATGCTAAGCACCAGTCTAAGTGATTTGTAAGTTTTATTTCATTCACTGTTCAAAACAACTCTAAGGTGGGTACTAACAGTCCCAATATATAGAGGAGGAAACAGAGCTACAGAGGTTGGTAACTTCCTCAAAGGCAATAAGAGGACAGATTGGTATTAAAACATACTCCAATTCCAAATCCTGTGTTTTTAAACCATATACAAAATTATCTCCTATTCATTTCTAGGAGTTTAGGAGCCTGACATTTAAAAATGAACACATTCTGTGATGCATGCATTTTTTTCTGACTTTTACATTGGACCAGTACAATCGGTTTATGTATGGTTTGCCCTCTGCCAGCTTTTCTTTGGACTCATTTGTTAATGACCAGGCTTTTCACAATCAGGGTATTATTCAGGCCCAGAATTCTAAGTAACACGCATTAGGGAGTGATAAGAAGTGAATGACTGCTGGAAATTGATGACCTATCTGATTGCCTTTAGGTAGCAGTGCAAAAGAGAACGCATTTTCCTTATGGCATCTCTCAAGTGTACAAATGAAGCATATAATACAAGGACACTATAGGTCATCCTAATCATTAGTCACCTTAAAATTTAGTTCATTTTATTTAAGATCATTTTGGATGCAAAAGTTTACCCTCTAAGTGCTTTGAAGAGTGCTGTCTCAAAATTGATTATTTCCCTTTGTGCCATTTCTGAAGGACATCATAAGCCCACTAGGGATATCCTTCCTGTGTAATTCATCTCTTTATATTTCACTTATTATGTAATTTTATTTCCTTAGAACCTCTACTATGATTCACTTCAAATAACTGCCATATTTGGGCCATCATTTTTTTTTCTCCTCTACCCCTTTTTCTGTTTGCTAAATTTTATAGATGATTTTGCAATTAATATTGAAACCTGTTATTATGAAATAGCTGTGTAAATACAGAAGGAGAAAAATCCATCTTCCTTGCTAACACATAAATGCAATCTGCGTATATAGGTTCAATGTGCCAAAAATCAAAACAACACCCTCAAATGCTCTTAATATGTATTGTAATAATAAATAAATGACAAGAGACAATAAATAAATATAAATTCAGTTTGGAGCCAGGAAGTTCTATATTAGGGGATGAGTCTACCATTTAATTGGGCTAGAAAATTCTACAGATCCAACTGAATTTCTATTCGCTTACTGATGTAACCCTTATTAATCAGAGAGGAAGAAACCTATCATAGGACTGTACACCACAGAAACAATGATATAGACACATGCACATACACACACACACCCCCCCACCCATAAACAGGACACTCAAAGTCCCTTACTAAAGGTGTAACTAATCCTGAAATGAAAGGTTGGTTGAAGTAAAGATACACAAAGACTATATGTTTCTATTAAAGTCTCCAGGCCAGTAATAGCATTAGGGTATCTCTCGTCTGGCGTAAAAAGAACACCTCAACACCTCTAAAATGACTGGAGGTGACTAGGGTTAAATGTGAACATTTAAATAGTATAAGGAGATGCCTCTGCTATGAAATAGGTAACTCTAGATTATCTGAGCTACTGTAGAGTTTTAAGTGCACATAATCATAGTAAGCTCTGTATAGACTCAGAACTTCTTGAGGGCAGAGGGATTTATATTCGTGACCCCTGACCCTTAGATGCAATGCATGGTTAACCAGTAGCCCTTAGGAGCAGCCTGGGCTTATCATGGAGAGTAGAATTTCTGGTGTCTGGTGGTAATAAAGAACAGAGTCACGTTTAGTTAGTTTTATAACTTTAAAATGCTCAAAAACATACTCTTTATGTCTGCACCTTCCTTGGTACACAACTGCCACATTTGACAGTGTTTATTTCTCCGGGGTCTCTTGTCCTGTAAGAGTCCAGCAGTGATGCCTGCTAATGGATCACAGCCCAGTCACCATGCTTCCGTTTCACCTATGTGCCATGACCCTGTGCAACCTCATGGCAGGGCAATAAGCATGCGCTGCAAAGAGGAAGAAAGGAGAGAGGAAGATCCTGGGAACTAATGTAGATTATGAAGAGGTGAAAGGGTCTAGAAACTCTGGGCTATAATCTGCATGTTTTCTCTATCAATCCTGCCTTATTGACAAACATTTGCTTTCTTGATAAAAACTTGGTTACCACTATATTCAGGCTGCATTCTGGAGGTGAGCTGGGCACAGATACTCTTTAACAAAACGTTTATCCTGATTCATTGTGACCTGGCCACCATTCTGGCTTTGACCTCCCTGATTATGGGACCACTGTGGCAAACAAAGATGAACCTCATTACAGAACTAGGGAAGGGATAACCAAAATGTACAGTCAACAATGGATCTCTCAGAATGAGTAACTTTCTCAGATTGGCAGGCAAAAGTCTGGCAAACGTGCCCTTTATCCCTGTGTTCTGCTGTGTGCCTCCTTTGCCCTGTGCAGCTAGCTGTATCTGAATGCTACACACTCCCACAATTACAGAATGTCTAGGTTACTTTATTCTGTAATCTGGAGAGGGCTAGAACTGGATGTCAGTCCTAAAACTTCCCCCAAGCCTGGTTCTTCTAAAGAGGACTGGACAGAGCACTGAGAAGGAGGACTTTATCTGATGGCTAAAGATGTGTTCATGGATGGGTGGGAAGCTAATTAGTTATCAAACAGATCATTCACTGCTGAGCCACTCTGTAGGGCTCTGTAATGGGCAACACAGTCTCTCACCCCATGTTGCCTTGTACTTTCCCTTATTTTATATTATAAACAAGCTTTACAGGTTAGCATGAAGACGGGAATAGGCTGTGTGCAGAAACAGACTGAGCCTACCTGAAAAGACCTTTGTTAACATCATAATTTCTGTTTTACATGTCAAGAAGGGTTTCTTTTTCCTTGGCTCTTGGGCTCATGCAGGGAAGAATATCATCATCATTTTCTTTGGTGGTACCCAGATTAGCTGGCATGGGCCGAGCTCAATGTCTTGCCTAAACTGAAAAGTAAATTTAGGGAAAACTAAAAAGAAATAGATAACTAAGGAAGCCTGTCTCTTCTTGTGAGATCATGCAATTGAACTCAGTGCCGGTGGACAGGCTGGCTTGTTTACAGACATAGAAAGTCTGGGAAGCTGGTTAGAGATGTGGATCATGTATTCTGAAACATCAATCAAAAGCTGTCATGTTTTGTTCTATACTATATGTATTCTTTATTTCCTATCCTTAAATTACTATCTCTCAAATGGTAATCTTGAGAACTGAAATACATGCAGGTAATTCAAAGCACACATGAAATGAACCACATGAGAAAAGATGCTAATATGTGAGTGTGAAACACTCTGGCCAAAATATACTCCATCATTTTCTTCTACACAGTAGAACAATGTATAGAAAGGGAGTTCTCACCTGGAGTCTTAAAGTTCCTTAGCTGAGAGGGAGTATCATAAACTTCAAGGACCCAGTCACCAGCAGCTCTTTCTCCCCAGCAATGAATGGTCATGAACTCCCAGTTTTTGAATCCTTCCATGGAGTGATCAAATAGCCTGAAAGTGAACAAAACATTGTTATGTGCGATATTTCAAATCCAATGAGGGTCTAGTTAATACCACAATCGACACTGTTTTTTGTATCCATTAGCAAGTTCAGCTGGGCACTAGAGCTGGTCTGCATCCTGGATGTCACCAATTTGCAGATATATATATATACATATATATATAAATCATTGTTTTACCACAGAGAAACAGAATTGGGGCTGGCTATGTAATAGCAAATCTGGAAGGGAGAACCCACTGGGGATCAGGAAAACCAGGTTAAGACTCTACCTACAAGACTGACAGTAGAGTATTGAAGACGTGGAGGAGCTAGGGCTCTCTTATACTGCTGATAGGAGTGCAAAATGATACGAGGCTCTGGAAAACAGTTTGACAGTTCCTATAAAGTTACACACACACTCACCATAAAACTCAACAATCCTCCTCCTACCTATTTAAACAAGATAAATGAAGACATATGTTCACACGAAAAACTTCATATGAATGTTCATAATTCCCCAAAACTGTAAACAACTCAAGTGTCCATCAACTGGTAAATGTGTAAACAAATTATGGTACAGTCGGCCCTCTGTATCTGTGGATTCTGCATGTGTGAATTCAATCACAGATTGAAAATGGATGACTGTATATCCATACAACAAACTACCCAGTAATAACTACTAATACATACCATGATATAAATGAATTTAAAAAACATTATGCTAAGTGAAAGAAGCCAGATACAAAAGACTACATACTGCATGATTCAATTTATACAATATTCTAGAAAAGGCAAAATTATACGTAAAGAAACAGATCAGTGGTTGCCAGGGGCTGGGGAGGAGTGAGGAAAAGAGGCATGGGGAATTTTTGAGGGTGATAGAATTGTTTTATATGTTGAAAGTAATGGCGTGTGGCTATACAGCAACACAGATTTGTCAAAACTCACTGAATTATTCACATAAAAAACTGAATTTACATTGTAGGTAAATTATGCTTCAATAAAAAGACTGCCCACTAATCTTATCCAGTTCAGGGAGTTATGCCTGAAATCCCAGCCTAGATCCTGCTCTTTCAGTCCTTCCAGTGATTTCCAAAGCTCCGAATTTGCAGTTTAAAATCTCTTCCTGCTTGAAATAGCTAGAATTATTCTGTTTCCTGCAATGGAATCCTGAAAGATATGAAGTATGAAGGGAAAGAAAACAAACAGATTCCCTTTCAAGAATAAAGAGACATTAATAATGTATAAAATTAACATATTAAGAAATAAGTGGGTGCAGCGGTTCATGCCTGTAATCCCAGCACTTTGAGAGGCTGAGGTGGGCAGATCACCTGAGGTCAGGAGTTCAGACCAGTCTGGCCAACATGGTGAAACCCCGTCTCTACTAAAAATACAAAAATTAGCCGGGTATGGTGGTGTACCTGTAGTCCCACTACTCAGGGGGCTGAGGCAGGAGAATCCCTTGAACCCAGGAAGCAGAGGTTGCAGTGAGCCTAGATCATGCCACTGCACTCCAGCCTGGATGACAGAGGGAGACTCTGTCTCAAATAAATAAACACATCACTTATGCAGGTATATAGCATAGACTTGACTACCCAAATAAATATCCCAAAGATACAGAAGACATTTTCTGTAAAGATGAAACCTACATAGTGGAAAGTGAAAGACGGGGCAAGTCCTTTTTGTATAGAACTTTAAAAAATGATGTTCATCTATTATTTCACTGAAAAAAATAAAAAAAGAGTAAAATATTGCAAGTGAGCGAGGCAAACAGAGAGGAAAAATATCTCTAAAATTTTCTTAGGGGCAATCATGTCCAGTTACTGGGATATTTCTCTCCTTCAATGGGGACAAATGGTAACAAACGTTATGGTAACTAAAGTTTGATGGCTATTCAGAACACACAAATCAACTCTCTTTGCTTTAATCTCATGTTTACCAGACAAACTGGTGGTTATAATTTGACCTTCTCTGTACCTCTTCCCATTGAGAGAAAATGTGCCCTTCTAAACATAAAAGTAACTAGTTCAGTCTTCTTATAACAATATATTAGAACTCTGATTTTTTAAAAACGTATTTTATCAGTGTGTCTGAGGCTCTTTCTAAAATGCCAGCAGGATTCTAAAGCTAAAGGGTTCAGAAACACAATTTTGGATTGTGATAGGTAAATGGCTAACACTTTGCAATATTCCCTAGAGAAAAGCAATAAACAGGAAAATCACCTGCTATATGTTCCTGAACCCTTGAAAGACAGAAAAATGAAAATTATTAGGCAGCATTCTCAGGTCTCCCATGGTCAAAAAATTTGGGAAAGGCTGAATCAAACACAGATGAGTAGAACTCTTTAATAGAGGACATCTCAGATCTTCAGAATATGCAAATGTGTTTTATCAATTTCCATAATGGGGTTAACTGGGAGGCAGTGATTTTCAAAGTTTACCTGGACATGAAGCCTATTCTCTCTCTCTTTTTAGAACATCTGTATATGATCTATAAAGGTTCCCTCTCGAAATAGAGGAGCGTGGCACTTCAATGAGGAACCAGGTTGGATCTGGCAACTTTGGCTCACAGTGACAAGGATGAAGATGGTAGCTTTTTACATGAATATTTTCCCACTGGAATGGGTCCTCAATAGAGAAAGGATGGTGCACTTTATGGAGATTCTACAATCCACTGAACAACCACAATCAGCTCATTTCACAAGTTTATGGCTTAAGACTAGACTTGGACAAGAAGAAATGGCTGTGTCATTATATACTTAACTTACATCCATTGAATCCCTCACTAAAAACCCACAACATGTGTATGTTGGGCAAGAAGACAACAGAGAAGGGGAAGAGGAGCTTTTTCAAACTGCCCTTTCTAACAGAGAGATGTTGTTAAAGGGAATATGTTGATATAGAAATGGCTAGAGGCAGAAAAGCAGTTTAGAACCACTTCCTTCCTTAAGTCCCACAGCTCCAGCTTAAGCTCTAATTCGTTGAGGCCATGGTGCCATTTGAGGGCACTGAAGCAATAACTTGTCACATAATACCTCTCCAAGAGTGCCGAACTTAAAAGCAGTTCCCAAACAGTTTAGACAGAACACTTGGCTCATTGCCTCACATCCAAAAACTACAAAGGAGACTTGAAGCTGCCATCACATGAGGGGCAGTCTTGTTTCCACAACCTCAGCCAACTTTTAATCACTCATGGGTCAATGATTTGACTGCTGGATTAGCAGACCCTACGTTTCTTCCCTTCCACCCTTTCCTGTCCACCTTTGAAAGTCATTTCATTGCTACCAATCACTTTCAAATCACATCGGGCACAAAAATTAAATATAAACTGACTGCCAAGAAGAAATATCCACAAATCAGAATTCAAGTAAGTGTTTCAAAGCCCAAACATAAATGAGCTCTGTCTATGTGGCTAAGCAGTTTTCCACCCCCTGGTCTCTTCACATTATTCAGAGTTGGAATGTTCATTAATTTCATGTGAATATAAGAGTTGAGGAGAGGAATGAAAATGCAGCCAAACACAACCATCACATTTTGCTGAAAGAGTTGATGGGGAAAAAAAAACAGGCACCAATGGTTGTTGTATCACCTAACTGGGCTTTACATTGCTAGTTTCATTCCGTCCTTTATAAGTACACATTGTTGTGTGTTTTAACTTGGATTCAATACTTCAGCTACTTCTTATTTTCTACCATTGTAACATTAAAGGAAACTGCATCTCTGCATAAAACAAAAGGTAATATAGCTTGTAGGTTTGCTTTGCATTGCAAAGAACATACTTGCTTAAGACAATCAAGTGTCGAACCATGGACACCTGCTACGGAGATTCCAATTGTGGGATCTTCTTTTATCAACTAAAAAGCTTAATGCCCAGCGTGAACATCCACGCTGTGCCAACAGTGAAGAGATCAGACACATGCCAACATTATTAGTGTGGGTAAAATGTCAATAAAGCAGAGCCAGTGTGCTGAAAGCCTAAGTACATTAACTCCATGCCTTTATCCACTTCTCTTGCAGTGAAATTCTGTCCTGTCAAAGTTGACTTCATAATCACGTGCTCGATGAAATGATATATGCATGCGATGGCACAAATTATGCATCCAGTTATTGAAATGGTGCCCCACAGCCCTATCCCTGCAAGTGGTTTCCAAATAAATTACTTTGGATGAAGCCTGGTAGAAAAGATGACCATCAAGTGTAGTATATCCTTTTGAGGAATTAACTCAGGAAATAACTTACATAATTACTGTAAGCTTTATTTCCCTTCCTCTTAAAGAGTCTAGTGAATGTATCAAGGCCACAGCATTCTTCTGTGATGTTATGGCAACTAAATAACAAGATGTTTTATAAATACTGACAGCTATGTGTTATCATATAATTATTTCTAAAATTGTAAATGGATCTTAATTTCAGAATCATCCACTACTATTCAAATGGTATTTATGTCCACTACAGAACTAGACATCAGGCTAATATTCCTGGAAATTTTCTCTTTTCTCTCTTCTATTTTTTATTTTTTTAAAGTGATTCATTACAATTTAAGGTAGAGCTTGAAGAACTCATTTGGCTCCACTGTAGTTGAGTTTTTGGTTTTCTTTAGATGTTTGGTTTTTGTAAGTTTTAAATAATTTCTTCTGATACAGGGTATTTAAAACATACTATTTGCTTTTTCTCTCTTTCCTAATCTCAATTACTTCTTTAAGAAAGATTGAGAAGGAGAAAGGAACTGGTTCTAGAGGTCTGTAATACCTAAAATGATAAGTTTTTTTTTTTTTGGTAAAAAACCTTCCAATATGCAAGCTATTATCAATTCATTCACCAACCCCAAAATGCATTCCTTCTTGTGGGTACATAAGTACTTAATCTTCCTCAAGATTTAATTCATTTTAGAGTAGATGGCTTTTATTGAAATATCTGTTTTATATTATAAGCCCCTTTGTAATTTCCTTGCACAGCATCCAGCAGCATACTGCTCCCAAGTCTTTTGATGACACAAAAGTAATAAGAATGTGTATGAAAAAGCTGGATGATCTTTTAAATCCTTGCTATTTAAAGTGTGGTCTGTGGACAGGCAGCTTCAGGATCACCTGGGAGCTTATTAGAAATGCACATCCTTGGACCTCACCGCAGACTGATAGAATTAGACTTTTTGGGAGAGGGACCCAGCCAACTGCATTTGATAGAGTCATGTACCAGGTGCTTGGAGAAGCACTGTGTAAATAAGAGTTACCACTTATTAAGTGCTTACTATGCTAGGCACTGTGCTAAGTATGTAACTGTACGTGATCTTAATACGTGTACCAACCAACCCTGTGAGGTATATACTATTACATCTATTTTATAAATGAGGAAATTAGGCTTTCTAAATTGAAACACAGATATCAGTGAAGTCAAGAAAAACCCAGCTCTGTCTAACTCCAAAGGCTGTACCTTCTTTTGAATGAAGGAAGAAGGTTCACGTGGTTGGGTGTTACTGGAATGTAAAACATTCACTGCAAAAGTGTAATTTTTACTGCAACCCACAGATGCATTTATATACCATGATGCCTTACAAATGTCAATAGTCTGTCATTGAACATTTGGGTAGGGAAGTGACAGAAATGACTGAAGCATAAACACTACATTTAAAATATATTTAATTATAGGACTCCATAGGTTTTGCAGATTAGAAAGTATACCTTCTCTCCATTTAAGGCCATAATTAGAAGCAGAGATATTCATCTGTAATTAAATTTAGAAAGGGAGGCAAAGTTTCACCTTTCAATCGAGGCCAAAATTTGGAACAGAGGGCCAGTACATCTAAGCTAAATCTAAAACTCAATAAGGGAGATTCAGGAAAAAAAAAAAAAAAAAAAAGACAGCTTTTTATAATTCTAACAGATGCAGCTGAAGAAAGAATCTGCTGGGATAAGCTTTTGTTTGAAAAATTTTGACACAGGCAGACTTTGAATGTGTCATAGTATATAGGCTTATATCTAAAGTTGCTCTCATCTAAAAACATTTTCAAAGGACCCAAGCCCACCTGGCTTCTCCCTACACACTCGACCTCCATGCTCTTTATGGAAGTAAATCACTTGCTGTGAATATTCAATTTGCCTTTTTGTTAGGCAGGGTATACAGGCCAAGGGGAGAACCAAGAGGGTGGGAGGGCAGGGGAAGAGCAAAGGAAAGTCCATTCTAGGACTTCTCCATTGACCCACGGCACACACCCACTGAATGATCCACGGGGCTTGCCAGGGGAGCATGCACGCCGGGCTAATGGGGCACAGAGCTCAAGCTGGACTGGAGTTCTGAATGCTGCTGAGTGCCTTCCAGCGCTTAGCACCTGCAGATGCTTGGGGAAACTGTTCCTCCTCCAACAGCTGTTCTTCACAGGAGTTCAGGCAAGTGCCCGTCAGCCAGGACAGGGAGCCACTGAGGGGCTCCAGACGGCCCACACAGACTACATCAACGTGTTCAGCACTTCTCAGAAAACAGACTTTCAAGGAATTCCTGTGGTGAGGAGATAAACAATTCTGAAGAAATTCCTCACTGAAATGTCTAAGTAAATGAGGACTTCTGGAAAGCCAACCATAAATAGTGACCATAGTTTCAGGTCCCCAGATAGGACGTATATTTTGTCAATACTGAAAAGGAGAGCACTGTCCTCTGGACTCTCCCCCTCTGCTTCATCCTCATTGTCTGGTCTCTGGTTTTTTCATTGCAAAGGAGAGGTGATGCCAAGTGAGCCTCCAGATTCTGGTTCCTTCTCCCAGGAGCCAACACGCAGCCTGCTGTGAGTAAGCCATGGAGCAGAGGAGCTGCTTCAAAGGCCTTGGGGAGTTTTCCACGTTGGCTGCCAGGCTAGTTAAGTGTGCAGTGTTGGAAATTCTAATTCGGGATGAAAAGAATCACCCCTACCCCCAGAGGGGTAGGACAGATAAAATGAGGAAAAGTCTGCCACAAGAAGCCAACATCTGCATCTCAAACCACCTCTGCTAGGGAAACATTGTTTTAAACTTTTCAGAATTCTTATTTAAGAAAAAAATCTTTGTTCTTTGCTTTACATGGTCCTCCTGAGAAATCTTGACTTCTCTGAAAAAAAGACAAGGGTCTGGCAGGGGAAATATTTATTGCTCTTACCAATCATCTCTGGCAAATTCCTTCTAAAACCTGACCTCTTCATTTTTTTTCCCCACCACAGAGACGGACTGCCTTGCATACCAACATGAAGGACACCAGGACCAAAGCAGGCCTTTGCTTCACCTCCTCTCCACCCCTTTCTGTGCCCTTGTTCCCAGCTCTCCATTCTGGGAATGTGCTTTGAAATGGGGCCAAGGTGAGAGGGCATGAGGCCTCCTTGCCACTAGGTCAGAGACTGAGAGGTTTTGAGGAGAAGTTTCCTCTAATGAAATGAAAGCTTCAGAATACTCCAGATGGATAGAGTGCCAAAAGAAACTGTCTTTCTTTAGCTGCCTCGGTAGGAGGGACGCTACCAGTGTCAAGCACAGCAGGAACGGGGGAGCCAGGCCTTGGAAGGTGGCCATTCATGGTTTTGGGACTGGGTGCAGCTGTTTCACATGGAAAGGGTCAGCTGCTCAGAGCAATAATTCTGCAGAGCTTGTAGACAAATGAATTCACAATATCCTTTACATCTCTTGGGGTCTCCAGCCCCCTCCAATCTCCAGGCTCTCTACCTCCCTTCAGTGGCTACTTATTTTCAGGACTGAGATGGAGGATAAACGAGAGCCACACTTGAAGAAACTGCTCCAGACCAAGAAGACACATTCTGGGAGCAAACTTTATTCCCAGGTGGTCTTGATGAGGGAGACTGAGGTGCGCTATAGGAGTGCCGGTCACCGCACGTCGGAAATGCCTGTTTCTTTTCTCCGACACAAGTCACGCAGCACTCTTGTGTTCAGCACTTTGCAAAGAGCAAAGCAGATGTTGGCTGTTGAAGAATGCATGCGAGCCTGAAGCCAGCAACACTGCAATCCACCAAATGCCTGTGATGGAATCCATAGCTCCTCTGCTCACAAGTTTCCTCACTGACGTCATTTCAGGGGAAGCCAAAAATAAATAGCGGAATATGCAGGAAGAGCCCAGACAGGCTGAAGAGGTTGAGTTTTTCAAGCAAACAGCAACAGCGGAGGGACTGTTTCTCTACAAGGAAGGGGGCTCGGGGGAACACGATCCACACATGTGAAGCAAACCTTTGCACTTCACAGTATTTCACCAGGATACATTTTCAAGTTAAACCCAGATGAATAATGGTAAAGAAAAAAAAAAAAAGCAAGAAATAAAGGCCTTCCCTAGCTTCGGTAACCACAGCTGGAGAGACTTTCATTAATCACGTAATTGTGTATCTGAAGTTTTGCTTGCTGGAAAGAAACCTCAGGCAGGTACCTGCAATTACCCTGCAGGCGGCCTGCTGAGGGCTCTTTGTCTGCAGTGGGAGGAGGACATGAGGAAGTGCCCAGCGATCCTATGCTGAGGAATCCTTATGTTCCTTGCACCTGCATACACTTATTGTGGCAAAGCTGCACATCACATTTAAAGTACTAAACCCAGGTTTCCCATACACTAATGGAAGACGTCAGATTTGAAAGAACACAGCAAGTCTAAGCACAGAAATAAAATGCACATGAAGATTTCAGATTCCGGGCTGCACGCAGTGGCTCATGCCTGTAATCCCAGCACTTTGGGAGGCCAAGGCAAGAGGATCACTTGAGGTTGGGAGTTCAAGACCAGCCTGGCCAACATGGTGAAACCCCGTCTCTACTAAAAATACAAAAATTAGCTGGCTGTGGTGGCGTGTGCCTGTAATCCCAACTACTGGAGAGGCTCAGGCAGGAGAATTGCTTGAACCCAGGAGGTGGAGGATGCAGTGAGCCGAGATTGTGCCAACACTGCACTCCAGCCTGGGCAACAGAGCAAGACTCCATCTCAAAAAAGAAAAAAAAAAAAGATATCAGATTCTGTACTCCTAGTTGCTATAAGCCAGAAAAGTTATTGTTCTCTCCTTTTCTCACTGTCCTATAGTAGATGAAGTTAGGGATTTTTAAAAGCAACTGGCAAGTTCGGTCTCACTGTTGGCCGTGCAGACTTTCATGGGCCTCTTGCCTCTCAACACCTCTGGCCTGTTGTTAGTGTTCTAACAAAGATCACCTCTGCCATGGTCACCTGGTGTGTGGACAAGTGGCTATGTCTATATAAAAGGTTGACTTTCATTTGAACTATATATGCCACTGATAAGAAAGTTTTTGCTCCCATTAAATGTTCTTCTGAGAGAAAAAAAAATCAAAGAAGCTTTAGGCTTTGGGCTGTGGTTTGTCATTTAGAACCACCATGAGAACGAGGATCACAAGAAAAGCTGACATCTCCCCTCTCCGGTCCCACTTGCTAACAACTTTCTCCCATGCTCCCAACCACTCAAAAAGCCAAGGGAGCAAAAGAAAATGAGTGATAGAACATTCTGGCCACATTGTCTCAGCAGGATCTTGGCCTGTACAAAATACAGTTACTTATATGCTGGGGAAGTGTTTTGGAGGAAGCAGGGAGGAGAGGCTAACAAGCGAAACTGAATACCCTCTAGGGCAATAAAGACTGAAGAGTCAGCTGGGCGCGGTGGCTCATGCCTGTAATCCCAGCACTTTGGGAGGCCGAGGCGGATGGATCACGAGGTCAGGAGATCGAGACCATCCTGGTCAACGTGGTGAAACCCCGTCTCTACTGAAATACAAAAAACTAGCCAGGCATGGTGGGGCACGGCTGTACTCACAGCTACTCAGGAGGCTGAGGTAGGGGAATCGCTTGAACCTGGGAGGCGATGACTGCAGTGAGCCGAGATCACACCACCGCACTCCAGCCTGGAGACAGAGTGAGACTCCGTCTCTCAAAAAAAAAAAAAAAAAAAAAAAGGACTGAAGAGGCAACCTTAAAAACAGGGGTGAGCAAACCATAATCCTCAGGCCAAATCTAGCCTGCGCCTCTCAGTAAGTGAAGTTTGATTTGGCACACAGGCACCCGTATTCATTTATATTGTCTAGGTGGCTTCTGTACTCGAATGGCAGAGTTGAGTAGTTGGGATAAAGACCTGGCTTACACAGCTCAACACATTTATTGTCTGGCTCTGTGCAGAAAAAATCTGTTAACACCTGCTTTAAAAAATTAGAATTTCCTTTAAGTTTTGAAAGTAAGTGCTTGGGCAAGAGAATTCGGTTAATCTGTAACGAATGACAACAGATACTTAATGGTGGGGGAGGGGATATCAGAGGCCTTACGAGTTAGTGCTCTGCAATTCTTTTGTAGGATCAAGAACAAGTGGCCTTCAATTTTTCTACTGCATCCTTTTCTTAGCCAACTATTAAATGCCCCACTTTTCCACATCTACAGATTATAGGCAGCTTCACACTCTCTACTTATGAGCAGTGAGATCCTGACATCTAAGCACCCCCTCTGCTGGTTCCCAGGTTAGGTGAAAGCAGCAGCTGTTCCCTTCTACCTAAGGAATAGCCGAGTGTCGCTGTGACTACTACACTGGTGGGCAGAGACCACTGCTGTACCTGTTGGCCAAAAGCTGAGACCTAGTTCCAGAGGGCGAGGTCAGGTAGATGGCCAGGTCTCCTCTCCTGGGGTGGGTGATGGTGATGCGCACAACGACGTGCTCCAGGTAGTTGACATGGCGGTTGGGGTTATCCGAGCAGCCTGAAGCTTTGTAGATGGAGCGCACTGCACTGTTAGGGCGGATTGTCCTGTAACAGAGAGAGATGGAGAGTTTGAGCAAATGACATCACAGAGCTCAGGTGAGTGAACCTGGAGGCATGGAATAAATACACAATGTAAGATAAGCAGCTGATAGCTGGATACTAAACAACAGTGCTATCACCAAAATAACTGGGTCACTGAAAGGATTACCAGTTAGTGGGAAAGATGCAAGGGAGAGGTGAAAAAGGAACAAGGTTCTTTCATCTTCATGAAGGTAATAGATCTCAAACTGAGTATGCATTGATGTCAGCTTGTTAAAACACAGATTGCTGGCCCCAGAGTGTATGATTGAGTAGGTCTGGGATGGATCTCAAGAATTTGCATTTCTAACAAGTTCCCAGGTGATAGTGACGTAGCTGATCTATGGAATACACTGTGAGAACCACTTACTGTGGTACAGTGGAGGCTTGGGGATTAGCATAAAGGGGGTTCACATCCCTTGCTCTGTAACCCACCAGCACATTCTTCCCTCTTGTCTATAGGTTCTCATCTTCCTCTCTAGCTTCCTCCTGTGCCACAGTTCCCCTTGAACACTAGGCTGCAGCCACAATGGCATCAGGTTCAACCTCTGGGATAATTCAAGTTTCCCACCTTGGGGACTTTGCACACACTACTCTGCCTGAAGTACTTTTGTTGTTGTTGCTGATGTCCCTACGGCTAACGCTTCTTCCTTCAAGGTCAAAGCTTAAATTTCCCCTCCCTGAGACCTTCATCGAGCCACAGGTGAAAATATGTCCCCTATCTCTTATTTTTCACATTTTTTAAATTTCCAACATTTGTTTATTAGAATTTGTAATTATATACTTATTATTTTTTTTGGTGTGATACCTCCATTAGACTGTAACCTCCACAAGGGTAGGAAGTATTACTTATTCTCCTTTTTATTCCTAATGTTTTGCTCAGTGCTTGATATTCAGTAAGTGCGAGAAAAATAGTTACTTAGTGAATGAGTTTGTGAATGAATAAATAGATAATTCCTTTGATTCCATTTCCACATTTTTCAAATGAGAATAATACCCAAGTTGTTACACAGCTTCAAGAGGAAAACATACATGAAGTGTCTAGCCCTTGGCATGGCCCATAGTAAGTGCTCAATAAACACTGGTTAACTTTCCACCCTTTTGTTTTTTCTCTCTCATTCTTTGCCACAAGAGTAGAATGAAAATAAACTCAAACAACTTTAGTTGATTTACTTCTGCTTCCAAACAAATTTTCTCAAGAATGACAATGTCTCTAGTTTCATCATCAACCAAAGTTCAAAAATATTTTTCAGAGAGAAAAGTCTCTGAACAGAAAGCCAAGAGCAAAACACTAATAAGCCTACTAAGATAGAATCCTGTTGGCAAACCCTGTCAGCACAGCTTCCAAGTTTGTGCCACTAAAACTGGGGAATAGGCCCTGAAAGCTGTGAGTAAACTGCAATCTCTTTTACCGTACATTTTGTACCACTCTTTGGATAACTACGCAGTATAGAGTTGTTACAGTTTTTAAAAGTACACTGACTTCTGGAGAATACTTGCACCATCAAATAGAAATATCGACAGTAGAAAACTTTCAAGAGCCCAGGGGTAAGCATATCCCCCAATCCCTTTTTTAAAGATGCTTTTCTTTGAAGGATTCTTGGGCTATACTAGTACGAATTTAACCGCTCAGAATCCTAGCCGTTCTATTACCATTTCATAGTCACATTAGAGAGAAACTACAGAAGCTTTTAGCTTCTGTGTGCAACAAGAGGCTGTCTTGAGCAATTGACTGGCTTGCTCTATTTTGGGGCATTGTCATGCTGTTTGCCGGCAGCAAGCATTACTTGATTTGTCGGTCTGTGCTCTCCACACACACGTGCTGCCGGGGAACGGTGGTCCACTTCTCTGCCTCCATCACCATGGCTTCTGCGTCCATCAGTCCAAATCCATAAAGATGGCTCACTGTGGAAAGCGAGAGACTGGTCAGCTTCACTAAGCTACATAGGTCAAATTATAACGTCACTCAGTAGAGACCCCAGACACCACCCTATGGGATCCTAGCTATCTTTCCAGCAATGATTTGAGAAATAAATCCAGCAAAACAAATACATAGTCATGTCAAGAAAATAAGACATATGTACAGTTTTCATTGACTATCTATCACTACCAGTAATATGCCTATCATTTATGAATTGTTACTCCATGCCAGGCACTAGTCTACAGTTTTACATTTAGTTCTCCCAACAATCTTCAGATGTTAGTGCCATTATTATATCATCATTCATTAATGAGAAAGCTGAAGAACAGAAAAACTTGGCCAAGATTGACTAGCAAGTCACTGGTCGAACTAGATTTTAATGCACGTAGTTTTTCTCCAGGGCCCCACTGTTTAATCACTTGCATTTAAGTGATGACATCACTGCTTTCATAAGATAAAATAATTAATAGGTTTAAAGAGAAGTAACAATGTATATGACTTCTCATAGTGCAAGAAGAACTTACATACAAGAGATGCTAACGTTCTGACATATCTAGTAATTAGGTTGACTACCTTAGAAGACATAAATTATTACCTTTCTTCTAGCATATACAAAATTTATTAAACTTTATCCAGGAAATATTTGGAGGCCTCTAGACTTTTATGCCAGCTTCAGGTCTTTGAATCTTTTGGTTCTCAGTTAGCAAACCTATTGATCTAAAGCTGAATTTGACATAACTGTCTCAGAAACTTCAATTAGATATAGGAATACTTGACTGATACAGTAATATATACATGTGCAGATCTTTCTAAAAATACTTTAAAATTCCAGTTGGCACTTAAAATCTCCACTTCTTATTGAACTGTCTCTTATAACTTTACATTCAACACTATGTCATATTTCCAGTTTTTGTCTAAAACATTTTTTATTATCATCACATGAATGACTTTATGCAAACATTTATGTAGCTGCCCATACTTATGGATTACTTAAATACATCAGCTTGATTGTCGCGATGTGCTCAGATGTAGTTCCATTCTACTTGCAAAACAACCTCATCACCAAACCTTTGCTTTAGGAAGGCCCCTCTTAGAGACCCCAGTCAGAGGCTGCTCTTTCTGCCCCACTGCCTTTGTCCAGGCTGAGAACTTGGCCTGACAACCCCTCTTTCTTTCTCTCTGCAGAGTTAAGCCCTACTCTTATAAGTTCCTGAAGGCCTGGCTAGTCTATCTTTTCCTTCTTGAAGTACTCTCTGACCAATGAAATAGTCAAAAGACATTTACTGAAATTTGACTATCTGTGACCAGTGAACTTTTCTCCTTTCTACTCTGGTAACTAATTAATTTGTCAATCCATCTGCCCTTCTGTCCATCCATCCATCCATTCATCCATTCATCATCCATCCCTCCATCCATCCATCATTTCCTGAATGCCTTTGATGTACCACACACTGTTATCAGGCACTGCACTTTTATCTGTGCCATCAATTGCATTGCCAATTAACTCTCTCTGTCAGCATATGTCTTTTTACTCCAGCTGCATTATAAACTGCTTGATGACAGCAACTGGGTCTTGTTTCTTTATATGTTCTATGTTAACAGAACTTGATGCACATAGAGGACAAATAAACTATAGTATATAAAAACGAACACTGTGCTAGGTTGAAAAAATTACTGCCTTAATTATGCGATTTGCTAATCACATAATTCTTAGCAAACCAGAAAATAATACACAATTTCCTTGTTTGGGGATGTTATGATCTATCTCATCTACATTATTAAGTTCACTGAGCTCTATGTGAGAAAATCTGTGTAAAGAAACATATGAATGTAAGGTCTCCTTACTTTAATATCAGGTACTTAGCCAGATAGGACATATTAAATAAAAAAAGTAAACCTATTTTGCTATGGCACGGATAAATGTGGGAGTTTTATACAGGTACTTCTGCAATTTTTATTATTTTTTTAAATTAAAAAGTAAGCATATTCATTTTAAAACATCTTATCCAGAAAATAAACAAAATGAAAATTATCAAAAACCTGATCACAAGTTGATAAGTTTTATGAACAATTCTGAATATTTAGTTTTAGTTCCGTAACATCATGAGGGGTAATTAAAAAGGGACAGAGGTACTCACATGATACAGAAGAAATGTCAAATTTGGGCTTAAGGAACTAAACTGTGGAGATCTTTTGTAAAAGTTCATGAGAATCATTATGTTCTTACTCATCATTTAACCATAGCCTATATACCAGGTCATCATGGACAGTTGATGGTATTTTTCCCCTACCCTGGGGAAATTGAAATTTTTACCAAAGATGTTATGTCAGGAGCTCTACCTCCGATCAGTCCTTAAATATACCCCATGCTAGTGTCAAGTGGTTTTAAACTAGCACAACTCATCATTTTATTTCAGTTTAGGGAAATAAGATGAAAGATTCGATTGGCATGTTGGGGGCGTGGAGAAGGGAGGTGGGGACTTGGACAGGGCCAGGGCTTTGAGCTGTCACTGCAATACCAGGTACGTGCCCCACCTGAGCGCCCATGCTTGCACTCAGCTGCTCTGGCTCCTGTTTTCACTCTCCCCTCCTCCAGAACTGTCCACCTAACAACCATGAGGACATAAATTAACATGAACAATCAGATACAGCAAACACTTCATGCCTGTTAACCACTTAAGTAGAAAAGCACCTTGAGACTTTATGAAGGCCATAAATTTGTTTCCTTTTCCAATTCAATTTCTACCCTCCAGAGACAATGTCTGTTCATGAAACACTCAAAGTAGATGCTCGGAAGAGAGGCTGACTAGCTACAGTTAAACTGCAGACTGGTCAACCGAAAAAAACTTCATACTAATATAATATTAATGAACAAGAAAACTGGTTGCTGAGTAGATCAATGAAGGTCACTAAGTCAATAAGGGAAATTGCATAATAAATGTGTTGGGCAGAGGAACTCCCTCAAAATCTGGTGTGAATACGGGAAAGAGCCATTATGCAGTTTGGAAGCACTAACAATTTTTTATATACAATTTTCATACTCAAAATGACCTGTAAAGAGAGAAACATTGACGTTTTTGGTGACCATTTGAGTCAAGTCTGTCTTGCACATCTACTGTTACCCTGAGGGGCTCCCAAGGGTTCAGAATATGATTCTCTCCAGGGGCTGTGAAATGCCTGGCTTGGAGCAGGGCTTTCATAAATATTTGTGAAATGAATGAATGGTGCCTAGAAGAGAAATGTTATTTAATTCACCAAGTGTCATAAAGCGTTTACCAGGGAATTGTAAGGGGAAATTAAGAGGCCTGTTCTTTTTATTACTGATTTCTGTAAAGGCACCCTTAACGTTTGAAATTTACTCAAGGATAGAGCCAATATTCACATTTTACAATGTACAATTATAGCAAATATACCATGCAAACAGTTGGTTACGATACGGCCATTCCATAACGAAAGTAATCTTATTTATGCACATTTCTCACACCCAGTTCAGAGCAAAAGCTGAGCCTGAATATAATTTTATGACGATCAAGTGGAAGCCACTCTGTGCAAGCACTGTGTAAAATGCAAAATTCCATGAAATCAGAGCACTATTAACATTGGTGTGAACAGGAATCCCGACCAGTTCAAATAGAATTTTTCATTCCTAAGAGTGGGGGCAGAAACATTCAATTCAGTTTTAATCTTAGTTAAAATTCAAAAATCAAATATTAAAAACATATTGAGGGAACAAGTTATGTATACAGAATAATTAAAGATCTTGAAGCAGAGTTACTGGAGTACATTTCAGAAAGTAAATTTATTTTTTAGTGGAGTGAGGTAGGACAGGCTCTGTTTCAATAAAGGAGGTTTGCAAAACTTGCCTACTGTTATATCTGTTCCTTTAGAGTTCAGGGCTGCTTACATTTTGATAGGTATAAGATATCAGTTGAGGTCTCACAAATAGGCTCATTTATGCACATAAGCTCAGGAAAGCCGTTTCATCTTGCACCAGAAGTACAGCTAGTTTTTATTCAAAGCTATCCAAAGGCTTCCCTGCTTGGAATAGTCAGATGGACAAGAGAACACAGGAAAACAGTTAATATTCTCTGGCAGGTATATTCTTATTTTCTGATGAGACCGGAAGTGCTGAGAGAAGATAATTGTTAGGCGCACAAGTAGGTAATTGCATAGTTTGAAAGCAGATTCAGTTAATATACGTAACAGCTTTGGCTAAGAGGCCTAAAAGACTCTATTCTAAAGATAAGCTAGAAAGCTCAGCAGGAAAAAAAATAGAAGTTTCTGGGCATAAGAAGCTGTAAGCAGGAAAATTGGGTATATGTTCATCTCTTTTAGTGGACTGTCCTTACTGGAGCCAGCTATTTAACATTTTTTAAAAATTACACTGAATGGATATTTCATGATGACACTAACACGATTATTAGTAAATCACTCTATAAGGAATTGACTGGTTGAAAACAGTTTGAGCTTCCTAAAGTGAAAGAGGACCTTTCTGCTAAAACACAGTGTTATGCAGCATCCCGCAAACAAATAAATAAAATAGGGCAAACAAATAAAATAAGGCAAACAAGCAGCAACAAAAACTCTCTCCAAGGAGCCTAGGAGAAACTTTAAATTTTGCCTATACCTGAAAAAATGCAACTTAGTAACCACTATCCATTACTGAGTATTTAATGTAAAAGCCCAGCTAAAATATCTCCTATTCCTTATGACCAGGGAGAGTAAATGTCCAGATTTGCACAGGACTGTCTGATGTTAGCACTGAAATGCTTGTGCCCTGGGAATTCCCTCATTCCTGGGCAAACCAGGAGACTGGTCACCGTACGTGCAACTGAAATCAGAATGTGACAGTACTATGGAGAGAGAGAGAGTACTCTCCCAGCTGTTAATATCAATAATCTAGTTCCTAGAGGGCAGTCAGGCATCCTGCACCTACATTTCTATTTGTTCGGATGCACATAACCATCAAAATATGAAACGTGGCCGATAAATTAGATTCAATTATTTGATTATTCGAAAGCATCAGTTTCAATATACTTCACCAATATAAGCTAATAATTGATCCAATTAATTATTATATCACTCAGGTTGTAAAGCACCTACTCTGTATTCAACACCATACTCAACAGTGAGATCCAAATGCAACAGAAAATAATTTGTGTTCTCACTCAAGTAGAAGGTGAGACAAGAATAACTTTATAATTTGAGAAACAATTAAAAGCACCAAACTGCATAATTACTGTAAGTATAAAAGGACATCCAAAGAGTAAGAAATCAGTCAAATACAAGGGCTATCAAGCAACCAGGTGTATAGTAAGTACTCAATCCATGTGAGCCAAGATCTGCAGTTAAGGTAACCTGAGGGGAAAGTGATCCATATTTGGATTGTGCTTTCATGCATGTGTAGGATTTAGTTAGGTGGAGGACGAAGGTAGCACATCGCAGGGGCCAGGACTGAGCATCCTGGTTAGATAATTAAGTCTTTCTGTGGTTCGTTGAGGCACAGAGGAAACCAGCATTCCTGCAGTCGGGTGAATGGTCAGCAGGGGAAGGGGAGAGTGGTAAGTGTGCAGGGAATAGAGGGTGAGACCAGACTGCAGGAGAACTCAAAGACAACCATGATTGCTGGGTGTCAGCTGCCATCAATCAAGTTGTTGCTATTCTCATCTACCTATAAGTAAACCACCAGAATAAAAGGTAGTTACCCAAATTCCCTTCTTGAGGAGGGCTGCTTGATCTGTGGGCTGGGTAGAAATTCCGAACCAGAGATCAAAGAGCTGCCTGCAGCTGTTGCAGTCCTAGCACCTTTGGATTCTTTGATCCTCAATGTGCTGAACCACCTGCTCTGAAATAACTGCTCCCACCAGGGACCCTGTGCCTCCCTCACCTACTAATCAAACCAGGCCAAATGTGCAGGACAGGAGGAGAGCATGAAACTGAGAGGACCTGGGACGCTTTCCCAAGTTGCCACGTCCCACACGCATAATGTAAACACCTAAGTATAGTTTTTTTTTTTTTTTAATGTAAAAAGAAACAGCTAAATATGAAAACAAAATGAAACTTCCTACGGAAGAAAGAAAAAGTGGGAAGTGATACTTTTCAGTCTCATGTCGGCAGTTTCACACCTAAATATCTGATAGTGGAAAGCCAGAACGCTCCCAGAAACACTTACTTCTTCCTCTGTCTTATTCCCTTCCTCCGCTACCTCTTCTTCGCGTACTCTTATATTTCAGTGCGAAAGGAGCATGAGCTTCTTAGAGAGAGATTCAGAACTATAGTTGCAATGTTTTCTTCTGCTGCTCAGTGCAAAAATGCAGACTCCCTTGGGGTAGTAAAACGTAGCAGCTGGCACCTGTGTTCTGCTGCCTGGTATTTATTTATTATTTATTTATTTAGAGATGGAGTTTCACTCTTGTTGCCCAGGCTGGAGTGCAATGGTGTGATCTCGGCTCACTGCAACCTCTGCCTCCCAGGTTCAAGCAATTCTCTTGCCTCAGCCTCCCCAGTAGCTGGGATTACAAGCATGTGCCACCACGCCTGGCTAATTTTGTATTTTTAGTAGAGATGGGGTTTCACCATGTTGGCCAGGCTGGTCTCGAACTCCTGACCTCAGGTGATCCGCCCGTGTCAGCCTCCCAAACTTTTGGGATTACAGGTGTGAGCCACTGCGCCCGGCTGCCTGGTTTGTTTTTATTTTTCCTTTGCTCTTCCTAAAATCTCAGGCTCTCATAACAACTCCAGCCAGATCCAAACATGCCAGCCGTCACCAGTGCTACTGAGAACTTGCACATGGAAAGTTTCCAGATACTGTCTCCTGGGCCTGCACTTCAAAGCTACTCTTGGGGATGGGTTTGGTCAGCAGCTGTACATAGTCAGACAGGCTCTTTAGTACAGACTAAGGAAATGGAGTTCAGGAAAATACTGCTGAGCTCCTCTTCTCCACGCACTATGTACTTCATTATACACATATAGGAATATAATGTTTATATATACACACACAATTTATTATATTCTGTATGAACATACAGAAACATATTTATTACTATTTGTTTCATTTGCAGAGTTAAAACAAGAAGGAGATATGTCTGCTTTCTGTCAAGGGCCTCTATCCATTTTAAGAAAAGAAAAAAGTGTCAGATTATTTTCTTATTTTCTTCTGACCAGTCTTCATTTATTTGCTCCCAGCATGGTTACAATAGGCAAGTAATTTGCTTAAGATAATTGATGGGTATTTCCTGAACAGGAGTAGGAAAACTACTATACCAGCTTGGGGAGACCCAGCCATGTAACCCACATCATATCCAGATCCCATTTTTGCTTGTTTTTAGGAATGACTGTCTGGACAAAGATGAGAACAAGATAAAAAATGTACTACAAGGGCCTTTGGGTAAAGGCTAGTTGAAGATTAGATTGACCATATGTCAGTTCCCCAGCCTAGATCTTCTTGATGTAAAACTTGAGCAAACAATGAATGAAATGGGATTTTGGTTAGCCGGCAGCCAAAATTCCTATTTGTGGATTATTTACATATTACTTTTAGATAATTCTTTATTTAATTTTCCTTTAGTTTTGCTTTGCTTTTCCCTTAAGTTCTCCTAAGATAAGGGAATAGAGAATTTAGTTGACATTTATTTCAAGTGAGTGCCTGTTTACTCAGTGGTTAATAGTAATTACAAAGATTTGGTTATTTCATCCAGCTACACATCCATCAGCTGACCTCACAAGGAGCCTTCTTCACCCACTGTTGGAGGTGATGATGGCAAACAAAGAAAAATTATTCCTTGTCACTGGGAATGTCACTATTTCACTGGGAAGAAAGCTACCACATATCCTTCTCAGTTTCTGCCACTATGTAGGCTTCTCAGGAGCATTCCCTTTTATTTTCATAAAACTCAAATGATTTTTAAGCTTAATGGATGTCAGTAGGGAAATTTCTGTAAAATTTACGAAAAGTAAGCCATTACTGAGAACTGGATGTTCTTTTAGAAGAAATAAGACTTGAGATGGCTCTTAAATCCTTCAGTAAGATTTGGATTCATGGAGAGAAGGTAATGAGACCAGAATATTTGGAATGGTGACATTTTCAAGGAAGCTGTGTGGTCCTGGAATGCACGGCTGGATTTACTCTGGAGGCAATGAGGGCCAACGATCAAGGAAATGACATAATTGAATTGATATTCTGGAAAGATTAATCTGGGATTTGTTATACGGGATATCAGAGGCAGAAGGACTAAGGCAGGGAACCTATTGCAATGGTGCAGGCATGTGAGATCATAAACCAGGTTATGGAAATGGTGAAAGAAATGAGAGATCAGGTAAGGAAGAAGCAATGGAGTTTTGCAATTAAAACTGGAGGTGACCAAGGAGTCAGGAACAGGGTGATGGACAGAAGGGTATCCCCTGTCAACAGAGGCCAGCTTTGGGGAGAAGTTGTTTTGTGAAAGATGACTGATGGCTTCTGTTTTAGAAGTTCTTAGCTGTAAATGACATAGAGAGGGCCTTGTGCAGAGATTCTAGATCGGTAGTGGATGAAGTCAATGTTGAAGACGTAGAATTGAAAATCTTTGGTGAAGACATGATCCTTGTAACTGAAAAGAAGGCAGATATGTGAAAGAAAAGCAGTGGCATTAAGAGGATGGGAGAGGAAAGGAGAGAGGGAGAGAGAGGGAGAGAGAGGGAGAGAGAAACTCCCTCCCTCTCTCTCTCCCTCTCTAAGCAACAGACTTCAGGGAATGGCTAAGGTTAAAGAAAGGGAGAAAAGAATAAGTAAAGAGCCAAAGAACCAGGGCTGTATCTTTGCATCATTAAAAACAAAGAGAGATCTAGACCGGGTTGATCTAGAGCATGAATCCTAGAGGAAGACAATAGGTCTTCCGATTTGGCAAGCAGGAGATGGGTCAAAGTTGTAGAATAATTTCCCTTCAAAGGTGGAAGTAGAAACAATAAAAGTAGAAACAAGATTGCAAAGAATTACAGAAGGACTGAATGAACTAAGGAAATGGACGCAGCTAATTCAGACTACTTGCAGGGAATTTTTAGCTGTGAAAGGAGGGAGGGAACAAAGGCAGTAGAATGGAAAAGGTTTTCTTTTTCTTTTCTCCCCCTTTACGAGTGATACAAAGTTTGAAAACATAGGGTCATGGTCCAATTGACAGAAAAAAGAACAGATGTGGCTGGGAGCAAATGGCTCAGCAACTGACAAGAGATGTTTGGGGAAAACCTTTCACAACTTCCTTATTGAAACAGCAGGAAAAACACAATTTGAGAGACTATTTTTTTGTTTCTTCCAGGGATGGCACTTTATTCTTCTAAGGATGGCACTTCCAGATGCACAGGAGAGAAGATAATTCATTACATATGGGGGGCGACTTGGGACAGTAGTCCTCAAACTTGCATGTGTATCGGAATCACCCAGGACTTGCTAAAGCACACATTTCTCAGTCCCAGTGATTCAGGAGTTTTGAGGTAAGGCCCAGAATGTGAATTTCTAACATGCTTTCAGGTGATGCTGGTATATTGTTGGTCCGGGGACCACACTTTGAGAACACTTAGGTTATTAGGGATGGCATCTCCTGGCAAAGTCTGATTAATTAGGCTAACCTCTCCAGCATAGGTCCTGAGACTCTATAGGCATGATTCTCAAATACCCCTTCCCTCATGCCAGGAGCAAAAGAAATGAGAGTTGACTGCACAGTATATGATGTCAGTATCTTTTTATATGGTTATCCCAAATATTTCTGCTTCTCTTACAGAAACATTTTGAGAAGATAAAAGTTCCCTTAATTAACCTAGACTTGCATTATCACTCACACTTCAGGGACAGATTGGTCTAGATACTTCCTTCTTTGAATGCACATTACTTAAGGCGTTAAGTACATATGGCATTGTTAGGAAAGAATCAGGGTTTGACTGAGTTGAGATGAAAAATCATGCTCAGTGTACAAAGGTGAAAACAGAAAATGCACTGACTTGTCTATTTCTGAATCCTACTGCCCCTACAACTGAAGCACATTTAATGCATTGAGCATGCTTCACAAAATGAGAGGCTGAGGGGAAATTTTATAGGGGAGGCAAAATTCATATCTTACATATGTATTTTATTACACAGTAGCTAATAAAATCTTCACAATGATCTTATTAGCAAGATGGTATTATTCACATTTTCTAGCTGAAGAAACTAGGTCTCATGAACATGAAAAGAAGTTGTGCAAAGTCATAGAAACTCAAGCTCAAGTCTTCAGAATTTCTTTCTACTATATATTTATCCATTGATTACTGTGGTCTACAAGACATACAGTATTTCTTTCCACTAAGGTACTCAAATCAATCATAATCCTCAGAATAATCCTGCAAGGTAATAAAGGGGGAAAACATATGAGGAAATCATCTACATAACTTATCTTTTCCAAGTCAACCACACAAAGTACTGCTCTCATCTTCAAAACTTCAGAACTCATTAAAACATCATGTGCAATATATATATACACATATATATATATACATACATGTATATATACATATTTATTTATTTATATGTTGGACTTGGAAGGAAAGTTTAACATCTGGTCCCTAACACTTTCCCATATTCTTGCTGAGAAATGACCTTCTTCAGTCATTTCTATCAGGGATTTTCTGTGAGTGTGAAGATATTAATATGGAAAAGATACTTTATTTTATATTCACGCTTTGGCTATTTTTTTTTATTAGAGCTAACCAGGCACTTATAGATGGAAGAATGACATTGAGTATCAAAGAGCAACTTCCCATTTGTTAACATCCAGCAGTGATCACAATAGCTTTCTTTTTGGCTCTTTCAAGGATGACTTTGGAAATTTCAGGGGGAACTGTGTCTTCTGGTATAATACCATAAAATGAAGCCTGTTGAAGCCATTACTGGGACATGTGATAGAAGTTTAATTGCTTTGAAATGCCAAAGGCTAGCAAGATGTGAGCATGTGTAAAGAGACTGAATTGAGATTCTAAGAAAAAAAAAAAGAGTCTGGATCTATTTATTTCCCAGAAGATGTATCCAGATGGATTCTGCAAAGCAACTGCCTGGAGTCTCACTTTATAGTGCTAGGTGCACTGGCCTTGGAAGTCATGCATAGAACCAGGGAAGGATTAATTTTCAGCATTTCTTTTTGAGCCTTTGGATTTGGTTTATATTACAGACATTGGCACCAATACAAAGATCTCTCTAGATAACAAAATAGGATAGGCTAAGCCATCTTTAGTAAAATTAAATTTGGAAAAGATGTAATCATAAGCCCCCTTTCATCTTGTTTATTTGGGCCCTCTTATTGATCCTCAACTAGTTTCCACAGTGCCCACTTACCATGGTCTCAGTGTGGTCACAGCAAGTTAGAGCCCTCTGTCCCTGATGTGGGATATGAAACTGGTGCTGCAGTCTGTGCTAGGAATATCTGATGCCAGAATCCAAACTGATATGCATGTATTAATTTCAATAAGAGAGTTTCTCCTGTTTACCTCAATCACAGTTTATTCCTTTCACATTTAAAGCTCTATGCCTTGGTAGAAAAAATGAGCTGGGGGGGAGGTGGTATTTTCACAAGACAGGTTGACGATAATCATGGAAGACTTCAAATGAAGCCTTTTCACCGCTGCTCTGGGCTCACGTATCCAACATATGCCAATGTTTACAAGCACTCCACCCCAAATATGAAACTTCTACTGGAACTCAAATGAAAGAATCATACATTTGAATTCATGAAGCTTCCATCATTTTTGTTGAATGTAAAAAAAAGTACCTGAAAAGAATTATAGATTTGTGCTTGGCACTTATGATCACTTAAGAGTCTGAGATTTTACTTCAAACTTTGTTTAGAGAGCTGGTGATAAAGATAGTGATGAAATAGCCACAGATATTGCAATCTTATTTTTTTTAAGATGGAGTCTTGCTCTGTCGCTCAGACTGGAGTGCAGCGGCACAATCTTGGCTCACTGCAACCTCTGCCTCCCAGGTTCAAGCGATTCTCCTGCCTCAGCTTCCTGAGTAGCTGGGATTACAGGCACCCACCACCACACCCAGCTAATTTTTTATTTTTAGTAGAGATGGGGTTTCACCATGTTGGCCAGGCTGGTCTTGAACTTCTGACCTCGTGATCCGCCCACTTCGGCCTCCCAAAGTGCTGGGATTAGAGGCATAAGCCACCACTCCTGGCCAGCTATTGCAAAATTTTATTTGACTCTAGTAACACTGAGTTATTTTGCCAATGAAGAAACAGGTTCTGTGGGTATCAAGACTGAAGCAATGGCTGCAGATTAAAATGAACAGAACCATCTCTGGATGCATACTTCTTAAAAGATACCTGTGCCTTTGTTAGCTCTGGAAGAAATCACAACAGAATTCCATGCAACAGGGATGCCCATGTGGGACTTCTGTCGATTAGAGAAAGGTACCTCTTTCCTTAAGGTGGACATCATCCCACTGCAGGGCACATTCCTTGGTGACTGGATCCAAGGCCAGATTTCTGTCCCCACCCACTCAACCCTTTAGTTTGGCTCCCTTGTGCAGTTAACAACCTATGCAACCAGGTGTGGCAGCTCTGTCAAACAATCAGACATTTCTCATGTTTTTAGCTATCTTCTCTGATTCTTTCATGATATGTGACTGCAATTCAGTGGGAGTTTTAGGCCTCTAAGATGCATAGAATTGCACTTTGGAACCAAGCTGGATACATATCTTCTACTTTGGCTGTAAATATACTTCTGAAGGTAAAACATGAAAAGAAGCGGATGATTTCCTGACAAAACCATCCCATACAGTATATTAAGAAAGCATATACATTGTAACCTCCGGTGGGTTCAGAAAAACAATACAGCTTCTTAAGACTACTAAAAATTCTAAGTTGGCTTCAGGGCCGAGAAAAAGAATATGAATACAATACTTCGGAAGGAGGAAAAGTCATTTATAAACCCTAAGTGCTTCTGTCATTCTGCTTGCATAATAGGTGTACAGCAACTCAAGATGCTAACCACAATTATGTATACTTGCTCTCTTTAAATGTTTGTGGAGTTATATGGCAAATACAAAGACTGCAATTGTATGCTAAAAAGAAATTCAAATATGGGAAGTTAGATGGCTTTTCGGAAGTCATGGTGAGCAATAACAACCAACGAAAAGACTTTGGTCAAACAAAGGAAATATGTGAAGGCTTCTCAAAGCACAATTTCTGACCTGACATTTTTCAAGAAGCAATCTTCTCACCACACCCTTTGCCCGGGGTTTATTAAAGAGTCATTTCAAAAAGCACTTCTTTCTCTTAAAAAAAAAAAAAAAGTGGGATGTAGCAAAGATGATTATATATCCCAAATCTACAACTTTCCTCATTTAGAAGAAGGCCAAGAGATGATAAAAAATGTCGCTGAATGTCTCAGTCTTAAGGTCACAAATACATAATTGCATACTAAGATAATACAAAATGATCACTGCAAGACAATTTCATTTCAACCAGTCAGTTTGTTACACACATGCCATTTTGTAAGACATATCATAGGAACAATGGATTCGCACCATCAGTGTAAGAAATAATATTCTTTTTGACATCAGACTAGCAACTTGAATCAACTTGTTTGAAAGTCATTACTATCATCTAGCTCACTTTCTCAATCACCGCAGCGGCTCCAAAATGTTTTTCAAATGAAATGAGAACTCCTAACTGCAGGATTCAAGTAGCTTTGCTTTTGATTTCTTTTAGATTACTTTCCTCATCACACCATACCTGTCCTTTTTGTACACTGAGCCCTCTCTTTTGCCCCTTCCCCTGACCTGTTGCCTTCACCATGGCTGTCTCCTCCAGTTATAATTTCCAGTCCCCGAGAAACACAAACAAAAGAAGGCATTTGTTTAAACTAAAAGAAACTACGGTATTCCAGATAAGCTTGGTTCCCCAACTTTTGGTAACCCTCAAGTTCTCAAACATCTTTCACCCTCTCACTGTACTTATTTGTGCTTTATTTAGGTTAGGTGTATGACATTAATATAATTCATAATCATTGGCAGATTATGCTTTTTCCAACACTTTTGAGGCCATTTATTGTTTATTGAAATCCAAGTAATCTTATGAAAAAGAGAAAATAAGGAGGTTAATAATTTATCCAGAACCATCAACTAAAATCACTGACAATATGAAATGAAAACAATAGCCCAAATTAGAGAAAACAGACTACAAAGAAGAGAAAAGAAGTGTCACAAGAGATATGTGACTATCATGTAGTGAGTTTAATATTTGAAAGTGTTAGAGACCAAATTTCATTTCTAAAATACAAATTCCATGTTAATGGATATAGCTCTATATACATCTACATCTGTATCTCTATATAAAATATACTGGATTCTTATCTTACAAAACTCTGAACAGAATTATTAACTGAATATGTTTTATTAGAATGCATGACATATAGCTCATAAATAATTTTACTTAAGCACATACTATGAATGAAGAGGGGCATTAAATTCTTTATATGATACAATTTTCCTCATTCTTTTCTTTGCTCGCTCCACCCCAGCTAGGATGGCCTCCTTGCTTTTCTTTGAACAGGTTTTGTACATGCTATTCATCTTGCCTGAAATGCTCTATACCTAGTTAGCCACTTAGAATGCTCCCTTATTCTTCAGGGTTTCTGTTCAAATTAAAGAGGACTTTTCTGACTAATATTTTAAAATTATAATTTGTCCACATAAAGATTTTTACATAACTATTTGGAGCAGTTGTACTCATACTAACTCGGAACCAGAAACAATAAAATGTTCCATGGAAAAGTGAATGAGTATGGAAATTGTGGTATATTCATACAGTGGAATACTAGATAGCAATAAAAGAGAATGAATGCCTGATATACTTTTAAAAATTTAAAACATTACTTTTTTTAACTTTTATTTTAGGTTTAGGAGTACATATGCAGGTTTGTTATATAGGTAAACTCATGTCATGGGGCTGTGTTGTACAGATTATTTCATCCCCCAGGTATTAAGCCCAGTATCCAATAGTTATTTTTCCTGCTCCTCTTTCTCCTCCCACGCTCCCCGCTCAAGTAGGCCCCAGTGTGTGTTGTTCCTTCTTTGTGTTCACGAGTTCTCATCATTTAGCTCCCACTTACAAGTGAGAACATGTAGTATTTGGTTTTCTGTTCCTGAGTTAGTTTGCTAAGGATAATGGCCTCCAGCTCCATCCACGTTCCCTCAAAGACATGATCTCATTCTGTTTTATGGTGGGAATGCCTGACTTACTTAATGACACAGATGAACCTCAAAACTCTTATATGGCTAGAAAGAAGCCAGTTTCAAATAATTTAATTTATACGAAAGCCTACAAAAGACAATCTCATCTATAGGGACAGAAAGTAGATCAGTGGTTGCCACAGCAGGAGGAGGCTAGAGGATGAAAAAGGAGCAGAGAATAACTCGTTAGGGTGACAGAGGTTTCTATAACTCGACTGTGGTGATGGTCACATGGATGTATACCTGTGTCAAAATTCACTGAACTGTACACATAAAATAATGTGCTTTTTTATTGTATGTAAATTTACCTCAATAAAGCTGATTAAGAATGTATGAAGATTACCAGAGATACTGTATAAAGCTGGGATTCACTTCCAGGTTGTTGGACTCTGGAGCCCAACCACTGAACCACTGAGTTCAGAGCTGAGTGAATTTTTTTGTTTTAAATAAATACAAAACCTCAAATAAGAAAATGATTGTTGAATTTTAAAATAGGCTGTAAAAAGAATGTAGAGGGTTGTGTGTGTGTGTGTACTTTGCTAAGACTCTCTTGACTTAAATCATTTTTGGGCATCTTATTTTGGAACTGGATTCAGAATCCAGTTATAAGTGGTTCAATTTCATTACTTGATAGTCAAAATACACTTTTGGACTGACATCCTCTATAATCACAAGCTTAGAGCTTGACGACATATATCTTTGCCTAAAATATCAACCATAACCACAAAATATTAAGAGTTGTTGTTATTAAGAATAGTCAAAGTCATGTGCTGAAAGAAGAGTTTTACAAATATCTAGGTAAAGTCCAGCCTCATTAGAATTAGATTTGAATTTCTTCAGGTGATTACACAAAAGAGACGTCTATTTTCTCTTAAATGTAGATGCTTTTACACATTGCTAAAAATCATATTTTAAACTCACAGATTTACACTGTATATCAATTACTAGAGTTGATAGGCTGTTGATAGGCTACAATCAGTTCAGATTTCTATCATTAGTTCCTAAGTTGAAGCAATTAATTACAGCTTTAAAGATTTAGTAGGTTGGACTTAAGGTGACATTTAAACATTTAAATTAATTTGCAAAACAGAATTTAAGTATAGTTGCATTATCATTGATACACGATTAATGATTTAAAAACTTTGATGCCATATTAGTAATAATTTTATTATAAAGTCCTTGATATATTTTCTCTAGCCCACTCCAGGTAACTGAACTAATTTTCAACCCCCAAAAAATTCTAATTCACATCACAGTTCCGCATCTTTATTCTCATTTCAGGGAGTAGAAAGCTTCATGTATGAAGATATACTTTTAAGACTCTTTTTGTTTGGTATTTTCCATTTTCAAAGCACTTTTCATTCAATTCATTCTTCTCATTATGTTTAGTATTAGCTATCCACATTCCTCAAAAACCAAGGTACAAAAACTCTAATTGGCTTCCTCAAAGGCCACAGAAAATATCATTAATAGACTTTCTTCTAGAATTTAAAGGCTCTTAAGATTTTGGCAAAATCACAAAACCACTCCAAACATAGTTCTCTTCATTAACTAATTACATCTTGTATAGAGATAACAGGTAAATAGTGCAACCATCATTTTAATTCTATTTTGAGAATGGGTTTTAAGTGTGAAACCGCATGCATTTAAAACTTACAGGGATGAAAGGGCAAAACAAAATGAAACCCCCAAAAGCCTAACAAACCTAATACCACCATTCAGTCAAGGACAGGCACAGAGAAAACACCACTTTTCATTTGTAGAAAATATTTTTGAGCGTCACATATTTGGTAGGCATGAGTTGAACATTCTGATGAGACAAGTGGGCATTTTGGATGAAAGACTCTGGATTAAGCCATGACCAAGCAGAGTTTGCTATCAGGGCTTCTATATTCCCATGGAGATGTTTGGGTAAATCATCTACCAGGCAAAACAATAAGGGTAAAATTCCTGAATTCTGTGTGATTCACATTGTTTTTTTGTTTGTTTGTTTAGTTTTTGTTTTTTTGTTTTTGTAAATGAGCTAGAAGATAAGCTCATCTACACAATGGTCAATAAATACAAAAATGAAAGGGTTTCAGTCAATATGAAATGGGTATGAGTTTGCAGAGCACAATGGTAGAAAACATAGAATCTTAAAAAAATATGTTAGGCGGCATTTCCAGGGGGCACATTTTATTAGGTGGAATCAAATGTATTTACTTCCCTCTGTCTTTTCAAGTAGGAAGGGCCTCATTTCTGCAAGTGGGATCAAGACTGGAGTCAAGGGACTAATTTTTCTGATAATACCACCTCAGACACTGACCAGATGAGTACCACTTCACTTCAACCTTTCTTTAAAACCACAATGTACACATTACCAATTAAAGTGCCTTATGTAGCTTTAATCATAGCTACCAACAGTGTATCAGCATAGTAGGTGGCGAAGATGGAATATTATTTGTACAGTGAAATAATAAAGGAAAATGAAACTTTACCCTTTCAAATGGTAACACATCAGAAATCACTTTATACTCAAAACACAACTCAAAAGCACATTTCAAAACCTTTCATTTTGATTGAACACACAGCATGCTTAATGGTTTCAGCACTTTGAATTCTTTTTAATAAGTGTTACAAACTGAAAGCAAGACAGGTAGGTATTAAAAATATATTGGACATCTTAAAATTATCAACCCTACCAGTGGAAATAAAATGATGGCAATTAAAAGTAATACAGGTTATTAAAAGTTAAGGCCTCGGAGGCTAAGAAGTCATGTTAGACTGTCAATTGTTTTCCCCACGGTTGGTAATCAGTTAGAAATTAAAAAAAAAAAATCTAGTAGTTTAGTTGTGGTCAAAGAAAGAGTCAGTGGGGATGGGGGAGGTTTCAGCAACATGCTGGTAGAAAAAAAGAGACTTACATAGTCTGGGAGGGCAGTGAAATGGAAGGCGTGGTAACCTCTCTCACTTAGTTGTCATTTTTTGATTTTCAATGACATTTTTTTCATTCTTTCGCCTAGTAAAGATGACAGAAGGTCCTAATTTATTATCTGACGTCTATTCCTGTTCCTAGATTTAAGAGAGTTTAACTGTATACAGTCATATAATCCAATATAAACACTTTGAAAAAAAGAAAACTAGATCACTGATGTTGCATGCATTCAATTATAATTATAACTTCACACCCAAACCAAAGATAAGGACTCGGGCCAAGAATCAGCCTGCACAGCCCAGGCACTGGTGGGAGAGGTCAGTGGATTTACAGTTTCCTCAGATTATAGCACTAAAAGGGAGGAGATCACAAGAAAGAGCTAACTTCTTCCTGAAATGATACAAGCCGTAGGTTATGAAAAATGCCTGAATTAAAAGTCTTCCGCATGGCTCTATGGATCTGCATGTACTATATGCCCAAATGGAGCTGGTCAAAATACACATCAGACACCACAGAAGATATTCTCTATAGCAGATGCCTTCTGCTGCCGACATTAACCTGAATTTTAGATGATGAGAGAAGGATCATCAACACTTATCTAACATGACCTGGCAGATTGTCGGGGCTTGACTAAAGAAAAAAAGAGATGGAGTGTAAATTTCTGTTTCTGTATGTAAGTTACACCAGGGCAGGTCAGATTAGTCAACGCCATGGTGTCCCTGACGTTTCTTCCCCTCCCACTTTCTGCGCTCACTTCAACATGTGTTGGGTTGGCATGCTGAAAGTGCTCAGGAAATATTGGTAAATAAATAAATGAAGAGATAACATCCATTAAATTCCAGGAAGGAAAACCAGCTGGAATGGCAAAAGCCTTCACTTTTATGGCTAATTCATATGCTTTAGGGAACACAAGGGAGAATTAAAAAGAATAGAAAACAAAACAAAACAGAAAAGACTTTTCCTAAGCAGAAAGGGAAGGGATCAAGGGGAGGAAAGAAATAATACTAACAAAACCCCAAACAGCTGAATGCCAAAGTCACCTTCTGGCATTGCAAATATTGGTCAGAAGCAAAATACTGGAATTTGGATTTCAGTTCTCTGGTAGCAGAATATCACATCTGTTCATCTGGTCTAAGGCAAATAATTCCCTATTCTCATGGGCAATCTAAAGTAGATTCTCTGATAGGTACATGATATTTATACCATTTAATTAAAAAAACTATCTCTGGAGGAGGTTTAAAGTCAAAAGCTGTTGTCTGAAACTTAGCTAGGATTATTCACAAGATGAACAAGGCCAAACAATGTTTAGTCAGTTTCCATAGGTATGTATTCATCAGATTATGTTTATTGTGAAAAACTAATCTACCAGAAAAGATATTTTAATTATACTATGAGATTGTTATTATTATTTAAGAAACAGCAGGATAGAATAATCTTAGTTTGATTAAAATTGTTGAAAATTAAGGTGCCATTAACATAAGAATGTTTACATGTGTCTTCCCTCTCTGTGAGGTCATCTCATTACAGGGTCATTTACAGAGTGCTTTTATAAGGAGGGCACAGAAAAAGGAGAAGAAAGTTCTCTGTCCCTAGCTCATCAGTGAGCACCTCCAGGGTAACCCCACTCTCAGAGAAACAGAGATGAGTCATCAGAAAGCCACATTCTTTAGTTGTTCAAGGCCAACTTCCTGGCCTGAATGAGAATCTGTCCAAGCCAGTAGCTGCTTCAGGACGAGAAACCCTTCCCTGTTCCAGTCCATAACACATGTGGGTAAGAATGGATCAAGTCTGCCTTCAGGAGGGCTGCACACAAGTCTAGCTCACACATCATCCAGCCCTGCTGTCTGCCTAGGATGTAGGACATGGGGGTATGTCTGAAGAAATGTAAGGAGGTTGGATAAAATGGATTTGGTAGGGTTTTGGTAGAGACTATTCATTGGGGTGTTGGCTTTACTGAAGTTATCAGTGATAACAAAGACTATCAAGTCTAGTGATGTCTGAACTCCAAAACTGAGTTGTTTGCTACTCTAAGTGGCTTCTGCTTTACGTGATGAGAAAGAAATTCTGATGGGTGACGCTGATGTCCCTATTACTGGCAGGTACCTATTGAGCAATTTGTGAAATTGTTCTCCTATTTTTTTTTAAACTACTTTTCCAACAAGTTATTAATAAATTACTCAACACTGGGAAAACAAAAGTAAGCCCAAGGAAGAACAGGAGTTTTCAGATTCATTTCATACATATATTTTACTCAGTGTTAGGGCTGAGTTGGGTGGGACAAAGAAGGGCACCCAGGACCACACACTTCTGTAGGCAGGCAACTTCCGTTTTCCCAGTCTAAGGAGAAATACGTGACTATGGATTCCTGCTAAGCAAGACCTGCAAAAGCCGGCTGACCTCATTTAAATACAAGCCCTTGTTGAGCTCTTGTTGTAGGAACCTTTTCTAACCATTAGCTCTTTATTGTTCTTTCAGATGTTATTTCATAAAAAGTCATAGCATCTTTCTGCAGTCCTAGTACCCTGCATTCTCCACTTCCCCAAAGCATGTTGCTTCTCCTGCTAGCCTCTGCCTTAATCACATTTATCTGTGGGACTCTAGGGAGGGGATGGTAACGTTTAGAGTAGAGAATAACTTTTTTTTTTTCTTAAGTCATCTTATTATGATCCTGTTTAGATGAAATACGGGACTCGCCATCAACAAAATTACAAAACAATCCCACTGGGAGCCCAGCCCATTCAGAATAATTCATCTGTGAAAAAGCAAACTTTAATTGTTACTCTTGGCAGCCATCTAAGAGAAGAGTGAAATATTATACTAAATATTGCCACGTGCAATAGTAAAATACCGTTTCCTCCTTAAAGCAGTGCACAAACCCCTTTAGATTCAGGTTTGGGTCTGGTGACTTAGTCTAAACCCTCTGTCTCCCCCTCTCCTAAACCAACAGAGGTTTTCAGAAGAGCTGCATTTTTGTTAGAACCATTTGCTCTTTTTAAATTGCCAAAAAGGAATAAGTAAAACTAAGATATTTATTCGGGTTAAAGTTTCTTCAGCTTCATGGAGGTTAATGTCCTTAGTCTGTGATCCTTCTACTAAGAAGTTCATTCCAGCTTTCAACTAGCTAAGGTTATGTGTCAGCTCCTTCTCTCCCCTGCAGCCTCATGGATTTATATTGTACGAGTTGGGAGCATGTGGAAGCTAATCAAAATGAAACATACATATGGCAAATTACATCCTGGATTTTCCGGAACAACCGAAATTTCAAATAATTTTGATGTCTCCCATACAATTACAATTTTGGGATCAAATCTCCTGATTTGGGCTTCAGAGAATGCAATGCCAACGGGTATTTACAACTCTAGATTAAAAGTTCATTGAACACTGCTGCATTATATAGTTTACATGCATGGAAAGGTGTTTGATAATACTTCAAAGCAGAGAAATATTCTTTTCCTAAAAATAGAGTGAAGCTTTCTGTGAAGATATTAATCAAATAATTATTAATGTGGCACTGGTTATCTAGGATATTTATAGGTTTTGTTTCAGCATGAGTCTATAATAAATTATTTACAAGTAATTTTAAAAATATACATTCTGGCAGAAATATTTGCATATATTGCTCATATAAGGATATATAAAGATCATATGTAAGATATGATACGTAGATAATATTACTTAGCATCCAAAATGCTTAAATTATTAGGGCCCTTAAAAATTAAATGACTTGCCCAGGACCATGTTACCAACGGTCTGACCATCAGAACCTCAATTTTTAAGGAGATGTGCCCTGTGCTATGGAACACTGTATTTCATCCATACAGATATATGATGATACTAAGATTATTTGGGAATATGTTTTAAGTCTGTAGATATAAACAAATTAATGTTTGTTACAAGTTAGATTAATGAATTAAAACCTTATTATAACTTAGGTCACTTACAACTTGAGTAGATATACTAAACTTTAGGATATATGTTTTATATAGCTAATTTTATTTTTATTATAACATATATTACCTATGACAACAAATAGAATAGCTATTTTGGGAACTATGATCTGTATTAGCCATGGGAAAATATTCAGTACTTGTTACATATTGTGCACAATTGCATAAGGACTGGACATTATAAAGCTTCATTAAAATTTTTAGTTTATATAAAGTAACATTTCTTAGAATTATTACCTGCTTTTCTTTGTGGAAGATTTATAACAAACAAAAACAAAATTTGTAGAATGCATGGCCTTAGCAACTAACAGTGCTACACTAAAGTGAACAATATATATCAGTTATTATTGAAGTGGAAGTAGTCCTATAGAAGGTGAGGAATTTTAAAATACATTATTATAAATATTACTTAGATATTCAGTGACAGCAAATAGTAAACTAATCAGGGGTCCCATAGGCCGACTATACATGGGGGTTGGTCGATCTTTTAAAAAAATTGACCTATGATGTGGGAAGCCAAAGAAATCTCCCTTATCTGTGTAGTTTTAACTTAAAAAAATCAACCTGCCTTTTATTTACTAAAAGATCAAGCTCTTTGTTTGTCAGCACAAAGTTTAAAGTTTCGTTTGAGGGGTTCTGTTTCCTGCTCTCCATTTAAAATGGGGGAAAAATAAAAATATTTTGCCTGTGACAGAATATGAAAGAAGTTCTCACCCTTAAAACCAGCAGCATTGGTTTTCCAGTCATTAGCGTTCAAATGTCCCGCACGGGAAGTCCTGACAATAACATGCTGTACGTCTCTCCAGGTCAGAAACGGACTGGGGAAAGACAAGGTAAGAATCATTGTACCAAAAAAAAAAAAGATGGGGGAAGCAGAGAGTCACAAGCAAATTAAAAAAGCAAAATCAAAATGGCAAAGTACTAAAAACAAAGGGTCAGAGATTTGGGTTTGGGATAACCAAATGCCAAATGCCGCTCTTGTTCTCAACATGGAGAAGTGACATTAGTCTGTGGGAGGCAGAAAATGTAACCTTAAACTGAAGAAATAATAAGACTGTAGTCAGGGTAACTTAGTTTTTTAAAAGGGTGAGCGTTTCCGGTTTCCTCAACAAAATGGTTGCCTACTATGGTGCTGTCATCCTTTGTATAAAAGCTTGGATCATCATCATCAGATTACGATAAGCTAAAATCAAAACAGAAGGCCTCTGAAACGTTTCTTCTTTAATCATTGAATAGTTTGGTAAGTGAGCTGCAATTTACCAGAAGAACGTAGCAATGTTTAACCTTCTATGCATATATATGTGGGATATGGAAAAATCTCAACGAAACAGCATCCCAATTTTCAGCATTTTTAAGGAAGAGAACATGGTACAGAACCCAAAGCTGGGCTCCAAGGCACAGACAGCAGTAAGAGTATTCTTAATTTGCAATGGGTAGTTATTATAGTGTGTTATTAGACACCTAGTTCTTATGGCTACTAGCACTGAAGAACACAAAAGAGACTACTGAGCAGGAGATACTTTCATTGGAGAACTGCAATGCTAATCATAATCACACAGAAACAAATCCAAGCACATACAAACAGACTTTTATTCCCTTTCATAGACTATGTATATACTCGAAGCCATTTGACTCAGCGCATGCATGCAATTCTAATCAGGATACTTATTTCATTCAGTCTTGAATTCTGAGTTGTGCTGATCTTTTACTTAACTAAGAAATATGACAATTTTCATGCAGCATGTGCAGCCATTTTATTTGTTTCTCACCAGCTACCTTCACTTCAGCAACAATATTTGCAAAGGATGGGAGAGAAGATTTAGGGAAGAGGAGAAAATTACTCACTACCTGCCTTGAGGTGTGATGGGGCTTGGGGTAGTCTTTCTGCACTCTCTTTTGTAGGTGTATGGACACTGAGGTCTTTCAGGCAGAGGGAGAACTTGGTATCTTAATTGTACCTAATTTTTCATGATAGGGCCTGTATGTTTCTTCACTTTATACTACATTTTTTTCCCAATCATACTCACCACATCTATGTTTTTTAGGGTGGTCAGGGCGGCCTTCTAGTAAGAAGGGGTCTAGTGATCAGATTCTGGCTCCTTCATTTTCCATGTGAAATTAACCTCTCAAAGTCTTAGTATTCCTACTTAGAACATGGATGCTAGTATCTGCTTTATGTCGTTGTACTGATTGAATCAGTTAAAATAATGCCAAGTACTTAACCTTGTGCCTGGTGCATAAGAAGCTATTAAGAAGTGGTAGATAGCAAAGCATTTTGCTAAAATTTGCATCCACAGCTCTTATTTGGTGGCTTCAGTATGAAAGAAATGGGGAAAGAAAAGTACTATTGAGTTCTGACACTTTTTCTGTTATGGTCTCAGATTAAAAATAAAAGGAGACTGAGTCCTGCCATTTTTTAAAGTTTCCAGAGCGGGTTAAGACTGGATCTAGACTACTTGGTAAAGTTATATCAACAAAAGAACTTGAATTGTGGAAATTAAACCCCAACTACATAAACTTTAAAAATATGAGAACGATGAAAACAGAATTATTCTTGTTTTCTTAGGATACAGCACTTGTTAGGAATCAATTATAGAACCTGATAAAGCAAAAAACTTTCAAGAAAGGGAGGCAGGCTGTTTGGTGGAATCCAGGAGCAGGATGTTTTGCTTCTAAAACAAATAGCATGATTTGAGCCTTTGCTGACAAACACTAAATTCATTCACATGATCATTCAGTAGACTCAATGCACTACTGTCACGGAAATTAGAAAGTAAGTCAAGGGATAATCCTGAATGCCAGTCTCAACATAAGATGTTCTAGCTCTGCCTAAGATGGTATGTCCTAGTTATTAGAGTGAATGACAAAAATAACAAGAAAGCTTGGTCCAGAAAGACATTCTAGCCACTTATTTATGGTAAAGCAGAATCCTCCCAAATGAACATGAATGTTTTTATTTTGTCATGAGTAAACAGTGAGATACCAAAGAATACACTTAGATTTGACGAAAATATCTAAATCAACCTAGTAATTTAAAAATAACATTTGACACACAGAACTTTCACGTTTTAACTCCTTAAATTTAACTCTCCTTTAGGGAGGAGAAAAAAAGAAAAGAAGTCAATGTCTCATGTTACCTGTCACCAGGGCAAGATTTCTTCAGAAATATTAAGCAAGAAATTCTGATCATTGGGAGATCCACATTTTCCCTAGTGAAACTTAGCACTAAAAATTTAATTTTCATAACAGAACAGGGAACATTTACATTGATCTTATACCTTAAGCACCTGTATTCTGGCAGATTCAGGAAGCCTCCTGCATTCAAACTCAGACTGAAGAAATAAGAGTTACTTGTTTTCATGCTGAGTAGCAAAACCTAGTTCTTGGAGTGCTTGTAATTAGAAGGAAGAAATTAGCTTCAGGAAATTGGACCTACACATGGAAAAAGAAGGTGTTTGGATGGTTTTACTCTGATATTTGGTAATGCACAACTTCAGAAATGATCTAATTTGAAAATTTCCTGAATTTCACCAAAATAAAGTAAAGAAGATAAATTGAAAAACCAGTGGACCTGGAATCAGTAGTGTTTCTATCTGTGGGAAGATAATTAGCTCAGGAAATAGCCATAGGTTAATTTTGCTGGACATTATGGTTTATTTATTGCTAGAATCCAGAGACGACTCTTGTTTATGGATACGTCTGATTCACATCTTACTTTTCATTTGTATTTATACTCACAGGGATGATGCAGACGTGAAGACTAAGTCAAACTATGAGAGATCTCATAAACCATTTATAAAACAAATGCAGAGAGAGAAGGCTGAGTGCTCTCTGCAGGGAACTCCACAGTCCACAACCATAATTTAGGACTCCCTAATACCTATTTCTCTCTGCCAAGTATCTTGGACCCACACTCCAGTGGCCTCTGAAAACTGAGACCTCTCTGATCTCCAAGAATAGACAAACTTGTGCAACAAGAGCTTTGAAGCAAGCAACTATTGAGAGATCAAAAGTCTAACCCACCTGGAGAAAAGAACAACATCTCCCAATCCTGAGTCTCGTGACCACCGCCCTATAATAAATCACATGTAGTTATGCTACACACCCCTCAAATTTCTTCCTGGAATTAACAAATGCCCTTAAACAAAAATATATATGAAGAGAGTCACATTTATAAACACCTACAAGATATGGGTAGCCATCTATGACCTTTCAAACCAAGGAAATGAACATGACTTTCTCGGGAGTTCTGTATATGTAATCATTTATAGTTTTGCATCCTTTGCTGAACTCATAGTAATAACCAACATCTAGTGAGCACTTGGCCAGGGCCAGGCAGTGTATGTTTTATGTGCATGATTGTTGCATGATATTGAAAATCACATGACGTGGGTAACATTCTTATTCCTGTTTCACAGACGACAAAACTGAGGCTTTGAGTTACACACAGTAACTCAAATACACAGGTAGTAAGTAGAACTAGAATTCAAGCCAGCTGGACTTGGCTGTATAACTTATGCTATCAATCACCATATAACACTATTTCCAAACGGATCCACAAAGGTGAAGCAGAGACACACATCTATTTGTCAGGAAGTTCTTTGACAAATGGATCAAAAAGCCAAGTATGGCACGTCGCGTCCTCATGGTTACACACACTTTGTACACACACTCTCTTTCTTGACTCTGTTGATTTTTGTTTACCATAGCATTCAGAGGATTCCTGAGTCTTAATTTGTTATGCAGGTTCCAAAGGCCTTTTACCCATTCTTTCAAAGGTAAACAGAAAAATAACACACCAGGAAAATCATATGATTTTTATAATAGTTTACATGTATACCGTATGTCATAACATCAGTGTATTATTGCATACCATTATTGTTATGAACTTGTCATCTCCCCTGCCATGGCCACACTTGGATGTGGTTCGCAGCCAGGCTACGTGACTCTTCTCCGTTCAGTGAATCTCAGCTGAACCTCACCTTAAACACTTCTAGTTTTCTAGTTTTCAGCTGCAAAAACAGCATAATTAATGACACTATCACTACCCAGTATTTGCATTACATTTTTACTCTGAGCAGTTCAGAGTATTTCACAGGCCCAACACAAGGTTTAGAAGAAGCAGGACATCTCCTAAGAGAGACATTTTGTGTAGTGCTTCTTGTTGGGCTAAGTGCAACCACTAGCACTTCAATTAAAAAAGAAAAAAATCCTTCACCAAAGGGTTTTCCCAGATAATTCTGGGAAATTCATGTGTGAGTGCTAGAAATACATCTGTGTCTGGTGGTCTTTAAAAACAAGGACCAATTTGAAATCTTGGGTGACTGACTCACCTGCACTTATTAAGGAGAAAAAAATAACCAACCTCCCGCTCAACCCACCACCCAAATACATCCTCATTGTAATTTAGGGGCAGCTGATAAAAAAGACAACAGATACACATCTTATTACAGAAAGAGAATTTATCAATAAGAGGAGCAACAGCTAGTCTAGATAATGAAACTGTTTCCTAAAATAAAAGAGTAATTCTGTCTAATGAAATGATGAGGCCCAGATCAATGGGAAAAATAGCATGATCAATCAGCATCGCAAATATCCAACTTCCTAAACGTTCAAAACCAATTCAAGATGAAACTAGTCTCCTTCAATCCAAAATAAAACCACTTTTTTTAAAGATTATGTAAAATAGAAATAGAAACAAGCAGTCAGAAAATTAATGTCACTGTACCAATGCTAAAAGAAATCGGCAGTTACGGGAACAGATTCATGGTGAGCTGGAGACACAAAGATGAAGCAGAAAGTATTTAAAGCCTGCTGAGATAGGTAAAAACATTACTCTGATTGCAGCTAGTGTATGAAAGTGGTAATTCAAGAATAAAATACTGACCGTCCAACAAAGAAAAACAATCCTCTTTTGTTAGGTAATGAAGAGCCCGAAAGGATCATCAGATTGTCAGTCCCACTGCGAGCAGGAGTATCTGCCACTGGGGGTGCATTTGTTTTGCTTTGTTTTGTTTTGTGTTCTACAATAATTCAAAAGTTTCAGGCCTAAAATTGGTTTGTGGTATTGGAAAATACAGTTAATAATACCTCAAGATTTAGAAATGTGAGTTGTATTGGTATTACCCAAATACCCACTTATGATTCCTCCACACCTGAACCAAAGTGGAAAAAATGAAAGAAAAGCAGGACCACACAAAGTTTTATTGTGAAAATATTCTAATCCCCTGGATTTACTCTAAACCAAAGGTAAATTTGGATTCTAAGCACACTTAAGAGAAGATAGCCCCTAATTTATAAAGAAAAATTTTGTCATTGAAGCTGAGGTGTCTTTTCCTTAGAAATCCTGGCTTATCACTGCAAATACTTACTGCATGTAAAAGACAAAAATTATGTTTTTTGCAGCCCCTATGAAAATATAATATTTTGTTTGCAAGCTCAATCATCACTTCCTTGAAATACTTTGCTACATAAGCTCTTACAAAATAGAACTTGAGGAGGAAGGGTCAGTCATTTGAGATCACATGCATTGAAATCAAATCGCAATTATGAAGCTTTCCACCAGGTCTCCCTGTACACTTAACTCCCTCCAACAATTGTGCCCTGAATATAATCCTTAAGGCCTCTTTTTCTTCAAACCCATAACCCAGAATCTAGTTCTGGCCTTCATTTTTACCCCAAGCTTGAAAACTGTTCAGAGTAGGCAAAATGTGACAGTGTGAGTGTTCCTAAATGTATCCCCCTCAACCTGTGAGAAACTCTTGCTCACTGTCCCTTTTCTGCTCATTTTGTGGGCTGTCCCAGGACTTAGCATGTATAAATTATGCAGTTCTAGGCCCACAGACTAAGTCCTGCAGGAAGACATGGTTACCCCCCTCATTTCTATTTCTCATTCAAAATAATAATAAATTTTGTTTTGCATTCTACAGCCTCTTAATCACACGAGAATGGTGTAAATTACGCTTCAGAGTCAGGAAGACCTAGGGTGAATCATGATCTCCTACCTGATAGTTCTGTAACACTGGACAATTTACTGAACCTCTTGAAAGTCTCTGTTTCCTCAGCCGCAATGTGGAGAAAATAACGCTGACTCCACAAGATGGCTGCAAGAATTTGAGGTAATGGAAATAAAGAGCTTGGCATATCATAGGCTACCAAAGACAAGCGTCATGATGATTTATTGAGATTAGGAACCTACTGTACCATTATAACTCAGAAGGACTACTTTTGCTGAGTTTACACCAGCATTTGATGAATCTGTATTTAATTAGGCTAAGTTTTCTGCAATGTTCCTAAACTTTAGTAATATGTTTTTTAGTTTCACTAACAGATGAACAAAACAGCATTTTTAACACCTTGGTATATTTCTGCTTAGTGAAACAACAATGCTACTAAGATTTGTCAAAAAGATCTGGTTTTCACAACCCCATAGTGTAGATGGCAATTTAATTGGCTGGGGAGTGAAATTTTTGGACCCACTAGGATTGTCAATAAATCTACTCTACATGTGGGAGATCTTCTCTCTTGATGGTTAGCCATTGATGTAATTGTGGAGGATAGTGAGATGTTCTTTGGTTTGATATCAGAGTGCTTTAGAGAATCGAATGTTAGAATGAGGACTACAAGTATACTTATTTGCCTAGCCAAATTGCCAGACTGAAGTGCTTTTGATACTTTTCTACATAGTTCAGAGATTTGCAGAGTTCTCACCTCAAAAACCAGTAGTTAAACCCCTGGAGAGGCAACAGAAATCATTGACTGCATCGCCATTATTATTATGATTCTAAATTACTTTATAGCTGTTTTCTCCCATTTTTTTCCTGTTGAGTAAAAGAACTAAAATGATGCTTCTCTAGATGTTTATTGAAGTATATTTTAAAATGAAGCTTTTCAATGATCAGTTTTCACTGTCAACTTTAATGAAAATAAGCATTTTGGGTTCTAGAATTTGAAGTAAATGTTATTATGCCCATTTTTAAAGAAAAATTTGTATAAACTTATGGGGTACAAGTGTAATTTTGTTATGTGCATATATTGCATAGTCATGAAACCAAGGCTTTCAGGGAATCGATCACCCAAATAAAGTATGCTGTACCCCTTAGGTAATCTCTCATCGTCTAATCCCCTCTCACCACCTCCCACTTCTCATCCTCCATTGTCCATCATCCCACACTCGACATCCATGTGCACACATTACTTAGCTCTCACTTTTAAGTGAGAACATGCAGTATTTTGTCTCCGTGTCTGACATGTTTCACTTAAGATAACAGTCTCTAGTCCATCCATATTGCTGTAAAAAACGGTTTTTTTTTTGAGATGGAGTTTCACTCTTGTTGCCCAGGCTGGAGTACAATGGCACGATCTCAGCTCACTGCAACCTCTGCCTTCTGGTTTCAAGCAATTCTCCTGCCTCAGCCTCCTGAGTGGCTGGGATTATAGGCATGTGCCATCACGCCTAGCTAATTTTGTATTTTTAGTAGAGACGGGATTTCTCCACGTTGGTCAGGCTGGTCTCGAACTCCTGACCTCAGGTGATCCACATGCCTCAGCCTCCCAAAGTGCTGGGATTGTAGGCGTGAGCCACCTCGCCCAGCTGATTTCATTTTTTTATGGCTGAATTATTATGCCTATTTTAGAAACTCCTGGTTTAGTGTATCAATTCCTGGCAGTCTTTCTAATTGTTAGACATCATCGATAGGAACAAAAAATACTTTAAAAATTACACCACACACACACACACACACATACACACACACGCAGGAAAAAATCAACAAAGACTAACAGAAATCTATTACAAAAATTTTGATGTATTTCAAAAAAACTTATGAGCTAATGTGACTATGAGGAAAATAATTTTTAACTTTCTTTTTCATTGTCTCCCTCTATTATATATCTTGGGATGCCAAAATGCTATCTTTCCAGAATCCCTGATAATGAGGGGTACACAGGAGACAGAGTTCTGACTAATAAAGTCTACTGGGCATTTCTGAGAAAACTTTGCTTTCCTGCTATAAAGATTGCTAGTCCTGCATCATTTTGTCCTTTCTCCTTTTATTTGGAATGTGGATATGATGATTGGAGCTGCAGCAACCATTCGGAAAAGAACAACAAAAAACCCCACATAGACCTTGGCCTTGGAAGCCTTGAGCTTCTTTGGACTTGGTAGCTTGAGCTTGGTAGCCTTGAGTCAACATCTTGACTGCTAACTTGTGGATTTTTTTCTTGTACAACCCTCTTTCTTACTACAGAAGAAATTTCCTAAAAGATGTACCTCCAAAAGTACAGAGTAGTAGATGGCATGTATTGAAGGCTTACTGTGTGCCAGGCATACATACTATCAAAAGTATTCTATATTCATTATTTCATCTATTCTTCATGACAGTCCTGTGAGACAAATACTGTTATTACTTTCATTTCCAAAATAAGAACATCAAAGCAGGGAAAGTTTAACGATCTTCCTCAAAGTCATACAATTAGCCACAGTTGAGAATGGCCCAGGCAGCCTGATTCTAGAGCCTCAGCTCTGACCCTCGCCACCTGCAATGTCTTGGACTGGAGGGGTGCGTGATGGAAAGAGTCAGGTTAATGGTGTTTGTAGGGACTGGACGTTCAGCCTCTAGTTTTGTCAGAAGGGGGAGGAAATGATCTTCTCACTTCAGAGGGATCTCTGCTAGAATCTCAGAATCGGACAGGGAGGTTTATCCCTCATCCCATCCTTCAATGGCAGATTTGAGTAAGTCTGTGCTTGGAGGCTAAGCAGAGCAAGGACATAGCCACAGCCTTTCTGTAGCCAGTTTTTTTTTTAAATTGAGAATGAATAATTTTTTTAAACAAAGGAAAGAATGGGAACAAAGAAAGGAAAAAGAAATGTAAGAGGAGAGTATAGGGAAAGGAAAAAGTGGTGGTGAGAAAAAAGAGAAGAGTCCAGACTAGAAGAATAACAATAATATGGAGCTTATGGAAAACACAGTGCAGGGAAAAGGAATCAACCAAGCAATAAAGCAAACTGAGTGAGAGTAAGGAAGATTATGAGGAGTATGAAGTGGTATTAGCAAAAGCAAAGGATGCACAGGAAAGAGTAAATTGACATGGATAGGTGGAATCGATATCATAGAAAGCTGAGTTGATGTGGAATACAAATGTGACGACTTCTTGCATTTTTTTTTTTTTTTTTTTTTTTTGAGATGGAGTCTTGCTCTGTCGCCAGGCTGGAGTGCAGTGGTATGAATCTTGGCTCACTGCAACCTCTGCCTCCCGGGTTCAAGTGATTCCCCTGCCTCAGCCTCCCGAGTAGCTGGGTTCTACAGGCCCACACCACCATGCCCGGATAATTTTTTGTATTTTAGTAGAGATGGGGTTTCACCATGTTGGCCGGGACGATCGTGATCTCCTGACCTCCTGATCTGCCTGCCTCGGTCTCCCAAAGTGCTGGGATTACAGGTGTGAGCCACTGCACCCGGCCACTTCTTGCATATTTTTAAGGAAAGAGATGACAAGGAAGACAAGCCGATGGATTTGGAGGACAGGAAACAAACCTGGCTTCAGAATATTAGCTTTACCTTGCTCTGAGGACTAAAAATTACTGAGTCTTTCCTATTTACCAGATGCTTTACTGGGTGCTTTATGTATATAACTTCACTTAATGAACACACAACCCCATGAAATAAACAGCATTATTATTCCCCTTTTACAGGTGTGGAAACTAAGGCTTAGAAAGGTTCACTTCCTTTCTCAAAGCCGTGTAACTAGTAAGAAGCAGAACAGGAATTTGAAGGCAGGTTTCTCATATACTTCAGGGCCCAGGCTCTGAAGCTCTGTGGTGATCTTCGCCACTAATCAAAGTCACATCTGATTAAAAATGTTCAAGGTGGACTAAAAATACTTAATGTTTTCCAGGACATATTAATGAAAAGAGTTGCATCCCCTAGACTTGTCCTAAAATATATACGTTTTCATTACAATACAAATGAAAAAAGAAATCCTAAAACTAAGCAAAACAGGACTTCTAGTTAAAGACTTTCTCTGCAAAGCTAATTTTAGAAGATAATAAAACAGTTGAACTGATTTAAAAGAAATAAACCTGAGAATTTTACACTAGACTTGTCGTCCTTCATGAGTGAATACAGAAGATATATTTGCAGGATTGAGAAAACTGACCATCAACAAATACAGACTCTGAAGGTCAAAATAAAATAAACAATTTAAAGTTTTATTTTGATTTATGAATAACTCAAAATTTAAAACTGTAAAATATGTAGTTGTTATTAGAAAAGACCTAATGATGACTCCAAAATAAATTGAACAGAATTAAGACTTAATAATTGTTTTAAAAGAATTCTTCTGGGGATAAAAAATAATAAAAAATAATTAACAAAAATGGTCTGTTGCAGAAATCCAAATTATGGTATTAAAGATAGGGAAATAAGTAGATGAGGGCATTAAAGTAAATGTAAGCCATGTTTATATAGCAAGGAGTCAAAGGTGATAACTCTTCTATTACAAAACACATTTATTTTAAAATATGGCTTTATTTACAACTATCTATAAAATATGAAAACTAAAAATTAAATAATAGACATAGATTTTTTCCCCTGCACAAAACATATACAAAGATTCATGAATGGGAGGATTCATTGCAAACAATATAACGTTTTAGATTCAAAAACACTTAAAAGGACAAAAAGTTGAATTTGTTGACAAAGTGCTATCTAAAATAAAGATGTAACAGCATGACATTTGTGCATCAAAATGGATGAATCAAAGACTTTAAGAAAATAAAAGTAGGCCGGGCGCAGTGGCTCACGTCTGTAATCCCAGCACTTTGAGAGGCCATGGTGGGCGGATCACTTGAGGTCAGGAGTTCAAAACCAGCCTGGCCAACATGATGAAACCCCATCTCTACAAAAAATAGTAATAATAAAAATAGCCAGGCATAGTGGCGGGTGCCTGTAATCCCAGCTACTCGGGAGGCTGAGACAGGAGAATAGCTTGAACCTGGGAGGTGAAGGTTGGAGGTTGCAGTGAGCCAAGATCGCACCACTACACTCCATCCTGGGCAACAAGAGCAAAATTCTGTCTCAATTAAAAAAAAAAAAAAAAGAAAAAAAAAAGAAAAAATAAGTAACTGATGGAAGCACAGTAGTGTTCAGATAATTTAGTCCATTTATGTCAGGAGAAAAACATAGGATTCGTTTACATTATAGTTAAAATTTAATAATATTGAAATATATGTCCTACAAAGAGTCATTTTTTTTTAAGACTTCACAGATCAACTTAAGAGTTTGTAATGAAAAGTTGAAGCTACATTGGGCCAAAAGGAAATTTCAACAATTGCCCTAAGCAAAAACAATACGTCACCAAACACCAGTGTTGCTGATAATCTAACCCTATTATCTGGACACAATGTAGTGAAAAAAAGGTCAATAATAAATCTCAATAGCGACAAAGTTTGTTTAACACTTAACAGTACTTTACTCAATTGTCATTCTATCAAACAGCAAGTGAAAATATCATTAGAAAATAACAGTCTATCAAAAGTGTGTTCAGAGATAAATTCACATCTTTAAAAAGTTTTATTAATATAAAAGGAAAGATAAATGAACCATGATTCAGCCAATAAGAGTCATAAAAGAATGAAGAGGAAAACAGGAAAGAAATTTTAAAAAGAAAGAAAGAAAAACAGAAAAAAAATTACTGATAAATCTCAAAACTGGACCTTTGAAAAACAGTAATAAAAAATTTAACCAAGAAAATAAGAAGAAAACACTAATAAATTCTAAATATTAAGGCAGTCATAAAAACCAAGGCCGGGCGCGGTGGCTCACGCCTGTAATCCCAGCACTTTGGGAGGCCGAGGCGGGCGGATCACGAGGTCAGGAGATCGAGACCATCCCGGCTAAAACGGTGAAACCCCGTCTCTACTAAAAATACAAAAAATTAGCCGGGCGTAGTGGCGGGCGCCTGTAGTCCCTGCTACTTGGGAGGCTGAGGCAGGAGAATGGCGTGAACCCGGGAGGCGGAGCTTGCAGTGAGCCGAGATCCCGCCACTGCACTCCAGCCTGGGCGACAGAGCGAGACTCCGTCTCAAAAAAAAAAAAAAAAAAAAAAAAAAACCAATACAAGAGATGTTTATAGTATTAGAAAATACTGGGATTTCTTCTAAAAATGGCTTTGAGGCCAGATGGTTTCCTTCAAACATGCGAGAACTCTGATCCCAAGGGTCTCTGGAGAGAAAATACAAATTGCAAAATTCCATAATTTATTTTGTGAATTTAACATCATCTGATACCAAAAACTTGCAGAGACAGGCCAGTTTCAAGGTCAAACCAACGTGGGTTAAAAGCTTGACTCTCCGTTTACTACCCATGTTACCTTATAGATGAGAATTACATGAAATATACCAAAAGTATACTTTAGAAAATGCTATTTATCTGCTGTAGGTACACAACTAATGTTAGCTAGCTGCTGTAATAATAGCATAGAACACACATATATACACACACATTAGGTAGTAAAAGAAAATCTCAGAAAAATAAACTCAAAGACATAAAACACGCTAAAATGAAACCAATAGCATATTAAATAACTAAATCTGATTCATAAATATAAGCAGGGAATAATATTAACAATGTATTATTCTAATAAATCATATCAACAAATCTAGTATGAGAAACTATATATTCATCTAAACAGATACGGAAACACCCAAATCTCATTCCTAATGATAATACAAAACAAAAAACGCTGCATACGCATTATGAAGAACATCTAAAAGAAACACAAACATTGACAAAAAGTGAAACAGAAGGTAAAAAAGAAAAAAGAAATCAATAGAAAATCAGGATCTAAGTGTGAACCCTTACTATCTCATAATATTTAACATTTTTTGAAGGGTTAATGTAATAGAAATAATACTGTGATGATATCAGCTTCCTTATTTTAGTACTTTCCATATACCTAAGTTCACTTAATCCTAGCAACAATCCTGGGATTCCGAGTTACTGACCCAAATTTCAGATGAAAAAACTCCAATTAAACAAGGTTAAGAAATACGACTTCCACTTGCTCAAGGCTATCCAGGAAATAATAGTAGAGGCAGGATTGGAACAGAAGTTAGCTTGACTCCAAAATCTGAACTTATAATGACTAATCTGTACCACTATCCAATAAGAATATGAAAAATTATTAAAAAGAGACAAGTATTACTATCATCAGATGCTATGAATATATTCTGGAAAAAAAAACAAGAAAATCAGCTATAATATAATGTGAGTTAAAGGACCTAGAGATAAGAAAAACATATAAAAATAATGGCTCTGTTATAGATAAGCAATAATCAGTTAAAGACATAATGGTAATAGCAAAACAAACAAATACTTGCTACTCCAAAAAATAAGTCTGAAAAACTATGAAACTAAGGACAAGTCTGATACATTAATATGCCAATAAAAAGAAGATCTAAACAATGTAGAAAGATTTTTTTGATTGGGAAAACTTGTAAAGAAGCCAAGATTTACACAATTGTTATAAATTGCCACTGGGATTGTTTTTGGAACACAAAAGACTGGTTCTAAATTTTATCTGGGAATATGAACAAATAAGAATGCTTAAGAAAATGTTTAAAATATGAAGTGATTCTGTAATGTTTAAAGATTTGGTAGAAGATAAAACAGAAAATGCTAAAGGAGATCCTCATAAATGCAACAACTTAAAAGAATACAAAACAAACTGCTTTTGGAGGAGATAGATTACTTAACAAATGACATTGGGCAAATAGGATCCCTATAAAAACTCAATTTACATCCTCATACTGGACAACAAAATAAACTCTAGTTGGTTCAACTTTAATGATGAAAAATAAAACAAGAAAACAGCATCGCATATTGTCACTGATTTATGGTATCTAAAAATCAAAACCAGTGAATTTATGAATATAGAAAGTAGAAGAAAGGTTACCAGAGGCTGGGAAGGGTGGTGATGGGAAGTGCTGGGGGGAGGTAGAAATGGTTAGGAGAGGTCAAAAATAATAGTTAGAAAGAATGAATAAGACCTACTAAATGATGGCACAGCAGGGTGACTATAGTCAATAATAACTTAATTGTACGTTTAAAAATAACTAAAAGAGTGATTGGATTATTTGTAACTTAAAGGATAAATGCTTGTGTCATGGATATCCCATTCTCCATGATGTGATCATTACACATTTCATGCCTGTATCAAAGCACCTCATGGACCCCATAAATATATACACATACTATGTACATGCAAAAATATTAAAAATTAAAAACTCAAAAAAGAATAAAGAAAACACTACATGAAAATGTCAGTCATTAATTAATAAATGTTGACATAGGAAAGAGCTTCCTAGCCTGAGGCTTTTTAATCTGGGGTCCATGAATTCCCCTAAGGTACAGGAAATTCCTTGCCACATGTAAATCTGGACTCATTTAGGGTAAAACATACATAGCTTCATCAGCATATGTAAAATTCTCTAGGAGGTACAAAAAGATCAGGTATGCCTATATAATTGAAGATTTCATAAAGGACACATATATTTGACTAAATAATACTTTTAAAATAAATTTAAAAATTCCCTATTTCAAAACAATATAAACAATACCTAAAAGCAAATGAAAAATTAAAAAACATTTGCTGTAACTATGGCCAGAAGGTAATATGTTGAGTATATGCAGGTAAGACAAATATGAACATGAAAGAGTATTAGGTGATTAGTAGAGGATTCAAAGATTATCTTTTCGAGTGACTTTGAAACACACTTTTGAAATTCAATTTGAATACTAGTCCTCACAATTCAAAAATGTCTCAGCACCTAATTTCCAACAACTGAATGGAGACAGCACCCACAAAAACTTGAAACCTTCTTTAATCTAATCTTGCTTGATTGCAGGTTAGAAAAAACATTATTTGGTTAAAAAAAAGGTTGGTTTAAAAAAACAAATGGGAGGGGAACAACAAAATGAACAACATGATCTGAAAGGAAAGCAAAATGCAGATTAAAGACAAAGTATGCAATATTTTTTATAGTAAACATGCATATATTAAGAATATTTGGAACTAGCATCATAGCATTAGGAGTTATACTAAAAGCTTAAAACATGCTTAAAGTTGGCTGTGTAGGGAGACATTTGATTTACATGTCTGCATGATTTATATATATGTTTTGTAAAATGTGTTATTTTGATGATAATATAATTTAAATTTATATTAATTAATTTGAAGATATTATCAAAATAATACATCATATAAATAAACACCTACATTTTAAAAATGGTTCTATTGCTAATAATAGATTATAATGGTCATGGGATTGCTCTTCCTGGTATCTGTCAGTATTAAATAAATACTTATTTGCTTCTAAGATACTAGTGGCAAATGAAATCAGTAGAATGCTTGCAAGCACCACTGTGATGAAAAAGGCTCTCAATCTTTTGGATTTCAAAGACTGGAATATTGTTTTTCAACTTGGGAATCAAAGTGAGATTCATCACTTTCATTGCTAAGTAAGGATAGCATCATTTCATACAAGTAAGAAAATGTCATGCAAAAACAGTATATATAATCAGAATGAGTCACTTTAAAATTATTTTTTAAAATTAAAAAATATACCTTTGTTTTAAAAATAACCTACATTGCCATTGTTATTCACCTTTGCCTGGTGACCCCTGAACACTCTCACTGAATAGCATCTCTACAGGCCAGATGGTTTCTGGGCAACCTTCCAATGTTACGATTCCTCAGACAAACTGATAACAATTGCTTTATATTCCAGGTATGGGATCCCAAATGCTTGAGAATTTTAGCACAATGAAAATTATAGAATTGAATACATCTGCTATGGAAAATGAGGCTATCAGATGTCAATTCCAATGGCACCTAAATTCAGAGCAATGAATAAAAATTCAGCATGACTAATACGATCACTCCTGTATCATACTCTCTCCAGGAAGCTCGCTACGACATTCTTCCAAGTTGTTCGCAAAGGTTTCCAATAGCTAAATGACAAGCAGACTCTGCTGAGAGCCCTTGAGAGACCTCACCTCCCTATTTTAAATCTCACTAGAATTCTCTTCCTTCGTACCAACATTCCCTGGTTGTGTACCAAGTTTTTCAAATAAATTCGAGTGCTCACTGAAGACTACATAACTGCATTCTTGCTGACTAGATGAACAAGTTTAATCTGTGAAGTGATGCCAGTTTTCAACCTGTTTTCAATCATATACAGGCAGGTTTCTAAATTTGTTATAGGAATGTAAAAATTATGGATCATTCAGGTATTCCTCTTTATCATTTGGCCTTCTATTAAGGCTTGGTTGTGATTGCAAGCTCTATTAGACGAAAAAGGTAAGATGTGCTTAACGTTGCCAGAAAGCAATAACTCAGTAAAAACTCACAAAAACCAAGTGTAAGTTGAATCACTTTTATGACTCCAGTTGCAGCAAAAATGCTGTCATCTCCTTGATGGCCTTGCCACTTCTTTTCCCTATTTGCCATTATTCATCCTTTCCTACTCTTACCCTACCATCAATCCCTCTAGCACAATATAATGCTTTGTTTTATTTTTTCCTTCATGCCAGATGTAATTATCTTTAATCTCTGCCTCCCTTGACTGAAATGTAGGCTCTATTGGAGCCAAGTTCAAGGCCTCACACACATTTGTGCTCAGCTTACTTGACTGTTCCTGGCAGCTCTGGCAAGGACCATGCATGTTTTGTTCATAGATGTATTCTAGTTCTTAGCACGGTGCCAGGCACATACCAAACTAGCTAAACATTGCAACTATGACTTGTAAGATGTATTACAGGTTCAGAAATGTGAAAAAAAAAGTTTGTTTCAAAATAAGGAAATTATGGTAACAAGCATGACTCAATAAATATTTCCTGAATGAATCAATCAAGATTTAGAGTTTAAACTTGTTGGCGCGATATCTCACTAACTACAGATACCTGAATAGATACCTATCCATACTTTTGAATAACTGTAGGGAAAGTTCCTTCTCTCCATTTACTCATTCATTCCCTTTACGGTTTATAGTGCCCATTTGTAATTAACCATGTCCCGTTACAGTACTTAACAAAGAAAGGTGATATGGTAGAATGGTGGGTTCTGGTGTCACATTACCTTGTATTCACCTTCCACACCTATCACCTGTGTGAATTCCTAACCCTCATTTTCCACATAGGAAATATGGTGATAATGCCTACCTTAGAGCACTGCTTTGAGGATAAAATGAGATTACCAATATAAACACTCAGCTCAGTATTTGGCATAAAGCATTCATTGAAGGCTGACTGCCGTTTTTTTCCACCATTTTATCTCTTAATTTTATCTTTTTGCACTATGCAGCATCTCCACACTCAAGGGGGAACAATGGCAAGTAGAATCTTTTGGGTCACAGACAGGATGTCACTGTCTGATGTACTACAGTCTTTACTGGTAGGGATGATACTACCAGGTGTCACAGACTTATTGCGTTTTCTGTGATATGCAAACAACATAAACTTTTACTTCATCTTAGTCACACATATGGTGCTTACTCAATAAGGTTCAGAATTATGAATAGAGAAATGAAAACTTAATCTAAGATGGTAAGAAATAATGCAATCTTATAAACATCCAATGTCTTTCTTTTTGTGTTACATGTTCTATTCCAGGTATTACAGTTTATTTCACTATGAATGTGCTGCTTGGAGCTTTCAACACATCAGATGTCATAATCATCTTGTTGATGTCAGGATGAATAAAATCTTACATGTTAGTAAAATGACATGCTTTCAATCTGTCATTTTTATTTTCCTTATTTACTTTTCTCTCCTATTGATGGCAAAATGCATTATGATTATAAATTTTTAAACAGAGGAAAAAAAGAATGTTGGTATCAGTTAATACAAAAACTAGATTCCAGTGTCACTAGGAACAATTAGGCTCTTCTGAACAAATGACACCAAACAATTTTAACTTTTATGTGACAAAAATGTCCTGGAAGTAAAAAATTATAGGGCAAGACAATGTAGCCATAGGCTAGATCAATTCAAAACTCAGCCCAAGAAAACTTGGCACATAAACAGATTAAGTTTGAACTATGTTTAAATATAGAGTAGAGGAATATAATCTGAGAATTTTCAAATACAAAAACAGCAATATTTGATGAAGCCATCCAATGATATATTATGCAATGAGTCTTTTAATACGCTTTGACTAAAGTGATTAAGTAGCAGGCTATGATGTGAAACTAATGGACCCTAAAAAAGTCATCTTCTCTTTTTCTTAGCAAGAAAAATCATATTTGATGGTATTTGGGGTGTTACCATAGGCACTATCAGAACAAAAATTCCCTGGCATTGAGTAAAATCCACAAACCCTCAAGAGACTAAATTTAATACTAAATCTCACATATTTCTTGTAAACTCACTAATATACATCAGTGGAGTTTCTAAGCAATCTTATCGGGTAACTGCATAAAGGTTAATTTGCTAACACTCTGTTTAAATTAAAAGACACAGAAGCAGATGAGCAATTTATAATGTAAATAATATTCTCTGTTTTCTTTTACTTTTTTAAAATGGGAACTGTCTCAGTCACTTATAGCAATCATGATCTCCGGGTAGGCACTTTTTGCAGATTAATTAGCTGATGGGGAGGCTGGTGTACCCAAGGACAGTCAATAATTGCCAGAGAAATTTGCTACAGGTCTTGGTGCAAAATCTGTAGGCCCAGAGACTTTCTTGTACAACTGGATTTTTATGCAGCTTCTAATCTCCAGAATCCCATGGGGAGAATAAAGGGTATCTATTTCCATAGATGATATCACAATTTACCTGAGTTTAGCAAAGAAACTAGATCTTGATTTTTTTGCTTTTCCCAAAGGCACATATGTAATTCATTACCTGTTGGCTATACCTACAAAATATACATCAAATCTACCCACTTCTCTCTGTCCCCATTCCCATCACCTTGACCAGGCTACCCTAATCTCTCCTGCACTACTACACTGGCTTCCCAAATGGTTTACTTGCCTTGCTCCAGCACAAACTGGATATTTATAACATGAGACATTTCCAACATTTGACACTTGAAAATGATACTTGATCAGCTATACAAGGAAAAGGTCTGGTGATTGCAACAGGACTGACAACTATTCTTTGGAAAAAGCAATCTTTATTATTATAGTAATAAGAATAAAATGTTTTTAGTGACTAATAACATTTTTCAAAATACAGCTAAGGAAAAAGAGGCAGGTAACAGTCTCCTAAGAACTTTTCTGTCTTCAGTTCAGTTTCTGAGCAACTCAACTATCCAACATGTTTCTTAGTTTTCTCACATAGGGAAGGAGTTGGAACACACTGGCTACATTTCAAGATAATCCAAGGTGAATGAGCCTGTTGACCAGGGCTTTTCCAGTTATAATAGACATCTCTGGAAGCTGTAGTTTTTGAAACCATTAGTTAAGGTACAAAGTTGAGTCCAGGAAAAGTTGGCTTCTACATAATTTGAACTTGAGAAGGACTAGAGGACAGAGTGTATTGTCTGTGTATATGTAGACATAACAAAGCTATTTTCATGCACAGTCCTGGCAGAAGGCCCGTGGTAACTGCTCTTTGGGTCTGGTTACAATTATTTCACTATAGGGAATAGTTCAGGACAGTACATCCCTTCTCTGTCCGCTAGGCCTCAAGTCGAAATGTGCATTGTTTTTACCTTATAAACCTTTTCAGCTCTCCTCCCTTGTTTTCTTTTAATTCTCTTCACCCTCTTCAGGCTGTATACCCCAAGCATTCATACCAGAAATTTCAGCAAAATTTTAAGCCCAACATACAACACTCCAATACACAAAAAAACTCTAAGAGTATATGAAAGGAAGGGTGTGTGGAATACCTGCTTCTTTACCCTTGTAACTGTGTGGAATCAGGGCACATATGCTTGTATTTCTCTCTGTGCAAGTACTTTCTAAGTTCTAATTGAAATAAATAAAACTCTCTTAAAAGGAAAAGCTTGGTATGCCCTCTGCAATTTTACCTCAATAAGCAAATACACTTGTGCTCCCTGCCCACTGCAGCATCTCATAGAGTTGAATGTGGCCCTCGGGAAAATTTTTAATGAGACATTTTATACTAAAATGTGTTTTTAATTTAAAAAAATACACAGATGATAAGACTAGTTTACAGGATATCAGTACTAAGATGCTAACCCCAATATTAAGAAATGTTTATGTCTATCCTTCCTATGTGGCCTCCCTTAACAGTGCTCAGTTCTAAAAATATGAAGCACCCCTCGCCCCAGTGAGTACTTCAACTCAGAGCTGGCTTGTTTAAAACTCCAGAACCCTTCTCGACTGTCCCACATATTAACTTCTCACAGTCACTGTATCCCAAATATTCTGGTCATTTCCCTACAATTTTCCAACGCTGGAAACATGTAGGTAAGAGAGATTATAATGAAAGGTGAAACAAAGACATAGAGTGGTTGATTCATCTGAATTATGTAAGATTTATATAGACGGACTTTTTAGGTTTACAAGAAATGCAGATGGTCAGTTTAATTTCCTGAGAAAATTTTCAAGATGTGATTTGTGAAATCAACAGCATACGGTGTGAATCATCCTTTGGCTCAACACTCCTTTAACTTCTCACACTTTGACCTTTCCTTGTCTCGAATGATCCCTTCCTCCAAAGACAAAAGGTAGAGGGGATTCCCTTGGAAGGTGAGAGAGGGAATAACATTCATGTCTTTATTTTAGCCAGGTGAGGTCCACTTCTAGCAAATGATAAATCAACAGGATGAGAGACGAGTTGAGGCAGTATGGGAGAAAGAAGTCACTAATGAATATCAACTAAAGGATATGGACGGTAAAAGTAACTAATTGAGCAATTGAACTTCTCTAGGACTCAGTTCCATTGTACAAAAGGTAAGGTTGGACTAGACGAATTAATTTAATATTTGTTGAGAATGGACCTTGTTCAAAACATTATGCTTAGGTGTCGTGGAGGATACAAATTTCTATGGAACCAATGTTCCAATTTGAATCATCAAAGCTGGGCATTTTTATTTTCATCCAAGTCCTGCACCCCCTACAACCCTTCCCCCAGAACGATTTCATTGACTTCCTTAAATAATTTGCATATATCTGTTAGTGTACATTTGCTTCCCTAATGAGAATATAAAATCCCCTGAAAGCAAGTGATATATAATATTTTATACATATTTGAATTATGTCCTGAGTAACTTAGTGCCTAGTATGATGCTTTAATTTTTTTGTAGTGTTCAATATATTTGTTATATACTCATAAATAAAGATAAGATATAATCCTTACTCTCAAGGAATTTAAATTTAATTTGCAATAGGAGGGAAAAGATAAGTAATAAGGAGAAAGTAGGTGAGCCTACCTAGAAACATGTGAATGTGTATATGTCTGTGTATATATAAGATACCAGAGGCAGCTAATGTTCAATATGCACCAGGTGTATTTCTACTGTAGAAGAGCAGCTGTTAGTTTAATTTATTTTCTAAATTTAGATCTAGATATATTGGGTTTTCTCACAGCAGGGTATTCTTGTGGCCTCTGAGATATGAAATGTAAGAAAAAGGCTTTGCGGTCATTTAAAGCAAGAATTTGTACGAGATTCTTTATACCAATACCCTTTTAGGAAGTTTTAGATAATTTCAGAAGTTTCAACCTGACTCAGTCCCCTTTATTTACCATTCACTGTATAGTGTAACATTTCTTGATTACTGAACATATATTCTTCAATTTTCCAATGAAAGACCCTTTGCAATTAGAAGCAGAAAGGTTTCTTTGATGAACTTAATTTTTGTATTTTCTGAGTTGATGCTGATATTGTTACATATGAAATATTCCACTAAAATAAGCTTTTCATTGCTAATAATTGCAGATGGGTGAGGAAAACTTTCAGTACAACTTATTATTCTGAGCACTCTGTACTTTCATGAATGTTAGTTATTTTGACTTTATTTTATAAACAATTTTATAGAAAACATCATTTAACAGCAAGCTCTTTTATTTTTTTCCCCCTGATAGATCTATAGCACTGGGAACATATACTAGGACCTAGATGCAAAACACTTTTCAAACATAAGGTGTTCTGCCAGGTTGCTAAGCTAAAATTAGTACAGCCATCTTTCATTTTGGTTTTTCATTTAATAAACCTGCTTCCTTGCATACTCATTTTATTTGAACTTTTTGAGTTAGGCTATGTAAAAAGACATCATTTTAAGCAGCAATCGCCCAAATGATATCCTATAATCACTGGTTACATGTTCCCTATTCATTTAGCTGAAACACCAGAAAGTTACCAAAAAAAATCCAGAAAAAAAATCATACTATTAAACATTCTGAACCAATAAAAATGTTCTGAGGGTACCACATCACAAAAAATTGTTTCTCCCCTCTCTTTTAAGATTAAAGTATTTTTTCTTATTCTAAAATCGTCCATAATTTTTAGAAGCATCTTTGAGAACAAGGAGGAAATCTCTCACTTTAGCAGAAAGGCAAGACTCATGATGAGACTGTCAAAGGTGGCTGTAGAGCTTAACACAACCCAAACCAAAGAGGCTCCAACCCAGGAAAAAAAGGTAAAGGAGAAAGATTTTCAGAGGAACTGAGAATTCTTCTAGTCTTGGGAGCAGAACAATTTCATTCAAGTATCTGCGAGCATATTAGAGTGGAATTTGTTGCAACACATATTCTTATACATTCTGTAGAAAAAGGATGGCCTGGGAGTCGTACTAGCTGTTACAGCAAAGTTATTTCTCTTTTTTCTTTTCTTTACTTTTTTTTTTGTTTTGAGACAGAGACTTGCTCTGTCACCCAGTCTGGGGTATAGCAGCATGATCTCAGTTCAGTGCAACCTCTGCCTCCTGGGTTCGAACAATTCTCTTGCCTCAACTTCCTAAGTAGCTGGGACTATGGGCGCATGCTACCACGCCTGGCTAATTTTTATATGTTTAGTAGAGATGGGTTTTGCCAAGTCGGCAGGCTGGTCTCAAACTCCTGACCTCAGGTGATCCTCCTGCCTCAGTCTCCCAAAGTGCTGGGATTATAGGCGTGAGCCACTGTTCCTGGCCATAGCAAAGTTATTTCATGATCAAACTTGTTATGTTTGGAAAAGATATCTGGATACTTTTAAGTTTATCTGTTTCTATGTTTTGTATTTCATTCCACTTCTTTTTCTTTCTCCCCCACAACCTTTTTTTTTGAGATAAGGTCTCATTCTGTTGCCTGGGCTGTAGTGCAATGGTGTGATCATAGCTCACTGCAGCCTTGAACTCCTGGGCTCAAGGGATCCTCCTGCCTCAGCCCCCTGAGTAGCTAGGACTACCGGATGTATTTGTTTTCTTTTCCCTTAGTTTCCTGGGAAGGTTTTTGAATGGCAGAGAGGCCAATGGTAGAAGCAGCATCACAGAATGAACCACAGTCCTACCCATGCAGGCAGACATCTGGAATGTAAGGAAGAGAGGCTGGCGAAAAGCTCAGGACCTAGTTTTCTCTAATGTTCCTATGACTGAGTAAATACAGTAATCTGGTGATATTCAGAGAAACAATAAATTTCTCCTGACAGTACAGGGATAGCTAGGACATGCAGTTCAAATAGGGACTGGCAGACTCTTGCAGCTTTTCATTCAAAGGCTCAGCATATCCAGTTACTGAATGAACCCTGGCAGGCCATGCATACCCAGCGAGTAGGGCAGTGTCCTGAGTCATAACTCTGCCTAGAGCTGTGGCTTTCTCTCCTCTCTTCTTAAAAGAGCGTATCTTGTAGATCTTGCTCCTCAACTTGTGTTAGTAAAGGCTGAATCTCAAAATACCAAGGTTCAAGGGCTGTTGAGAAGCAATAGTGTAAGAGGAGATTGCAAGGGGTGGGGCTGGGTAAATGAGTGAGGCACATATACAAGGATTAGGTTTAGTTTTAGAGCAACTGCAGCCTTAATGCACTGTTACTGGAGCTCCTCTCTTCAATTTCTTAGTTTTAGATATGTTTCACATTAAGCTGGAGGCCCGATGCTTATTGATGCTAATTTAATATCAATATCTGACCCACCCTTTTAGTACTCACACGTCTTTCCCGTGATTTTCAGCTTCACTTTACAGGCAAAGATTGAGCTGTACAACAAACCAATGGAGTTACAAAAAAAGGTTTGTTTTTTCTGAGTTTATCAGATAGTTCATCATCCATTTTGGCCCCACAATTAGAGTGGACTGTTAACATCTTAAAACACAGTGCATTTTCCAGGTAGCCTGTATCTTAGGAACCTCCTTCTACTCATCACAGTTGTGTCAAAAATAGATCTTTAAAAATGCTCAAAACGCAAAAGAGAAAAAAAAAAAAAAAACAATTGTAGTCTTTCAATGTGTTATGCAGTCCAAAGTGACCTTATCTTAGGTTATTTGAGGCATAAAGCAAGATTTTTGCATTTCAGCTTAAATCGTGATTAAAAGAACTGTTTTTTTTTTAAAAAAATAATAGTGTTACAGTAATATCTCAAAGAGCTGAGTATCACCTAATTCTACGAAGCAATAGTTATAGTATCAGGTTGCTAAGTTTTAGTTTGAGATAGCCTTTGAGGGGGAGCATGGTAGAGGAATTCCTAATGTTTTTTCTTTTAATATTTTGTGGACAGAAACATATTCCAGAGAAACAACCTAGAATTTCAGAATAAAAACAATATATTTTTCAAAAATCCTGGGTAGAGTTCACCAAATTAAAAACACAGACACTTAATTGAGACTTCCGCTGCCAGAACACTTTAGTGAAAAGTTGTAAAGTGAGAATTTAATAGGATAAGTGCCAGTTCCTTGCTAAACCCAAACTTTTAACACCTTAAAAGATGTAATTTGTTGAAAATGACTTCATATTTAACCTCGTCAAAAAGAAAGAAATCCAAATATTCATGGGAGCTTGGATATCTCTCAATCTCCAGGCTTGGGCAAGAGGCCACCCAGAGACAGGGCACCATATCCAGAGCCCATGTCCTTCCCCCGGTTTCAGTCCAACACATGACTTAGCAATTTGCTGTATCCACGTTATATTCAGGTCCAGCTGCCTTAACATAGGCTCTCCGTCTTACAGAGGGGCAGCTGTGAATGCTGGGAAACTACCTGTGTCCTGAGAATGAACTAGCATGATTCTTTTCTTTTCTTGAGATGGAGTCTTGGCTCTGTCACCAGGCTGGAGTGCAGTGGGGCGATCTCGGCTCACTGCAACCTCCGCCTACTGGGTGCAAGCGATTTCCCTGCCTCAGCCTCCCCAGTAGCTGGGACTACAGGTGCCCACCACCACACCGAACTAATTTTTGTATTTTTAGAAGAGAAGGGGTTTCACCATGTTGGCCAGGATAGTCTCGATCTCTTGACCTCGTGATCCACCCGCCTTGGCCTCCCAAAGTGCTGGGATTACAGGCATAAGCCACCGCGCCCGGCCACACGGTTCTTATTGTAATCCCTGAGCCTCTTCATTATCCTTGTATTCCTTCTCTGTCACTGGCTATCGCTCTACTTCAGGGTGCAGCTAGATGAATGGGCCTTTCCCTTCCTCCCTAGGGCAGAGGTGCAGGGCTATTTTTAGAAAATCGCTTATATCATTAGTTCAGTTCCTTTTTCTTATGATCCTCCTGCAGGGAGAACCTCAGAGAACAGGCCTTCAATCCCTATTCTAAAATTGGACAAGACATGTTTGGAATTCAAAATTTTTTCAGAGATGATGCCTATAACATACATGATACAAAATCTCCAGCGGGGTCTGAGCCAGCACTTCACAATCAAATACATGAATATTTCACAATAAATGTTATAAATAATACTGTAAATAGCCTCAAATGAGTTTATGGCAAACTTTGCCAAAAAATGAATTCTAGTGTTAAATTTGCAAAAGAACGTTCAGTTTTCCTGGCATTTAGGATTTTAAAATTGAGGACAAGAGATATTAGATCTGTATTATTAGGTTTTCAAAACGTTAAGGCAAATTAACCTATTTGTTCTTAGAGAAAAAAGAGATGAGGACCTATTTATTTACAAATAGCCTAAAGGGGTCTTTCACAGTAATCTTTTTGACATAGAATTTGACTATACTGAACAGGATTTGATATAAATGGGTTGTCCTCGTCCCTGGCATATTCTATTCTGCAGAGCCAGTCTGTGACTGTGCTATTGTCGTGGAATCGGAGCTGCCTAGTCATGCTTCAGAGAAACAGACCAGAAATGGGCAGACCTAACCTCTCTGGGACGCTCAGGAACATTCCCAGACTAGAATAAAAACCTCAACAAGGCAAGAGAGTTGGAGCCAACTGGCATGCATGTGCTATGACTCCATAATAAAGTAATTACACAGTTTGATTTTTTAAGCATGTAAAACCAAAAACCTAATCTTCTTCTTAATATAGGGGAATTTTTTTTAAAAAGCCCAAACCTTTGAAGTTTTAAAGGTGGGATTGGGAAGATTATATTCTAGGTTGTCATGCTAGGGGTCCTATACAAGGGAAGGGGTACGTTTTCCCTGAGATCAGGGGTTGTCACCATTGAAGACATATAGAGATCAAGGCTTACTTGGCTTCCAGGGCCAGCGCAATGATGCCTGCAGCCATGGGGGCTGAGGCTGACGTCCCAGTGTGGTTGTCCGTGCAACGCTGCCTCAGATCTGTAGTGATCTGGAAAACAAAGTGAAAAGTTTAGATTTCTGAGGCCAATGTGAGTCACCTGCAAGTAGAAAGAAATATACTCATAAAAATAGAATGGGGGTATATGTTAAATACTTGTTTTAAATTCCTTGTTCCTACACGCCTGTAAATCATATCACTTCCAGAGAATTGACTGTGTAGATCAACTCTGAAAAGGGAAGTGTTTGGAAACTGAACTCCATTTCTGTTCAAACCAGGGTCAAAACCAGGGTGAGCTTATGGATGAAAACATAAAGATCATGCAAATACCTCCTTAAATTCTGCTCTGTAAGCATCTTGCTTGCTTCTCCCTAGTGCCAGTTCTGGTTAAAACTGAAGTTCTTTCCTTGCCTCAACATTTTAAAATAATCAAGCACATTGTATCAAATCCAGACACTGAGCAGGCATTGGCAACATACAGAATAAAAGTACATGGTCCCTGCAGCCTAGAACTGTTACCTTGGGGAACCACAGATTTCAAGCCAAAAGTATGCTCTGCTGTAGAAAGAACCTTTGGTTGTGGACCTGTTTCTAGAATCAATAGAAATGTTGCACGGATGAACCAAGACTTCCTCAAAGATATAACATGGATACTAAAAATAAGGCTGAAGCCAGTGTACTTGATATGCAATTACAGCACTAAGTGTAAGCTTGTATATTAGAGAAAATTAGTTATTTCTCCATTTTATTTTTTAATCAAAATGTGAGAACTAAGTCATTTTTATCCTCTTGGCTTAAATCCAGTTCACTTCAGCTGTGACGGAATAATATTACCATCCAGCAAAGGCAATGTTTCTCAACCTTTGTTTCATTATTTTCTCACTATGGAAAAAATACATTAAATTTAACTTCTCCTTTAATACTATGGAATAAGATTCTGGAAACCACTCTAATAGCTCTAAGATTTTTTAAATCCTCCCTCTTGGACAAGAATCCATTTTTTGCCCTCTTTGGGACAGTATCACCTCTGGGGGAGTATAGAAGTCTGTGAGAGGAGTTAGTGGTCTCATTGAAGTTATTGGAAGGCTATTAGTAAATCTGTCTTTCGCATCAAGGCAAGTATATTACCATATATTACAGATAGGAAAACGGTCATGAAAGGTCCCAGAAAGGTGAAGGGGGATCCAGGCAGCTGAAAACAAAGGCCTCTCCTTCAAAGTGCTTCCTTCAAGAGGAGTGTGAAAATTAGTTAAATTTGGTTTGGAAAGAAACTTGATCTTCACAGGAACAAAGTGCTGTATAGCTCCTTAGAGACAGACTCTCACTTAGAAGTTTATTCTATGTCACATGAATATGTCTAAGTAGACTCTTTTATGACCTCTCATGGATCTAGATAGGCATTCTGGCTGATTTAGTTTCACATGAGACCATAAGTTCTTACTATCCTTTCTTTGTTCCTTTTGACAACTCTAACATTACCAGATTATCTGTACTAGATAGGTGTGGGTACTGATATAAAAGGAGTGAAAGAATGAACAAAGATCTATAGAACTACATAGATATGGTGGTGGGGGAAGGAGTCAAACCTTTCACTACGTTTTCCTGAATGAATGAATGGTGTGCAAGAACCCTGAAGCCATCTACTGAACCTCGACATGTGATGCTTGCAGGATGTTTGGGTAAATAGGGCCCTATCCACTTTTATGTTAAGAAACTGTCTGGGCTTTTCATTGCTGAGTTTAAACAGGTATTTTTTTATTGTGTTAAAAAACATATAACATACAATTACCCTCTGAACAATTTTTATGCGTACAGTACAATGTTGCTAACCATATATGTACAAGCTTGTACAATATCACTAGGCTTTTTCATCTTGCAGAACTCAAACTCTGTAACCACTGAACAGTTCCTCACTCTCCCTCCCCTTGCCCCCTGGCAACCACCGTTCTTCTTTCTACTGCTATGTGTTTGATTCCTCTACATACCTCATGTAAGTGGAATCACACAGTATCTGTCTTCTCAAAACAGGATTATCTCATGTAGCATAATGTCCTCAAGGTTTATCCATATTGTACCATATGACAGGATTTCTTTACTTTATAAGGCTGAGTATATTCCATTATGCCACATTTTCTTCATCCATTCATCTGTTGATGGACACATGGGTTGCTTCTACCTCTCAGCTATTGTGAAGAAGGCTGAACATGCACATGGGGGTGCCGCAATCTCTCTGAGACCCTGTTTTCAGTTCTTTCAAATCGGTAATTCCAGAAGAGGAATTGCTGGATTGTTAAAAGGAACTGCTGCCTCATTTGAAATTATGGGTGAATTTGCAGCCTGATTTTCCAAAGCCCTGGTCCCTAAGTCAATGCATGAACACACCAGAAGTAGCTTGTTTCCAGGTGTCCAGATCTGCTGTTGTTGAGACGGCCTTGCCTGCATTCTTCCTATTTTATCTCACCCATGGTCACATTCCTTTGTCCAAGTTTTATTTTTTTTCAATGACTTGTGCCTGGATTCAAGATTTTTCATGATATTTTCCCACTTGGCTCTCCTTGCTTATTCTTCAGCCGCACCAGACATTTTCAATGCACAGAAACAAATCCAGAATAAACACTCCAAGTGTGTGTAGCACTTGAGTCTAATAAATAACCATCTTCAGCCAACCTCAAATGTGAACGATCAAAATTTTATGATCTTGCATTTGCAATAGTAATATGCTTCGTCTGCATAGTGACAAGGTATCTAGGCATACAACTTATGCTTTAATATAAAGCTACTTAGTACATTTATATATAAACACCAATGAAGTGTTAAATGCTATTAATGTCGGCACATCTGTGTAATTCCAAATCCCCACTGTGTTATAATTTTTTTCAACCACTTTAAATGAAACTTGACTGGTGAGTAGGACTGGATGGAGTGGAGGAGAAAGGTGATGGAAAGGGGTAAAGTTAAAAGGAACGGGGAGAAAAGAAACAAAAACATCCCCACTCCCTTCTCATCCTGCTTGAAATGGAAATTCCAGCTGGGTCATTTCAAGAGGAAGTTACTATCAGAGGTGGCAATATTTAGGTGTAAATTACTGGAAAGATCTAAGGCAGGGTTTTCGTCATTAAGAGAAGCCACAGCATCGGAGTTTTTGTGTCTATCTTTAGAAATAAAAGGCAAAGGCCACCAAAGAGCAGGCAATCTTGAAGAAAAATGACGTTATGAAAACTGGAACCACATGGAATATCCCCATTAATCACAACACATGTATATAGGATCTGACAGTGTAATTTAAAGGCAAGTTGCATTCAACAGTCGGCCCACTACATAGGGTGGGGAACACAGAGATTCTACATGCAAGCACTTTCACTTTAGATTCCACTTTAAATAATGTCTCAGAATTTGGTTTAAATCCTGATGGCACATCTTGCATGCTCCAAATCCCCCCAATTCACTACACAAATCAGAAACAGAATTTTTCTCCAAAGAACTTCTCAGATTGCTCAAGAAAATATCATTTGTGCCCATCAGAGTGATGGAAACTGGAAAGGACACCAGGCCCTGAGCCAGATCAAAGCTGTCCTGATCAGCAAATTAGATTTTCAGCGTCTCTCAGGATCAGTAGCAGATGGTTTTTTGGACTCCACTATGTTAGGGATGTCATCATCCTTTGATGACAAGCGGTGGGTACTGTTCAGGTTTAGACAGCCTCCACTAAGATGAACCATCACTTTTTCTCACCCTAAGCAATTATGTCCTAGTATTTCACATTTCATTACTTGTTCTGATTGGACCTTTGATTTTAGCCTGTTGATGTAATTCTCCAGGGAATCTCAGTTCAGATTGACTTTGGCCATAAGTGACAAGCTTTTATAGCAACCCCACAGTCAAGAGTTTCTCTCTCCTTGATATCTAGTGATCCGTTTTACTTTGAAGGTGCCATATTGTCTCGTATCTGTTAAAAGAGCAACTGAACAGATATTTTTGAAACATGAAATGATTTTACTGTCTGTTAGGTTGAATTTGTTTCTGGTGTTGATTTTGATTTGAACTAGAATTGTGCCAAGAAAGCTGTTTCAGACACAGCTATGGGGGAGAAGGGCAGAAACTAAATTTTAAATGTGTCAATGACTAAAATAGAAGAAGCTGATTTATTAAGCACAGTAAAATAAAAAAGAACCGAAGACTAAAGAAAGCTTTTTGTGTCCACAGAAGTCACAAAGACTAGTGTAAAATTCAGTCATGACTGACAAGTCCACACAAAATCCCACTCTCGTGTTGCTAAAAGAATCTGTAAATGTGAAGTACAAATAGAAGATTTTGCTTACAAATGGAGGGTTACTATCACTAAAGAAGAATCTCATGTTACATCACTTTTGTATCTCCATAATGTTCAGCTCAGTTCCATGTACCAAGAGGCACAATATTTATTTGCTAAGTTGAATCCCTAAAATCAAGCTCCTTTATATTCATTTCATTCTATACTTCAACTCTTCCGTTCATTAGGAAACACTCAAAGTCACTTCTTTTTCCACCATCCAAACAAAACTCACAGAAATTTGTAGTCAACCTACAAAAATTATGTGTGCATATGTGTATATACAATCCAGGGTTTAAAGTACAGCTAATACTCTCACAAGTACTACAGGTTGCGTATCCCTTACCCAAAATAGTTGGGACCAGAGGTGTTTTAGATTTCAAATTTTTGCAGATTATGGAATAGCTGCATTACCCCAGTTCAACATCTCTAATCTGAAAACTTGAAATGCTCCAAAATCTCAAACTTTTGGGACGCCAAAATGACACTCAAAGGAAATGTTCATTGGAATGCTACAGATTTTGAATTTTTGTATTAGAGATGCTTTATCTACCACCAGCTCCACTGCTTCCTCTAAAACTACCACAATGAGCAGCTTGCAATGAATGAGACAGTATGCAAGAGGTATTTATGTGTGTCCATATAAAATGATATATAAACCCACAGGAACACTGCAAGGAAGATATTTTATTAGCTAAGGAAATAGAGGCTCAGAGGGGTTAAGTAACTTGCCCAAGGACAAACAGCTACAAAAGGGCTCGTCAGTGCTAAAGATATCAAACTGTAAAATAGCAGCAAAAGAAAAAAAAGCTGAGTTACAAAGTGTAGTCATTCATGAGAGCAAAGGTAACAACAACTAGCCTCGTGACCCAGCCCAAGTCAGCAAGTCCGTATAGAGGTTCCTTCAGGCCATTAAAATGAGACCTTTTCAGAAGCAACGTTTCCTTTTAGCTTTTTAACTTTCTCAAGAGAATATGTATCAAACTTCCAAATAAACAAAAACACATCTGGATTCACTAGACTTTTACTCATGAAAAATAATGGAATTTTCTAAGTCAAAAGAAGAAATGGAGAGATGACAGAGAATAACCTAGTGCAAATGGTGAATGCATTTGAAAAATGAATCGGGTGGTAGAAGAGGAGCAGAATATTTCTGCAAAAGAAAATGTAGAGCTGCTTAGAAGCATTAAAAGCAATAAGATAATTCCTCCACATGGAATTTGTTTTTCAGGCCAACTCTGAGATACCCCAGGCAGCAACTTTGTTTTGAACACAAATAAATAAAATGACATCAGGAGAGGGCTAAGCAGAACATATATTCTCCCAACTCTGGCTCAGAGAACCCCTCCCAGGAGGAATCTGAGAAACCCTATGTCCCAATCACTAAGATAAATTACTAGGGGGAAAAAAGTCAAAGTCTGAACAAAGTCCCAAAAGAAAGAGATAATTTAATGATGGGAGGGACTGGAAAGAAAGGGGAGCCTTATTTATAAAACAGAACTTGAGAGAAATGTCAGGAGGAGGTGAGGGGTTATAGATAGGATCTTTTAGGCTTTTTGACACTAAAAACAGGTTACATGAACAGCTTTATCATGTTGCAGGATTCCTGCTGGCAATTTTCTATGCTAAATATCCTGTCAAATAACGTTTCACTTTCACCAACCTACCGACAGAAGAAGTTTCTCTGAAAGAAACAGAGCAGCTCCCTGTCTTCCTGCAGCTATATAAACAACTTGTAAAGCCTCCATCCTTCCAAATGTTTGCTAGTCATTTATGCACGAATATTTATTAAGCTCAGGCTCTGGAAAGGAACAAAACACGGTCTTCATCCTCAAGTAGTTTCCATTGTAGTGCGAAAAACAGACAGTAAATAAGAAAATATGTACTACCAGGTGAAGTAGCTATAAGTGCACTAGAAAAAAAAATTGAACCGGGTAAAGGAGTAGAGAGTGGTGGAGGGGTGTGCCTCTATTTTAGAAAAGGTGATGAAGAAAATCCTCTTTGAGGTGAAATTTGAGAGGAGACAAAAATGAAGTGATATTTGGTAGAGGAGTGTTCTAACAGACGGGACTTTGCACATCAGGAAGCCCTGGTTTGAACATCATACAGAAAATACAAAAGCCATGACCTTGGGAGCTCAGTGCTAACTCTGCTGCCATAGGAACTAGCAACTCAGCTTGAGTTTTTTGCAAGAGGTTCAACTGTGTGAGGGGGTATGAAAAAGGGTAAAGGAATGAAATTCAAAATGAGGAGACTAAATAGTGAAAAACAATGGAAATGTATATATTCTAAATGCTTCTTTATGACTGAAAAGAACTCAAAACAGGTAAGAAAAGCACTATTCTTTCACATAGCCCCATACTGGATATCCCTAAGATGCATCAGGATGGGATGCACACTGGCTACAAGATGAGTTTGGGGGTCTATCTTGACTTTGATTGGAATCCAAGCTCTACCATTTACTAGCTATGGTTTTTGTTTGCTTAACTTCTCAAGCTTTAGTTTTCTCATCTGTAAAAAGTGGGGACACCATGATCTTTCTGCATAGGGTTTCCCAAGAATACAATGAGATGTTGCATTTGATGTGCATAGCACAGTGTCAGGCACAAATGAGAAGGACAAAAAATGTGATATTTTCAACATGTTAATATATAAATGTATTACATGTGAGACATGAAATGTGAACAATTATGTTAATGAATTCTTTCGTTATACAACTTTAAAATAACTAGTAATTTTAAATGATTTCTATTTAGCTTATGAAAGAGCTTCTTTCATAGTAATCTTTATACTTTGAACGCTTCCTTTGCTGTAATAAGATATAAGGTCATTGCTGATCCAAATCTACTAAAGCATGAATGCAATACCGAGGTCCACAACTGTGCTAGAAGTAATGGCAGGAAACCAAGGGACAGGGACTTCCTTATGTTTTGAAACCCAGGGCAAGGCTTTCCTGTTTGCGTATCATGAAAAGTCATTTTGTCCAGAACAAGTAAAATTTATTTAACAAAAATGCTTTCCCAGAAGCAGAGAGATTTTTTTCCCTCTCTCCTCAGATCCTCAGCAACTGTCTTGGTTCAAATCACAAAGGTGCTCTATGAATGAAGAATGACAACCGTGCTCTTCTGGGTAGGCTGCAGATGACAAAAGGAAATGAATGTCTCAGGGAAGGGGGCTTAGTACAAAGACAGGCACTGCCATTCCTGTAGCACTCAATCACATATGCCACTAACAGGATGCGGGCATCACCGAGGGACCAAAGGCGTCTGGGTTCAAAGCCTGGTGAAGGAAAGGTCCCAGGCGCAACACAGGATTATTTGTCATTCTGATATCTAGAAGGAAAAGGGGTCAGCCGGACCATAAAAGGCTGATGTTACTGCCAACTCCACTCATGTTCAAACTGTTAACATGTTCCCGATCAGAGTGTCTTTCTTTATGGGATGAGTGGAACAGATCGCAGTGTTTTATAGATTGGAAAAACTGAGGTGCGATAGGCACCTAACAGCAGCTGGAAAAACACCCTAACCTCCCAGGTTGCAGAAAGCTACAGGAGCTTAGGCGACAATGCGACCGGACATGCACTGAGCTGCTCCTGTGTACCAGGCATCAGGCACCTTAACTCAGTCTTTTATTATCTTCATGGAAATCTCTGAGGTAGGTGCTGGTATTATCTCCATTTTACAGATGAGGCAATCAAGACTCCATGAGGGTTGCTTATCCACTGAGTGGTCTCTCTGAAGCTAGAGACTAATATAAACAGCTTCCAAATTTCCTCTCCAATTGGGGGTAATTTGGGAATTCAGGCAAAATAAGGGAATCTAAGAACTAGCTAGAGAAAATTTACTAATATAATCTCACAAAAACAGAAGAAATGCATTAAACAAAAAGGAAGAAACGAATTAAGTTAAATACATAGAGTGAGTCACAGAAGGCTTTGAAATCACAAGCAAAAATTGGGGAAAAGTATATGACCTCGCGAAAGGGTATTAACATTTAGTCATGGTGTCCACTTTCCCTTGTAAGCTCTCTTCCTGCCCACAGAATGGATCAATTTGTCTATCCATGGGAGAATCCTAAATGACACCCCTGCCATGGGAGTCACAGCGGCAACCACACAATCACAGCAAACAATGACGAAGGCCCCAGGAAGGTTAAGTTTAGAGAGTAAAACTCACAGTAGTGATTTTGCAGTCCCTCTGTACATACTGTGTTCTCCCATCTGGACGAGACCACCTTTCCTTCTTCTTTGATATTTTTACCATGAGACTATATGCTTCCCTTACAGAAGGCATTTATAAAAGTTAACAATACCCTCCCCATAGCAATCACCCCATAGAGAATAATAGGACTGACTAAATGGGCATAATTACTTTGAAGCAATAGTGAGTTTGACTTAAGATGATTTCAAACTCCAGAGGTAAAAAACGAGAACTCTTATTCGAGTTTTCATCAGGAATTTCACGATGCAGGACTGATGGATGTCACTCCGTGCTAGTGGACGTTGACCATGAGTTAGAAGACACAAGGTCTTCTTATTTAAAAGCAAAGGGATATTTCTAGATTATAACATTTCTCTAATGGAGGCAAAATTTCAGTGGGGCATCACTTCCCAGTTAAGGAAGCCAGAAACCTCAAATGCAAAGCTCATCTCTGCATTTTTGCCTTTTATATTTTACTTGCTGTTTCAGAGTTATGCTTATTGATGAATGTTGGAGGTACTGACAGGTGGAATTGGGTGTATATATTTAAACCCAGACATTGTGGAGCAATTAGGGAAAGATGGGGACATGTATATGGGTAGGCAATTTTTACCTAAATCAATCTACAAAATGTAACTAAAGAAGGTAGTAAAAAGTAGCCGATAAATGAAACAGAAAAATCATATAATAACCAGGAATCAAGAGGAATAGAATGGATGTGGATTAAGACTTGCACAAAGGAGGTACAGTTCTATCCCCTATGGACTGCGGGAAAGGCAGATGGAGCACCACTAGAGTGACCCCAACCTGCGTAGATCTGTTAGAGCCAGAAGCAGGGTCTTGGCTAAATGCTAAAAAGTGTCAGGTACAGCAGCTTAGCTCTACCTTGAAAAGACAAATCCAGAGACAGTTTACAAAATCATGATCAGGAAAAAGGGCAAAGTGCAAAGGTGTCTGAAATTTATAATCAGCAGCACAGTGTTGGGCATCCCCGAAAAGTTAGAGCTTTCCTAAGCACTGAAGGGCCGGGTACTGTGCTAGGCACTTTTTACTGCCTTCCTCATTATTTTGTAATGACTCCATGAACTATGTGCTACTAAGTGTCCTCTTTGTATAAATAAGCATGTTGAGACAGACAGATTAATTTGTCCAAAATTACTCAACTACAAATATCTCAAGAGTGAAAGAAACTCACGCAGCAGGCTGAGCCTGCCACCTGAACTCTTAATTACACTGGCTGTTTGCCTAGAGTGCAGGATATGTTGCTAAACGGGAGATCCCATACAGCTTCTGTGCTTCTTCATCCAGCAGACTTTGTGCTGTCTATAAGAAATGCACCCCCGTCTCTACTAAAAATACAAAAAAAATTAGCCGGGCGCGGTGGCGGGCGCCTGTAGTCCCAGCTACTCGGGAGGCTGAGGCAGGAGAATGGCGTGAACCCGGGAAGCGGAGCTTGCAGTGAGCCGAGATTGCGCCACTGCAGTCCGCAGTCCCGCCTGGGCGACAGAGCGAGACTCCGTCTCAAAAAAAAAAAAAAAAAAAAAAAAGAAATGCACTTTTTGGCTGGGCGCGGTGCCTTACACCTGTAATCCCAGCACTTTGGGAGGCCGAGGCAGGCAGATCACTTGAGTTCAGGAGTTTGAGACCAGCCTGGCCAACACTGTGAAACCCTGCCTCTGCTAAAAATACAAAAAATTAGCCGGGCATGGTGGCACATGCTTGTAGTCCCAGCTACTCGGGAGGCTTAGGCAGGAGAATCACTTGAACCCGGGGGGCAGAGGTTGCAGTGAGCCGAGATCGCACCACTGTACTCCAGCCTGGGCGAAAGAGCGAGACTCTGTCTCAAAAAAAAAAATAAAAAATAAAAATAAAAATAAAGAAATGCACCTTTTGGTGGGGCGCAGTGGCTCACGCCTGTAAATCCCAGAACTTTGGGAAGCTGAGGCGGGAGGATCACTTGAGGTCAGGAGTTTGAGACCAGCCTGGCCAACGTGGTGAAACCCTGTCTCTACTAAAATACAAAAATTAGCTGGGCACAGTGGTGCGCACCTGTAATTCCAGCTACTTGGGAGGCTGAGACAGGAGAATAGCTTGAATCTGCAAGGTGGAGGTTGCAGTGAGCTGAGATCACACCACTGCCCTCCAGCCTGGGCAACAGTTAGACTTCATCTCAAAGGAAAAAAAAAAAAAAAGAAACGCACCTTTTACAGAGGTTTAGTTCATGTTAAATAAGTATAATTTCAATGAAATTCTGAGTTTCCTTATACACTTTTGTTTTTCACACTGAATTGGCCATACTCAGAAACCAAGCACTAAAGCTAAAGTTAAAAGTCGGTGCGGAAACACAGTGATAGGAGTACAGGACTGAGTCAGGCGTAGATTCCAGTCTCTTCTCTGCCACTAACTCACAATGTGAACGTGAACCAATCATTTATCCTCAATAAAATTGAAGCTTAATAACATCTAAGTCCACATTAAATGTTGCAATGTGATGACTGCACAAGCATTTTCAATTGGTAATGTTTACAACTTCTTCTATTATCAGCGAATCTAATTTCCTATTTCCATATATTACTTCTGTGTGTGTGTGTGTGTGTGTGTGTATATATATATATGTTTATGGTTCTCCCTTTGTATTTCAAAGTGAACATTAAATAAACAGATCATGATGGGCATGCACATGTCACGTACGATTTTCTTATCGTAGGACTCCCCGCTGCTGTAGGTTGTGGCCAGCGTGGATGAACACTCTTCCAGGTACCAAGGTTTCTTTCCGCTTTCTGCAGTGCTGCTGATGGAGATGGTGTAGATGCTGTTGGTGTAGCCATCACAGGAGCAGTGGTCTTTGCTCCTTCCACCATTTCCAGATGCCCAAACAAACACAGAGCCGAGGCCTCTCCGCCCCTGTTCACAAACAGAGAAAGCTAAATGATGGTGTGAAATGACTCTAAATGAAGAGGTCAGAATCCACTGAGCCAAACTGAGTAGGTGCAGGTGGGGTGTGTTGCTATCTTAATATGCTGGGCTTAAGCAGCTTCTGGGAGTGGAGTAAGAGGCGTTGGTTTTATAGACTAAAACGGTCAGAAAAGTTACAAGAGTACACATAATGACAATAATAATGGCTAATTATTTATGGACAAAGCACAATTCAAAGTGTTTTACATGAACTGCATTGAATTCTTTCAAGGATCCTGTGAGGCTGGCACAATTCCTGTCCCCGTTATGCTGTGGAGAAACTTGAGGTACAGAAGTTAAGTAATTCAATTAAATTTTTTTTTAAAAGGAAGTTAAGTAATATTCCTAAGGTCATAAACAGTAAGTGGTAGGGCCAAAATTTGAACCCAGAGAGTGAGATATGAGAGTTGGGATATTATTAGTTGTAATTACCGTAGTTATGCACTATTGTTTAAAATCTTCAAATCTGCCATGAATTGGGTGCTATTATGCACCCTCATTTATATCTGAGGAACATGAGGTATAGAGAGGTTATGCCTCTATGCTGAATTACACTGTTGGTGAGCATCAGAAGCAAGTACTAACTGTGTACTTCTTTCTATAGAACTGATCTTCCCATGAGTGGTGTAGACACTAATTACTGAGGGATGTTAATGGATGCTACCATAAATAAAAGGGTTTCAAGATCACATATGTTTGGGAATCCCCGAATTAAACAAAATTAAGTGAGCCTCTTCATTGCAAAACTTCTAAGAACCTTTAATAAATGAATGCTTATTGTAAAATTCTAAGAACAGGATACAGTCTAATATAATTTTTCCAAACATATTTGACCATAGATCCATTAACATTATCTTAGAATGCTACAAGACAGTGTCACATTCTTCATGCCAAAGCTTGGTAGCTAAAAATAACTAAAAGAATTTCTTGGTTAGGCATAGTGGCTCATGCTTGTAATCCTAGCATTTTGGGAGGCTGAGGTGAGCAGATCACCTGAGGTCAGGAGTTCAAGACCAGCCTGTCCAACATGGGGAAACTCTATCTCTACTGAAAATACAAAAATTAGCGAGGCGTGGTGGTGCACACCTGTAATCCCAGCTACTCGGGAGGCTGAGGCACGAGAATCGCTTGAACCTGAGAGGTGGAGGTTGCAGTTTGCAATGAGCCGAGGTCATGCCACTGCACTCCAGCTGGGCGACAGAGTGAGACTCCATCTTGAAAAAAAAAATGACTTTCTTAAAGTCCTCAATAATCAAGGAATAGAAGCAAAGTAGAATATAGACATACACAGTGAAGTGACTATAAGATGATGTCTTCAGGAGAAAACAGAGAATTAAGCCAAAATGGAAAGTATTTCTGGGAATAGCTGCAGCTGAATCCCTAAGAAATTGTGCCATTTTAAAGCTAGAAGGCAAATTGGAAGACACTGAGGCCAAATCCATCATTTTCTATTAGGAAGTGAGAACCCAAGTCACAAAGCTAGTGATGGCAGAGACTTTCTTCCTTCCAGGCCCTAATTTTCTGGTCCCCAGGTGGAAGCAAAAGCATTTGGGGGATGCTGTCTTAGAATTTCTGGAAAAAGAGCCGAAGAAAAAGAGACAACAAAGTCTGGAGTATCTGTGATAAACTCTTCCTGACCTTGAATCCTCAAGGAACAGTATATTTATGACATGATTTGATAGACCTGTTCATACCTTTCTTTTTGTCCTTGAACTTGGAAAAAATGCTTTATAATTACCCAGGAATTGGAAATATTCATGAATAGAGAGGGGGATAAACTTTCAGTTGCTATTGCTGCTCGACAGCTGGGCTCGGTTTACCATCCCTCAATGTTTCATCAAAATATTCATGAAATAGAGAGAAAGGTACAGAAATCACCAAGCCATCACAAACTAAGAATCTTGTTCAATGCTATGACAATCTCTAGGAGGGATTATGCATCACTATGGTGAGGGTGGTCAGACTGAGAAACTACAGTGATGGACTCCTGTCTAGACCTCAGAGACAACAACATACCAGAGGGAAAGAAAGAATGTTCCAACTCATCATCAATATGTTCCCTCTCTATCAGACACTGAGGGGCTGTGTTACAGGCAAAAATCAGGGTCTCACTGGGCCTCAGTGATAGGTCAATAGAATATATGGGATTGTGCAAAACCCACCTGATTTAAACAGCACCATCACAGATGATAGACAAAGACTCACAATGCAATTAAAAAGCATATATGGTACAAGCACGTGTGTGTGTGTGTGTGTATATATATATATATATAAAATTATGACAGTGTGCCCATGAATAAAATTCAATTAAACTATCTTTAAAAAGTAACTTGATTTTAAAGAATATTTAATAAAATATTTAGGAAGCATTTTTGTGATAATGTAGTTACAAACATAGGATACAAAATGGTATAGCACAGTCTCAGTTTAGGAAACAATGTGTAGACTGGGTGTAGTGGCCAACACCTGTAATCCTAGTCCTTCGGGAGGCCAAGGCAGGAGGATCATCTGAGTCCAGGAGTTAGAGACCAGCCTGGGCAATAGGGTGAGACCACATATTTACAAAAAATTAAAAAGAAATAGCCGGGTGGTGGTGCATGCTTCTAGTCTCAGCTATTTTAGGGGCTGAGGTGGAAGGATTGCTTGGAGCCAGGAGTTTGAGGCTGCAGCGCGCTACGACTGCTTCACTGCCCTCCAGGCTGAGTGACACAGCAAGCAAGACCCTGTATCTGGAAAAAAAAAAAAAAAAAAAAAAAAAGGGAAAGACAAAAAAGGGCGTGTGTAAAGAAGTCTATATGCATACATTTCCATGCATACCATAAAGTGAAAATGTAATTGAAGTTATCTTGTATGGTAAGATCAGAAAAGCTTTTTATTTTCTTTTTTATGTCAGTCTTCTATGACCATGTCTTACTTTTATAAAAAGAAACAAGAACATTAATTCCTCTACTAAGAGGGAAAACAAAGAGTCAATTGTTAAGAGATAATTTTTTAATGTTATGGCCAAAAGGGGTTTTACCCATAGACGGTCCACTGTGTACTAAAAACAACAGAGGCTAACATTTCTAAAAAACCTTCTATGCGCCAAGCACTGTACAAACATTACTCTGCACAATCCAAGTTTATATTATCATCATTTTACAGATGAGCAAACTGGTTCTCTCAGAAGTGCTCACTAACGGGCTGGGTGCAGTGCTTATGCCTGTAATCCCAGCACTTAGAGATAAGCCTGGGCAACATAGCGAGACCTTGTCTCTAAGAAAAAAATAAGAAATTAGCCAGGCATGGTGGCATGTGCCTATATTCCTGGCTTCTGGGGAGGCTGGGGTGAGAGGATCACTTGAGCCCAGGAGGTCAAGGCTGCAGGCAGCTATGCTCACACCACTGCACTCCAGCCTGGGCAACAGGGCTCAGAGAATGACCGTCTCTAAACAAACAAACAAACAAAAAAAGAAAGCGCCAGACCTTGAAAACTGACTGGAGCCACAGCCTGAGCTATTAATCCTTACAATAGTCTTCTTTTGGGCAAAAAGAGGGCTAGTGGTTATTGTACCCTTTCTGGCCAAATCCCCCATGTCTCCATTGCAGCTTGGCCTTAGGATATAAGAGCAGAAAAGTCCTAAAGTCCTTTCCAGACTTGGCAGTAGAATTAGAACTGATAAAGAATAGATGTATCTTTTGCCCTTAAGAGGTAGGACGTAGTTTCCAACCCCCAAGTCCCCTGAAATCCCATCCTGAGGGGGGACTCCCTCAGAAGTATGAACACAGGTCATTCTATTCCAGTAGCACTCATGGAAGATACCACTAAGAAGGAGCAATGGCATTGCTGAGGGGTCCTTTGGGGATCCACGGGGTTGAGAGTCCTGAGTTGAGAGGACAGTAGGTTGCTGCTGCCCTGAAAATGTCCCTTCCAGACAGAGGTGACGTCCTTGTGTCGAACAGATAATTTGAGGGAATTATTTTATAACCGAGCATGGTAAAGGAAAACCTCAAAGGACAGCATGGGGTCAATAAACACTCCCAGGCCTGAAGGGGCACAGAGAGAGGGGAGTCACTGGAGCTGGTGACAGAGGGGCTAATCGGAGTTGGTCAGGGGATATGCTAGCCTGTGCTGGACCTGCAGGCAGGGGGCTGGTGAATGCATACCTGAGCCCCCAATCTCCTCGTCTTACATTCCAGTTTCTGGCCAGCATACCCCACTGGCCAAACCTCATTAAAACCCAGAGAGATCAGTGTCTGCATGCACAGAGCTCATGGAGAGAAGAGAAGAAGAGATCTTAAGGGTTAACTAGAAGACACCAGAACAGTCCCGAAGGTGTGCTGTGGACTGAACTGTGTTCCCCTATGCTAAAGCCCTAAAGACCAATGTGACTATATTTGGAAAAAGGGTTTTCAGTGAGGCAATTAAGCTTAAATGAGGTCATAAGTGTGGGGCCGCACAGGACTGGTGTCCTTATAAACAGAGGAAGAGATAACAGAGCTCAGATCTCTCTAGCTCGCTCGCTTTCTCTCTCTCTCTCTCTCTCAGATTGTAGGCACAGAAGCAAGGCTATGTAAAGACCCAGCCAGAAGGTGCCCATCTGCAAGCAGAGGAGGGCCAGGACCCAGCTCTACAAGCATCGTGGTCTTGGACTTCCAGCCTCCAGAACTATAAGAAAATAAATTTCCCTTGTTTAAGCCAGGAGTCCTCAACCGAAATTGATCCGTGGCTTGTTAGGAATCCGGCCACACAGCAGGAGGTGGGTGGTGGGCAGGCAAGTGAAGCTTCATCTGTATTTACAGCCATTCTCCATTACTCTCTTACCGCCTGAGCTCTACCTCCTGTCAGATCAGCAGTGGCAATGGATTCTCACAGGCGCTCGAACCTCTTATGACCTACGCATGCGAGGGATCTAGGTTTCCTGCTTCTCACGAGAATCTAATGACTGATGATCTGTCATTGTCTCCTATCACCCCCAGATGGGACCATTTAGCTGCAGGAAAACAAGCTCAGGGTTCCCATGATTCTACATTATGGTGAGTTGTATAATTTCATTTTATATTACAATGTAATAAGAGAAATAATGTGCGTAATGAATGTAATGTGCTTGAATCATCCCTCAACCCCCCATTCTGTGAAAAAACTGACTTCCATGAAACCGTTCCCTGGCACCAAAAAAGTTGAGAACCGCTGGTTTAAGCCACCCAGTCTGTGCTGTTTTGTTACAGTAGCCCAGGCTAATACGAGGAGAGAGGAAGAGAAGAACAATGGCCTGCCCGTCATTGGATTCTGTGTGCTCTGCCACAGAATGCATAGAGACTGCCATCATTCGACCCAGGAGGTAATCTGACCTTTATTCCTGCGAGTATGGTTTATGATTGAAGTCCCAGAAATAAACAGACTGAATTTGCAGGCTGGAAATGCCATCAAGACAGCTGCTAAAGATCTATGGGGTTAATCCTAAACAATTAGCAATTCAAAGATACATTTCCTACAGAGGCACAGGGGGTTTCCATTCATAGGAAATATCCAGAAACCAAAACATATGTGGGAAAAAAATTAAAAATCTCCACATTTCTCAAAAAAAAAAGTAATTTAAGAATTAAATCTTAATGTGGGGTGCAGGGAGAAGGGAGGGTGCATGGAGTACTATGAAGAGAAAAGAATCTTGAGGCATATATTTTCCTAAAGTGTGGGAAATAATGACATTTTCTAGCTTGGTGAAGTAGTGTGATTGCAATTGGCTATTTAAATATGGCTTTGCATGGCAAAAAAAGAAAAATCTCTTCAATTTAATTGAGTGCTCCATTAAAAGTTAGTTAACTTAAGGCAAAATATATTGTGGAATCCATGCAGGATCCATTTGAACAACCTGTAAATACTCTCTTTGTATCTAAATGCACATTTTTTTTCTCAAGAATGCCCTATGAAAATCAATTTGTATTACCCTATCAGCATTATTATTAAAGGATAGAAAAGAATTGGATTTCCTTGTGGCTTAGAAAGTCAGAAAAGGCCACTTTATGCTGGATTACCAATTAAATCATACAATCCGAGCCAGGCTTTGAGAACATCAGTCTATGATGGAACTAAATTTCTTTCTTTAAAATCATGTGATTATTTTTTAGTCAGTGCAGTTAGGTTTTATTTGATATTTTAGTATTACTTTCTTCTCCTGTATTGCTTAGTATTTTTAAAAGGCCATGAGTAAATGACCTAGGTTTCTTGTGATATAAAAAGGAGTAAGAGAGATAGTAGCATATATTAATATGTGCCTGGATACTGTGCTAGAAGCTTTCACATATTGTTAGTTAATTTAGAGCAAAATTTAGAGCAACATCAGCAAAGTAGATAGCACTAAATGGATTGTTCCATATTAGGAAACTGATAACATTAAGTAATAGGCCCAGTATCATATAACTAGGACGTGGTAGAGACAAGAGGTCGAGACCCTGCATCTGATCAGAACCTCTGGATCTGTATATGTCGACTTGAAGAGACACAACAAAACAACTTTGGAATGAGGCACTTCCACTCATCCGTGATGTCTCGCAAGCACCGCCTCAATACCCAACTTATCAAAGCCCCTTGTCATTCCACTCCCCATCTTTTTTGATATTCTTCCTCTCGGGGAGAAAAGAGCACAGTCCTCTGTGTAAGCTCTTTATGCCATGGTTATTCCGTACTCCATATTACCTGGATAAAGGGGGATCCAGGGATAAGGGGAAGAAGTTGGAGAGAGACAAGGACACTTACTACTAATGACTTAGTAGCTAAGAAATAAAGAACTGTTCCTATTTTTAAAGCTCAAGGACATTCTGACTAGCATTTCCGAAATAAATCTTGTTGCTTTATAGAACAGCGTTCATTGAAAGAAATAGATCTCATCTAGAAACATAATGTAAAGACCAAAAAAAAAAAAAAAAAATTAAAAAACCTCACGAACACCACCAAAACCCCCTTTAAAAACTACTGTTTTTTGTAGCACTCACACAAAACGTTTGTTCCAGAATTCTGAAACATATTGCTTCTTTAAGCAATTTAAATAACTTTTTGATAACATTTATCATAACTTGGTGGGAGAAAGCATTCTTGGTGATGCACAGAGATAATGTAGTCGTGGTAAAGGTGTATGAAGACATCTATGGGATAAGAGCTTACTTAAGCCCCAGACTTGTTTTTTCAATCAGTTCATCCGAGTAAGATGGAGCTGAGGTTAGGGAAATTAATTATATGGAATCGAGTTAAGACTCAGGGAATAAGATCATCCATCCCCTCAAAAAATCCACAAGTAACTTGAATGAGACAATATGAGATGTTTTGTCCAATGCAATGTAGAGAGTATCCAGGTTTCTCTTGTTCTGCTTCTACACTTCGAATATTTCATAATTGTGCTCTCAGAATAACTAAGGTAAACAGAGGAACTATTATATGTATTTTAAAGCAAACGCTCATTAATTATGCTTTATTTATTTGGTGATTTGAGTAAAGGAAACAGTTCATTAATTCCACTTGTTTCCAAGCAAAAATTCCAGGATTAAAAATGCTTACCAATGGAAAGCAACAGCTCCCTAAAGCTGATCTCAGCAACCAGCCAACAACCAGTGAGTGGTCTCCACCAGCACCTGCTGATGTCCAGCACTTCCAGCAGCCCAGTTCCTGGCCCTGCTACTGGTCTCAATCTTTACGCACCTGCTTTAGCCTGTCAGCTGCCAGACCCACACATGCAGCCTAAGAGACACTCTAAGGAAGGGCTGTCTAAACATCCTCAGACTGGCTTCCAGACAACACTGTATGGGAGTACCTTCATTATTCACATTCTATGCTACTTAGCCACTCAAAAGATGGCTGATGAGAGAGATGGGAAATACAAATGCAGTTATTTTCTACTTCTCTGGTGAGAAAAATGGAGCAAAGAAGGCTTTTGTGGATAGTAACCTATTTCTGCTCATTTCTGTCTTCTTGCCATTTCTTATGCGACATGACTTCACTCCCTCCTCTTCCTCCACATCTGAACCTCACCAATCTATCTTTTCAGCCCCATACCAGGTAGTCCGTATTATGATTTTCTGTGCACACAATAGGTCACTAAACCAAGAAATTTTTAATGTTCTTTTGACTTTTTAATGATGCACTGAAGTTATCAGATGCAGTTATTAGCAATCATATTAATTTTACCATTCACAAATGAAAATCCATTTTCTGTGCTTCCTGAGCATATCAAATGCAGCCGACCTCACTTTCAAAAAAATAGAGAGCCTAATAATGACTATAGGATCAACTGTAAATGACAAAATTTTAAGTGCCATTTATAAGCTACTTTTAGTCATGATATTGTTCATATCCTAGTCCATGAATGGAGAGCACGTTGCACTGAATTTAGGGACTTCAGGTCAGTTTTCTAAAGTGACACTTGGAAATGGTGAGTAAGGTGGTCAAAGACTAGTGTCAAGGACAATGAATCAGTGCTGCAAATACAGAACTTGCCTACAACCCTATCATTAGCTAATTTTATGTTTATTGTGTGAATAGAAAGAAAAAAATTGAGTTACTTATCCACCATATCTGCTAGAATATAAATTTGGTAGAACATCAACTCACAAAAGGCTTAGTAGAATCAATTTCCTTATCGGAGATGCCCTTTCTTCATAAGGGTTGATTGACACTGAGGATTTACACACTTAACACTGCTTCTTAACTTTATCAAAACAGTGTACAAGTTGGTGTGACCCTTGGCTCCTGACAGCAATATCACAATTGTGTAGATTTCTTTTACTTTGTTTATTTTCACAGTATAACTGGAAGAAGAAAATCAGTCTTACATGGAGAAAGAATAGTAGAATACGTGTGATGAAATAAAAACTGGGTGTGTTTACCAATGGAAATAAATATGCTTTCATACAAAGAATTCTATTTTGATGAACCTTTAGATATTCTGTATATTCAGGAACTTCAAATAATACAATTTTGGAGCTGAATAATGTCCTATGGATATTATGTAAAGTTGGACACATAAAAGCTTCATTCAGTATAATTTTACATTTCTACATAAGGGAACTAAGGAAATGATGTTACCAGAGCCAGTTAGAGGCTAGGCTGGGACCAGAATGCACCCAGTCTTGCCTCATCCAGTGCTGATTTCCCCTGACTAGTACTGACACCAAGTGTTCCTAAAAATGCTTAACAACTTCTTTAGGAAAACATGCTTAACAATAGTGGATTCGAGAAAATTAAAAAAACAAAATAAAACAACCTTCTCTTCTGCCTTATCTCATTTGCCAAATCAACAATTCCCAAATAATTAGCTGCTTTAATAGTCCCTCGATGTCAATTCATACTGGTCAATTCTGTTTTTTCTCAGACCTCATCTCATCTGTTCACAGAGGCCTCAGCAGGACTCAGGTGATTAACTTCCGGTCACTCCTTCCTACATCCTCCATGCTTTGAGCCCCTGCACAGTTTTCCCATTTTGTGGGGGCATCTCACACTGGCTGGAAAGAGGGGCAGGCAGACTAGGTTTCTCAATTCCTCACTCAAAGCAGCTAAGAAAATAAATGTATATTTCATATGCTCTCTGAAATAACCACAATCAATTACTAGCACCAACACAGCTGTTCTGGGTACATCCACCATCCCAGCATTGCCATTTTTGGGAGAAGAAAAGCTATTCTCACACCTGCCAAAAGTTTTTACAACTTGGTTCATCCCAGAGCAAAGGCAAAACCATGCTCAGACTTTCAGGAGGGCCAGGTTTATGAAATTAAGAAGGACATTTCTAATATTAACATTGATTACCAATGTTGAAACTGCTCAGAAATGTGTATCACCTTTAAATGTATATGGAAGGGGTAAAATTTGAAAAATTCCTTTCATAGAGAATAAAAACATTTATTATTGACAGAGGTATGAAAGGAACTTACTGTAAATATTTGGACAGGCACTTGGAAAGGAGGATAGAGGGATATTCCAGCAATAATGGAAAGTTCATACTCTTCTCTAAGTTAGCTCTAGATTATGAAATCTCTCACTGTGAAGTGGTTCCAAGTGCCAGCTCAAGTCTGCAAGGGTAAACTACCCTCATCTAGAGCCCAGCATGGGGCCTGAACTGTCACACGCCTCTACTACATGAAGTAATAATACTTGATCTTACACGGAGTAACTCCTAACATTTCTGAAATAGAGAAGATCAGCCCTCTCCATTTCCTACCCATGAACACAATCCTGTCTTAATTAAAACAAATTATGCTTTAGAGAAAATTACAGCTGTTATCAGGCTCGCATTATTTACAAGCCTCTATAGTGACTATTTTTGGGTCCTTAAAGATGCATCCAATGTGGCCCTTCCTTTTAAAAGAAACCCATTGCAGGACTGCATACTTCATATGTGCAATCTTATTCAGCCTTCACGATAGCTCTGTAAAGCAAGTCCTATCATAGCCTTTTCTCTGGGAAAGAGAAGCGCTGATAATTTGTTTCCGGTGAAATAGCTAGACAGTAACCAAATGGAGCAAGAGAGGGACTCTATACCACTATAGGCCTCATCCAAGGATGAACAGGAAGAGAACAGAACAAACAGCAGGGTTCAGGGGTGTGCCAAATCAGTTGCCTGGATGATCAATTCTCCAGGAACTCAGAGAAGATCTTTGTTGTAGTGTTCACTTTGGTGACCACAATTCAGCTACGGTTGACTAGGAGCTGAGTGTGAACAGATGGGCCCACCTGACCCACTCGACAGGAGCTGCTATCGCACAGAGCACGATGGCAGAAAGTGCCACAGTCATTTTTCTTACTGGCCATGTTGCCTAACTTTGCCAAGACTCAGTTTACAAATCAATAAGCTGAGTGTTCCTGTGAGGCTCATGCCCATGCCCACCTCAACTGGCTATAGGTGTTATAATAATGTTCACAGCTAAATATTAGGTTTGACTGTATTCATCAAACATGAGGTGAGGAATGCAAGCTCAGGTGAAGCAGAAAAACAAACCTGCTATCTAAGCCATATATACTTTAAAATCAGTTGATATTATCAACTGAGTTCCATGGGCCCTTGTTTGTTACATAGTGGTTTTTCTTTTCCGACTACTGCTGTATTATATTGAAGGAAACTGATCTGTCTGTTCTCCCTATCAACTTTCTCAAATCTCTGTTTAGAATCATAGAAATTCAAAATTAGTAAAGACCTCAACTTGACCTAATCTAATCCCTACATGATTTTGAATCTTCCCTTAACAGGGACACCCATACTATACCATACTAGAACACTCTTGTGAGGAGGAGTTCACTTACCTCCCAGGTAGCCCAGCAGTCACTATAAACAGAACGAACCAAACCAAAAGAACAAAGGACTGTTATTGATAACTGATTAATCTAGGAGTAGAATAGTCTAACAGAGGGATTTAAAATAGGATTTGCAGAAGTTGATTTAAATTGCCCACACAGTTACTAATGGATCTCTAAACTAAAACTGAAAACAAGATGATAATAAAAATTTGAAATTTGCACCTACACAAGGTTAGAATAGATTTGTGTTCCTCTCCACAAAAATGCACAACAATTCACATTAATATAGTAACCTAAATTTGATACTTGGATGTCAGATAACTTTGTGCAATTAAATAATGTGAAACCACATATGTATTTATGAAAAACACACATTTCTTTGTTTCCAAAATGGATGATATTATATTGGGTACACTCGGCAAACCAAGTCTTAGCTTTGTTAATGTTCTAAATACACAGAATTCCACCAGGATGTAGTTAAATCTTGAGGGAGAATTTCTAAAGCAAATCCCAGTTAAAGTCAATTTTCATTAAGTGGAACCAATTTTTAAATAAGCTCCCTTTTCTTTCCGCCTAGCTATATATCATTCCAAAATTTTACATTTGCTGACCAGTTTAACAGTAATCTGTCATTTATTAAAAAGCAAACTGGTACTAATCCTGCTACAGCTGGGTGTATATCAGATAAAAACATATCCCTCCTGGATGGAATTAGTTAAGTTTATTATGATTATTACTACTGCTTTCATTATATCTCTTCTGTCCCCTCGTGGTGAATGTATGTCTTTAATTTAAGGGTGGGGAAATATGTGTATGTTCACTTGTGTGTATGTACAAGCAATCTTTGCTTTCAGCAAACACTCCACATAATCCATCAGTTTTTAAATCTGGTGAATTGAAAAGGCATTTGATGATGGGAAGGGAAAATAGTGGTCAGAGTCTTCCTAAGAGACTAAACAGACATACGCCAATGGATGTCTATCAAATGTCTTGGTTTCCATCTGGACCCCTAAATACAATAGAGTCAGGATGGGATGAGATACACAGTTTCAACAGAATAAAGGGGCCAATGATCCTGATTTCACTGACTCTTCTTGACCATCCTTGACAATGGCTCTGTTCTGTTAGAGTTCACTGGAAAGCTTTAATTGGTATTACTAAAGCCGAAGAAACTCAAAGAAAAATGACTTGAACTTCAAAGTATACTTGTAGATAAAATGACAAAGCAAACCCTATAAGCTATGCTCCTAAAACATCTACAAAAAACTGCATGATTTCTCCAGAAAAAAAGACTAAGATAAATGCCAAACCAGTGCTTGGCATATAGTGGGTATTCAAGAAATACTTCTTCTTTTTTTTTTTTTTTTTTTTTTTGAGATCTCGCTTCTGTTGCCCAGGCTGGAGTGCAATGGCCCAATTTCAGCTCACTGCAACACTGGCCTCCCGGGTTCAAGCGATTCGCCTGCCTTAGCCTCCTGAACAGCTGGGATTATAGGCGTGCACCACCATGCCTAACTAATTTTTGTATTTTTAGTAGAGATGGAGTTTCACCATGTTGGCCAGGCTGGTCTCGAACTCTTGACTGCAAGTGATCCACCCGCCTTGGCCTCCCAGAGTGCTGTTATAACACGCATGAGCCACCGTGCCCGGTCTTAAAAAATATTTGAGTAAAATAATAATGGGAATACTGGTAACCTTAATATAGGCTTTTCTGACTATGAAAAAGATACCATTTCAAGTTTTTTTCTCTTTTTCTAAAAAATGTTATTAAACACACTTGTCAGGAAATTGTGAAATGCTGTCAATATTATACACCTGCTGATGAATATCGATTGCAACAAGTGTATTAAAATCCAATTGGGGCAAAAAAGATGATTCCAAGGCAACTAGATTGTGCTACAGTAAGTCTTCTTATTGTGGGCTGTTTACTCTGCTCTAGCTTACCAGATTGTGTAAACTGAAGGGACTTTCGGAGCTCGCTTGCACTTCATTTAGAACATTTATTCATCATTATACAGTGAACTCCCCAAAGACAAGGGCTGAGTGCTATTCATCTTTCCCCACCATCTAGAAAAGTGCCTGGAATATTATAACCCCTCAGTGAATGCCTCTTCAATGCAACCAGGAATAAATGAATGAACAAAGAATCAATCATAGAAAACTTCAGGGTCTTAGCTTCTTATTCTGACACAAACCCTGGGGTCATCTACAGCTGAAGCATTGTCAACTCACTCACTTGTTTTATAAAATCATTTTCCTATTTAGGACTGACTGGGAAGATGAAGCCAAGAATGTTTCCTGAGAGAACACTTTGCTGGCCATGCCAAGGAGCCAAGCCAAAGGCTCACCATGGTAAATGAAACTGTGTAAGTCTGAATGAGAGAAACTTTTAAACTGTCCTTTCCTAAGATGACATGTAAAATTTCAATTCTGAGACCCTGGCAAAACTGACAAAGAACCTGTGAGAGAACCTATATGCCCTACTAAGAAGCCTAGGATGTTCCTTGTCAGTCATAAGGAGCAATGATGAGTTTTAAAGAGAAAAAAAAAATGACAAGATTTGCCTATGAAAATACTTCATTGACTGCAGTATTCAGGCAGAATTGAAAGATGAAGCTCAAGCTGGGAAGTTTGGAAAGTATGCTATAGTAGAAGTCTGTATGAGAGATTTGTTTCTAACTGTGAGGACAAGAAGGCAGATGGATTTCCTAAGGTTTTAGGAAACAGTACATGCAAGACTTACTAGATGACTAGCATGAGGAATGGAAGAAATCTCGGGGTTAGGAAGGGAGACTGGGTGAATGGGAGAGCCATCAACAAGTGAGAGAATACATAAATGTTGATAAAATTAACCACTAATATTATTTCTAGTTCCAATGTTTGGACTCTAAAGGTCTAATGACTTTAGGTGAATTACACAAACTAATTCCGCAAATTTTAAAATGAAGTTAAATTTAAAAGCAATTCAAAAAAGTAATAAAAAGAAAAGCTTCTATGTAGTTAAAGTTGAGAACCGTGGTTAAATGCATCATTTTACTACAGGACTTCTCAGAACCCTTAATATGCTTTTATGTATTTATTTATTTATTTATTTGTTTGTTTGTTTATTTATTTATTTATTTTTGAGACAGAGTTTTGCTCTTGTTGCCCAGGCTGGAGTGCAATGGCGCAATCTCAACTCACTGCAAACTCTGCCTCCCGGGTTCAAGTGATTCTCCTGCCTCAGCCTCCTGAGTAGCTGGCATTACAGGTGTGGGCTACCACGCCCAGCTAATTTTTGTATTTTTAGTAGAGACAGGGTCTCACCATGTTGGCCAAGCTGGTTTCAAACTCCTGACCTCAGGTGATTTGCCCACCTCAGCCTCCCAAAGTGCTGGGATTACAGGCGAGAGCCACCACACCCAGCCTTAATATGCTTTTAAATCTTCAAAAGGAGCATATAATAAGTGGTGTTTCTTAAGTATACTTGACAATAAAACCTCTCTACCCCCAACCCCTTTTGCCTATCATTTTATTAAATTAGTGGTTTATGCCATATACTTTAGAAAATATTATCTTTGATATTTTTCCCACTTACATAGGTCATTATTTTATAATAATCTCAAGATTATATAATGACCTTCTGTAAGGGTTACTCAGCAACATGAGATTTAGAACAATAAAAATTTTATGGTATTTTGCATGATTAGTCAGTATTTTGTTTTTATTACCTTTGCCCATTTTAAATAGTGATAATGACTAAGATTCATAACGTATTTAGAGACTTTACATTGTTACAGGAGCTCTGCTGAATATTTTACAGGAATTAATCATATAATCCTTACAACATTACTATAAAGCATTTACTAGCATTTAGCTCCATTTTAATATAGAAACAAACTGATCCTCAGAGAGGCTAATTAACCTGAACATGACACAAAAGTACTGGAATTCATATTTCCAAATCCAGGGTCTGGGTACTTTAACCACCATACTACACCATGTATGTTTATAACATTTCTAGAATATTAAGCAAAAATAATACCAGTGTGATCCTTAAGTAAATTATCTCAGTACATGCATCAAATTGGCATGGAAGTCATTTATAAATTCATTCACTCATTCATCCTTTCTTCACTAAACCCCTGCTGAGTGCCAGATACTATTGTGGGTACTTGGGTACAAGCATCGAAGAGACAATGAGATCAGTAGAAATAATCAATAGAAGGAGGTATAATAATTACAAAGAAGGGATTCTGAAGGGCTGGAGTGCGTGTGTGTCATATTGTATATAGGGAAAACCAGCGAAGCCTTTTAAAAAGACAAGTTAGATGAGAGCTCAGAGAAGCATGGGGTTTTGTATACAGGGTCACTGTGACCTTGTCAAAAAGCAGCTTCAGTGGATTGCTGGGGTGGAGTCCTGAAGCAGTGCCTTCAAGAGATAATGGAAAAAGAAAGTTGGAGGATGGCAAGGTGGGACAACGGCTTCAGGGAATCTCATTTTAAAGGGAAAAAAAGGAGAAATGAGGCAGTATTAGGGAGGACATAAGAAACTGAATCCAGCAGCACATCAAAGCTAATATACCATGATCAAGTTGGGATGCAAGGCTGGTTCAAGCATGCAAATCAATAAATGTGATTTACCACATAAATATAATTAAAAGCAAAACCTACATGATTAACTCAATAGAGACAGAAAAATATTTCAATATAATCCAACATCCCTTCATAATAAAAACCCTCAACAGACTAGGCATCAAAGGAACTTACCTCAAAATAATAAGAGCCATCTATGACAAACTCACAGCCAACAAGGCACTGAACAGTCAAAAGCTGGAACCATTCCCCTTGAGAACCGAAACAAGACAGGGAATGCCCACTCTCAACACTCCTATTCAACACAGTACTGGAAGTCCTTGCCAGAGCAATCAGACAAGAGAAAGAAATAAAAAGCATCCAAGTAGGAAAAGAAGTCAAACTATTTCTCCTTGCTGATGATACGATTCTAGACTTGGAAAACCCTGAAGACTCCACTGAATGGCTCCTGAAACCAATAAACAACTTCAGTGAAGCTCCAAGATATAAAACCAACGCACGAAAATCAGTAGCATTTCTATACACCAATAATGTTCAAGTTGAGAACCATATAAAGAATGCAATCTGGCCGGTTGTGGTGGCTCATGCCTGTAATCCCAGCACTTGGGAGGCCAAGGCGGGCAGATCACCTGAGGTCAGCAGTTCGAGACCAACCCGGCCAACATGGTGAAACATGCCCAGCTAATTTTTGTATTTTTAGTAGAGATGGGGATCTCTACTAAAAATACAAAAATTAGCTGGGCACGGTAGTGCGCACCTGTAGTCCCAGCTACTTGGGAGTCTGAGGCAGGAGAATCATTTGAACCCCAGAGGCGGAGGTTGCAGTGAGCCAAGATCACGCACGCCACTGCACTCCAACCTGGGTGACAGGGTGAACTCCATCTCGATTTAAAAAAAAAAATGCAATCCATCCACACTAGCCACACACACATAATAAATACCTAAGGATGCGTCTAACCAAGGACGTGAAAGATGTCTACAAGAAGAAGAGAAAACACTGCTAAAAGAAATCAGAGATGACACAAACAAATAGAAAAAACATTCCATGCTCATGAATTGGAAGAATCAATATTGTTAAAATGGCCACACTGCCCAGAGAAATCTATAGATTCAATGCTTTTCCTAACAAACTATCAATGTCATTTTTCACAGAACTAGTAAAAACTATTCTAAAATTCACATGGAACCAAAAAAGAGTCCGAATGGCCAAAGTGATCCTAAGCAAAAAGAACAAAGCCAGAGGCATTACATTACTTGGTATAAACTATACTAAAAGCCTACAGTAACCAAAACAGCATGACATTGGTACATAAACAGACATGTAGACCAATAAAATATAATAGAGAATCCAGAAATAAAGCCACACATCTACAGCAATCTGATTTTCAACAAAGTCAACCAAAAAAATAGCAATAGAGAAAGGACTCCTTATTCAATAAATGGCGCTGGGATAAGTAATAGAGAAAGGACTCCCTATTCAATAAATAGTGCTGGGATAACTGGCTAGTCTTATACAGAAGAATGAAACTGGACCCCTACCTTTCACCATATACAAAAATTAACTCAGGATGGATTAAAGATTTAAATGTAAGACCTCAAGCTATAAGAATCCTAGAGGAAAATCTAGGAAATGCCATTTTGGATATGGGTCTTGGGAAAGAATTTGTGACCAGGTTCTCAAAAGCAATTGTGACAGAAACAAAAGTTGATAAGTTGGGTCTAATTAAACTAAAAAGCTTCTGCACAGCAAAAGAAATTATCAATAAATAACCTACAGAATGGGAGAACATATTCACAAACTACACATCCAACAAAAGTCTAATATCCAGGATCTATAAGGAACTTAAACAATTCAACAATCAAAAAACAACCCCATTAACAAATGCGCAAAAGACATGAACAGACGCTTCTCAATAGAGGACATACATGCAGACAACAAATATGAAAAAATTTTCCACATCACTAATCATCAGAGAAATGTAAATCAAAACCACTATAGGATACCATCTGTGGAAGGCAGTCTGGAGACTTCTCAAAGAACTTAAAACAGAGCTACCGTTCAACCTAGCAATTCCATTACTGGGTATGTATCCAAAAGCAAATAAATTGTTCTACCAAAAAGACACAAGCACTCATATGTTCATTGTAGTGCTGTTCACAATAGTGAAGACATGGAATCAACCTAGGTGCCCAATCAATGGTGGATTGGATAAAGAAAATGTGGTACACATACACCATGGAATACTACACAGCCATGAAAAAGAATAAAACCATGTCCTTTGTAGCAACATGGATACAGTTGGAGGCTATTATCCTAAGCAAATTAACACAGGGACAGAAAATCAAATACTGCATGCTCTCACTTATAAGTGGGAGCTAAACATTAGGTACTCATGGACATAATGATGGGAACAACAGACACTGCAGACTATGGGGAGGGGAGAGAGGAAGGGGTGGATGGGTTGAAAAACTAGCTGCTGGGTACTATACTCACTACCTGGGTGAGCCTCAGCATCACACAATTTACCCACGTAACAAACCTGCACATGTACCCCTGAATCTAAAATAAAGTTGAGATTATTTTTAAAAAGACCAAAGAAGGAGTCTCCTCTTGTTCTTTTAAGACAGGAGGATGAACAGTACAAATGGATATTGATGGTAACAATAGAGTTGAGAGAGAAATTTTGATGATAAAACAATTTTTTTGAGGCAGAACTTTGATGGGGTGACATGGGGTAAGGTCCAGTGAACAAATGGAGGAGGTGGCCTTAGGTGGAAGATGAACGATTAATTCACCATAGTAACAGAAGAAAAGCTAGAGTATGTGGCCACAGATAAAGATGGAAGGTCAGGTGTGCCAAATAAAATCAAAATGACAACATGTAACAGAATTTACCAGATTTCTTTGAAGCCTATGTTTTGTCTTCTTTGGCTAGGCTGAATTTCTGTTTTTTCTCCCTATAAATTGGGAAAAACAGTACCTATCTTTTGAGATCATCATGAAGATTAAATGTTATTTATTTTAAGTCCCAGAAGATGACTATAGTATAATAAACTGGGTAAAATGTTAAATATTCATGTTGCTATTATTATTATTACTATTAATTGTATGCAGCCCAAATTATATAACTCTAACTCTTGCACTTAATTTTATAGCTCCTTAGAAGAAAGAGCACATTGTCAACTGTGACAAGGTTTGTTTAACATAGTTTCTCTAATGTAATTTTGCCACATTAATTCTAAAAGGGCTATAAATTGAATCAATTCTGATTTGTTAAAGTCTCTGAAAACAGTATTACATTCTTTGAGCCAAATGCTTATCTTATAGTAAACAAGTAGGGAGCATTTTGAAATTCAATATTTGCTACATTTTTTCATTAGCTTGCAGAAAGAATGGATGCAATCAATACTTGGACTCCCTGAGCAAAATGTATTTATTTCCTCTGTGAAAATCTCTCTTGATACTTGGGCTTATCTATTGCTGCCTGATCTCTTTGATGGTCTTGATGCTGCTGCCACCCTGGTCCAACACTCTCCTGGACCACTTCAATCTTCCAGTCATGCCTCTTCATCTCTCACCCCACATACAGTTACTGTTTACACAGCAGTGATCTTTTAAAATTGTATAAGGTCAGGCCACAATTCTGTTTAGTCTTTCATGGCTTCCTATAACAGAACACAATTCACAGGCCCACCATGATTTAGAAAGCCTTGCTGAGCTGGCCCCTGCCTTCCCCTCCAACACATCTCCCTTGGCCCTCTTCCTGTTCCACCTTGCCCCCAGCACCTACATTAGTATTGTGTTCTGGAAATACACCTAAATCTTTCCCTACCTGGGGTTCTTTGCTCTTTCTGTTCCTTCTGCATATAATAGTTCTTCATATGATGGGCTTGTTATCATTTATGTCTCTGTTCAAATATCACCTCCTCAAAGAGGATGTTCTGTCTTCCCTAACTAAGGCAGCTGTGCTTTCCCTCAGCAGAAATCACTTTACTTTTATTCATACACTTACCCTGAGCTGAAATAGTCTTGATTATTTCTATCCTTGTTTCCTGTTTTGTTGCTAGAATGTAGGAACTTTTATGTATTACATAGAAGATGCAGACGTCTTTTTCACCCCTTTATCTACAGCATATAGAAAGTGGGAGCTCGCTAAGCTTAATATGATGAATAAATAAATTCCAATCCCTACATTTTTGTAGATGATAAACCCCAATAGGCCAGAATGACTTTAGGCTGCTGCATAGGTTTTCAGCCAGCTAACTGAAGGAATTATTTTATCAGTCATTTATTTCTTCATTCCTTAAATAATTAAGCCAATAAATCACATTTATTTCTTTGTTGTACCCTATAATCTAATATTGTATTAAGTTTTTATTCAATTATTTTCTTTATCTTTGACAATGTGTGTGACACAAAAATACAAATGATAATACTATCAAAGAATGTAAAATTTCCTGTCTCACTTGATGCCCCAAGAAAGATTTATTTAACCTGGAAAAGAGAAATATACTGCTTAAAATATTAAATTATATATTAATAGATATTTAGAGGAACATCCTTTGGGAAAATACAAACAAAATTCAGGACTACAAACACGGATAACTAGACTGAATTTACATATCCAGAGGCTATCTCACTGAAATTGAAGATACGCTTTTAAAGGCAAGTGAAATTGAAGGTTTGTACAGACATAGGAAGAACAAAATAAATGACACTACAGAGCTCAGGAAGGCTACGTTGACTTGCATCATATTATTATTATTATTATTATTATTTTATTGAGACGGAGTCTTACTCTGTTGCCCAGGCTGGAATGCAGTGGCGTGATCTTGGCTCACTGCAACCTCCACTCCCTGGGTTCAAGCGATTCTCCTGCCTCAGCCTCTTGAGTAGTTGGGATTACAGGCACCCGCCACCACACCCAGCTAATTTTTGTATTTTTAGTAGAGATGGGATTTTGCCATGTTGGCCAGGCTGATCTCGAACTCCTGACCTCAGGTGATCCGCCCTCCTTGGCCTCCCAAAGTGTTGGGATTACAGGCATGAGCCACCACACCCGGCCTGCATCATATTATTTTTAATCTACCCCAACAGGTAACTTACTGGAATTATCAGGAACTAGGCACTGTGGAAATGGTATAGGAGAGAAGGATGATGGACTGAGGACAAATTTAAATAGTTTTATAGGAGGACATGATCTTTTCTCTGAAAAATAAAATGCATTTATTATATTGCAGGTATTATACTAGTTGCTTTATATGCATTATCATCTCATTTTGCATTTATAACATCTCTGTGAGTACTATTAGTGCCCTACCTTAGATGAGAAAATGGAAGCAGAGAGGTAATTTGATCTACATAAGGTTAGAGAGAAGTAAATGGCAAATATTGGACTCAATCCTAGCCTAACCTGAAAGCCTATTTGTATTAAACACATGAAAACACGATCTTCTTGACCTCATCACATGAAAACACTATCTTCTTGACCTCATCACATTTAAATGCATCACCACAGTTTTTCCATATTTAGATGTGCAATGCTATGAGCCAAAAAACAATCTGTTCTTATTGATAGTTATTTCTTTTGTTACTACCTCAACTCTAAAAGCAAATGGTTTGATTTAAAACTGAATTCCTTTTTTTCCCTAAGTAAAACCTTGGAAGATCTTCAATGGAATGTTGAATTAATTATGGTATCTCTATACTCTAAAAATTTTGAAACAAATAAAATAAATGAGTTCTATTCTTAAGGGTTGCCCCAGAAAGATGCCTAGGGTAGACCGTTAGGTTCAAATAGTAATGTGCAGAGGTATATAATCTCTGTTTGCATGTTAATATGCACAAGAGTATGGAAACATGTAGCTTATACTCTTAACAGTGGTTACCCAGTTGGGTGGGGAAATCTATTAAGTTCATCTTTACACTCATTTGTGTATAATCTATCCAATAAGCATAGTTTACTTTCATAATTAATAATGAATATAAAGTAAATTTCCTCCAAATTATTTCTAAATATAATCTTCCTCATGTGTTGGAATAATTTTCTCAGGTGATTTTGTTTCTAATCTTAACCCCTTTTTACTCTTCTTTTAACCAAAGTACCATATTTTTAATTTTTTACACACTAAGCTTCCAGTTAAGATTTCCACTGAATGAAAGACTCCCCAGCAAAAATAAATTTGAAAATTGTTGGTTCATGTGTTCTGCTTCAGTGACACGCCTACTAGTCTGTTAGTAAAACCAGCTATTGAATATGGGGCATTCTTTATATATATATATGCGCATTCATGAGGTTATGTGTATTACTAATTTAAGTATTTTCAGATTAATGAGAAAGTCCAGATTGCTCTTTATTATAAGAGCCATATACATATAATTTTATGATTAAATATGAACAGTGTTTGGTTTACTGAATTTGAATGATCATTCTATTGAAAACATAGAGATCATAGCAATTTGTAGTCTGTGGCTTCAGTAATGAAATCACCAGATTACATAGAATATATTCATTTGCTGTTAAGGCACCTTGAAAGAAAACTTCTAGACAATGAGTTAAAACATTACCTAAGGTTTAAAAGACTCTAATATAGGAAGCTGAAAATTGACAAAGAGCTAAAAAAAGTGAATGTTTTAACCAAACCTGAACTATCATTCAGCTAGGAAGTACCTACAAAATAAGTATATAATTTTATCCTCCAGTCTATTTCTGAATAATTAGAAGACAGCTTAGCACAGTCTTCTATTAAAACCCTAACAAAAATCCCACGAAGATGTGGGCAAATCGTTATTATTTTTACTCCAGCTGCAACATTACATTAATCAACAATGCATTCCACTGTAAGTATCTGAGCTGGATATTTAACAACCCTGTGGTTCGCATCATTTGTAGTTAATTAAATTTGATTCAATAACTTTCATTGAATACTCACTAGAATGCAATGCACTGTCTAGGTTTTGCAAAGCCCATGAAGATGTGTGGAGCACAAGTGCTGCTCTCTAGGAACTCGCAATTTAGTAAGGAAGATATACCCAGAACTAACTCTGATATAAAGCACAATATGATAAGAACTCTATGTAACGCTAGTAAGAATATAAAGCATAGGTAGGGGCTGTTTATAGTTAATTCCAGTTTGGGCAGTGAGAAGGCTTCTGGGAAGACGTGAACCTTTTTTAGCTGGCGCTTGATGGTCAAACAGGATTTGGCTTACAGTGGGAGGACTTGGGGATGGGGCACGGGAGCTATGCAGGAGGAACAAGGAAAGCGTTCTGTGCTGATGGATAGGAGTGGAGCACGTCTACATTATAAGGAGTAAAAGAGAGGAGAAGAAAAGGCAGGTTAGGGCCAGATCAATAATGGCCTTAAATGAACAAGACTAACTGTATGCTTTAAATCACCCAAAGGTCCATTCATGAATAAGAAAAAGACATTACTTCTGGTGGAGCTCTCCTCCTTTCATGATTACAAAGATTAGTATCCTCACTTTTAAAATTTAATTTAAATGAGACAGGGTTTCTTAAGATCTGTAATTTGAAATAGACATTTTATTACATTAGATTATATGGTTAGTTTTTTGTGGGAGAGTGGTCAATCAATTTTTTGGTGTAATTAAGGAAAAGAATGATGCATTAAGCTACTTGGTTGTAGCGATCAGGAGCTGGAACACAAATAATATTGTCCTGGGACAGAGGTGAGAGAAACTAGGGAAAGTATTAAAAAAGGGAGATGCCCCAAGGGGCATCACTATGCAATGTATTCACGCTACCTGGAGAGTGTTAAATATCTTCACTCAATTTCACAGTCCTAAGAATTTATTTCTCCAAATGCAAGATTAACGTATTAATATATTTTCTTTGAAAGAATTTAAGCACTGTAACATACCTCTGTTCTCTTCAGAAGAAACTCTCTAGCTCTTAGTTCACTGGCAGAACAGAAATAACTCACAATCCCAAATGTTCACCACCTCTTTCCATTAGCCTACCTGCTGGCTCAGCCTAGGAGCTCCATCCAGTTCTCTAGACTGCAGCTGGAAACCCATAGATTCTTCATATGAGAATCATCACCCATCCACACAGTATAAGCCTCCATGCTTTTAAAACCTACCATTCTAACGCCGTTTTCAAAGGCTTGCCGGGTGAGGGGGGCTGGTCCGTCCACAGTCTTGCCATCATCATCCGGGCCCCAGCTGGCGCTGTAAATGTGCACGTGCTGGGGGTTGAAGCTAACTGATTTTGCTTCAACCATGTCCGTGACATCTCCGTCCAGCATTCGCACTCCTTCAACACAGAAAGGAGAACTAGCTCATTACAGGGCTTCCCTACACAACACTCAAAGAACAGAGCTGCAGGATTCTCGGGGGGAAGAATACATTTTTAATCAACACTTAAGTGAGCATATCTTCCCCCAGCAAAAGGATAATGTATACTTTGCAGGCAGTATCTTGGGCAGAAAGGATGTCATATTGTATATAAAAGAGCAAAACTTCAATTTTTTTAATCCATTTTCTTTTTCTAAGGTTCCTTTCCTTATAACAGCTGCCACAGTCTCTCCCTTCTCATCCCTCTCTTGAGTGAGTACTTGACAAAGAGATCTTCAAGCAATCCATCTCCCTTAAACTCTTTATTGAATAACTTGTGTTCATAATTGATATAAAACATTCTATCTAACCTTAGCAGTCATATACTATTTGGAAAGCTGCCAAGGTAGGATGGTCTCGTATCCTCCATATTTAATATTAGCCCCTAATCATAAGATTGATGTGAACTTCATGTTTCTTTTTTTGCTAAGTTATTTATGTCAAATAATAAATAAGAATAATCTCTGTGGATGTAACATTTCAAATAATTCTCAAAGGGTTTTTAGCAATGTTTAGTTATTAATCTTCATTTAAGTATATTTCTATCAAACAGATAGGAATTTACTATTAACCCTATTTTGCAAAAAGAGACATTAAGATACTCAGAAATAAATTCTATGCCAAATGTCAGGCTTTCCTTTTTTCCTTCTATTTTGGAGGCTCATAAAAACAACCACAACCAAGCATCTAATTGTTAAGTAAACATATCTCTCCTTCAGTTTAAATTAAACACCATCACTGAAACACTGTATCATTTAAAAATTATATTTTTACAGGCCAAATTTAATCCTTAGGAAAACCTTGTCATCAGTAGGATTTTAAGTTTTTATTGGTTATCAACAAACGGGGATTAAATAATAAAAACCCACATCAAACAGGTTTAGATAGAGACTATGTGAACTGAGGTGGGAATACTGGTAGAAATAAAAATATTATTGAAGGAACTATGTTTAACTTTTAATTATAAAACTTTCAAACAAAGAAAAATAGAAAGAACGAAGAATGAACATATATATACATAGCCACTACTCAATAACTGTTAACATTTTGTCTCATTTTCTTAATCCAAAAATATAAATATTAGGTTGAACCATTTTAAATTCCATGACAGATGTGACCCTTTATCCTTTAAAAATTTTTACAAAAAATAGGGACATAAGTTCCCACTGCCATCTAACATCTAGCCAACATTCCATTCCCCTCCATGTATCTCTAAAGACATTGCATTTGGTTGTTAATGTCTCTTGACTGTCTTTCTTCTAGACTCTTGAATTTTTAATGGAGATGTGTGTTAACAGGAGAGGTGGAGAATGAAAGCTGTGAACAAGTTCCATTAAAAATTTTGGGGACGGGTGCGGTGGCTCACGCCTGTAATCCCAGCACTTTGGGAGGCCGAGGCGGGTGGATCACGAGGTCAGGAGATCCAGGCCATCCTGGCTAACATGGTGAAACCCCGTCTCTACTAAAAATACAAAAAATTAGCCGGGCGCAGTGGTGGGCACCTATATTCCCAGCTACTCGGGAGGCTGAGGCAGAAGAATGGCATGAACCCAGGAGATGGAGCTTGCAGTGAGCCGAGATCATGCCACTGCACTCCAGCCTGGGTGACAGAGCGAGACTCCGTCTAAAAAAAAAAAAAAAAAAAAAAATTGGAATGGAAATTGGAAAGTTTGTCCATGGTGTGAGTAAAAAACCCTACATAATGATCTCGATGTACTGCATCCTGAGTAACACTGGTTTAATTTAATTTAAATATTCAAAATTTGTCTGCATGTTTCTTAGCAAAGAAAGATGAACGACTCCATCCTCTTACTTTCTATTGAAAAGCATAAAATGAAACTATTTTATTGGTACAATGAGGTCTGAAACAAACACAGTAATTGCCCCAAATAAGCTCACTAGTGTTCTAAATGCCAACAGGAGAGTAGGACATAACACTTGAATTCAGTTTCTATGTCATGCATGAAAAAATGCTTGTAAATCATACTTAGAGGGTGATGTTCATTTTCTAATAGAAATTTCACAAAAAAAGAATTTTACTTTGTCAAGTTTAAAGATAAAAGGCTGCTTTTTCCTCATTTAACTCCAAGCCTTCATGCCTTGGGTATGGGGGTTAAATTTATTATTCAGAATGTTCTTGTTGTAGAACATTTTTGATTTGTTGCCATATATCCTTTTTTTTTTTTTTAAATAAGGTTCTGTAAGCTAGGTCATTGGTTTATCTGTGAGTTCACAAGTTCATCCTCTCATTTTTTAAAAATTATTAAGATTTCTGGGTTTGTGCTGGAGAGTATTGATAAGAACCTGGGGCTGTGTGTCTGTGTATGCGAGAAACTATATCCTGGACCATGAGAAGGGCTGACCTGGCCGCCTCTGATATAATTCTCTTGGGATGATGAGGGGCCTCCAAAACTCATCATTCTTCAGGGAACGAAGAATTTTTTTCTTTGCCTCTTTTCTTTAGCTCTTTCATATGCATTGTGCTTAATAAATAGCAGATGCTCCCCGCTAATTAATTACTGCTTAACAAACTATCATACTCATAAGAATTCAGGGTGAGAAAAAGGAAAGAAAGAGGTCAAATGCACTATGGACCAATATTCAAGGTAGTTTCAGAAAGCCTTTTCTTAGTTCTATTATTGTATACCTTAAATATTTCATGTTAGGGAATCTCTATATTTATATTCCTATCCTAGAAAGAATTGTCATTTTTATTTTTTAGTTCTAACACTATTTCCCACTTGAAAACAAATAATGCATTGGAAACAAGGAGGTCAATCTGGTTCCAGGAGCTTCATTCATCTTATGACGCTCTTAGGAGACCCCTAGGGAATACCTTCAGGCATAATGATAAAATCATGAGGATCCATAGAATCTATTACAATATTTTCTTCCCATTTGTGTGTGGCTGTGGCACCAGGCTGTTGCTTACAAAGATGATTACAAATGGGAAAGTTAAGAGTTTGCTTTTATCAATGCTTAAATTTATACTGCTTTGGCTGGGTCCTTATAGTAAGTGTATGTATAATTGAGTTTTTACGTATACATGCCTGCATATAGATATAATCTGAATCATTCATGGAAATAGTATCACTATATTATGGGATTACAAAAGGAGATTTTTGCCATATATCATTTTAATTACAATTAAAAGGAACTTTTTAAAAGCCTAAGCCAAAGGAAAAAAAACAAAAACAAAAAACCAGGATTTTCCACTTTGAGAGAATTACAAAATGCTTCTTTCCATAGAGATATTATGGCCTAATGTTTATATTATTAGTTCGTTCTAACCCAGGCACCAATTGTAGCATTTTGGTACAAATGTCAATGACCCCCATCTTCACTACTAGATAACATTTTTTTCAAGTCTGTTTAAAAGAAAAGTGTTTACAATATTTTAGGGTGACTGCTTCAGAAGTCTTTAACTAAATGTATTTAAAGGCGCATGCTAACATGGTCATGTTGGGGCCAGCAATAGTTGAACACTATTAGGTAGAGATATGCCCAATCGTTTAACCTCCATTTAAAAAGGATTCTGAAAGCCAGTCAGCCAAAGAGCTAACTGGCGCATTTCTACATCCACGTGAGTTGGTTTCCCATACCTCCGATCTTGGCGTTGAAAGCAATTCCGACTGTGCAGTGCGAATTGTTTGCAGCGGCTGCCACTTCTCCAGCACAGCGAGTCCCATGCCTGCAGGCAGAACACACACACTTTCTCAAGTAAGACACACCATTCTCACAAAGCCAACGCGTCACTGCCACCACTCAGAGTGGTGAAGAATGTACCCAGCTGTGGTGTTTCTGGAACTTCCTTCCCAAGTAGCACTTTGTCTGTCCATGGCAAACTTCTAGCACTTAATTAGATTGTTTTGGATTATATTCTTGACATATTTATTTTTCATATCTTGCTTTCCCAACCGGACAATCTCCTTGAAAGCTAAAAGTTAGAAAACCTTCGTTTCTATATCCCCCAAACTTCTACTGATCCACATAGTTGTCACTGGATATATGTGCTACCAGATACTTGAAATGTGACTACTGCAACCTTATCTCAATTTTTTATTTAAGCTTAAGAACTAATACTCAAATCAATTATTAGAAAACTTAAGATGGGTATGAGAATCTGCTTTTTAAATTGTAAATTTAAATACAGATCAAGTATTTCCAATAACAATTTATTAGCAGAAACGTGATGTGCTTTAAATAAACAGTGGATTTCAAAGATTTTGTATGCAAAAATGAAAAGGTAAAATATCTTATTAATCATTGTTTTATACCAGCTACATGTTAAAATATCTTATTGAATAAAATATGTTATCCACACTTATTTTACTTGTTTTTACCTTTTTACTTTTTAAAAGAAATGTGGATACTAGAAAATTAAAAAAATTATTTACAGAAAAAGCATTCTCTGTTATTTTGTCACCATAATTTTGTGCCTTGATTAGAGACATCTTTTAGCTGAAAGAACTTTTAAGATCCTCTTTCAAGGATGGCAAAGAAGTTTTCAGTATAAAGTACAATTTGCTTAGAAACGGTGGCCTAAAACTGTGTGCTGGGAAGAATTCTAAAGCGTGACTGAGCCCAGAGAAAGAACACCAAGACTGACCTCTAATGTCTGCCATGCCTGCAGAAGGGGGATGTGACAGTCATTATGGTTTATCTGTCATTGCTAATGAAGTTAAATGCCCATCCCTTCCCTCATTTTTAGAGAGGAGGGCATCTAGGAGGACCAGAGATACGAAAAGGTACATCGAGAGTAGCACAGTTAGCAAAACAGTGACTAAAACTCAAGCCCCCAAATCCATTTCAGTGCTTTTAATTTTACAGCACAGCTGCCTCAGACCACTACTCTCTGTGCAACTATAATCAAGTTACTGCTTACAACTGATAGGTACACATGCAAGTTTACATAAAAGAGATATATACTGCTTTTTTCACTTAGTAATATTATGTATATTTTTCTAAACATTAATCTATATATTACTTAATGGTTATTAATGTATTGCATAATTCCTTAAATGATATATATAAATGTTTGTGTAGTGTGTGTGTATCTGTCTATATATATACACACCGTAAGCTTTTTAACAAGTCCTCTTTTCCTGGAACTTTGCTCAGTTATTCACTAATATTAACAACAATACGAAGAACAATCTTGAGTACAGACATCATTTTATGCCTTGGGACGAATTCCTAGAAGTAGAATTACTGGATCAAAGAGTAGAGAGTATGTTGTCAAATTGTTAACAGCACAAAAAAGTAATATAACCAAAACTCATAAAAGTTGTAAGACTGAAACAATTACTACACAATGAAAACTATAAAAAACGGATCAAAGAAATTGAAGAAAACACAAACAAATGAAAAGATGTTCCATGCTCCTGGACTGAAAGAATTAGTATTGCTAAAATGTTCATACTACCCAAAGCAATCTACAGATTCAATGCAATCCCTATCAAAATACCAATTACATTCTTCACAGAAATGGAAAAAAAGTCCTAAAATTCATATGAAACCACAAAAGATTCCAAATAGCCAAAACAATCCCAAGCAAAATAACAAAGCTGAAGACTTTAAAATATACTAAAAGGTGTAGAAACCAAAACAGCATGGTACTAGCATAAAAACAGACACACTGACCAACAGAACAGAATAGAGAACACAGAAATAAATCTATGCATATACAGCCAACTGACTTTTGACAAAGGTGTCAAGAACATATACTGGGGAAAGAATAGGCTCTTCCATAAATAATGCTGGGAAATCTGGATATCCATACATAAAAAATGAAACTATTACCCCCCACCCCCATCCACCTCGCACCCTATATGGAAATCAAATTAAAATGTAAGACCTGAAACTATGAAACTACTAGAAGGAAAAATATTGAAGAAATGCTTTGGGACATTGGTCTCAGCAGAGATTTTTTTGAGTAACACCTCAAAAGCTCAGGCAACAAAAGCAAAAATAGATACATGCAATTATATAAAGCTAAAAACCTTCTGCAAAGCAAAGGAATCAATTAACAGAGTGAAAAGATAACTCACATAACGAGAGAAAATACCGGCAAACTCTGTCTGACCAGGGATTAATAAACTGAATGTATAAGTAACTCAATAGCAAAAAGCCAAGTAATCCAATTTTAAAATGGACAAATGATTTGAATACACATTTCACAAAAGAAGACATATAATTGGACTACGGGTATGTGAAAAAAATGCTCAACATCACTAATCATCTGGGAAATGCAAATCAGCCACCACGAGATATCTTACCCTGGTTAAGGTGACTATTATCAAAAAGACAGAAAATAACAAATGCTATAAAAAACAGATCGAAGAAATGATCGGATCAGAGAGTGCAGTGAAAAGAGAACACTGCTGGTGGGAATGTAAATTAGTATAGCCACTACAGAAAACAGTATGGCGGGTCCCGTAAAACCTAAAAATAGATCTAGCTTATCATCCAGCAATCCCATGGCTGGGTATATATCCAAAATAAAGGAAGTCAGCCTATTGAAAAGATATCTGCACACTTATGTTTACTGCAGCACTATTCACAATAGCCAAGATAAGTGTCCATCAACAGATGAATGAATAAGAAAATGTGGTATATGTACACAATGGAATATTAGCCATAAAACAGAATGAAATCCTGGCCAGATGCAGTGGCCCATGCCTGTAATCCCAACACTTTGGGAGGCCAAGTCAGGAGGATTACTTGAGCCCAGGAGTTCAAAGCCAGCCTAGGCAAGATAGGGAGACTGCGTCTCTACAAAAATAAAAAAGAGATCACATCTAGGAAGTGAGGAGCGTCTCTGCCCGGCCGCCCATCGTCTGAGATGTGGGGAGCGCCTCTGCCCCGCCGCCCCATCTGGGATGTGAGGAGCGCCTCTGCCCGGCCGAGACCCCGTCTGGGAGGTGAGGAGCGTCTCTGCCCGGCCGCCCCGTCTGAGAAGTGAGGAGACCCTCTGCCTGGCAACCACCCCGTCTGAGAAGTGAGGAGCCCCTCCGCCTGGCAGCTGCCCCGTCTGAGAAGTGAGGAGCCTCTCCGCCCGGCAGCCACCCCATCTGGGAAGTGAGGAGCGTCTCCGCCCGGCAGCCACCCCGTCCGGGAGGGAGGTTGGGGGGGTTCAGCCCCCCGCCCGGCCAGCCGCCCCATCCGGGAGGGAGGTGGGGGGTCAGCCCCCCCGCCCGGCCAGCCGTGCCATCCGGGAGGGAGGTGGGGGGGTCAGCCCCCCGCCTGGCCAGCCGTGCCGTCCGGGAGGGAGGTGGGGGGGTCAGCCCCCCGCCCGGCCAGCCGCCCCGTCCGGGAGGTGAGGGGCGCCTCTGCCCGGCCGCCCCTACTGGGAAGTGAGGAGCCCCTTAGCCCGGCCAGCCACCCCGTCCAGGAGGGAGATGGGGGGGTCAGCCCCCCACCCGGCCAGCCGCCCCGTCCGGGAGGGAGGTGGGGGGGTCAGCCCCCCGCCTGGCCAGCCGCCCCGTCCGGGAGGGAGGTGGGGGGGTCAGCCCTCCGCCCAGCCAGCCGCCCCGTCTGGGAGGTGAGGGGCGCCTCTGCCCAGCTGCCCCTACTGGGAAGTGAGGAGCCCCTCTGCCCGGCCAGCTGCCCCGTCCGGGAGGGAGGTGGGGGGGTCAGCCCCCCGCCCGGCCAGCCGCCCTGTCCGGGAGGGAGGTGGGGGGGTCAGCCCTCCGCCCGGCCAGGCGCCCCGTCTGGGAGGTGAGGGGCGCCTCTGCCCAGCTGCCCCTACTGGGAAGTGAGGAGCCCCTCTGCCCGGCCACCACCCCGTCTGGGAGGTGTGCCCAACAGCTCATTGAGAACGGGCCAGGATGACAATGGCGGCTTTGTGGAATAGAAAGGCGGGAAAGGTGGGGAAAAGATTGAGAAATCGGATGGTTGCCGTGTCTGTGTAGAAAGAAGTAGACATGGGAGACTTGTCATTTTGTTCTGCACTAAGAAAAATTCCTCTGCCTTGGGATCCTGTTGATCTGTGACCTTACCCCCAACCCTGTGCTCTCTGAAACATGTGCTGTGTCCACTCAGGGTTAAATGGATTAAGGGCGGTGCAAGATGTGCTTTGTTAAACAGATGCTTGAAGGCAGCATGCTCGTTAAGAGTCATCACCAATCCCTAATCTCAAGTAATCAGGGACACAAACACTGCGGAAGGCCGCAGGGTCCTCTGCCTAGGAAAACCAGAGACCTTTGTTCACTTGTTTATCTGCTGACCTTCCCTCCACTATTGTCCCATGACCCTGCCAAATCCCCCTCTGTGAGAAACACCCAAGAATTATCAATAAAAAAAAAAAAAAAAAAAAAAAAAAAAAGAAAAAAGAAATTAGCCAGTAGCCAGGTGTGGTGGTGCACACCTGTTGTCCTACATACTCAGGAGGCTAAGGTGGGAGAATCACTTAAGCCCGGGAGATCAAGGCTGCAGTGAACCATGATCATGCCACTGCACTCCAGGCTGGCTGACAGAGCAAGACCCTGTCTCAAAAAGAAAAAAAAAAGAAAAAAAAATTAAATCCTGACATTCTCAGCATGGATGGAACCAGAGGTCATTATGTTAAGTGACATCAGCCAGGAGCAGAAAGACAAATATCGCATGTCCTCACCCATATGTGAAAGCTGAAAAAGCTGATCATGAATGTGGAGTAGAATGATGGTTAACAGAGGCTGGGAAGGGTAGGACTGTGTGGGGGATGAGGAGGCATTGGGTAATAGGTACAAAAATACAGTCAGATATTAGGAATAAGGTCTAGTGTTCAATAGTATAATAGAATGATAATAGTTAATAATAGCTTATTGTATATTTCAAAATAGCTAGAAGAGAAGATTTGGAATATTACCCACAGAAAGAAGATAAATATTTAAGGCAATGGATAACCTAGTTACCCTTATTTGATCATCATACATTGCATGCATATATTGAAATACCATATATAACCCATAAATATGTACAATTATTATGTATCAATAAAAAATTTTTAACAAGAAAATAGTACTATAAACAATTAAATTTTGTGCATGGCAAACAAAAAGGCCATAAGCCAAGCTGAATGACATATGGAGAAAATATCTGGATAAACCCTGTGTACACACACCCCTGCATATGAGTTTTCCAATCTCTTTCATCTTTGACAATTTGACATGAAAATTGTTATTTCATTGTTGTTTCCCTCCTCCTGCCCATTATATTTGATGTTGAACATTTTTCAAATATTTATTAGCTATTTCTATTTCTTGCTTTGTAAATAACCTCTTCAGGCCCTTTGCCCAAATTTCTTAATTTCTTCCCTGTCATATCTGTCTCAGATGTTTCCAAATTTGATATTTGGAACATACAATCTTATTTAGATCAATTTTGGGTTGTCATACACAATTTCATTTTTTTTTTAGGAGACGGGCTCTTGCTCTACCACCCAGGCTGGAGTACAGTGGCTTGATCATAATTCACTGTAACCTCAAACTCCTGGGCTCAAGCAATTGTATCACCTCAGCCCCTTGAGTAGCCAGGACTACAGGTGTGCACCACCACAGCAGGCTAATTTTTAAATTTTTTTGTAGAGACAGGGTCTCACTATGTTACTCAGGTTAATCTCCAACTTCTGGCCTCAAGTGAATTTCACATCTTAGCCTCCCAAACCAATGGGATTACAGACTATCTTTAATTTTGATGTACTCATAATTATCTTCCCATTCTGGCATTTGATTATATCATTGTCATCATCAAAAAATGATCAATTTAAAACATTTTTCAAAAATTTTAAAGATTGATACATAAGAGATGTACATATTTTCAGTGTACATGTGATAATTTAATACATTCACATAATTTGTAAAGATCAATTCAATGTAATTGGGATATCTATTACCTTAAATATTTGTCTTTTCTTTATGTCAGAAACATTTGAATTATTCTCTTTTAGATAATTTGAGATATAAAATAGATTACTGTAAACTATAATCAATTGTAAACTATGATCAATTTTTAAAAGAAAAATTATTTATTTTGGAAACTCCAAGCTCAACTATTAATTTTCCCCCAAATCTAGCAATTATTAACTATAATCCTTCATTAGTCTTCGTAAGTTATTTTTATTCAAATGTGTAATTCCTTTAATGAGACTGTTCTTATAGTTCATTGTATCTATTATTAATTAATGCCCAGTGCTACTGAACCACAAGGGCCTCTATTTTGAAATTCAGCTCTGGTTTATTATTTGGCCCACGACTTACTTGTAAGTATGTTTTGATATTTTTAAATATATGTGGGTAATTAGTTATCTTTTGGTATCAATAATAATCTGATTAACTTGTGATAAAATAATATTATTTCTATGAACCAATTCTTTGGATTTTGTGAGATTTACCCAATGGCCAAGTTTGTGAAAATTGTTAATAAATGTTCCATGTGTTTGAAAATGATGTATATTCTCCAATTACTCTTTATGTGTCCATCATATCAGGCTTATTTATTATACTGTTGGTTTGTTAATATGCTTTGCAGTTTTATGAATTTTGTTTTACTTAAAATGGAATTAGTAATCTTTCTAATGAAACACACCATTTATAAATATGTACTAACACTGAATGGCTCTTGCAGTTAAAAAAAGATATTTAGTGACTATTTAATTTGTATACACATTTTTTACTTTCAAATACTCTGTTTATATTAGTTATATCTCTTATAAATAGAATATAACTTGGTCTTTTTTGAAACTAGACTTTCAATGAGTCTTTAACTAGAGAGTAAGACCATTTATAGTAACTGTGTTTACTGATATATTCATGTTCATTTCTGTAACCTTTTTCCCTATACCAGCTTGGTTGTTATGTATTCTATTATTTAGTGGCAATCTTAGGTATTTGATCACAAATAGCTAACAATACAAAGTCTAACGTTATCAATCCTCTTTTTCCAAACAATACAGACTTTAGACTGATTCAACTCTGATTACTCATCTCTTATACCCATGTACAAGCTTCTTATGATTACAGTGATACCCTGGATTTTTTAACCCTAGAAATTAATTAGTTAGTAATTTGAACAGTATTTGTCTAGATTTACAAATACAGTTGAACCCTGAACAGCACAGAACTTCTTGGGTCCACTTATATATGGATTTTCTTCCACCCTTCCCACCCCTGAGACTGCAAGACCAACCCTTCCTCTTCCTCCTCAGCCTATTCAATATGAAGGCGATGAGGATGCAGACCTTTATGATGATCCATTTCCACTTAATGAATACTAAAATAATTTTCCTTTATGATTCTCTTAATAACATTTTCCTTTCTCTAGCTTAATTGTAAGAATATAGTATATAATACATGTAACATACAAAATATACATTAATTGGTTTTTTATTTTTATTAATAAGGCTTCCAGTCAACAGTAAGCTATTAGTAGTTAAGTTTGGGGGAAGTTAAAAGATATATGCAGATTTTCAGCTGCATGGAATGGAGTCAACATGCCTAATTCCTGAGTTGTTCAAGGGTCAAGTGTACATTCTTTGCTCTGTTTCTTTTTGCAGCTCATACTTCCCTCTTGGATCATTGATTTCTTTCTGAAGAACATTTCATAAATATCTGGGCATTTATTCTACAAATGTGAAAAGACCTTTGAGAAAGTCTTTTGGCTCTTGAAAGTCTTCAGAAAATAACTTTTTACTTTTCTTAAAAAATGATTGCACTGGGTACAGAGTTCTAGAGTAAGCCCACTTCAAAAGTGTCATTCCACTGTCTTCTAGCTTGCATTATTTCTGATAAGAAATCAGGTATTTGGGCAATCTATTTTTCTCTGGATGCTTTTCTATTTGACGTTTTTTTATCCTGTAGGATAAAAAATTTGAAACATTTATAATTTTTTAGAATTTAAAAAATTTCTTTCTAGGAATTCTTAAACCTGTTGTTATAAAGTCTAATTCCTCAGAATTTTCAGCTATACTCTCTGAAAACTGCCTTTCTTTCTCTAGTTCCTTTTTTCAAAGTCCTTTGACAAACCTGACAAAAACAAGAAATGGGGAAAGGATTCCCTATTTAATAGATGGTGCTGGGAAAACTGGCCAGCCATATGTAGAAAGCTGAAACTGGATCCCTTCCTTAACATTATACAAAAATTAATTCAAGATGGATTAAAGACTTAAACGTTAGACCTAAAACCATAAAAACCTTAGAAGAAAACCTAGGCATTACCATTCAGGACATAGGCATGGGCAAGGACTTCATGTCTAAAACACCAAAAGCAATGGCAACAAAAGCCAAATTGACAAATGGGATCTAATTAAACTAAAGAGCTTCTGCACAGCAAAAGAAACTACCATCAGAGTGAACAGGCAACCTACAGAATGGGAGAAAATTTTTGCCATCTATCTATCTGACAAAGGTCTAATATCCAGAATCTACAAATAAACAAATTTACAAGAAAAAAATCGAAGTCCTAATGAAGCATACATCAGACATTCTCATATCACCTTAATGGTTACTCTCTCCTTCAGACTCCCATAACCTTCTCTCTCTGGGCTGCATTCTGTGTAACTTGCTCAATTCTATATTTCACTTTAGCTACCTTCAATCATGACTAATCTGCTATTTAATATTCACTGCATTATTCACTTAGATTGTTATACATTTCTTTTCTTTCTTTTTTTTCGTCTGTGTGGGGAAGTGGGTGTGGGTCTCGCCAAGTTGCCCAGTCTGGCCTCAAACTCCTGGGCTCAAGTGATCCTCCTACCTCAGCTTCCCAAGTAGCTGGGCCTACAGGTGTGTGCTACCATGTCTGGCTTAAAAGTTTCATTTTGTGAAGTTCCTTTTCAAATATGCCTGGTTAATTCTGATAGTCTCTTTTGATTTAAACACTTTAAAAATATTCTTTAAACATATACAGTATCCTGTATCTAATAATTCCAAAATTGTGAATTTAATTCCACTGATGTGTCTGCTGCCCTTCTGTTTTCATGTCAATTTTTTTCCCCATGTAGCTGATGAATTTTCCATTTAGAGGTCATACTGCTTGAGCTTTTATCTCTGTGAATTCTTTGAGGCTTGAGGGAGACGCTCCTTGATCCAAAGAAGATTTAAATTTGCCACTTCCACATTTAAAATTTGGGCTGTACGGGTAATAGGAATTACAGGTGTAAATCCTATGAGGATGTTAGTAATTCATATACACAAGTGTATTTATTTATCCTCTTGTCTCATCTATTACCCAGGTTGAGAAAGTCAAATATGTCCTCTATCTCACTATGTGTAGGTTTTGTTTTTCCCATATAGTTAAAGTACTGTAGATGGTATCTCAGGGGTTCTGGTTTACGCAGAATCCTCACTCATCCCACTGAACCAAGGCCCTGAGCTTATTAAAAAATACCTCCAGGCTGGATGAGGTTGGTTGCTCACTCTCGAAAATGCATGTACCTGCCTAGGCTTATAGATTTGAACTTTCTCAGAGAAATTCTCTTGGTGTCCCACCAACTCAACCATGCACTAAAAAGTCCCTTAAGGTCGGGCATGGTTGCAATATCTGTAATCCTTGCAGTTTTTTGGGGCCAATGTGGGAGGATCACTTGAGCACAGAAGTTGGAGACCAGCCTAAGCAACATGCCAAGACCCTGTCTCTACAAAAAAATAAATAAATAAAAAATAAATTAGCTGGGCATAGTGGTAAGCACCTGTAGTCCCGCTTACTCAGAAGGCTGAGGCTGGAGGATTGCTTGAGCCCAGGAGTTCATGGATGCAGTGAGCTGTGTTCGTGCTACTGCACTCCAGCTTGGGCAACAGTGAGACCCTGTCTCAAAAAAAAAAAAAAAAAAAAAAAAGCCCCTGAATACTTTCCTGAGTTTTAGATGTACCATACCAGGAAAGATGTAATTGAATATTTATTCTACCATATTATTAAAATATGGAAGAGCTAACTTGGTTTTGTAGTCCAAAAATGTAAAAAAGCCCTGCACAGATTACATGCATCATTAATACGTAGTGACTGTTCCTGAGTGAATAATATAGTGACTATTTCCTTATAAAGGGCTTCTTATAAAGATTTCTGTACATTGCTTTACACCATATTATATGAACCATTTTTGGGAGAGAGTGAAATTATCTGAGCTGAACCTTCACTCTGCTGCTGATACATATGCATTATGTAACAGTTAAATAATACATTTCAGCATACTGTAATTGATGGTCCAAATGGTTAGCTCAATTACATTTAAATCACCCTAGCCCATTCTCTTCAGATGACAATGATCACTACCCCGAGAAAAATATCAGTCATCTTAAATTTTTATATCTTAGTTGGACTCAGTGTTTTCACATGGATTTAAAACAAGTTATAGAGCAATAGACATCATCATGACCTGTTTGAAGTTCAAGTGTATGAACAAGATTCATTTTTTTTATTCCCACAGAATTATAAGGGTGGTCAGCAAGAGGTATGTTTATGATGTCAGTTAAATATAAAAGTCACAAAAAGAAAAGTCTATGTTTCAGATGTGTTTTTGCTCAGAGACCACAGAGTATGAGCATCTAGAATACTTTCAGCATAGGGAGAAAACTTTAGTAGATTTTACTCCAGAAAAACAATATATTCATTATATTACACTCTAACATACATGTACCTACACATGAATTTTACTAGTCAATTCTTATGTAATAAATACTCATTGGAATATTAGTCATCTGTTAAGCTCTCTTGCATATGCCCACAATATTACTAAGATGCATATTTTCCTAGACTTCCAGAAGACAACCCATTATATAAATCATAATTGATCTACAGACCAATGACTTAAAAGAAATAGGATGTCATCTAAAATAAATTGGCTGTAGACAAACTAATAACTTAAAAAAAATGCCTCTTATTGCATCACTTCTGATTCTCTTAAGGATACTGTCATTACTGTCAAAGCCCTAGTAAACATGAAACAATTTGTTACATAATTTTTACCTCAAAAAACCATTTTAACTCTTGAAGAGCATCTTGACTTAAAGATCATGCCTGCCTTGTTCTACTGCCTTTCTTACTAAGTTTTATCATCTACTACTAACAATAAACCACTATAATTAAAGGTCTAAAGTTTTACCTGGGATACCTTATTGAGAAGATGGAAAATCAGATGAGAAAGTGCCTGTTAATTTCTGTGTATCATGAACACATACAAATTAGGTGAAGTGAGTGTAGGGCCTTCATGGGGTCACTGTATCTTGCTAAGTGGGGAGATGTTGCCTTCACTTCTCCTTTTGCCCTCTCCTCACACGGCTTTGAGAACTTTTTTTCTTCCGTATCTGTTAATGTGGATGGAAACATTAACTTATTTGAGGTTTCATCCCAGATCGGAAGACAAGATGTGAGAGAGCTCAGAATGAATCAGAGACATCAGGTCACACAAAGGGGGTCACCCTTTACCCTTGACATTGCATTGCTTGACAGTCACAATTATACATATAGGTTATCAAGCAATGGCAAGTGGGAGAAAGGTGACTTTATATTTCACTCTTTTCTTGGAACAAACATCTTCAGGTGTTCACGGATTCTGTCTACTTTCACCATTGGTATTCCCTTCTGACACCTAGGGTGTCTATTCTTTCTTGCAGGTTTTAAATTTTGTATGAATCTAAGCAAAAACCATTTATTTCAAAAGCCCTCTTAGAAGGAGAGAGGAGAGCCAGAAATAGGGATATGTTCTCCAACATATTGTGCAAAATTGATGTTTCTAATTGGTCATGTTATGCATCATCATATTACCACCTTCTGCTTATATCACACTCTGTAATGCTCAAAGTACTTTTGCCTCATTTGATTCTCACATCAACCCTGTGAAGTAAGCAAAACATATATTATTTCTCTTATTTTACAAATGAGAACTAGACCAGGGTATCCTAGCTCCTTGTATAATGACTTTCTATCATTCTGCTAAGACTCAGAGAGGCCTACATTCTTAAGGCTTTGAATAATTGCCAAGATTTCATGGCTCCTTTATCTGCAACCCTACTTTTTGCCTACTATCAATGCTCTGTGGAGGAGCAGTGACTATATTCCTTCATTAGTATTGATGACAGCATATTTGATAGTATATTTTACTGAACCTCCACAAAATTAAGTTGTATTTTTCAACTTAATTACAAGAAGGAAATAATAATAATCTTAAAAATGAAACTTAAGAATGGAAAATAGCCGAAAATGCATTATCCCCCTGTTGTCAATGAAAAGCTTACCAAAATATATTTGAGAAAAAAAATTTAAAAATTTAAGAAGTAAAAAGAAATCATATAGTCTATTTGTGGTGATCAGTTTTTGTGACTCGATGATAATAACTTCTGAAGTACTTGGAATTACATGAAGTCCACGAGGCCTTAAAAACAGTAAATTTTTTGTTATGGGGGAAGAGAGTCAGGAAAACTTGTTCAAAATAACAAATAAATAGATACATAAAATAATACAAGATTATGTTCAGAGATCCTTTGATAGCCTAATACTGAAATAATCTTAAGCATGAACTTTTAAATTAATTATGATGGTTTTTCTACTTAGCAATAGAGATTCTGAATCCTCATTTTGGCCATCGGGAATAATGTACAATATTTTAAGAAATTATTAAAAGCATTCATCAACTGCTCCAAAATCTGACAGATAACACGCTGTAGGCAAGAAAAAAAATGAAAAGTATATTTCATAGTATTGAGTAATAATAGATCACTATTGATAATTAGCATTAGATATATCAAATGTAAATAACTAGCAAGCTTTTAAAAACAAGAAAATATTTCTTATGGTGAGTTAAAGTATTGTCTGACACACACACATACACACACATGCATGTCAAAACCAGTGAAATCTGAGTAAGGCCTGTAAAATGTATCAATGTCAGTTACCTGACTTTGATATTATACTAGAATTACATAAACTGTTACCATCGTGGGAAACTAAGTAAAGAACTCTGTACTATTTTTGCAAATTTCTGTGAGTTTATAATGTTTTCTCAAAAACAGTATTTTTAAAAATAGTTGTAGGTTTGAAGAATCGTCAGGTATTTGTAAGACTGGTTGTAATTCAAGTAGATTTCAGTCAGAGCACAAACAGTATTGGCAATAAAATAACATCAACTCAAGTGGTCAATCTACTGCTTTAGAAGTGTTTTCTTACCTGTTATTTTGCCTCTTCCTTATCCTTCCCTGCCTAGATCTTTGATATCTTTTCTCTCCTTTTATCTGCCCCAGTCTAGGAAAATAGCTTATTCATTGTTAACTGAAACAACACAAAAAATTATGCTGGTCCATGTTTAAAGGAATAAGTAGCTTGGTTTATCAGAAAATATAGTTCTTCACCTCACTTTGGTTGTCTTCTCAAATATAATGTTGCAAGGAATGATGAAGTACAGTAAAAACCCAAGGCAGGGTGATATGGTTTGGCTGTGTCCCCACCCAAATCTCATCTTGAACTGTAGCTCCCATAATCCCCATGCATCCTCGGAGGGACCAGTTGGGAGGTAATTGAATCATGGGGGTGGGTTTTTCCCATGCAGTTCTTGTGATAGTAAGTCTTATGAGAGCTGATGGTTTTATAAAGGGCAGTTTCCCTGCACATGCTCTCCTGCCTGCCGCCATGTAAGACATTCCTTTGCTCCTCCTCACCTTCTGCCATGATTGTGAGGCCTCCCCAGGCATGTGGAACTGTGAGTCTATCAAACCTCTTTTTCTTTATAAGTTACCCAATCTCGAGTATGTCTTTATTAGCAGCATGAGAACAGACTAACACAGTAAATTGGTACTGGGTAGTGGGGTGCTGCTGTAAAGATACCCGAAACTGTGGAAGTGACTTTGGAACTGTATAACAGGCAGAGGTTTGGAACTTCCTAGAGACTTGGAGGGCTCAGAAGACAGGAAAAAGTGGGAAAGTTTGGAACTTCGTAGAGACATGTTGAATGGCTTTGACTAAAATGCTCATAGTGATATGAACAATAAAGTTCAGCCTGAGGTGGTCTCAGATAAAGATGAAGAACTTGCTGGGAACTGAAGCAAAGGTGACTCATTATGCTTTAAGAAAGAGACTGTGGTATTTTCATCCTGCCCTAGAGATCTATGGAAATTTGAACGTGAGAGAGATGATTTACGGTATCTGGCAGAAGAAATTTCTAAGCGACAAAGCATTCAAGAGGAAGAAGAGGATACATCAAGTTTGGAAAATCTGCAGCCTAACGAAGCAATAGAAAAGAAGAACCCATTTTCGGGGAGAAATTCAAGCCCACGGCAGAAATCTGCATAAGTAACCATAAGCCAGATGTTTGGGAACCTCCGCCTAAATTTCAGAGGATGTATGGAAATGCCTGGATGTCCAGGCTAAAGTTTGCTGCAGCGGGGGAACCCTCATGGAGAACCTCTACCAGGGCAGTGCAGAAGGGAAATGTGGGGTGGGAGCCCCCCCAAAAGAGTGTCCCTACTGGGGCACTGCGTAGCAGAGCTGTGAGAAGAGGGCCACCATCCTCCAGACCCCAGAATGGTAGATACACTGACAGCTTGCACCATTTGCCAGGAAAAGCTGCAGACACTCAATGCCAGCCTGTGAAAGCCTCCAGGAGGGGCGCTGTACCCTGCAAAGCCACAGGGGCGGAACTGTCCAATGCCATGGGAGCCCACCTCTTGCATCAGTGTGACCTAGATGTGAGACATGGAGTCAAAGGAGGTCATTTTGGAGCTTTAAGATTTGACTGTCCTGCTGGATTTGAGACTTACATGGGACCCACAGCCCCTTCAGTTTGGCCAATTTATCCCATTTGAAATGGATGTATTTACCCATGCCTGTACCCCATTCTATCTAGGAAGTAACTAACTTGCTTTTGAGTTTACAGGCTCATAGGTGGAAGGGACTAGCTTTGTGTCAGATGAGACTTTGAACTGTGAACTTCTGAGTTAATGCTGAAATGAGTTAAGACTTTGAAGGACTGCTGGGAAGGCATAATTGGTTTTGAAATGTGAGGACATGAGACTTGGGAGGGGCCAGGGACAGAATGATATGGTTTGGCTGTGTCCCCACCCAAATCTCATCTTGAATTGTAGCTGCCATAATCCCCACGCATCGTGGGAGGGACCCATTGGGAGGTAATTGAATCAGGGGGTGGATTTTTTCCCATGCTGTTCTCATGATAGTGAATAAGTCTCATGAGAGGTGATGGTTTTATAAAGAGCAGTTTCCCTGCACACACTCTCTTGCCTGTTGCCATGTAAGACATGGCTTTGCTCCTCCTCACCTCTGCCATGATTGTGAGGTCTTCCCGGCCATGTGGAACTGTGAGTCCATTAAACCTCCTTTTCTTTATAAATTACCCAGTCTTGGGTGTGTCTTTATTGGCAGCGTGAGAACAGACTAATGCACAGGGTTTATGTATGTATATATGTTTATGGTTCTGACCAAGACACTAAGCACCTCCTTACTAACATTTCTTCTCATCTGTATCTTGGGGATCAACAACAACAAGGCCATAGTGTATGAGAGCTTCCTGTTGATGAAATATACTAATCATGACAATGAAATGCGACCCCTTGTCTTGGCTCCCTGGTTAGTACTCCAGATTTAACCTGCCATGCTTTTTGGTTCCTTTTCTGCTTTAAATGATTAGTTTTTGGTGTGAGACTTGAGCTTGTTTCTACGAAAAAAGATTGCCCATGTCTGTCTGCAGCCCCTAGTTATGCCATGATGATTTTCCTTCTGCATTGGGTCTATTAGGACTCTCAAATCCTGCTCTTCAAGCTTTCTAACTCTATCAGAGGGTTCTGTTTAGTCTTCTGAGACTTAGATCCACTAGTTTTTACTCCATGTGGTTGGAGCGTTGGGAGCAGCCTGTCTGATTTTCCACCACAAATAGAGGACTGGGAAATTGTCTCCTTTACTCCTTGACAATGAATATACAGAAAGTAGTCATTCTTGCTGATTCACTTTAGGTCTGTTCTCAGGTGCTGGGAGGCAGTGTTTTCTCATACAAATGTGAATCTGGAGGATCAAAATCTTCCTTGAAATTGGAGGGGTCAATGTGATGCCTGTTGTTGTTGTTTTTTTTTTGGACATCTGTCTGCTCTACTGAGATAAGTATTACCTATGATATCAGAAAATAAAAATATAACACTTTCAAGTAATGAACTGTCAGAAATGCTGTTTTCATTTTCCTGGAAAATACCAAAGTACCACTTAAGAAATATTTTGGTCAACAATATTAATTATCTTCTTCTTCCCTCCTTCCTTTCTCAAGTCTAAATAATTCACATACTATGTCCTAAGCATTTCTGGGGCCTGGGGCATACAAAGCTGAATAACGCAGGGCTGTGGTGTGGTGCTCACAGTCTTGGCGGGGAATATTCTGAGTAAAGGATTAACAAAATCTTTTTTTCCTCATGTTTGGAAAAATTACTTTGGTTTAACTTTCTAGCTCTGGTCTCCCTGATATCTGAGAAATGTGAGATGTCAGACACTAAGCAATGCTGCTTACAGTAAAAATGAACCCTGGTTGGTAAATTACCATGAACTGGGAGATCTGTGACCAGGACTACAGATAAATGATGAAGTCTTAGCATTGGGCTTCTGAGGTTAGACCCCTAGAAATGGAGTGTGGCCTTCTTTGCAGGGCTTTGGAAGTTATATTCATAGGCTGTTGCAAAAAATATTGCTCTTATGAGCATGGGGCTTTTAAGGTAAAATGACTGTCATATCCCCCTCCACCATATGGCTCATTCTTTACAACTGTGGTGTCACTTGGGAGGCAGTGAGACAGGGGAGGAGCAGAAAATTGTTCTGGGATTGCTGGACTCTCTTGGTGAAGACATAAACCAGATACTACCCTATTAGCACATTATGTTTCTATCCTAGAAGGATAGAATAATTACCTCCTGTGGCCTAATGAGTTCTATGAATTTGACTGATTAATGGAACCTAAGACCACTGACAGGGGCATTGCAAGACTTATGCAAATAATCACCAAGTATTGTGGTACAAGTTAATCAAGGTTTACGTACAAGGTGTTATAAGAATTTCTGCTCCAGTTGTTCTGGTTTGGGATTGGTGCTTGTGAAAATGTGTAGTATGCAATCTAAGCAACTTCCTCCTCCTTACACCTGAACTGATTTTCCTATAATTTCACATCATCATAATTAAAAGAAAATTTTATAATTAGAACTCAGTAATGCATGAAATATGAAGTGTATACTGAGTGTATATGCTAAGAGACTAGAAAAGATCTATAAAGAGAATGAAAGAAATAATGACCTGTATCAAATTATAATTTTGATTTTTGTGGTCTATTTCTTTCCATATATATATTTTTGAAATGTACACTGAAATCGATGTCATGTAAATATTTCTGAAGTAGCAAAGCAACAGACCAGCTTGGCAGAATGGAAACAGACCATGTTTCAACTTTACCTATACTCCTGTATATAGGTAAAATCTAATTTTATGAATATTATTATAAAGACCTTCTTAACTACACCTAATGAGACTACTTCCATCTTCTGACTCATAATTAATTTTTCTGAAGCATTCATTCAGCAAATATCTATCAAGTACCAACTACCTGCTAAGAATGTGATTATTCACTAAGGATTCAACAGTGAGAAAAAAAGACATGATACAACATAGTTTCAATAAATTCTGTTGGCCAGAAAATCCTGAATCATAGACAATAATTTACAAGTCTACATTTATTTAACAATAAATATATTTAATGGATCTGCTTTTATTAAAATATTCAAATAAAGATACCATTCAATATTTGTTAAATAGGCCAAAAATACTTGTTTTGCCCAAAATCTGTTAATGATTGAGTGATGGAGAAAGATGATATTATAAATGCCTGACTTCACTCTGCTCAGGGCTGTTTCCTGATCATAAGCAAACTGAACACACTTCTGAAAATAGGAGGCTTCCTTTGCAGGGAGTAAGGGTTGACAATTATCTGTTTGACTGAAATACAGGTAAACAATGGCCATGAAATTCTGATCCAAGGGCTCCTTGGGGTTACTAAGCTTCTTCTGCAATACACTTCAGGGTGTGAGAAGGTGGGTGGAGCTTTGTCCCAGGGTTATTCTGCACTCTGCACTCTGCACAGGGAGTGCTGAAGTAGAGATAAGCAGTGCTAACACCATCTATTCACTGAGTTTCCTTGTTACCATTTCAAATTAGCTACACCACGCAACTGCGGGCCCTTCTGTTTACTGACAGTTATTCCTGGTTCCTTTTGCAGAGTTCATCAGGGCCATTTCCACTCACATTGGGAGACTATCAACATTATGGAAGTACTAAACCAAAAATTAAAGAATGCTTCCCTTCAAAACGTATAATTTATTATAATCCCTAATGATCTATTCAACATTTTAGCATATACACCATATTTCATTTAGAAATAACTTACGGGATGGGTTTTTATTATGATGGTATTTGCATGAGCTTATGAGCAGGAATCGCCAAATATTTTCTGCAATGGGCCAAGTAGTAAATATTTTAGGCTTTATGGGGACACATGCAGTCTCTGACATGTCTCCTTTTTTCTTTCTTCTTTATTTTTTTTTTTAACCCTTTGAAAACATAAAAACTGCTCTCAGGTAGAGGGTCACTGGGTAGATTTGACCTCCAGTCTGTGGTCTGCCTATCTCTAATTTCTAGGCATAAAGGATAAATATGATAAATATGATCGTAGCCATTTATGTCATCTTGGGAACCAAAAAACACATGCTTCTACCTTTTCTACCTCCACTCGCTATGATTTTATATTGACACTGAATTCTGTTTTATGTAAATCAATAAACTCAATAAATACAATGCATCATTCATATCTCCTGAAATAATAACCATTGGAAAGAATACTTAATATAATTTGCAACTTAGACATCAAATCAATTAAAGTTGTAAGGATCACTTATCTTTTACTTGTCAGGCAGTTTCACTTAGGTTCTCACATTTAATTTCATTTGATCTCTCTAATAGTCGTGTACTACATGTATTTTTATCCCCACCTTATAGGTAAGAAAATGGAAATTCTTGCAGGTTAAGTGACTTTGCTAAAGTAATACAGCCATCTTACTTTGAAAGAACTTAAACCCAGAACTTCTGAAACCAAGTCCTAGAGCTTAACAGGAAAATGCAAAATATATTTAAACAAGAACATGCATACATCCTCAGGTACACACGTACTTAGTGCCAGAACAAACTAATGATGATTTGAGATCTTTCCTGAGACAACTGCTCAGAAGTTGCATTTTTAAGCTATCTGGATCAGGGTTCACAGGCTCCTTCTAACAGGATACCATAATTATTAGGTTTCCTAAGTGAGAAAGCCAAACAAATCCATGCAAGAATGATATTATTACTAATGAAACCTGTGCCAATTCGAGCACCCCTCTCCTTTTCAGTGCCATGACTTTATATCTGTGTGGACATAAAATGCAAACAAACAATAAAAGTCAAATCAAGCAAACTGATTTCCTAATGAACTTTCAAAAAGACACAGGGTTTTATACAATGAAAATAATATTTAAGAACAGCTTCCATCACACTCAAAGCCATGTTGAAAGAGGATTCAGAAGTGTGAGATCAGTAAAAATGGAAGAAAGAAAATCAACAAGGACGGCAACGTGACAGCGGCTTTAAATGAGAATGATTTGTCAATAAAATGATTCCAAATGCCCTTGGAAAAACCGATAAAGATTTTTATAAACTGAGTCTGTTTATGACCCTACTAAAATTCAAATTTTATAATATTACAGAAAACCTACAACTTTAAACATGATTCATTTTTGTTTGATACAAGAATGACTATAGCTGCATGCTCTATTAGGTAATAAACTCATGAATTTTCATACATTTACTTTTATTATTACAAACAAAGCACCATTTGCGATGTTTATAACAAGACTCTGGCCTCAATTTAAATAGATTCATTTTTAATGTTTTCTCCTCACAACGCCCATTTATCCCATTAATGAGTCCCTCCTACACTGCCTCTCCAAATTGGGCAAGTTGTAGATTAAATAAGAGAATAAGGAAATTGCTCCCCTCTCTTGAGAGGGCAGAAATGGTGACAGCAATTGAGTCACTGCCAAATGCAAAATTGGTTTGCTACCTTGACCTCTAATGTATATTCTGTGCAAGTCCCTTTCCATATCCTAAATGACTCTTTCTCAAGTCACTAGAAATCACAAGCTGTTTACACCAAAATAGTTATCAAAGTGATAGTCTCCCATGAATACAATATGATAATAGAAAATGTCAGGCCCTGAACTGCATGCTCAGCATCAGTAAGATTTCCCTTGCACTTTGGGAGGCCGAGGCGCGCGGATCACAACGTCAGCAGATCGAGACTATCCCGGCTAACACGGTGAAACCCCATCTCTACTAAAAATACAAAAAGTTAGCTGGGCATGGTGGCGGGCGCCTGTAGTCCCAGCTACTCGGGAGGCTGAGGCAGGAGAATGGCGTGAACCCAGGAGGCGGAGCTTGCAGTGAGCCGAGATCTCACCATTGCACTCCAGCATGGGCGACAGAGCAAGACTCCGTCTCAAAAAAAAAAAAAAGATTTCCTTGAAGTATCCATGCAAATAAGGATCTCATTTCTTTGGTTGACATATTACCTGTTTTGGCTAGGTGTGATATCACACTTAGAGACACAGGGGCAGTCCATGGCTGGAAGCCATTATGTCTGCTTTTCTTTTCTTCATTAATGTCAGACATTGGGACATACAGAAACTCCTTTTTATCCCCAAGAGAAGAAGTGTGTTCACAGACTGTACTGGGCAATACTTAAGAACTACAGTTGGCCGGGCGCGGTGGCTCATGCCTGTAATCCCAGCACTTTGGGAGGCCGAGGCGGGCGGATCATGAAGTCAGGAGATGGAGACCATCCTGGCTAACACGTTGACACCCCGTCTCTACTAAAAATACAAAAAATTGGCCGGGAGTAGTGGCGGGTGCCTGTAGTCCCAGCTACTCAGGAGGCTGAGACAGGAGAATGCCGTGAACCCAGGAGGCAGAGCTTGCAGTGAGCCGAGATCATGCCACTGCACTCCAGCCTGGGCAACAGAGCCACACTCCGTCTCAAAAAAAAAAAAAAAAAAAGAAAAAGAAAGAAAAAAAAAGAACTAGAGTTGTATTCCTTCTCACTCTAGTATCTAAACACCATAAAATATAAAAGAAAAAATTGGCTGGGCGCGGTGGCTCACGCCTGTAATCCCAGCACTTTGGGAGGCCGAGGCGGGCGGATCATGAGGTCAAGAGTTCGAGACAAACCTGACCAACATAGTGAAACCCCGTCTCCACTAAAAATACAAAAATTAGCTGGGCATAGCGGCGCGCGCCTGTAATCCCAGCTACTTGGGAGGCTGGGGCAGGAGAATCGCTTGAACCCGGGAGGCAGAGATTGCAGTGAGCCGGGATTGCACCACTGCATTCCAGCCTGGGCGAGAGGGCGAGACTCCGTCTCAAAAAAAAAAAAAAAAAAAAAAAAAAAAAAAAAAACAAAAGAAAAAATTATGTGTTAATGCTACTAAAGTTAGTATTTGAACATTCATATTGATTCATCTGTCCAGAGTCATAAAACAAGACAAAAGAAAACAACTATATTAATGCTTAACCACTGTATGCTAAAGCATTTATTTATAATATTCTTCATTCTCCTTCCTATGGAATAGTTTGGGAAAATGTAGTAGTTATGAACAATAATTGCAGAAATGGAAAACCCTTATGGCAAATTAACTAACAATCTCTCAGAAGTGAGAATTTGCCAACCCCAGTCTCTCTACCACTCCCGCCACACCCTTTATCAACAGATTATCATTCCCTTAGGTTACAGATCACTGAGATCACCAAATCATCTCCTCCCAACATCTAAATCACTTCAGTGCCCACCATAGGGATAGCAGGTAGAGAACCAGGAAGACCATAACAAGTCAGTTATTAATTTATTAATAAATCACAATGAGTTAAAGAACTTTGTGAAGGGTAGAAAAGAGATTTAAATTGATTAGTCAAGAGACATTGTTGGACTTTGTTTCATCTGACAGTCATCTGTCAATAGCTCAGACAATCATAAAACTGTGTCCTTTTCAAAGGGAGAAAAGTGAAATGACTTGGCAAAACTTTTCTTTTCCTCTCCCTCTGCCACTTTAAAATCGAAGAATTCTGAATCCTTGCTGTTAACCAAATGGCATTTACAGCTCTCAGTTGGCATGGGGTAGCTGAGAATCTAAAAGGAGGAATGCTTATTCCATTTCCATTTCCATGGAAACCAATCACCAACTGGTGAAAACAAGGTAGATCAAATTTTTGAATAAGAATGTTGAAATAATCACTGTTTTAAAACTTTTCTCTTGCATCAGGATGAAGAGCATAGTCTAATCTCCGAAAACACACAGAGATGTCTGTGTGGATAAATAATTCACTGCTGCTTTATTGTTGCAACTCTTCTTCATAATCACGATAATTACTGTATTCTAGTGAGGTTTTCTGATCATTCACTGAAGGACAAATTGTTATAAATCCAATAAATAACTTACATTTGAAAATGGGAAAATTCCAAAGCCAAGAAATCCATTCAAAATGTATTATCATGTTCCTCTTCTACATCCTCTTAGCAAATGTATGAGGAAAGAAACATGGTGATTTTCAGAGAAGGAATAGACTGTGATCTGTTTTTGCGAGAAGATTTGGAGGAGTATTCAATTTTTTGGAACTCTACCATGAAAATCAGACTTTAAATAGACTATTTAAATGACCAATTATTACAAAGCAGAAATAGTCTTCATAGCTCTTAAAACCATTCAGCCTTTCCAAGAGAATTTGAATAGTCCCCTTCACAAAAAAATAAATAAAAATTCAAGTATTACTTTGACTATTTGCACACTTAAAATACAAACATCCCAATAATTTCCCACAAAGGAGTAACAGGATGAAAAAATGTCAATAATTCATTTAACTTGGAGCTCTCTTACTAGGCTATTACTAGGCTTTCCTGATGACCAAAATCTCTAAATTAGCTCTAATACCAAAAGTTATTACAAAAGGGTTGCACTGCGTACAGCATTCCAAACATTCAGAATGCATGATCTGTAATGCTCACAGAAAACTGCTGGTAGCTTTTATTTCCCCCACTGTTTTACACACAGAAGATAATTAAGTCTCCCAGTGGTAATAAGACTTACCCTAAGTTATTCCTACAACCTTTGAGCTTCTTTCCCAATATCAGACTTTCACGATCGTCCTGCACAGGCACACTTTCATGTTTCTAGCTTGTAACCCCAATTCAAAAATATCATCACATTTACTTCCCATCTCATTAATTCTAATCTCCTCATATTAGTAAAACATAAATCAGTATGGAAATGTCTGACTTCAAATACTACCATGAATACATGCCAACTCATTTACTATTCATATTCCTGATTTTTAAAATCTCAAGTTGTTAAAATTATAGCCAAATTCTACATCTGAAGTTGTTCCTTACGTTGGTCTAATTATATCTGATTTGTTTCCTTATTTCTGCTTATGCTATTTAAGAGGCTTAACCTTAATTTTTAAGACCAACATTTATATTTATTAACATTTATATGGTTAATACATAAGAATGTAATAAGAAAGTTGGTAACATTTTTCAAGCCACCCTTTTTTATTTAAAAAAAACTGTCCCTAATTATAATTAGTTAGGGGTACATGTGTGTGATGGGACATAGAGAGAGAAAGAGAGAAAGACTGACTGATTTTGGCTAAAATTCAAATCTCAAGGAATTATTTCACAAGTTTTATTAATCAGGCTGGGCACAGTGGCTCACACCTGTAATTCAAGCACTTTGGGAGAATGAGACCGGTGGATTGCTTGAGCCCAGGAGTTCAAGACCAGCCTAGGCAACATGGTGAAGCACTGTCTCTACCAAAAATACAAAAATTAGCCAGTCTCGTAACTCGGACTCAAAATAAATACATACATAAAATAAAAAGTTTTATTAATCAATAATTATATGTGCATGGCCCATTTTCATTTTTTCATTCTAAAATTTCTTAGTGAACACATTTTGTAAAGCTTATACCACTTATTTACCTCCTATAAGCAAGGCCAGCACGTGACATCTGAAAGAAAAACAAAAACCTCCAAATCAAAGGTTAATTCATAATTTCCTTTCAGAGGCCTAAGAATAAGAATTAGTCAGTGTTAATGAAAACAGCCCCAGGTAACTTGCAACATTTTCTTTCCATGAAAATTGCAGTCTTTTTTTCAGAGTCTAAATGGAAGCCTGCCTTTTAATATCTGTAAATACCTCGAAAATACTTTTTTTTTTTTTTTTTTTTTTGAGATGGAGTCTCGCTCTGTCGCCCAGGCTGGAGCACAGTGGTGCAATCTCGGCTCACTGCAAGCTCCACCTCCCGGGTACACGCCATTCTCCTGCCTCAGCCTCTGGGACTACAGGCGCCCGCCACCACGCCCGGTAATTTTTTGTATTTTTAGTAGAGACGGGGTTTCACCGTGTTAGCCAGGATGGTCTCAATCTCCTGACCCTGTGATCCGCCCGCCTCGGCCTCCCAAAGTGCTGGGATTACAGGCGTGAGCGACGGCGCCTGGCCTGAAAGTACATTTCTTTACCATCTTTGATCCCTTCCTAGTCTGCCAATCCTTTAGCAATGGAAAATCTTGGCAGATTGGTTGGGATTAAAACCTCAAACTCTTCATCTCACTAATGCTACAGTCCAACCCACAGTGATAACAGTAAAGCTGTCATCACTGTCCCCTTTGAGGAGGCACTTCATGGGAAGGAATTACAGGCTGTTGCGATGCACGTTCATTAAAAACATCTCAAGGAACATCACTATGTGATTGTGCTAATACTTTATGTAAGTTTGTACATAAGTAAGTTGGAGATTTGGTGGGAGTGGAGTGCTTCTTATTTCTAGCTAAGGGAAAATACTTCCTCAGGCAACAAATATTCAGTCTATAGTAAAGTTTTTTCCCTTTGCTGAAACTTTTAGGTTTTTTAACAAAGAGTCTTACTCTGTGACCCAGGCTGGCATGCCGTGGCGTGATCTCAGCTCACTGCAACCTCCACCTCCCAGGTTCAAGCTATTCTCCCACCTCAGCCCCCCCTAGTAGCTGGGATTACAGGCACATGCCAATGTGCCCAGCTAATTTTTGTATTTTTAGTAGAAATGGGATTTCGTTCACCATGTTGGCCAGGCTGGTCTTGAACTCCTGACTTCAAGTGATCTGCCTATCTTGATCTCACAAAGTGCTGGGATTACAGGCGTGAGCCACCATGGTGCCTGGCCTGAAACTTTTAGTTGAAGTCATTTAAGAGAAATAGAAACAAAAGACAAAAATGGCAGTTAGTACGCTTTTACACAAAAGTTTGGAATATCAGAATAAGACTAAAGTTCATTTAAAACTTATTTCTGCCACTTGTTTTAGGTTTTTTATCCATAAAACTTGAATATTTTGCATTTCATGGTGTTTTTTCTTTCCCTTTATTTGCTCAAGAAGTGAAAAGGGGGCAATGATCTTGCCACAGGGCAGGGATGTAGCAAAACTCAGCTTCCAACTAGGTTAAATTAGAATTAATCGTAATACACAAGGTAACACCCTATATATAAGGATCTCCAAGCACTGTAGAATAACAACATGACCACTTATTGAGTATCTACTATTCATCAGTCTCTAGTATTGAATAAGGTATGCTATTTTCAGATGACTGTAAAAAACATTAGTTAAAACCACAGCATATTGTAGAAAGGGTTAAGGGGTGAGGCTAAAAAGACAGTGAACACATTATAAAATCTTTTTTTTTTTTTTTTCCCTTGAGACAGAGTCTTGCTCTGTCACCCAGACTGGGGTGTAATGGTACAATCTGGGCTCACTGCAACCTCTGCCTCCTCAGTTCAAGTGATTCTCCTGCCTCAGCCTCCTGAGTAGCTGGGACTACAGGCACAGCCACCACACCTGGCTAATTTTTGTATTTTTAGTAGAGACGGGGTTTCACCATATTGGCCAGGATTGTCTTGATCTCTTGACCTCGTGATCCGCCCGCCTTGGCCTCCCAAAGTGCTGGAATTACAGGTGTGAGCCACCGCACCTGGCCATAAATTCTTTACATACATTTAAAGAGTTTGGACATAGTCATAAGGGGTTTGAAGACAGAGGCAAAACACATTCAGATTTAAGTTTTAGATAAAGGAGAAGCTCCAGGGAAAATAAGAAATGTCTGGCTTAACAAGAGGATGCCTTTTGTTCCAAAGCTTGCAAGGAGCTCACTAATACCAGGGCACTGTCAGTCATTACAAAAGTCATCTCATGAATGGTTGTTCTCTTTGGTCAGTCATTTTCCAAGACTCAGGTGAAATACTATTGCCTCCAGAAGTCTTCTCTGAATTTAACCTACAGTAGTAACTTCTCTAAATCCTATTCCTATGGTTTATGGCCCTAGTTTACAATTGTGTATTTTATTTTACATAAAAAGAACTTTTTACTTCAAATATAATTCTAAGAGAAATTCTACCACGTAAATAAGATTTTAAAATAGATTTTGGTTTGTTTGAGGAAGAGAGAGCTACACCCATCCACACAACCTCTTGAGCCACATTTGGACAGCCTGTGAGATCCATCAGCAGACTCCAGGGTTCCATGAAATGCTTTTGGAAAACTGATGGTCTCCAAATCACATCCTGCCTAGTGGTTTGTTTTAACTGCACTGTGTTAGTTAAGTGATGGATCAATACTAAATTTCTACATACTGTAAGTATATCACTAGTAGATTTTTAATGAATAACCAAAACACTGCTATGTTTCTACTAGGTATTCAGAAATCCTTTCTAAATGAAATGATATGCCATAAAATAAACACTAAATTCTCATAAATTAACTACAATTGTTTCCATGAATTAAACATTGTTTATTGCTTATAAACACTATGTTCAGAAAAAGCATCTAGGGTCCTGCTCCAAATTAGAGTGTATTATGATACAAGGAACATGGGTTTGGAGGCCAGACTCACTTTCATAAGCTATGTGAGAGCCTGCCTTCAATTTTACTTTCTTCCTCTGCAAAAAGGGGGCACTGGTAATGACATTTAATCTCTGGTTCTTTGCTGTAACTGACTGAGTTAAGCAGAAAAGTAGTTTGTTAAAGGGATCTTGGGAAGCTCGGAATTGTTGGGAGCACTGATTAACCAGGGTGGAAGCTAAGGATCAATAAAAAGACACAGCTGATCTATGAGGAAAGACCTGTTGAGAGAGAGAGAGAGAGAGAGAGAGAGACAGAGAGAGAGAGAGAGAGAGAGAGAGAGAGAGAGAGAGAGAGAGAGAGAGAGAGAGAGACAGAGAACACATCTAAGGGAGTGAGACCTTACTTGGCTTATGCTCTTAATAGCAGGTGCAATTGATTTTTACAATCTGGATCACATGGCCTGTGCCCTAGAGTACATGAAGTGAGGAGTGTTAACCGTTTTCAGCTGCCATACTACCGAGCAGTCTTTGTCCTCAACCAAGACTCTTAAGACAGAAGATTCCTTATACGTAAAAAAGAATTCAGAAACTGGGGGACAAAAACAAAAATCTACCCTACCTATCTGACATGAATGTTTACAAGTGATGTGGGCATAAATGTAAAAGTACTTTGTGAACTGTAAAACTCTAGATAAATTATTATTTTTAGTTGATGGCTCCTCCTTGCTTGACAAGGTGAGATCCCAGAGAGCTTGGAGGCGCTAATGCCATTCGAGGGAACCTGAGATTTGCTCTTTTTTCTCATTCTGTCATGAGAAACACATAATGACCCTGCTGAACTCTATTTAGTCTTTACTGAGTTTATAGCCCAAGGCAAAAGCAGCCAAAGTTTTTTTGGAAGACAAAATTATTCTTCACTTGCCCACCCAAATCATATACCAAGCTTCTCAAAGCTGTAGAACGGCTCACAGGAAGACCAAAGAAGCAGTTCTTGTGTATTGCATTTTTAAAATCATTGTAACAACATAACAATAACTTTTCAAGTACAAACATGTAGTGTTTGTCCATGGATCAGCATAGGCATGCTTTTATAGGTTATTGCTTAGTACATTCTCTTAGCATATAACAGAATTATTAAATTTTATTAAACAATTTACCTAGCAGTTACTTGGGCCTCCCTTCCTCATACACATTTTTCTGTTTCCCTCCAAATACCTGTCTTGGAAATCTATGAGTATGTACTATCCAAATGTATTTGAGAAACCTATAAATTTTTTAAGAAAAACATTTTGTGAATTTAAGATATGGGTACCATCCTTAACAAAGTATTTTGTTAGTATGACATCTCCCTAACCAAAGACAAGGGGGGAAAAGTGATATCACAGATATAAAGAAGTTCTGGGTATTTTTGTTTGTTTGTTTCAACCGGGATGCATTAAACCTGTGTTAGTATATCCTATAATTGAAATAAGTTTTACAGTGCGGATTCTAACTGAAGCTTATAAAAACACAATGAGAATATGGGACGAACATAAGTGGAATGAACTGATGTAAAAACAGTATCTGAAAACATGAAATATACAAGAACAGAAATATAATTTGCAATTGCTTACCGAAATACCTCCTCATATTTGCATTTGGGCTACAAAGATTTCAACAAATATGAACACACCTACAAATGTAACAGTGAAATTGGTATTGTTCCCGCGCTCCATGTTGTGGAATGTGGTTCTACTAAAACAATGCCACTAGTATTTCTCCCTGCAGGAAGGTTGGTTGAACAATTTGATATAAAAATCAACCTATGGAAGAATTAAACCCCAGTTGCTGTGGCATCTCCGCATTGGAAAAAAGTCAAAATGATGGGGCTCCTATTGTCCCAGGAATGGTGTCATTCAGTGTATGGGTGACAAAGTGAATACATGGTTGTCAATGGAGCTGCATCTAAGATTGTTCCTGACTTTGGGGATTTCCCTTCCCTCTTTACGAATTACATTTCAACAAAGCCAAGTATCCCAACTCTTTGATCTCTTCAATTCCAACTGCAGTTCCCCTTGGATGCTCCACTGCCCAACCTATCCCATTACTTCTTATGTGATACACGAGATGGGTGGATAAGAGAAGAAAACAATCAAGTGCTTTTGTTTCAAGTATAACAACACCTATTTCCCACTCCTTTGGAAAACATTAAAGGGATTTGTCATTCTTTAGGAAAAATAAAAAATTTTATGAAAGAGTATGACATTCAATAAAATTAACAACACAGGTCACAATTAAGACTGCTGACCAGTGTGAATTCAAATCAAATCACCTAGCATAAACTAAAATGAACGGGTCCCAAGACCGAGGCAACTGCTAGAGACAAACGTGTCCCTCTTTCTCTGCGGAATAACAACATAATACTAGAGCCTATGGGAAGATCAAGGTATCAGGATAGTGGAAAAAGAAAAGGATATGTGACAACCTGATACTTGTCGGGGCGGAAGGGTTGGAGAGAAAATGAGAGTCTATATATGGTAATTGGGACAGGCATGGGAGGGGGTGTGATCCTTTGAGAATGAACCTCAGAAGGAGGGAATACCAACCAAGAGCAAAAAGGTCATACAAAAATGTTAGCAGTCAGCTCATCTCAGCTCAGGATGTCACCACAAGGGATTTTATCTGCAATTCATGCAAATTCAAATGCATTTACTAGCATACGCAAATTACATGCAGCTGGTGCGTGGATATCTAAAAATAGGAAGTGGTAAACTCTTAACAAAGGTCACTCTTTTCTAAAATTCATGAGATGGCAGCTTCGCCTGAGAGTGGAGAAGGAGGGGATGCAGGAGAATTGGCGGGGATTCTCCAGGTACTCTACTGCTCTTCTCAATTCCTTGGAGCTATTTTAGGTGTTGTATAGGCAAGAAAATTCACCACAATTCCCCACGTACGACACAACCTCACTATCCCATCCCCTCCTTAGGGTAAGAGGAGGTTTCTGATTTTCACAGGCTCTTCTTTGGCTCAGTCTTTTCCTCCTACAGAGTATCTTTCTTCCACAGCCCACATTTCCAGAGGGACTCACAAAGGTTGTCGCTTAAGTGCAAAAACATTGGAAAAGTGTCTTTTACTTTATGTGATTCCAACCTCAAAGAATCCATATCCCCAAATAGAGAAATGTGAAAACTAACCACTTGCCCTCTGAGAATTAGACTAAAACCTTATCTTTACTTACTGTCACCTGTAATAATATTAACAACATCTGTACCTGTGGTACTTTTATATAGTCTCCAAAAACCTTTTGTTTATAGTATGACCAGCTGGAACTCATTCAAGTTTAATTAAACAAACAAACAAACAAACTTGTCAATACATGTAAGTAGAACTGTTTGAGAACAAAGAGATCCAAGCTCCAGCTTCTCTGAGACATTCTCCAACAGACCAAATGTGAAGTTTTCCCTTTCCTTTGTTTGGCTTTTTTCCCCTCACTACAAAGCTTTCCCAGTCTTGTGTCTGCTTTGGAGTCTCTGCAAGCGATGGTGGCTGACTCCTTGCTATTCCAAGCTCTGAACAGTGTCTTGTCTCATTTGGGTGGCCTTCATTTACTTCCACAAAATGAATACCACTGTGGAGTCAAATTTATATAATCATTTACTGTAAAATATAATCTTTGTTACTTGTTCGAAGTTACACATACACATGGTATTAGCAAACTATGCAGACCAACCCCTTCTCTCTGGAGAAACAGGGACCTGAGTACCAGCACTTGGTACAGCCAAGTTATTAAGTGTTTACTGAACACAATGCTGTAAATTCTGGTGATTCTAGTTCTCTGTTGATAGTAAACTTACTGAAGCTTGTGCTCCGCACAAGAATTGATTTCTCATCTACTCATCTACTTGACCACCAATTAATTTAGTTATGCAGGTAATCAGACAGTGTGAGAACAAACAAGCTCAAATTCCGATTCCGCCATTCAGTGACGTTAGGCACATTATTTACCCTCTCTAGACTTCTCTCTGAATGTGGGTTGTTGTGAGTAGTAAATGAGACAACATGCAGATGTACTAATTTTATTAGCAGTTGTTTACATTGCACTCAAATAGAGTCAAATAGCAACCCCAGACATTTGTAGGTGTTTTGGTTGTTTAATTGAAACAGGAACATGGAGAAACTGACGTGGTGAGGAAGGTTCTGAGAAGAATGCTTCTCCAACGTCACAGACATAGTCAATAAAAAGGCTGGGGCTGGTACCTAGGTCTCCTCTAAAAGCAGAATATTTTTTACTCTATCCCCCTGCCTTCTTTGGTGAACGATTTTATGAGAATCAAATGTGTTGTAATCTAAAGAACATACTTTCTTCCTTTCCACTTTTATTTAAATAGCCTACAGACCCAGTGTTATTCACCTTTTATTAAGGATTATAGTTAAAATGCATACCTATCATTGGTATTAAATACACATACACAAATACTTAAATACACTGGACTAGAAAGCTTGCATTGTAATTAACTAAATTGCTAGAATACAAAAATTATAACCTTTCCTTTAGCTTACAAAAATAAAATTCTAACTTTAGTTCTTTAACTCAGAAGCTGTATGATATGAATAGCAGGGTAACCAATATCTAAACAATATTTTGGTAATGTTAAAATGAATAATCTATAAGCTTGAGGTTTTATTTATTTTTTTCAGCATGCTCTTCTGGTAGCTGTATAGGGAGTGAAAAAAAAATAAAATAAGGGCTTTTCTTTCCTCCTTGTTCAGCAACTAACCTGAGTGTTCACTGGCTGATGAGATTTGAAAGTTCTTGGATGTCTTCTCCAATGTTTAGTAATGAAATAAAGAAAAAAACTGCTATTGCTGACCTCTCAAGGGCCTCAGTCTCTACCTCTTACATATTTCTAAACATAAGGAAACAAGAAAATATAAGGATGCAAGAGAAGGTTAAAAGGGAAGATTAAAAGAGAAAGCTAATTAAATACACCTGTCTTGAAAACCTGTTTAAATGCTTAATCCATTATTTAAAAAGGATACTTATGTGTTTCCTTTACTGCGATTTCCATCTGCTGTAAAGGCCCCAGGAATTTGTGAGTCTGTTTCTTAAATAAGAAATTTAAATTCAAGCAACTATCAATTATTCATGTCAATAATACACCAAGTTAGCACAAATTACACTCATACCTCATTTGAACCTATAACATCAATCAGACCCTTTATCAAAACTGAAGTCCCCAAATCCAGAGAAGAACATACTAAAATTGGCAGAGAAAAACAAGGAGTTCTGAAGGCTGCATCATCATGATTACGAGCCTGGGAATAATTAATGCATTGTTTTACAAAGATGAATATTTACACTGCAGGTAACAGGTATATAGGAATTCGAGGTTAGATAATCATTTTCTATATTTACTTGGCTTTCATTAAAGAATAAACAGGTATTTAGACAATTGCCATGAATTTAGTTTATTCTCAGAGGTATTTAAACATTTTCCCTTTTATTCTACCAAAGATACCAGGCTAAAGAACAAACATACTTGTGTCAGTCAAGTGCCTATCAGGAAACACTGGGCTGTTTTATAATAGATAACCTGAGAAGAATTTATTCGAGGGGCTTGAATTTATTGACTTGAATTTAGTCAACTGACTTCCCAAACCCAATGGGAAGCCAGAGGGCAAGACAGACAATTAATGCAGCCCCTCAAAGTCAGCCTTCTGGGATACAGAGCAGAAATGGAAGGTCAGAAAAAAAGATATCTAGCACAAAGGCCCACTGTATATAACACCATTTAATCGGTCAGCAACTTCAATTCGGACACATTTTGCTCACTCATCTAGATGAACCAATCAAGGTCAGTACTCTTGTAATTATTCTAAGAAAGAACAAATGGATATTTTATATCCCGAACTAAACTGAAAATCAACTTAGTATATGTTCTTGCCTTTCTATTTCCTACTCTGGCAAATGTGACCCCATCTAGGATTTTAAAAAAGTTTTATAAAAGAATTAATAAGTTCACAGGTGCTGTGAAACTGATTGGAGGGATAACCAGCTCATACCATGCGGGATGAGAGAAGGCATCACTAGAAAGTGACATGCGTGGGAGGTGAAGGAGGAATTCTCCAAGTGTAGATGGTGGAAGGGTGAACAGTTGGAGCACATTAGAGGAATGACACAAATCCTGACGAATGGAGGAGGAGGAAGAAGAGGAGGGGATACATAGAGTAGAATAGACTCGATAATAAGGAAGGGAATGGGTCCTGAAGAGTCTTGTATTTTTAACATATGTCAAGATAGTAAAGGATTTTAATGTTCTTATTTTGGTTCAGAAATATCACTCAGGGAGCAGGATAGGGGAAGACCAGAAACAAGGAAACGATTTAATAAGACTCTTAACAAGGGTATAGGTAAGAGAAGGGGAATAAACATAGTGGCTACTGTGGGTGGCTGGGGGTTTGTGTCTAAGGCTTTTGAGAGCTACTACAGAGGAGGAATTAATTGGTATGAATTGTCAGGACTTGCTGACTAACAGTTGTTGAGATGAAGGGGAAGGGATGGCTGGCTTCTGGGGTGAAAGAAGGCTTTTCCTATTACACCGCAATTTTCCGTGGGAGGCCACTTCCCAGAACCTACACAATGATCAAAGATGTTACTTACTTCAGTGTAATGCATCGTGAACCTGTATGTATAGAAATGAATTTTCTAAAATATTTGCTGTAGGTTCTTTCATGAATATAAAATCTATGGCTGTTACTATGATCTGAATGTTTGTGTCCCTCCAAAATTCATGTGTCAAACTCTAATCCCTAACATGTTGGTGTTAAGAGGTGGGGCTTTGGGCGGTGGTGACTAGGTTGTGAAGGTGGAGCCCTAGTGAATGGGATTAGTGCCCTTTTAAAGAGGCCTGAGGGGCTTGTTTGTCCCTTCTACCATGTGAGGACACAGCAAGAAGGCACCATCTCATGAGGATTGAGCCCCCAGCAGACAACAAAATGGCTGGTGCCTCGATCCCAGGTTCCAGAACTGAGCATTACATTTCTATTACTTATAAATTACCCAGTCTAAGTTATTTTGTGATAGCAGCCTGAACTAAGACAGCTGTATATGGAAAGTGTCAGATTTTTTTTTTTTCCACAATTGCATGTTTGGTATACATTAAGCCTCTAGTAATGTACATGTACACTTGTAGTCCACGTTATGTAAATTCATTTGATAATCATTGATCAAGTATCTACTATGTAGTATACTGTAGATGTTATTTTGCAAAAGTATTAGAGAAAAAAATTTGAAAATATTTGAAAATCAAATCAGCCTCTGATATTGACCCTCATTTTCTTCGTTAAGTTTTGTCTGACCTACTAAGCTATAGGAAAACTTTATCTTAACATATTTGGCCAAATCCTTGGTACAAAGAAAAAATGTTTGTACGTGTTAAGGCCACAGACTTACAGTGTGTTTTTTTCCTCTAGTACTATTATAATAAGTTAACATATTTCCCCTATATGCGGAAAATGCTGACTATATCTTTTGGTTGCTTTGGAACACTATCTCCTCACAACAGTCCTTGTCTACAGAAATGGGAAAGGGAAGGACACATTTTGGTTTCTGCAACATGGCAACATTCGTAAAACCAGAAATGATGTGTGACAAGAAACTAAAGAACTAGACGAAATTCACTTCCATTCACCCTGGTTAAAGCTTCCTTGAATCAGAGATAAGAAACAACATGAAAAATCTATTCCTTTTAGAAAACAAGTCTTTAACCCAGAGGTTGGTTTATTTTGAAAAGGAATTAGACTCTGGGCCCACATACCGCTCGTTCAAAATATAATGCTGTGGTTTCAACTCCTGCTAAATGTTGCTGTGACTTTTAAGCAGAGAACTTCTAAAAGGAAGTAACCTAGGGAGGGGCTGATATAACTCAGACATCAATAATTCATTTTATTGGAAATAGGAGTAGTAGTATGAAATGCTAGCAGACTGTTTCATTTGCAGGGAGGCATTTTCTATTTTAAGCCTAGAACAATGCAGTCAGCTTTATTTGGCAAGCTAATATGAATGGAGGCAAAGCTGAATCGAAGGATGGGTTTTTATGATCTCCTCTAATCACGCTATTTCTTTAGCATCAGTTATTTAAGTCTGACATACCACCATTTGGGAACTTGCAAAAGTGACGAGAAAGGGATTTTTATAACTTTTGTACTTCAGAGGTGATTTCCTTCACTCCAAAGCCTTGGCACTAGAAATGTAATCATGCAAGTCTAAGAGATGATTTGCATAGTTTTGAGGCTAGATCCTCTGTTAGTACTAAAAACCCTTCAGGCATTAGAGTTTCTTACTAAATTTTCTCCCAATTCAGCCCATTAATAATCTATACTATTTCATCATTGATTCCCCAGGTATTTAGCACAGAGCCACTCGCCAAGCAGCGTCTTAATGAATACTGCTTGAATGAATAAACAAACGCAGGCAAGTATGACATAATTCCAAATATGTTCTGAAGCCTACTGGTCTGATTGTTCAGTGAGGAGGCATTTGCATAGCACATGCCTCAACTTCCTTATTCTGATGATAATTACAAATTCCTCACCTTCACTATTTTATATCAAATTCAAGGACTCATGCTCTACTAAGGGAGATGGGAAAATGGAATTAAAGAAAAGCAGATTTACTGTAGACGGAAAAGAGCCACAGCTCCCAGCCCCAAGGAAGCAGACAAACCTATCTCAACTTCTAACCCTGGAAATAAACCTTAAGTCCCCCAAGGACGCAGACAAACCTATCTCAACTTCTAACTCCGGAAATAAACCCCAAGTCTTAATTTAAATTTGAAGTGTTCATAGGCACACATATTTTGAGATAACTGTAATTTTTAACTAGTTATTTATCAAGAATTAGATATATGAATAGAACACACAATTATAATAATAACAACTGTAATTATGTAGCATCTATTATGTAGTAAGCTTGGTATTTTACACATTTTATTGATAATCTTTAGAGGTATTTTATTATTATTATTTTTTGAGACAGGGTCTCGCTCTTTCGCCCAGGCTGGAGTGCAGTGGCACAATCTTGGCTCACTGCAACCTTGACCTCCTAGGCTAAAGCAATCCTTCTATCTCAGCCTCCCAAGTTTCTGGGACCACAGGTGCATGCCACCACACCTGGCTATTTATTTATGTATTTAGTAGAAACAGGGTCTCCCTATGTTTCCCAGGCTGGTCTCAATCTCCTGGACTCAAGTGATCCTCCAGCCTTGGCCTCCCAAAGTACTGGGATACAGGTGTGAGTCACTGTGCCCAGCCTAGAGGGAAGTATTATTATGCCCATTCTAGAGACTTTTTAGAAAGTACTGAAAGCTCAGTTGTTAGCTCAAAAGACCATAAAGATAATCAAGGAGAGCCAAGGCTAAAAGTCAACTTCTCTAAACTACAAAGCTACTCATTTCCTAACTCTAGGTGGCCACTATCCAAACAGAGTTATCTATCTGTGGATTCATGCTTAAAGATAGATCCATTGATCATATCCATTATTATGGTCTAATGAGCAAAGAGGGCATTTTAATCCTAAATGCCTGACTACATGCTCTTGGTCAGCTGAGAAAAAAAATCAGGCAGAACTACTGAGAGGAGCTAAAGGTAAATCTATACCCTCGGCACTGCTGACTTCCATAAAACAGAGGCAGGGAGTGCTGGTGTTACACCTGTGAAAATTCCCTATTTCACCGTCAGGATGGCAAACCTAAGCACACACTGGGAACAATGTCTGTGTCCTCCAACAATCAATCCCCCACTGCACTCAATGAACCATGGCCAGTGCTTAGGATGGGTCAAAGCAGGACACCCTAGAATACCCCAGATGAGCACGACTGTCATGATTCTTCTTGAACAAGGGTCTTGGGAAGTGGCCAAGTTTAAAAGAAATCCTTAAGGAAAAAAAAAAGCAGTTTTAAAAGGATAGTCTATAAAAAGCCATCAAAGCCAATATTCAAAGAATTGCCTTTACATATAGTCTGTATTATAATACAGACTACAACACATATTTGGCTTATTTAATGTATTAAAATCATGCAGGAAACATTGTTGAATATAAAAAGGTTTTTAACTTTCTTTTGGTTATAGTCATATAAATTTGTTATTAGTATGTGTTATAAAATTGTATAAGATTCCTATAATTCTGATATGTCTCAATACATGTCATCAGTAATAATTATAATTGTTATGTTGGATTATTGTGTGTCACAGAGGTAACAAATTTCCTTGTCAATTGTGTCTTTGACTGTGGCTTCCCTAAAATATTTTTGTCATCCACAGATAATTGTTATCTTGATTTGGTCCTCTTTAGATGGTTTTATAATCAGCTATAAAACTTTAACAGGTGCTCTTGAATGCAAGTTTCTGATAACTTTGGAGATTATGACATTAGAATAAAGGGAAAAAAACCTTTCAGGACTCTCATGGAGAGCTAAAATGTTTATGAATATCCAGCAGAACAGGAGTTAACTAAATGGACTTAAATAACAGAAAACTGAAGTAAACTTTTTAGATTTTTTTTTTTTTGCTTAAAGTATTGCTGATCCTTTTTGTTTTTCAGAGAGAAAAACACTTCTTTTGAGCTATTTCCAGCTTTTAACAATTGAATAAAGTATACTCCTGTGAATAAAATTTAGAGCATATTTGTTTCTCTCTACCTAATTTCTCCAGAATTTAGAAACTTTTTTTGAGTATTCTTAACTTATGGCAATATAATTGTTTGCATAAGTGCAATAAGAATGTTTTCTTTTGAACAGGACACAGTTGAAGAAACTGGTTATTTTACCAAGGCTTTGACTGGAATGGCATGCTTTCCTTTAAGGAATCAAACTTGACTTGTAAAGTCAATAATAGCCCCTTAAGAAAACTTGCCTCAAACCTTGCCTACGTACCTCCTCTACAGGGTTCCTGACCTGTGCTAAGTGAAGACTGTCACTTTCTGACAGGCCTAGGAGCCCCAAGTTACCTTGGGAGCTCAAGAGGAGAGAAATTTACCCAACTCATAGGTATTAGAGGGTACAAACCCATGGCTGGGCTTGGCTTTAAAAAAGTCTTATCTGAGATTCCTTATGGAACGCAGTTCCATCAAAGCCAATTTAAAAAGCCTACGTAAAAAATAATTATTCTTGCTGCACCTTAAGCAAATAATCAGGTCAAGTATAATAAAACTAAAGTTTATTGGCAAACAAATCAGTCCTATCATGATTTGTTTTAATAAAAATAAGGACTGGAAAGAGAAAAATTATGTTCCAAAAACTACAGTACACCTGTTGTTAGTTGTTTTTGAGTTTTTATTTTTATTTTTCTTCCATTTAAACTAAATCCTAAATTTTTGGTGGACTGTATGTAAGTCCCCAAACTAATGCTTTCAAATCTTTACTTTTAAAACTGGGAATTGCACTCCTTATCCTAAAACTCATTATTTACCTTATAGTACACTGTCTGCTTAAACGCTATATTAAAACTATAGATGAGAATACTAACATCTTTGTCATGAAAGCCTCGGAACCCCAGCCTGGCCTGCGTTAAGTATGGTCAGACAGCTCAGACAGCAGCAAAGCGGTTCAGCTCCTCTCACCTTAGGGTCAACATCTACCCCACCTGCCCCCAACAGCAGGAAGAAGCCAGAGTGATCGACAGCCTTTTCCCATCTTCATAGGCCGCACTTTAAGAATAAGGTGTTATGAAACCCAAGGGGAGGGACTAGAATCACCTTTGCAAAAATTATAACTGAGAAAATTATGACACTGAAAGAGATCAGACCCAACCGACTCCTCCATCTTGCTTCTAACCTTTAAGCTGTCCTCGTTCATTCCTAGGTGTGGGCCAAACTAAATTTGGGAAGAAATTCAGCTCATGGTTTAACCCTGAAACAAAACTGATAATAGCCCTCTCCTGAAAAGACTCCCTTCTTGGCTGGGGACCAGTCTGCCGTTGCAGGACTAACAATTAGCTATGAGATTAGAAATTACAGTTTAGGGGTCATGCAGCCTCTGGCTCCGAGAGTGTGAACTCCCCAAATTGCTCCTGGGGATAACATCACTGCTGTAAAACCTAAGATCAGTGCTTGAGGTATTTGCAGAACCTGCACTCGACGGATCAGCTGACACCACCCAGACCGGTAATCTGGCTCAACCATTTCTGCCATCCCACCCAGGAACAGAAGATGGCAAGAAAACCTCACTTCAGCCCCCTATGATTCCATCTCCAGCCTGACCAATCAGCACTCCCCACTTCCTAAGTCGCTACCCACCAAATTATCTTTAAAAACTCTGATCTCCATATGTCTGGGGAGGCTGATTTGAGCAATAATAAAACTCTGGTCTCCAGCACAGGCAGATCTGTGTGAATTACTCTTTCTCCATTGCAGTTCCCCTGTCTTGGTAAAATGGCTCTGTCTAGGCAGCAGGCAAGGTGAACCCACTGGGCAGTTACAGTAAGTCTGAAAGAAAACTATCCAGTTTAATGTAGGTCTCTCTTTTCGCTTGGAAGTTCTGGAAAATTCTACCTATAGCAATTTGTGTATTAATGCTTTCACCACTGAATCTGATCGAGAAGATTTACTTGGTTGTTCATGTCAACCAACAGCATGTTTCTACAGTTATTTTGTTAAGCTTTCTTTGTAGACAGTAAAGAAAAACCACATAGGTACAGTGACAGTTTTCTAGGTCATATGGTTTTATCTAAACTTACTGACTTAATCAAATAAACCTAGTTGAGAAATTTTTCCCTAAAGAAAAAAGCAGATTAGAAATAACAAAATAAATGGGTTAAACAGTTCTCTTTGCAACTTCAGTGCATGTTATGTAAATAAAACATGTAAATAAAAATTCAAATGAAAGTATCTAAATTACAGCATTATCCTGAGGAGCTTCATAGTAAAAGGGAAAAAAATTACTGTGATTTAGAGATTAGAAATGTCTACTAATATTGTAAGGAATCTGGGTCATTATGTAAGCAAGAAAACCCATTCTCTCTTACTTGCCTGAGGAATGTTAAAATATTCTGTTATCAAATGGATGTGAATGTTGATTTGCATTCACTAAAAACCACAGTAGTAAACGGAAAGCATAATTGTGGTTAACCGGGTTTCTGTGCCTCTTGCCTGGGCGGGGGGCGGGGAATAAGAAAGGTAATGCCTTCTTCAGTTGGCAATAATCCTTCTAGGTATTTCAGGTATATTAGTGAAAAACACAATAACTACAGAGGAGAGAGGAGCGAAGGAGGAGTAAAGAAATGCTCAGGTAGGGACCTCAAATGCAGTATTCAATCATGTGTTGAATTTAACAGAACAAAATAATTCTTTTGGGAGGCACTTTGCTTGGCCTCTCCCTTCACCACCCCTGTCCCTAAACAAATGGCTCACAGGGCAATTACCACGTGAGGGGTCATCTCTTAGTTCCAGTCTCAAGATTTGGAAATGCTGAGCCATTCCCCAGGGCTCTCTCTGCAACCATTCTTTCTATATGGACCACCCCTTTTTTCTTACTCAGAGGCTTCAGTGGAAAGACACTTGTTAATCTTGGAGCAAATTAGCAATCATATGTTATCAAGGATTTTGAAGAAAATACTTCCCTCAGTATGAGCAGAAAACAAAGCTCCTTGCCAGCCACATGCCAGCCACCCCTCACTTGGGCCTTACTTGTTCTCGTTGCTTGCATCATAACGAGGCATTGGGTCCAAGTCATTCCCATTCACGTCGCAACTTGCCAGAGCATCCTATGGCCACAGAGGAGAGAGCAAGGGAAAGGAAATGGACATTCATTAATTAGCCAATGACCCACAGGCTCATGCATTTTTAAATACATTTCTGCCAGAAAGTAATTAGGTTAACTAATACGCTCACCTCACGGTTCAGTGGTGTCAGGATGCCTTAGGGAGGCAGTGCTCATTCAGTGATAATTAGTGCCATATTTTTCCCCCTTAAGGTGAAGAAGAACTCTACACAGACCAAACAAGTGCCTGGTTCATTCTTGCCAGCACTTTTTCCCCTCATACCTAGAATGACCCAATTCATGAAACGTATATCTTTCAAAGACATCCTCATTATTACCTTTTCTCTGAGGTACACCTTGACTACCTAGGCACAAAGTGATTTATTCTCCATAGACTCTCTCCCTACTCCTTACTTGATTTCTTCAGCTTGCAACTTCCTTATCATAATATATAGATTTCAGAAGACAAAAATCATTCACATATCATTGGCAAGCCAATTAAAAATCAATATTCGATCTTTATTATGTCAGGTATCTTGGGACCGCTATTAGACAACCCTCGTCTGGTTCCAGGTATTGTATCTACTATAAAGGAGTCCATAATTTAGACATTCTACTAATAACCATTGGCTTTTGGACCAACCAAAATAATGAACAGTTTTCCTACACTAAGATTTCAAAATGAGGAAACAGTATCTCCAGAACCAAAGTTGGATTTGCTTGTTTGCTTTTAAAACTGATTGTGAAAAATACCTGCATTACTGAAAAAAAATTACTAGTTACAATTGATCAAATTTATGTCACTGTAGCCAGCCTAATTTAATATGCTTTCAATTTTCTTTGATTGATTGATTAATTGAAACAGGGTCTTCCTCTGTCACCCAGGCTGGAGGGCAGTGGTGTGATCACGGCTTGGCTCACTATACCCTGTATCTCCTATGCTCAAGCAATCTTCCTGCCTCAGCTCCTGAGTAGGTGAGACTACAGGCAGGTGCCATCACACCCAGTTATTTTTTTTTTACTATTTTTAAAATTAATTATTTTGGTATTTTAAAAATTCAGTTAGAGCTATTTTTCATAATTTGGTTAGAACTCCTGAGGGGCATTCATTTTAGTATAGTAGAACATTTTTATAGCACTTCTGGTTATTTGAGTACTTAATGAATGCTTACTTCAAACATGGGCATAATTTCTGCCCTATGTCTTTTTCAGTTAAATTTCCTAAGAAAGATACAAGAGTATAAGGAGGGAAAAGAAGTCTCAGAGGGAATACAAGAGATTAAGACCACAAAGATATGGGGTCACTACAACAATTTGGCAGAAGTTTCTTTCTCTTTATGTTAGGTGGCTATAAGAAACATATGTAGATAAATAGTATAGGAATACAGATGCGGGGTAAAATGGTGACTCAACATCTTACTATCAAATGAAAAATGGGCTGCTTCCTCCTTCTAGCCTGGAATAATGTGGTGTTATTGAGAACCCTTCTCTGGAGTATAATTTGGCTTATTTTCAGTTCTGGTGGTCTGTTGAGTGGCTTGGTCTCTCTCTCTCTCTCTCTCTCCTCATTTTTTTTACTTTTATTAGAGATGAGGTCTTGCTGTTTTCCAGGCTGGTCTCAAACTACTGAGCTCAAGCAATCCTCCTGCCTCAACCTCCCAAAACACTAGAATTACAGGTGTGAGCCACTGCACCTAGCCTGAATGTTCTTATACTTTATTATTATTCCTAATTTCAATGTTCGTGAAAGTAAACACTATCTTGATTTTCTGTCTTTATCAAAGGCTCCTCTTTCTGAAAATAACTTTTAGTACATAGAGCCTGAAATGTTTCGGGAAATCAAGTAAAATATACATTGTATATACAGGTGGTTTAAGTTCCTGCTTCTTGTGCAAAAGAGGCTCTGCAGACCTGCTAAGTGTCCTTTGGAGCACGAAGGCTTCAGAGTGTATCTAATGTACCTTACTAATTTTACTGATAAGGAAAAAGAGGCCCGAAACAGAGGACCAACCAAAATGATAAAGTTTTCCTATGCCAAGATTTCAATATGAAGAAACAGTATCTCCAAAACCAAAGTTGGATTTGCTTGTTTGCCTTTAAAAGTGATTAAACAAATCCAGACTGGAGGGAACCCAAGTCTTTGACATGTTACCGAACGTGCTTTCTCTCTTACCCACCAGGTCCAACATAAAGAAGAACCGAGAGGGCACCAATCATGCTAATTGCACAGATAATTCTGGAGAATTTTTTTCTCAAGAGGAGAAAATGACAAACATAAAAGACGGCACTCACAATTACATGAATGCTATTTGTATTTAGTCAAATACATTTGTATGCAGTGGGGAACAGCAGCATGCTGTAAAACCCTCTTCGCGTGTGACAAGAAAGACATCTCTGCTGGGGCACAGGCAGCCATAGTTTCTATTCTTCTATCTGACCATGGATAACTCACTTCAGTCTTCAGGCTACAGTTTATTCTCCTATCAAAGGAGGAGACTAACCTGAAGTTCCTTTTTAGCTTGAAAATTCTATTCTGTAAAGAGACAGTTTATCTGAGTGCACTTAGATGCAGCAACTCAACTGTTTTGTTCAAATGAGAACTAAATGAATTTGTGGTTTCTTCTTAAGAAAGGAATTGATTCCTACAGACTACTGGGAGGCTGATCATTACTGTCCTTTAAAAAAAAGAAGAGGCAGAGAGAGAAAAAGACCAGCAGATAACTGGAGAAAAGTTCGAAGTACATTTTTCTCCATAAAAGAAACAAAGAGTACTGCCTGGCTGGTTGGATAAATTGTTGAGAACAGCGAATGTTGCTGGTAGCAGATGGTGTGGTGGCGGAGTTTCTGCTACCTTATTGCTTTCTTTTTGTAAGTCAGAACATCAAAGGCACTGGAAAGTTGAAAGGGTTATCTCATGCTTCCTGTATTCAAAGAATTCTCATCTTTTACCAGAGAGAAGCAAAACACAATACCCTATTGTACGTTGCTACATTTTTCAGTAGCTATCCACCTTTTTGATAATCCTAACATGAGTTTCTCTGTTTCCCAGAAGGAAAGACCTTCTAACCACAGCATACACTCACGTAGTTTTGCATCAGATCTGGATGGGTTCTCTCAATTCCGTCATCCAGGATAGTGACCACAATGTTCTTTCCCGTGTAGCCTCTCTTCCAGGCTCCTTCGATATTCATGTCAGACTGGCAGGGATGTGTATTGTCACTGCAGTGCTGAAAGAAGAAGAGCATGCTGCAAGATTACTAAATAGTGAGGAAATGGAAGAATTACCTATTTCTTTCTTTCTTTTGTTTTTTTTTTTCTCTGCTGCCCAGGCTGGAGTGTAGTAGTGTGATGAGCTTACTGTAACCTCAAACTCCTGGGCTTATGGGATCCTTCTCCCTCAGCCTCCTGAGTAGCTGAGACTACAAAGGCACACCACCATGCCCAGCTAACTTTTAAATTTTTTGCAGAAACAAGGTCTTGCTTTGTTGCCCAGGCTGGTCTTGAACTCCTGGACTCAAGTGATCCTCCCACCTCAGCCTCCCAAAGTGCTGGGATTACAAGTGTGAGCCATTGTGCCTGGCTCTACTTCTTAAGATAATGCATTAAATTAGCAGCAATTTGGCACATTGTCTACTAGTGTAAAAACATAGATCTCCAGCATGAACAAGGGAAGACAGGAAGGAAAGATGTGGGAAAAGCAAGTGAAACAGAAATCTCTCCGCCACCAGCTCTGTCCTGTTCTGATACCGTAAGTCTTTTGGAAAAGCATAAACTAAATAAAGTGTATCTCAACAGCAGAAAAATGGATGTATCATTTTATTGTTAACATGTTTTAATGACATACAAATAGGCATCATAGCATTTCATTTATAAATCCAAACCATGTCACTGAAGAACATAGACTTTATAATTTCTCAACCACGCGCCTAGAAGCCCATCCAGCTACAAATCGAACCACTCAGGCAGCTTCTCTGTACAGCAGCCAGATGTGTGCTCCTATGAAAAACCCATGGGCGAGAAAAAAATAACAGGTTCTCCACACTTCTTTCACTAAATTAACAATGGCTATTGTACCATAATTTGTAGCCAGTAGACAAATTCATCAAGCACTATTTTTTTGAGAAGGAAAAGAAGAACAGTGCCAAGTCCAGAAAGGTGTCCTACACAGGACAATGTGTGTGAAGGCTTCGAGGGGAAGGCTGTAAAACATGGAACCTGAGCTCATTATATATAGTAATTTCATTCTGCAATGGCTACAACATACAAACATATTGAAAAACAAATTAAGGCAGCAGCTTTTCCTGACATAATTTACTAGCATTCATCTAACCCACACAATTGTTCCTTTAAAGTCCGACTCTTTGAAATATCCCTCTGTGTGATGTGTGATGTTGTTTTCCAGGTTCTTAAGACTCGGGAGAGGAACAAAAGAGGAGAGCTGTGCTGCTACATAATTCCATAGTAACACGAGCCACCCCAGGTCTTTCCCTATTCACTACTTTCTTCCTGCTTTGTAACAAATAGTTCAGCATATCGGGAATGGAAGAGAATAGAAGCTTAATATGCCCTAAATACAATGGAGACTTCACTGCCATGGATTCACTTAACACACACGTCATTGAGTACCTACTATAATTAAGAAATTATAAAGTATATGTTCCTCAGTTACCTGGCTTGAATTTATATGCTAGGGTATGGCTGTGCGCAAGGCAGATGAGGTCCCTGTCCTAAAGGCGAGACACAGAAGATAAACCACCAAATAAACAAGACCATTCAGAGAGCTCCCTGTGTTTTAAAGGCTCTTTGTGTTTTAAACACTGTGATATGATGGTGAATGCTGAGGGATCTGAGTACACCACTTTAGATGAGATGGTCAGAAAAAAGACTCCAGTCTCTGCAAACGTGAAATGTGAGAAGGAGTTGGTCTGCCCAAGAGCCTAGGGACAAGTGTCCTGGTAGAGGACACAGCAAATGCAAAGATGGTAAGGCAGGAAAGAGTTCAGCGTATCAAAGAAAGAGAAAGAGGATGGGTAGGATGGGTATTGTTGGAGCTTAGAGAACAGGGAGAGAATGGCACAGAAGGCAGAAAGTTAGAAGCGGAGGCATGGTCAAATCATTCAGGGTGTTGTAGGCCACAACTCGGCTTTTATTCCAACTACATCCTAAGCAGAAGCTCCTTTCCAAACCTCATCCCTTACAGGTGCCTCCAATGCCTCCGAAATAAATTTGTTAATTAATTTATTCCCCAAATGAGACTGCCTTTTGTTGAGTGTTATAAATACATTTGAGTAGTTTCAAAGATTCATTCTAAGAAAGGGTGCACCCATGTTTTTATGACAGACAACATTGATTTCCTAGAGAACAGGGGCTTCTACATTTTTATGAACATTTGTATCTTTCCCCCATCTTCCTGACTTCTTTCTGGCACCTGAGGCCCTGAACACACACTCTCTACTATTCTACTCTACTAACCCGAATTCTCTCTCCCTCGTGCCTTCAGTTTTTGGGGCCCAGCTATGGACCTACCTCTTAACACATAGCCTTTTTCAGCCTACTTGTCTTTGTCTCTTCTCTGAACTTAGAAATACACCCCCCAACCCACACCCACACACACACTTTCTCTCTCTCTCTGTGTCTCTCCCTCTCTCTCTGTTCTATGCAATCCAACAACGACCCAGTGAATTGTGCCAAACTGTTGTTGACTGTTGAATCTTGGGTGTGAATTTTGTCTCCCTGACTGTAAGCCCTTAGAAGACCAAGCAATAAACTAAGTCTGCCCTAGGATTTCAAAAATATTGGCTAATTATATCCCAAAAATGGGGGCATATTCTCAACTTTATTTCCACTATGTGTACTGCTCTGACTTCTTCCAAGATACACTGCCAGCAAACACTTGGTTAACAAAGATTGATTAAAAAAATAGTGTAGATTTCTGAAATGCCTCCGTTTTTCAGAAGCCTCATTCTGGCCAAGAGTTTTTGGGCCTCTCCTCACCACATATTTTAATTTAACACAAAGCAACCTTGACAGGTTTTTATTCCATTCTCCTTTCAAAACCTGCCGTGGCCACCTGCGGTATCGATTGTGACATGAAGTCATGTTAATGTGGCCAAGAGGTGGGCCGGAGGAAGGAAATGCACAGGAAATGGGTAACCCACAAATGGGATAACCGGCCTGGAGTGGAGGGATGCTGCCTGAAATTGTAATTACGAAAATTGAAGAAAACCAGCCGTCTACGGAAAACATGCGTGTTAAAAGTGAAGCAACTAGGTTCCTTTCTTCCACCTCTGCTTCTGTTGAATCTGACTTTACCATTAAATATTCTTGTACCACCTTTTTGCTTGTTTTCTTTATATACATCACTATGGTAGGAGGTGAAAAAGAAGAAATATCCAACTGATGCTTTCATACGGATAATCTAATATAGCAAGCCACCAAAATACAGATGACAAAAAGGAATGTTAAAGCCTAGGGTGTCTTTTGCAAATGTGAGTAATAAGGTGAGAGGGCATTTAAATCAGAACCCTGAATCCTGAATGTGGATCTTCGACTTTTAATGCATTTCAAGTGGCCCAGGCTTCCAAATATGTTTCTAATGTAGTTGTTTCCTATACCTCAAGAATCCAGAGACCAAAGGCTATGGGAAATACTGATGTCACCCAACACTGACCAGAGATGAAAATGAGTTCATTTCCTTAACCGCCTAGTTGAAATGGTCTTTAAACTAGGCCCTATTTATTTGACAGGAATCTATGTTACAGCAGCACCCAGAGGCAAACGGAACACATATTAGCCATGATTCCCTCATACATCATCAACCATGGTGAGAAGGTCTCTGCCAGAGGTGGAACTAAAGAAGAGTGTCTAGAATTGTGTTACCACACATGCAGCCCACAGCCTGGTGTTCACCAAAGGGGCCAGTCAGAAATTTCCAGCATATTTGAAGCTATTGAAAACCACATACGTGCACAGTATATGCAAGATAAATATTTATAGTAAATGTAGGTATTTTCAGTTCTGAATAATGCACTGTACTTCAGTGATGGTCTATTAGGTATTTAGAAATGACACTGGACACATAAAATGGAAAATATCCTTAAGAAACAGCCAATATCACAAGGTCTCCACTTTCTTATCCATATCAGCTTGTACTTTTTTAGGAATGAAATTTTAAAGACATTGTCCTGTGAGTTCAAGAAATGGCCTTTTCCATACCAGGGTTATGAGCTATTCTGCTTATAAACCACTCTGGGTGCATCCACTTCTCTTGGGTCTTCATAAACATCTCACAGCTCAATGAAAGACAGTTTATACCCCAAATAAATACCTTTATTATGTTCTCATCATCATTATTTTAAGACTGAGGTGGGAGGTGCTGGCAGGGTTTATGGGTGGGAGGGCTTATGGTATTATATTTTTTAAATTTCTCTAAGTTCTGAGGGTCTCCAATGAACTGCCAATTTAAATGCTGTCAATAATCTGCTAACAATGAAAACATCTGTTGTTCATTATTATTGATAGAGTGGCTTATAAGACTTCATCTCCGACTATACAACATTAACAAGAAAATAAAATTAAATATCCAAAAACCTGTTTTACAGAGAAATGAAGACATACATCTAATCAACTAGGTAAAGGGTACATATACTCAAAATTCTTTGTAAAATTTGGAGTTCAGGAGTTGTTGGAAGTTAAAAAAAAAAAGAATTGATATTCCTTAAGTGAAAATATAACTACCGTTTACTAGGTCCTTACATGGCCAAGCATTTTACTAATCACTTTATCTGGATTACCATCATTTAAAATTTACAACAACCATTTGCAAGAGGTACTTTGGTCATTTGCTTTTAACAGATAAAGAAAATGAGACTTAATCAGCCTAGGTAACCTTCCAGAATTCAAACAGCTGGCCAATGTGAAATTAGGATTCAAACCAAGCAGTCTGACACCACAGCATAGGACTATGTAACTCTTGTGTTAAAACTAAAACAGAAAGGGCTTAGAGCAGGGCCAAAAACAAGCAAATTCAGATGAGGGTAGATAAGGAGTAGATAAGGCGCGGATGTTGGAGAAAGGTTCCAGTAAAGAAACTCAAATAACAGAAATCACTCTGGCCTTAGCACTTTGATGAGTACATTCAAGTGATAAAGTGGAATACAGTTGTTTAAGACCTTAGAGACCTACTTTTTCCTTATTCCATTTATTGCATCACATCTTTCTGGAAACACCAAGTTTATATTTGAAAATTTTCAGCAACAGGAAGTTCACTTCCTTATTAAATAGGCAATAAAGTGCTGGTAAATCAGTTCTTTAGAATAGCGGTCCCCAACCTTTTTGACACCAGGATCTGGTTTTGTGGAAGACAATTTTTCCACGGATGTGGGGTGGTTTCAGGATGAACCCACCTCAGATCACTGGGCATTGCCTTAGATTCTCATAAGAAGCACGCAACCTAGATCCCTCGCATGCGCAGTTCACAATAGGGTTGGTGCTCCTCTGAGAATCTAAAGGTGCTGCTGATTCGACAGGAGGCGGAGTTCAGGCGGTAATGCTCACCTGCCACTCAAGTCCTGCTGTGCAGCCCGGTTCCTAACAGGCCGCGATCAATACTGGTCCGCAGCCCGGGGCTTGGGGACCCCTGCTTTAAAAAACAGCCCTTATGTGTTAGTGTTTCCCAATTTCCACAGTGTAAATACTCACATCATGGCTAGTTTTAAACTACCACAACTGCAAAATTTCTAAATGTGTAACAATCAATGTTCATGACTTACAGAAGGTGGATCCAGGGTACCACTGGAAATAGCCCACTATGGTTAGTCCTGCTCCATTTCTGATTAAGTCATGCCTTCCAATGGATCTGAAATCTGCTTCTCAGTACTTGGGAACTACCGAAGGCTCCGTTCTCCCCTTTGCAGTTTCAGACAATAGTTTCACTCCCTCACACATTTTTTTTTTTTGGAGGAGACCTTCTTTAACCTTTTCCTCTCAAGATTACCTTTTAAAAATGAACATTCGACACGTGTGAGGAAGGCCGTAAGTTGATGGGTTCTTTTTGAGGTATACGAAGTAGAGATTCTGTGCCTCTAAAACTGCAGGTGCCTTTACAGATTCTTGGAAATACAAATCAAGGTAGTTAAGTCCTAAGATGTTTATTACAATACTTAATGAGTCAATTTGATGGACTTCAAATCCTTAGTTATCACACACACACACATACACACACACAATTGCCCCCAGACAAAACAGATGCTCTGTCCAATTATTCAGAGGATGATTATTCAGTCTGTGGATTATCCAGAAATCCCATGGAAGCCCAATACATTTCAACACCAAATTCAGCAGAGCAGATAAGGAGGTGAGCTAAAGGGAATTGGGCAGAGGAGAATTTGAATTCTACCTCTGCTACTTTCCAGCTGTATGACTTGAGTGTCAAGTCACCAAATTCTTAAAACCTCATCTGTAGTTTGAACACAGATAATTGCTATAAAGATGAAAGAAGATAAAGTACATAACAATTGGTTGCTGTTATGATCATGCTACTGTTGATGGCAGCACCTATATAGGGGCAAAGCCTTCTTATAATTTAGGGAAGAAAATTTTAGTTTTTTTAAAAAAGGAGATTGATTATCATAAAATAAGGAGAGGATGATTTTCTTCATTGTCTGGAGAGATAGATTGGCAAAGTTGAAAGGGCAATTGATCATTTGTAAGGTTAGCTGGATGACCTGAATTATTTTTTACATTTGAGGTCGTGGGCTGGAACTGGGAAATGGAGCCTGGGGAGGGGGTGCACAAGGAGGAAACAGCATGCAACGTCCTTTTGGCACACTGGCCAAACGTTTTTGGTATCCTATGAATCATCCTTTTTACTCCACACATTTATACCACTATTCCAACTCTGCTAGAACCATGGTCCCCATCTACTATGATACAGTCTTGACATAAGATCATTTCTCAGTTAGAAATGTTAAGAGTGCCAGACATAATGCCAAGGGAACATCAGAAAATAGTGGAGGTTGGGAGAAGAAGGCTGTGATCTACAAGATATGCTTATAGAGAGGAAAGCAGAATAAATCCTGTTCCAAAATTCTACTCATAATTGAGGGTTAAGAAATCAAAGCATAGAAGTCAAAGTATAACTGGATGGTCTTTAGGTTTAGTTAAGTGGATGGTGTTTCTCATTTGTACATTTTGTGACCCTCTTTGAATCTTTCCAAACCTGACCCATCGTGCATTAGAAACTTTCAGTCTTAAAACCATTTAACAAAATAAAAACCAATAAACCAAGAAACACATCTTGTGTCACCTTTAAGGAATCTTTACAAGTCTCATATTAGTGTATGGAGAACTGGTTTCCACTATATTACCTAGCCTTGGTGCTAAACCATGTTTTATGCTTCTAAAACTTAGCGGGCATTTCTGAGGCACCAAGAACAAGCTTATCTTTTATATGTATAACTCTCTGGAGCTGCCAGGGTTCACACCAATCTCAAGTACCTCAGTTCAAAGAACTGATTCAGGCTTCAGAAATCTAGGTCTGAAACCATTGCCTCCATCTCTATTGTCACTTCTCCTTCTCACTTACTACATTCCAATCACCATACTGGCCATGACACTGTCCCTATTGTTAGGTCCTTGAACTCTAGTCCATGCAACAGACAAGCAATTGCAAAAAATTGTTCATGAGTTACAGAAAGTGGATCCAGTGTACCACTGGAAACAGCCCACTATGGTTGGTCCATACCTTTACCAAGATGTAACATATCCTCTCCATCCCCCACTTGCCCTCTGGCACTACATGTTAGGTATCATTAACACAGTTTGTCAGGATACTGTGGGAACATGGAACCCAGTCAGGGGGAAGTGTAGGAAGGCTAAGAGAACTTTCTTGAGAAAATAACATTTAAACTGAGCCCCTAATACAAGCTGACTAGCCAAAGGGCGAGTCAGGGATGAAGAAGATATGTTCCATCTTGGTAAAAGTGTCAAATAATCATAGAGACTGGAGTGTTAAAGGAACTTAAGACAGTATAGCTGGAGAATACAAGTTACAAAAGGTGAGGTGGGAGATGAGAAAAATGGGAAGAGTTGAGGCTGGAGAGGTGAGGAAGGTGTGGTTTGCTAAAACCACAAAAAGCTCACTAATGTTTAAGGTTATCAATCTAAGGGAAGTTGGCCAAACCAGATGGGCAGGAGAAAATCCGTGCATCAAGTTGAAGCCACTTCTCTGAGAGTTGGCTGTATAACTGGGGAAGAAAGGCAATAAGAACACCTAAAGTTGTCCAGTATATGATTCTAAAGCAAATTAAGATCCCTGGGCATTCCACTGAACATTCTTTTCAATGAAAACCCAGTGTTTTTCTGCTCACCCATCCACCACTCTTCATATTGGTCATCTTTGGTTATATATGTGTTTTATCTGCCTAATGAAATTACAAGCCACTTGTGCTGTATGATTATTATATCTTTATAATCTTTAAAGTTCATAATAAAAATAATCATTCATAAATCAATATTTCTTGAGACGGTGTGATGGTTAATTTTCTGTGTTACTTGACTGGGTTAAGGAATGCCCAGAGAGCTGGTAAATAGTATTTCTGGATATGTCTGTGCACGTGCTTCCAGAAGGGATTAGCGTTTGGATAGATGGAGCTAGTAAAAGAAAACTGTCCACACAATGTGGGTGGGCATCATCTGATCTGTTGAGGGGCGGAATACAACAAAAAGTCAGAGGAAGAGTGAATTTGCTTTCTCTGGTAGAGCTGAGACATCCATCTTCTCCTGCCCTTGGGCACTGTTGCTCCTGTTTCTCCTGTCTTCAGATTCAGACTGGGACTTACACCCTTGGCTCTCCTGGTTCTCCAGCCTTCTGGGCTTGGACTAGAACTACTGGCTTTCCTAGGCTTCCATCTTGCAGATATCAGATCACAGGACTTCTCAGCCCCCATTATCACATGAACCAATCCTTCATGATAAATCTCTGTCTCTCCCTCTCCCTCTCTTTCTCTCTCTTTCTCCAGATATATATATAATACAGATAATACAATACAGGTAATATATATAATACAGGTAATGAAGGTATAAATAAGATCTAGAAATCTTCATCTTCTGCACATTGACTCATGATGGGGCATTGCCAATGTAAAGGTCTAAGAAAGAGCATAGGGAATGTGCAGGGAATGAAGCCTTCACAGGGAATTCTATGAGAAGAGAAGACATTCATATGGGGTTGTTGATTATTCTAATATGCCACTAACCAAAGTTCAATCCTCCTGGCAGAAGAAGTCAGAAGGGCGGTAACATAGCGACAGGTGGGCTTATAGGTCCGGTGGGAAATTTCTGCTGTCAGGAGGAGCTCAGGGATGCAGAAGTTTGTTTGGAATAACACAAGGCATGACAGAAGCAAATACTGTTCAACTCTCCTCTGGTTTTGGTATATAGCTGAACTTGAATATTGTTTCCCTTTTGAGGTCATGCAGCAATTCTACCTAAGTTGAGAAGAAATTCAGTTTTGCCAAATGACTTTCTTCCTGGCTATGAATCAAAAATCAAATATTTCTTAACACATTACCCTCTCACACAAACTGTGCAATTAGTACATTAGTTAATCGTGTTTGCTTATGGATGATCTCAACTAAAATGTTTTCCTTAAGTGCTTATATGCCAAGAAACAATTCCTATGCCGGAGCTCATAAAAATAAATTTTAGAAGCAACTGAGCTGCAGTATTTAATAATTATGGGAACATGAGCAGTAAGCACCTCTCATTCTTTTCTAAAATGTAATTTTTTTGTTTCTATTATTTGCAAAATTCTGCTTGCATAGAACTCTTCACCCTCTCGGTCCCCTCTGAGCATAAATCTGCTGAGAAACCTCTGCCTCCTCTCTATTCACTGAGGTCTCAGGAGGAGTACTTTTTCCTTTTTAAAAAATGAGTAGAATGTGGTGTGGCTTGGATAAGCACAACCAACGGACTTCAGTTCCCACTTCCTTTTTTCTTCAAAGTCAAAAAAAAAAAAAGTTGAGAAAAAATTATGGGAAATAATTTTTTTTCTAATGTTGGAGACATACAGGGTCAAGGAGAGGGAATTTAAACATCATTTGAAATTACTGAAAAACAACTTTTAATATGTCATCTTTCTTCATTTATATTGCTTCAAAAATGACAATAATCTCATGAAATACAATGGCAGCTATTTTTTAGGTGAGAAACCAATCCGTTTTTCAGTTGAACAAATCAAGCAGCACAAGGTTATATTGATACAATATCTTCCCAAACCTTCATTCATTCTGCAATCAGCTTTTGACAACATAATCATTATCTTTTCAATGAATGGGTGAATGGACGAATTAACAGACGGAAAGAAAGACAAATAAATAGAAAAGCAATACATAATTTACTCTCCAAGTCCTATCACATTTCAAGTTCTCACAAATTTTTACTGAAGGCTACATCTCTTTCCAGGACTCTGCAGAACTTCTGAACAGTAAAAGCCGCTTCAGCTTCCTTAAGTCAACCCCTGAAACTCCCATAGATAAGATGCTTTCAAGGGATATTTTCAAAGCCAAGTCACACAGGTGGCATGTATATGAAAAGAAGAGGACACAGAGGGATGGAAGAGGAAGAGAGGATCAAATAAATGCACAAAACAATGAAGCTGTGCACATTCAAGTGATGGACACATGATCATTAAATAGTCTTGGCCCCTCCAAGAACAAGAATCACTTGATATTTCCTAGCAAAATACAAGTTTAACCTGTTTAAACTCAACAGAGAGCAGCAGACTTTTGGTATCAAACATTAACAGTGGTCCCCTAATTACTGTCTCAAATTAAGGCACTAAGATGGATACCTCAAAGGACAAAAAAGACTTATTAGTGTATTGACATTATATCTAAAAATAAAGGGGATGCAGAATTTCAAATGGGTCTTTCCAGATTTTTTTGGCTTTGCTTCTCTCTAGATCTACGAGATTACTGGCTCAACTTTTTGAATATTCTAACAGTTCTAAAGGATTTTTGCCATGCCCTGTAATAAGTTATTACCCAAAATACATTTATTTCTATAAGAAATCTGAAGCAATTGTGGTATGGAAGCTCAGAAAACAGGGAGTAATATAAAATCAAGCAACCATATCAGAAGAGGTAGGGTTTCTTAAGACCCACATGGACCATAAGTAGTTGGAGACAAAATCTGAATTCAACTTTGCTTTCTTGCCAACACACTAGCCCACTGTGACCCTCACAAATCTTTTCTTTTTCCTAGTAACATGACTTCTTCAGGTATAACTCATCGTTATGCTTTTATATAATCAAAGAGTATGTCTAATACACATAATGACCTCAAATAAAGGTGCGCTGCTTAGAAAAGGAGAATAACTTAGTATCAATAGTTGAAGTTTATATTGCCAAATTTTTGTTTTTCCCATATTGCACAAGCCAACTATCCCAAAACATAATAGCCAGAAACAATAATTTATTATTACCACTTACAGTCCTACGGTTGAGTAGGATCAGCTGTGTGGTTTTCACTTGGGGCCTCCCATACTTTGCAGTCAGATGTCCACTGGGGATAAAGCCATTTGAAGGCTTGACTGACATGGAAGTTAATATGGCTTTTTCATTCATGTGAACACTAAGAGAATTTTCAATCTGATGTGTACGATTTAGTTATTAATGTGTGTTTGTCATAGTTGAGTTATCTGAAAGTCCTTCTGAAGGACATATATCTATTGCATAATGGTTTACCCCGTAATAGCTAGAAGCAATGGCAGTTACATTACAGTTATACTACATCTGTAAACTGTCGAAACATGTATTCATTTGCTTGTGTGTGTGTTTATTTTTTAAAATTTCCAACCGTGCTTATTCAATGCCTTTTAGATACTAAGTCTACATCTGGGAATGAGAAAACACATGATCTAGTCTTCATAAAGGTGATATTCAAATTTGGGCAGATGGATACTAAACAAGTAGGCAAATAAGACAAACTATAATTAGAGATCATGGTAATAGTTATGAAGGAAATAAAAAAAAGACCTTGCATGACATTAAGGGAAATGTGTTATTAAATTTATACCCTGAGTTCTTTACAGTTTTTCTGTTACTGAGCTGACATTTATTCAATAAACACTGAAACTTCATTTTGGAAAGAGGCTTTTATAGGCATCAGGCAATAAACTCTGGCCATGGAAGGGCAAATCAGAGCAAAATTGAGGTTCCCAACCTATTGTCATTTAAAATTTAAAAACAAAACAAAACACATTTCCACATTTCAAATAAAAATTTGGAAACAAAAAAATTACTTATGACAAAAACAATCCACACTGTAGTATGTGTGATGTTTAAAGAGCATGATAATTTGCTATTGCTATGATATAGCCACAGAAAAATAAATCTACTTACAAGGTAAAGGAAAAACCATCTCACTTCTGACAATCAGCAAAATCAATTCTGATAGCTACTAAAAAGACCACTTTAATATCATTCCTTTTAGGCTGAATAAAAATAATTGTCCAAATCTACCTGACATCTTTGCTTTTATTGTCCACTTGAAGATGCAAACTAGTATAAAATCTACAAAGTTGCTTGCAAGGAAGATGAAACATTTTGCTTGGACAGGCCAATAATATGTCCAGGGCTTCTTGCACAGTGGCAAGTAGCAGAGGCTTCAGAAAAGATGAAGGATCCCATAATGCATTTGATTGGCCACTCAATAAAGGAACCTACAGAGAAGATTGCCTCTTCGACCTGGTGAGATTCTCTCCAGACCCTGGAGTATAATGAGCAAGAAAACAAACTTATTTTTATCCTCCACTAGCAAGCGTAACTGCAAATGTTTTTCTTATTAATAAAAAATGTCGAATCCTTTCAAGAATCTAACCAAGCAACTTGCTTTAATAGCATCCAACAGAATTTCTTGTTAGAGAAAAATAATAATTCCAGAAAAGTCACTATCCAAACACAGTGACACATCTTCATGTATAGAGCAAGGACACTGAACTTTATAGTAACTCCTAAACTCTTAGAGTGGCATATTCAAGGTAAACTGGAATACTGTTCCTGTAACCTAAACCACATTTTTTCCATTCATTAATGAAAGGAATAACGTTAACACAATTAAATTCAACACTAGGGTAGCAGCTTTCCACAGCCACATTCAGCAGCCCACATACATATTTTAGAACATAGTTTTCCAAGCATGTTGTCTTTTCTATCTAATTAGTAAGCTCTTCATGGGTAACTAACATAAACACCTTACAGACAATCAAAGTCCAAAACATCCTCATGTCTGACAGTGGTATGTTTTCACTGATTATTTAGAACAGAGCTTTCCAAAGTGGAAAAAGTGGAGAAAGATGTTGAAAGATGTTAAATTGGAGTTACAGAGATCCAAAAAGCTGCTCAGTCAACACAGCAGAAAAATGCAGCCCTTTCCACTTTATTCTCCAACACCTTATTTTTCATTAAAAGGGAAGAAAGGGCATAGTGAACAGTAAAGTGATAGATCACAGTCCTCCAAAGATTCTAACTAAGACAAACAAAAAACAGAACTTCCTTTAAAAGGATGTGTTTAACCTATAAATTCCTGAAGTTACTTTCTAGTGAGAAGTTTGTACCATTAATAGTTTGGAATGTTTTTAGCTGCAAGGAAAAAAAGCCCCAATTAACCATCATCAGAAAAAGCATTTAATTATCATCCAGTTAATCTGAAAGTTGGTGGTTCCAAGTTAATTACATCATTACGGAACCAGACTATTTTCTCAGCCACCAGACTTAGCTGTTGGCCCTTTGTCCTCTGAAAGTGCCTCCTGATTTCAAGATAACTGCCACAGCTCCTTGTATGATATCCCTCATCAGTATCCCAAGTAGAAAGAAAGACATCACAAAAGGCTTTCTCTCCTAAGAGAAAGAAATCCCTCAGTATCAACTTCATCGGTAGTTGTTATTTGGCTAAAACTGGGTCACTGGTATACCTCTTTCTTCAGGCCTGGTGCAGCGCACATGCATCCCGTGACTGGCTTGGACCATTCATGATTTATTCCCTAGGACGAGGAGACAGTTTGCCTTCTCTGAGGTTAGGTAATCTCCACCAGAGCTACATAAACATAAACCTAGGGATATAAAGCAGGTAATAATGAAGTATGATTGTAGGGTAGAAAAAAGTCTGAATACGGTTATTCCTTAGCTTTTGTGATTGCTCCATGTATCTATCAATCTAGCTTTCACTGCACTTATCTAGCTATATATGATCTCTCATATATAAATATATATATACACTCCACCTTGTGACAGTTTAAGGTAATAGGATTTTTCTTTTTTGTTTTTTTTTTTTTCCTTGAGACGGAGTCTCGCTCTGTCGCCAGGCTGGAGTGCAGTGGTGTGATCTCGGCTCACTGCAACCTCCGCCTCCCGGGTTCAAGTGATTCTCCTGCCTCAGCCTCCCGAGTAGCTGGGACTACAGGCACCCGCCACCATGCCTGGCTAATTTTTGTATTTTTAGTAGAGCCAGGGTTTCACCATGTTGGCCAGGCTGGTCTCGATCTCCTGACCTCGTGATCCACCCACCTCGGCCTCCCAAAGTGGGTAGTAGGATTTTTAAAGGTTACTTGAAAAATCAAACATGAAGAGAAAACCATTAAGTAGAACATCAATTCATTTAACTTGAAAAAAAAAGTTTTAGTCCAACTGAAATTGAGATTGAATAGAATTGAACCTTTTTTTTGTTATCCTCACATTTCATTAGGAAATAATATGTTATGATCACTACGTTTGTTATAAAATTAAATTTGCATCTTTAATTCAACAAATATTTTGCGCATGCTTTTTGCTCAGCACCATCCCAGGTATCATTCTAGGTACCACACGGACTATGAAAAATAGTAACAAACATTTCTTTCCCTAAAGTAGAGCTGCTAGATAAAATACAAGAGCTCCAGTTAAATTTGAATTTCAGATAAACAAGAAACACTTTTTTAGTATAAGTAGATCCCATATATTGGATGTGACATACTTATACTAAAAAGTTATTCATTGCTTATCTGAAATTCAAATTAACATCTATTTTCACTTTCTAAATCTGCCAACCCTTGGTGCCACCAGTCTAAGGGTGGGTAACTTTACAGCATAATACTAATTTGTCCTATGACATCTCCAACTTTAATTAACTGCATCTTTCTTTCTTAAGGAAGAATTAAGATGCCTATGGTAAGAATGCAAAGCTCATGCCTGTAATCCCAGCACTTTGGGAGGCTGAGGCAGGTGGATCACGAGGTCAGGAGATCGAGACCATCCTGGCCAACACAGTGAAACCCTGTCTCTACTAAAAATACAAAAATTAGCTGGGTGTGGCGGCTCACGCTTGTAATCTCAGCTACTCAAGAGGCTGAGGCAGAAGAATCACTTGAACCTGGGAGGCAGAGGTTGTGGTGAGCCAAGATTGCGCCACTGCACTCCAGCCTGGGTGACAGAGCGAGACTCCATCTCAAAAAAAAAAAGGCAAAAAGAAGGAAATATGCAGTGTTCTATTTGCTTCCTACCCAGAATAGGATCTAAAGAATCTAATCCTGGTTTCAATAGGATAATGAAAGCCATCTAAATCTTAATCTCCCCATGCATCCTATAAAACAACATAAAGATAAAACAAAGAGAAACTATGAAATTTTTAAACACAGATTTATATCATAAGTAGGAAAAAAGGAACACAACAAACCTCAAATTACACATAAGCAGGAGAAAAATACTCAAATCCAGCAGAACCCGCTCTTGAGATCACAAGAGCAGAAAGTCAGATAGAGACAGCAGAAAAGTAAAAGGAAGCAGAAGCCCAGTAATGGTGAGACACAAATAGAATAATCTTACACAGAGAAAGCCCCTCCTCAGTAGGGAAATAAGGTGAACAGATCTGAGACCTGCACGGAGCTCAGAGTGCAAAGGAGCAGAGATGGAAATTATAGAAAGGCACCAGTTCTGGGAGTGAAGGAGCAAATTAGAAGGGGAACCCGTTGAAGACTTGATGGAGAAAGAGATATGAAAGTGAAGAAAATCACTTTATCTCAGGAGTTTGAGACTAGCCTGGGCAACATGGCTAAACCATGTTGTATTTTTTTGTGGCTACAAAAAATACACACACACACACACACACACACACACACACACACACACACACAAAATTAGCCGGGCATGGTGACAGGCGCCTGTGGTCCCAGCTACTCAGGAAGCTGAGGTGGGAGAATCACTTGAACCCAGGAGGTCAAAGCTGCAGTGAGCCATAATCACGCCACTGCACTCCAGCCTGGGCAACAGAGTGAGACCCTGTCTCAAAAAACGAAAGTGATGAAAAGCAGAAGTCATATTAAAGCAACGGAGAATCACTAAATCAGAAGGCCATCTACCCTCCTCTCACACCCTCCAAATGCATTGATAAAATCAAATAATTCTTACTGTATCAAAATATTATTGTTCTTTTGAACTAGGAGACTTAATAAGTCATTCAAATTCCCACCTCTTTCTACACACAATTGCTACTAATGATCTAAGAAAATAAAACATCTCAAAATGAATGGAGACTAGTAGACAAATATCTACCCAATGTTCTGTAACAACAAAGTATAAAAAGAGAATCAAAATATTGCAGTTGATTAAAATTCTACTAAAAAATTTGCAACAGCACACAAATGAAACACATCTGAACCTAAGTGAAACACACTGAAATAGAATCTGAAGATATGGAAATACAGCTCAAAGAAATATTTTTAAAATATATGGACAGAACAAAAACAAGATGTAAAACCAGAGTTGATTAAACCCTGGAAATAAACTGAACGCTAAATTATATTAGAAATAAAAACTAATTACAAGGTGTCTGAGAGAGAAGTGATTCAACTGAAAATATAATCAGGAGCATTGAAGAAAGGCATAAATATGGGAAAGAGAACAAAAAAGCAACATAGAGGTCAAAAGTATTCAAGAAAAAGTAACTAATAAAGAAAACTGGCAAATAAGACCTAATATGCTTGTACCTGTGTCTAATCTTTAACATTACACTTCAAGAAAAAAAGTCTCCTGGACCTCCACACCAAAAAATACATAAATAAAGGGTTACCTGCAGGGGAAAAAACTATCAGTGAAGCTATCCTTCAAATATCAAGCCTCTAGAAAACATTTTATACAATTAAGAACCCAGGGTATACTGCACTTACAAGCCCTTTCTAGGTAATCTAGCCGATGTGTTTTGTCCAACCAAGATATGACTCGCAAAAGAACTGATGGTGGATGAAACATATTTATTTGCAAATCTAAGATAAAAGCAAAGGAGGGAACCAGGGTGGAAGAAGAATAAGGAAACGTGTTCTGAAAAATAGAAATAATGAACTTAAAATAGAAGGAGAAAAGAGACAGAAACGGTAAAACAGGATAAGCTAATGAATTGTTCCATAGGTAGACTCAACGGATCTGATTTAAAGCTGACAAACCAAATATAGATCAAGTGAAGGAAAAAGGAATGAAGGGCATATAAAGGTTACATTTAATAATCATTAAAATAATAATACAACCTTCCCCATAGCCAAAATAAATTATTTCAAAAGAACAAGGAATGGGCCACATACAAAACACAATAACAAAATATAAACTATATATACATAAAATCTAAAATAATATGACAGATGAGATGAAATTTATTGGTCATATTTATAAATGTAAATGAGCTTAAAAATCTTATTAAATAAAAATACATTAAAATTGTCTCACAAAGCAAAATCTAACACCTAAAATAGAGTAATTCAAATGCCTAAGAATAAAGAGTTGGGGCAAAGCAGGGTTGTGATTCTGATATCAGATAAAACACACAGAGATGCCATTTCTCACCCATCAAACAAGCCAAAATTAGCCTTGGAAAGATGGTGAGACTTGATCTCTAGAAAAAAATTAAAAAAAAAAAAAAGGGCGTGGTGGTGTGCTCCTAGCCCCTTGGGAGGCTGTAGTCTCAGTCACTTGGAGGCTGAGGTGGGAGGATCACTTGAGCCCAGGAATCTGAGGCAGCAGTGAGCTACGATTGTGCCACTGCACTCCAGCCTGAGTGACAAAGCAAGACCCCGTCTCTTAAAAAGAAAAATTTCAAAAACTGACAACAGAGCCAGGTGAGGGGAAGAAGGCACCCAAACATGGTTGATGAGAATGTAAACTATCCTAGCCCTTAATGAGGGAGATTTAGCAATATCTAATAATGCTATATTCCCTTCTACCTTTGGAATGAGCAATCTACTGCCAGGAACTTATCCTGAAAATACACCTACAAAAACAACCACAAAGTATGTGTACAAGGTCATTCAGTTTGGAGTTATTTGTAGAAACATATGGAAACAACCTACCTGCACACTCATTGGTAGTTAGTTAAATAAATTACGGTAACTCTACCAGAACACCACTGCAAAAAAGAATAAAGATCTCTATGAACTAATATATAGTGATTTCCAAGAACAGATTAAGTGATAAAAGCAAAACGTAAAAAAGTGTGTATATAGTATTCTACGTATTTTACTTTGAACCATATGTTTTATATATTTTAACATAAAATTAAGTAAATAATACAATTAAATATATAAAGATGAGCGAGAGCTCTAAAACTGAACAAAACAGAAGAAAATTAACCTAACTGTATTATCAAATTAATGACATAATCATAGAGAAAAAAATTTGTTCAAGCAACTTTGGAACCAAAGAGTCTGACTCTATTGCCTCAGGGAATATACTCTAAGGACAAAGAGAAATCTTAAATTGTACATAAGTTTGTGGTTGGTAGTAGCAGTGGTTTGGTAATTCCAACAGTATTTTGCATGTACTGTAGTAAATGTATGGATATGGTTAATAACTATGATTCTCACTGTGAAAGGAAGGGAAAGAAATCTGAAATGTGTCAGGAAGAGGAAGAACCTGTGGTATGGAATTGCATTTGGAGGTACCACTATAACCTCCAGATATATCTTCTTAGCTCTGTCTGCTGAAAAAGGACATAAGAACCAATGACACCCTTCTCACCGATATCTTGATTTTTAAACACCACTCCTAAACAAGAGAAACCACCTATTTGAGAAATGGCTATTTGTAGGTCTGGAGCAGAGAAGACACAAGGTGAACATTCTGTTGTGCTGTAAAGGAAGAAGTACTGAAAAACTGATGGGAACTTCTGAAAAGGACACAGGAGTCAACTTGAAAGGTCTCCCACTCATCAAACTAGGGCCAATTTCAGAACCAAAAAAGAAAGTCAGTAATGTCAGTAATGAATCATCACTCTTGAATAGAATCCATGAGTTAATAATGATATTTTTAAAAAACAGCAGAGTAAAGAAGGTATTCCAGAATTAGAAAACCAACACCTCGCAAGCACTGATGTAATGATTTATTTAGGTAGAAGTCATCAATAAATGCTAAAATCTTGGGGAAAAATTGACAGGGAATAGGATATGCACGTGCTACAAAATATCATCCCTCAGATATCCTGTTAATTACAAAGACAAACCATATCTTTACAATAGAGAAATCTAGCAGATATCATCTCAATCCACCAAGTGAACAAAGTTAACATCACCAAAAAATGGGACTTCTGACATTATACCACCTGACAGGAAGCCGTGAAAAGGATGCAGTCTTACCCTAGGTAGATTTTATGCTAAAAATATTTAACTCCTCATCTACTCCTGAAAAAAAAAACATCAAAGAAATCCAAAGTGAGACTTGTTTTACAAACCATAAGCCTGGCCTCATCAAAATCATCAACATGAAAGACCACTTCCTACCCTCCTCAGTTTCCCATTCCTGCAATAAGGCAGAGGAGCTCTTCTAGATTAATAGTTAAAAGAGATGGCACAAGCTGGACACGGTGTTTCATGCCTATAATCCCAGCACTTTGAGAGGCCAAAACAGGAGGATCACCTGAGGCCAGGAACTTGAGACCAACCTACGGAACACGAAACCCTGCTCTACAAAAAATAAAAATAAAAAAATTAGCCAGCTGTGGTGGTGCACACCTGCAGTTCTAGCTATTCCGGAGGACTGCCTGAGCCCAGGAGTTTTTTGCTGCAGTGAGCCGTGATCACACCACTGTACTCCAGCCTGGGTGACAGAGTGAGACCTTGTCTCTAAAAAAATAAATAAAAGAGAGAGAGATGGAATAAATAATGGCAATGTATGACCCTGTGTTCTGGAATCAAAAGGGATAGATCTATAAAAAAAATCATTGTGACAACTGAATATGGACAGTAATTTTGATAAAATCACCATTAACTTTCTTAGAAGTGAGGGTGGTACTTTGGTTATACAGGAGAATGTTGTTCTTAGGAGATGCATTCTGCAATATTTTGGACTGTATTTTCACAATGTCTGGAACTTAATTTCAGAGTTCAGAGAAAACATTCCATGTGTGTATAAAGAGACAGAAAAGAATATTAACTTTTTGGTAAATCCAGGTGAATGGAAGGTATTAATATGTGTTCATTATACTACTCTTTCAACTTGTTTGTATTTTTCAAATTTATTAAAACAAACTATTGGAAGGAAAAAAAAATCACAGACACTATTTTATTTTTATTTCTTTGAGACAGGGTCTCGCTCTATTGCCCAGGCTGGAGTGTAGACACATGATCACAGCTCACTGAAACCTCGACTTCCCAGGTTCAAGTGATACTCCCACCTCAGCCTGCCAGCTGTCTCTTCTTGAAAGCTGTCAGGTGAGGGCTTTTCATCAAGAGCTGCCTTTACGATTGAACACACGTGATAAGGATGCCTGCCCATGTTCCAGGATTTCTACTGGGGAGGGATGACCTCTTTCCATAGCCTCGTAGTCCTCTGTAGACTCTTGCTATCTCTTACATGCTACTCTCCCTCTAAATCACTTTGTCCCAAAGGCATCCAACAAGGTACTCAAGGCTCCATAGTAAGAAAACAAGAACAGACTGCAGAAAGAGGTAAGGAGAGATGGAAAGCAAAGTGTGTACCCACGAGAATTTTTCTCGGCATACCAAGGCAAAGGCTCTCACTTTTTTCGTATTAGACTTGAACTGAGGACTCCTGACAGTTATCTTGCAATGATGTGCAGGAGGCTTGTTTGAGAATCCAGCAATGGGAGAGATCAGGGCTACACTGAGTGGCAGAAAGAACTGAGTTCCTGGAGCCCTGCTTTACCTCTGAGATCAAGTGAGGCATGCCAGAGTTCAAGAAGCCAATAAATTCCCTCCTTCTTTCACTTGTTTCCCTTCCGCCAGTTTGGATTGAATTTTCTGATCACTTACAACCCAATCTCGATGGACACAATGTTTTGCTGTAAAAATGTACCCTCTGGACAAACTGAAAAATAGGTCAGGGAAACAAATACTGCCTATTTACATCTCTTCTGTCAATTCACACAGCATATTAGGATAACAAAGTCTATGAGAATTCCCACAGTAAATAAATCTTACGTTTGTTCTTATCAGTATGATTTTCGTTTGGAGATGCCTATTAAGAATCCTTAAAAGTGGTCTTCCAAGGAAGGCAATTTTTGCAGTAATTGTGTGAAACTTGTTCATTTGCATGCAAAAAAATCCTCTCCTGTATCACATAATTTTGATATATGACATATGTTTGTTCTCACATTAGGAACTTGAGGTCCGTGTAATCAAACTAAAGATCCTAACAAGATTGAAATGCTTGAGTATATTTGCAAGGGTCTCACAGTACTTCATGCATGCCTGCACTATACTATTAGATATTACATAAAGCTAGCTATTTCCCAGTTTGACTATGTCCTGCTAGTGAGCAGGGTATACAACCTTTTCATACTTGTTATCTCTAGCAGGTTGAATTACACCTGATACATAGGAGGAATTCAATAAATGTTGTTGAATGAATAAAATCATTACCAATTTACTTTTCTTCTATGGGAATTACATGTCTTGTTTCTTTCCTTCATTTTCCCTTCTGTTACACATTAAATTAATGCCTTTATTGAGCAGCCTGTAGTAACTCCTAGTTCTTAGTCCTGGGAGGATAGAACGAATTTAATGCTCATTAGTGTGTACAACTAGTTTAAATGATTTGTTCACTGCACATTCCCTTTCACTTGTCCAGAATGAATCAGGTTTGATTATTATGGATCTCTTTAATCTTTCATTTTCTTGGACAAAATTCTACAATTAGAAATGTTTCCAGCCCTGCTTTACCTCATCTTTCAGACTAATAAAGAATGGCAAGTTTAACACACTCCTTTCTAAAACAGGCACATTAGGGGAAATAATTATACACTATTGTGCAAGACCTAGTAGAGTTAATGTCATCCCTTCAAGATAGAATATTTATTTCCAGGGCATCAGGTTGCTGAAACAGATGGTTTTGCTACCTTCCACTTACTATTGCCTGTGCAAGCTAGAGTAATGCATATCGTTGGAATATTTTCTAACCTTCCAACGACAGTAGAGAGAGCATAAACTAAACTATGTTGGCAAAAAAAAAAAAAAAAAAAAAGCTATGATGGTAGAGCAGACTTGAAATCATGTAATATGTAACAAAGATTTTTTTTCTGGAGGACTAAAGATAGCTCATCTTGAGAAGATTCTGGGCAGCATGAGAGTCATTTCAAAATACTTAGAGAGAGAGAAATATTTCAATTAATTTTGAACAAATAACTTGACCACATGACATGTGTGGGATACATTTTTAAAGACAAAAAGAACTATATAAAATTTAAATTATTGGCAGCTATCACAGTGCTGATGGTAGTTCTGTCATTCTAAGAGAGTGTTGTACACAGCGCGAGATAAAATCAAAGAGTAATTATATTGGTGACACTGAGAACAGAATTTTCAACATGGGGAAAAGATGCAGATGTAAAATTGGTGAGAGTAAAACTGAATTGATTTTAAATTGAAAATATCTGTATAAATTCATGGGCTATTTTATATGTAAAAAACATTGCTCAACTCTGCTCACTGAAAACTCCTAAATATTAATCCAACAGCAATCAGAATCACAACACTCATATTGTGGTCTCTAAATATGAGTTTAAAAAAAAAAAAGGAACAAAGGGTCTCAGAGAAAAGGTTGATTCCAGGCCTGGAACACAAAATATGCAAGATAATAATGGAAGCATTTATTATACCAGAAAAAGAATATACTGGGGTCACATTAAAGGACCTAGAAGTCAACTTGAATAGGCTCTCTCTAGCCAAAGATGGGGCAGTTTAAGCATGAACAGGTTTACGACTTCAATGAAATAAAACACATCAACTATGTTTAAGTTAATGAATTTACAATGAAAATAGGAAAACATCTCATTGGTGCCCTTCAGTGAATACTAGGGAAATAGCCCCTGATAAATAAAATGAAAGAACTGAGGATTAATTTTGCCTTTCCTACAGAAACTGTATCTCACTGTAACAAATGATTGATGAGAAGTTTCTCTTTATAAAAATATTCTAGCGAGTAAATGAAGAAGAAATAACAGAATGAGTGTCATTATCTGGCAAACCTCAATGAACACTTATAAGGATCTAGGTGATGGCAGCTGCTAACATCACTGGGAGGGACAAGCAGACATTTTGTACCTACAGATGGAAATACACACCGTCACTGGGAAGCAGTCTTCCCTCACCTTCTCAAAAATAAAATTAAACTTGAATTTGAGCCTTTTGCTCTTACTACCTACCAATTTATTGATAATATCAGGGATAGAACTTGCAAAATGACCCCATGAGATTGCAGCCAGCAAAATCCAGATCACATGAAGCCTGAAATAACCTAGATTCTTCAACCAAAAATTTTCAAAGGAGAAAAAAATGGAGAGGAGCCTGTAAAATTAAGGAGATGTAAGAGACATATCATCCTTCACCCACTTTTTGATGGGGTTGTTTGTTTGTTTCTTGTAAATCTAAATTCTTTGTAGATTCTGAATATTAGCCCTTTGTCAGCTGGATAGATTGCAAAAACTTTCTCCCATTCTGTAGGTTGCCTGTTCACTCTGATGATAGTTTCTTTTGCTGTGCAGAAGCTCTTTAGTTTAATTAGATCCCGTTTGTCAATTTTGGCTTTTGTTGCCCCTGCTTTTGGTGTTTTAGCCATGAAGTCTTTGCCCATGCCTATGTCCTAAATGGTATTGCCTAGGTTTTCTTCTAGGAATTTTATGGTTTTAGGTCTGGGAGTTGAACTGTTGGGAGCAAGCGCCCCAAAATCTGGCCATAAACTGGCCCCAAAACTGGCCATAAACAAAATCTCTGCAGCACTGTGACATGTTCATAATGGCTCTAACGCCCAAGCTGGAAGGTTGTGGATTTACGGGAATGAGGGCAAGCAACACCTGGGCCACCCAGGGCGGAAAACCGCTTAAAGGCATTCTTAAGCCACAAACAATGGCATGAGTGATCTGTGCCTTAAGGGCATGTTCCTGCTGCAATTAACTAGCCCAACCTATTCCTCTAATTCGGCCCATCCCTTCGCTTTCCATAAGGGATACTTTTAGTTAATTTAATATCTATAGAAACAATGCTAATGACTGGTTTGCTGTTAATAAATATGTGGGTAAATCTCTGTTCGGGGCTCAGCTCTGAAGGCTGTGAGACCCCTGATTTCCCACTTCACACCTCTATATTTCTGTGTGTGTGTGTGTCTTTAATTCCTCTAGCCCCGCTGGGTTAGGGTCTCCCGACCGACTCCACATTGAACAATGAGAACACATGGACACAGGGAGGGGAACATCACACACCGAGGCCTGTTGGGGGCTGGGGGGCTAGGGGAGGGATAGCATTAAGAGAAACACCTAATGTAGGTGATGGGTTGATGGGTGCAGCAAACCACCATGGCACATGTATACCTATGTAACAAACCTGCATGTTCTACACATGTAACCCAGAACTTAAAGTATAATAAAAAAATAAATAAATAAATAAGAGGCACATCATTAATCAATCACAATGTATAAGCCTTATTTGGAGCCTGACTCAAACAAATGACAAAGAAAAAATTTTTAGATCGGGAAATTTGAAAACTGGCTGGATATTTGATAATATAAACAAATTAATTTTTTATGTGATAGTAATATGGTTTTATGAAAAGTAGTTCATATCTTAAACAGATACATACTAGGCTATTCGGTGATGAATGAGGTATGCTATTTGTTTTAAGACAATCAGAGTAAAGGGGGCAATAAATGAAAGAATACTGGCCTTGAGTTGGTAATTATTGAAGTTGGTAATGGAGACGTGGATGTTCATGATATATTAGTCTCCTGACTTTTGCTTTTAAATTTTCCAAAAGATTTCTATAATATTTACAGTGAAAGCATGTAAACTAGATCAAATATGTGATCACCAACCTGGAATTTAGACCAAGTGACGTTACGTTTCTGATAAAGTACAAGGAAGTGTTTTTGAGTGGAATCACCCATTACAGAAAGAGCCATCTGAGTAGAGTATATTTCTAGTTTTTGAAAACTTACTAGAGCGGTATTGAGCATGAGCTGAGGGCTTGAATTATGATTTAGACCCATTCTAATTTAGTGGTCTGTGAGTTCTTTTTCACTATCTTCTTAAAGACCACCTGATTCAAAGTAAGCACTAATTGCAAAAACATGCACAGTGTTTGTTTTTGTGTGCTTGTGTAAATGCACAAATGTTAAGTGGAAGGGCCTGGGACACAGAGCACAGTAATGAAAGAAAAGTCAGAATTAGCACTTAAAACATTTCAGCAGACCAGGAATGAGCTGGAAAAAAAAAATTATGTGGGCCTGCTATGCTTGACTTACTGTGACTGAGAATACTGTTGAATTTCTATGAGTTCTCTAAAAGATAAAAATGATTTCTCTATCACTAGGTAACACATCCAAAGACCAAGTTTTAAAGGCACTAATTTAACTAAGTTTCAGGACACCATGCAACGAGACTATTAGAAGAACACAGTTCTGTGCTACCTGACCATAGTTTGTTTGACTTTGCTTCAGACACACTAATTTTGAATGTCTGGATCAGAACTTCTATACCAGTAGGCTTTTTATAAGGGTCAAATTCAACTCACCAGGAAACTAAAAGAGAAAAGAAGTAGAACAAAAGCTAGACTTCTTCCAAATAGTCGTTTAAGATTATTCTGTAACTCTTGTACCAAATGTTTGAATAGACACCATCCAGACAAACTGACTGGCTTTTTTTTAGCATAAAGAAAGAAATTAGGTTTCTCATCAGGTTTTTCCTCTTTTTAATCATGGAAACAATAAGTGGTGAATGCATTTTTGACTGTCCATATCATCTACCATCAAAAAATAACACCTCTGCATTCTGAACCCAATTTCAATTCTGACTTATGCAATTAAGCAATCAAATCCTGTTTCAGTAATTAATAGTTTTCTTCTGCATGTCTCACTGTAATTTCACTTCATCTGCTGTGGAGCAGCTCTTTCGGCTTGAATCATCTGCATTTTGGACTATCCACCACCAGTCTACAATCTCAACCTTAGGCTGAGGCAGCCTATCAAGGATCTCCTTACATTGGAGAAACTGGAAAAATCATATTGATGTGCATGTGCATTCTATTTGAAGATGGTTAATACTTTCTCCCCAGACAATTTAGGCATTTGTCTTCTTTCCAATTCATTTCATCACTGGATTGCTAAAAATCATTCCTTTTACTCCATGAATTTCCTAGCCAAGTTCACTGCTAACCAAAATTAAGAAAAAGAAGCATTCCAGATGCTTCTGTCTCAGATAATTTTAGAACTTGAATCTCAACACAGGACATCTGAAGGCAAAATCACCTTTCAGAAGTAGCCAAACTCGGTTCTGTGAATTTGTAAATGAAGAAATCTAAATGACCGGCTCTCCCCTCACTTTATATCCACAGACATTTATTGAGCACTTACTAAAAGAACCCTAGTTATTGGCAGAGAGATAGGTTACAGTAAGCCAGAAAAATGTGCCCTGATCACTACAACTAATCCCAATACTGAGTGAAAAGTAAATGAGCAATGAGGCATCAGAGCAGCTGTTTGATAAAAGAACTTGAATCAACATGTTCAGGAAGACAACCACAGATTAAGATAGGTCAAGGGTCAATCCTATCTGCTCTCCAAAAGAGAATGAGTTACTAATTAAAGAAAAATCTTAGCTAAGATCTTGATAAAAAAAAAAAAAAAAACTTTGTTAACAGAACCACCATCATGGCAGAGAGGGGCCCAGAGGGCAAGACTACTCACACATTTTTTACTCTTTGAAAGCAAAGCTAAGAAGATAAATTACCTGTATGAAATAAGTTGTATCTTGTGCAAGCAAATTCTTAAAAGGTTGTAATAATTTGCACTGGCAGAAATAGATGTTATCAAAATGATTTTTCTAAGTGGATCATTAATTATTAGCCTCTTCTGGAAGCACTTTGACTAGTTACTTACAGGTTAATTTGACATTCTTAATATAGCCACTTCCATCACAACCATCATGTGGGACAATGAAATCGCAGTTATCATAATTATCATAACTTAATTAGCAAGTACCAATTACAGTTCTGCCATGTCCTGGTAGGCCAGCATCAACTGATTAGGCAAAAGGATGAAAATTACCCAAATCCCTACCCATAAAATGCTCCCCTTAAACTTCATTAAAGAAGGCAACATGGTCATTGCATTTACTATTTTATCCTTGGCATCAGGAATAATATAGGTTCTTGGAAAAAATAAATCTTTGCTAAATATAAATGAATGAATAAATAAATGCATTAATAAAAGTCTTCTTCATAGGAACTTTAATTCAGTTGGGATTCCCTAAGCTGTAGAACAAATACAGACCACACCTGAGATACGAGTTTGCTTTTTCTTGGAATTATTAATTATGAAAATTTTTATTTTGTGTTATTGATTTAATGAATACAAAGTATTTTTTTAAGGAGGTGCTATTATTCCAGCTCAGTCATTCACATATTTGGTTCCCTAAATAGCCTTGGACCAGTATTTGAAAATCTTACAGGTCTAAACTCATCAAGGAAATGACAGATTTTTCAAAATGCCATAGTAGAAATAGATCTTCACAAACTATCACAGAAAATTATGATTACTACCCATAATGAAAGAAAAATGGGTAGAAAACAAATGATAAAGAAATATTATGAAATATTGTTGACTTTTTCTTCCTAGTGAAGTCATTATCATTGGGAAGAGAACAAGATCAGAGAGGTGTGAGTGTGTGTGTGTGTGTGTGTGTGTGTGTGTGTGTGTGTATGAATGAATCCTGTTAAAAGTATCATCAACATTTGCAACTACTAACAGATTGGACCTCCATCTAGCCCACAGACCTAAGTTAAAGAAATAGTCCTCTGTGACTAGAAGCCAAGCAGGACAGTTGTAAATACACCAGATATGAGGACCAAATCGCAACAATATCTCAGGAACACAACTCCCAATTCAAGATATCAGAAAAAGCACTCCCAGATAAAATCACAAAGACACAACTTCTTCCAAAACATACCAAAAAATCATAAAACACTTATTTCTTCTTTTACTGGCAGTTTATTGAAGTTAATGTAAACTAGAAATACAGTACAGTATAAACATGAGCACAAATAATGTTTTACTGATTCATGCTTTATTAATCCATTCATTCATTCAACACACATTTATAAAGGCCTATTATATATATATCAGGAACTGTGTGAGTCACTAAGGTTTCCATGATGATTTTTATGGTTTCTTCCTCCATGGAATGTATCTAATGGGAAGGATAGTTATCACATGATCACACACAGAGATGGAAAGTTATAACTGCATTAAGTACACAAAAAGAGGTGTGCATGGTGATATAGCAAATGGAGTGGGGGACCTGGCTACTCAAGATTATGGGAATCTCAAGGGAGCATTGGAATTAACCCAGCAGAGGGACATGGGAGAAGCATCCAGGCAGAGAGAGAACATGTTTAAAGGATCTGTGAAGGGAAGGAATTTGGTATGTTCTATGAAGAAAAATAAAGCCTATGGGCTGAAAGCAGAAAGCGAAGTAGAAAGTATTGCAAGATGTTTGGAGAGGTGAGCAGAGAACAAATCATGTGAGGCCTTCAAGGCAATGGTATGCATTTGGGTTTTTATTCTTAAAACAGTGGGAAGTCTTTTCAGAAGTGTTAAGCAAAGGGAAATGACTAAATGGGGAGGTGTTTTCTTTGGTTGGTTGCTTGGGGGTTTTAATAATCACTCTGGCTGCTGTATGAAGAACAGACTGGAAGAGTGCAGAAGTAAAAACTGGGAGGTGGGGCCGGGCGCACTGGCTCACGCCTGTAATCCCAGCACTTTGGGAGGCCGAGGCGGGTGGATCGCAAGGTCAGGAGATCAAGACCATCCTGGTTAACACGGTGACACCCCGTCTCTACTAAAAATACAAAAAAGTAGCTGGGCATGGTGGCAGGCATCTGTAGTCCCAGCTTCGGGAGGCTGAGGCAGGAGAATTGCATGAACCCAGGAGGCGGAGGTTGCAGTGAGCTAAGATCGCGCCACTGCATTCCAGCCTGGGCGACAGAGTGAGACTCCATCTCAAAAAAAAAAAAAAAAAAAAAAAAAAAAAAAAAAAAAAAAAAGAAAGAAAGAAAGAAAAGAAAGAAACTGGGAGGTTGGGAGGCGGATAACTAGCTGTTGTAGTAGTCTAGTTAAGAGATGATGGCTTAGACTAAAGGTAGTGGTGGGGAAGGAAAGATGGCAACTGACTCAAGAGGTAAAGTAGCTTTGACTTGGTGGTGGATTGGCTTTAAGGGTAGAGTCAAGGATGACATCCAGGTTTCTCTCTACTCACTAAAAGCAGAAACAGTGGAAGCAGGTAAATCTGGGGGGTAGGATCATGAATTTGGTTCGGAAAAGTGCAGAGGAGTTAACATAGCAGACCTGAGACTGGTGGCCTTTGAAAATCCTGTGTGCAAGGTTGGGCTGTTTGGCATCTGGGAACTTGAGTTTCGGGAGGGTTCCTGCCATTCCCCAATTAGAATTGTTCACTGCACCTAAACCATTTATATAAATGATATGGTTTATTATGAACACCTGCTTTTCTTCTGTGGATGTGGAATTTTGGTATATGGTAGGCAAGGGATGCCTATGAGACTCCTAATACTGGGCACTGAGTCTCTAATGAGCTTCCCTGGTAGATAACATTTCACGTGTGTGGTCACAATTCAGTGCTAGAGGAACTAAGTGCTTTCTGTGTGATTTACTAAAGCAAGTCTCTTGGAAGCTTGATCCTGGTTTCCTCCAGACTTCGCCCCATGTGCGTTTTCTTTCTGCTGATTGTGCTTTGTACCCTTTTTAGGAAATAAATCATAGCCATGAGAATGACTACATGATGAGTCATGTAAGTCTTCCTAGTGATTTACCAGATTTGTAGGTGGTCTTGGGATCTCTGAAACAAGGTACATATTGACTTTGAATTAGTAATGTCATGAAAGCACAGTATACATCTCATGGGGTAGCTCTTGGCTGGAGATCAAGACATGGGCCCATTGATGGTATGTGATCTCTCTAGGCTCAATATTCAGTACAACTAGCCATGTAGAACTAAATGTTCAAACAGGATGATCTTAAGAAATTATCTAGTCTAGATTCCTCAGTTTTTCAAATGAACTAAGGTTGAGAGAGGTAAATACCTTTCTAGAGGTCACAGAGCTAGGACCAGTACAACAAAACCACATCTCAACTCTTACTAGTTCCTACCAGTCCATTATTTACTGCCTCACTGGCATCTGTCCTTTCTCAGGAGGTCTCCTGCTTGCCTCAGAATGTGCCACATGGTTGCAGATTTCTACCATGTTGCATTTTCAATTAAAACAGCTAAATGGGGTGTCTTAAAAGGTCGATTTCCAAGCTGCCAGGACAATAATGCCACAAACTCCACCAGATTTTATGAGTCAAATGACAGTATAAATCATTAGAAAAATGTGTGCCAACCGCAGAGACAGTGATGTCTCAAACTCTTGGAGTACTGAACACCATCCAGTTGGCTGAGAAAAAGCCATGGGGCTTAAAATCATTTTTCACAATTACTATCCTAGCTAGTTCATAGCTTTTGGCAGATATGCCCCACACGCATAACCGAACTCAGCTAATTTTCACTCTGCTGATCGACAAATATGAATTTTTTTTCCTTCAGAAAAACCACCCAGAGAGCGTTCATGAAATCCGAGGTAGTGCATCAAAAATGAATCCATTTATTACTGTCTGCCTTTAAATAATGCATATTAAATAGGCCACACAATATTCATCACAAAAAGTTCTACTGTGCTAACTAGGATGATGAGTCAAGAGTACCAGTCATATGAATTACTAGAGTCTGAGAGTCAAATAGAAACACTTCTGAGTCCTTCTGTGAGGCAGAAAAAAAATTGTGTGTGTGTATGTGTGTGTATGTGTGTGTGTGTGTGTATTTAAAGTTATTTACTACGGGATTCTCCAAAATCATTATTGGCTAACAGTTAAACTTGAAATACCATAAATGCAACATCAATTTCCTTAAGCAATGAAATATTTACATAAGTGAAGGAATAAAAGATCTTTTCTATTAAACTCACATTTTCAGCCAAGTGTCATTTCTAAGTTGTCATCTTGGGACTATGCAATAGCCCAACTGTTGAATTCCATGTACGAATATGTGTTTTATGTTGACTTCAAAAACATACATCTATTGTAAATTGAATAAGCCCTCCTACAAAGAGAAGCCTCCCACCAACAAGGGAGAAACCCCTCAATGTATTTCGAATTCAGCGCAAGTGATGACTCTGTAGAGGATGAAGAGATGCTACTAAAATAGAGATCACGAGGGACTTCAATTATATAGATGATACTCCATTCCTTAGTTTGGGGGTAGGTGGACAGCCATTTCAATGTTTATTTATGATTTTAGATATGGGGTCTTGCTCTGTCTCCCAGATCAGAGCATAATGGTGCAATCATAGCTCACTGCAGCCTCGACCTCCTAGACTCAAGTGATCCTCCTGCCTCAGCCTCCCAAGTAGCAGGAACTACAGGTATATGCCACCAAGCCTAACTAATTTTTTTTTTTATTTTACATTTTTTTAGAGAGAGGGGATCTCGCTATGTTGCCTAGGCTGTCTTGAACATTCTAAACATTTTATAATTTTTAAAATATTTAACTCCCTAAACTTTCTCAATTGGTAGTCCCAGATTCTTAAGGAAGAGTCTTACTTCACCTCTCTGTCTCTAGAGTCAAACTGAGTTTTCTTTAGTCGTGAAAAAACGGGCCACTGTATCAGCTGGGTACCTTAAAACCAATTCTATTACACTGAGTTTCCAAAGACGTGGCCAAATCCTCACGACCTTTCCTATCAGATATCCTCTGTCTCTGGAGCAGCTTGAAAGAATATATAAGCTAAGGGTATTTTCAATCAGCGAAGGTAAAGTGAAAATATCTTCTCATATTAAAGCTGCCAGCTTTCCAAATAGAAAATAGTGTCAGCAAGAGGAAGGTATAAGATCAAGAAAAAGTTAAATTGACCAAGTGTGCTTTAAAATGCCCCATAAGTTTAAAAGCCTTTCTTTCCCCATCTGATAACTGGGGAGGCTGTGCTCACATAACCTTGGTTAATTAAATACGGTAGGGAAGTGGTGTCTCAAAGGGGTTTTGAGACCCCAGCATCAGCATCAATTGGAAACTCGCCAGAAATACAAATTCCCAGATTCTGTGCCAGGGGTGGGAGGGTAGGCAAAAATCTGGTTTTAAGAAGACCTCCAGGTGATTCTAATGCCTGTCCTTTATGAAGCATGATGTAGAATTACGTTACAAGTAAATGGCTGAGTTTGAACACCAGGGTCAGTCCCTGGTAAATGGTGTGACTTTGGGCTGGTGACTTAACTTTTCTTTGCTTTCATTTCCTCATCTATAAAATGAAGATTATAACTGTAGTTATTAACTCACTGGAACACTGGCGATAAGATAATACACATGAAAGTGTGGCAAAATGCTTGACACACACTAAGCGTTCTCTACTATGGAAATGACACAGGTTTGCTTTTATTACAGAGTTTGCTCATCCATTTATTCAATCAAAATTTATTGAGCATTTACCACATACTACACGTTAGTTCTGATGAAATCCCACTGCCTTTGCCCCACTCCACATCAAAAACTAAAGGAAGGCCCAAGCTTGGATCTGTTTAACAGTTCTGCAGGAGCTTCTAATGGAAGAAACAAATCTGTGAGCAAAAATTACAGGCCAATGTCCAGGGAGCAGAGGCTAGATATATGCACGTGATCCCAGAGAAACTTTTAGCAGGGAGTTGCTTGTCCAGCAAGTTTTCTTTGATGCTTACATATTACTCCCCTGCTTTATTAATCTTAGGAGGCACAAATCATGTTTTTCTAAACTCTCAGCGCTTAGCATCATGTCTAGCAAATAATAGATGCAGAAGAAGCTTGTCAATGCAACAAGAAGTGAACTGAATTTCTAGGATTAACCCTCCAACTCCTAGAAATCTCAACACAGTATGTCAGGACACAGCAGTAATTATACAGCTATCATCTCCATAACAAACTCTCATAAATGTACTCTTCCCTGAATATATTGCCCAAGCCTCAAGGCTACACATAATGATTTTGCACACCAGTTTCCAAGGGGAGGAGCGACATGGGAAAAGCTTGTAAATTAATTAAAAGAGACACGCAGGCACACTTCATGCCATTCTTTAATCTCCATTCTCCTGTGATAAATATTGAACGACAGAAATGGGCCCAGGCTAACGAGCTGGAGGCAGGACCCTACGGAGGTCAGAAACACTGCAGCAGCTCAGGGCTCAGGAAAAGGAAGAAGGGTATCAGCACCTTGCCTGGGCTGTGTCAGTGATGTGCTGCCAAACAATACTCCCAAGAATGCCCACTGGGCATGGGATCTCACCTTTCTTTGACTCATTTGAACAAAAGGTAAAAAGGAACTACTATGTATTGCAATTAAGAAGTCAGAGAATAACAACAATTATGATTGACTGAGGGTTTTCTGGTGTCAGGCACTGTGTTAAAGGCTTCTCATTAAAAATTTCATTTAATTGTGGTAGCCGGCCTCCAAGATGGCTCCCGACACTCCTTACCTCCTAGTACGCCACCCACACATATTCCCTGTTACATTGAATCAGCGTTGACTCATGTGACCAATAGAAAACTACAGAAATAAGGGTCTGTGACTTCTGAGGTTAGATGTCATAAAAGACATCACTACTTCCAACACGATCTCTTGGATCACCTGCTTGGGAAGCCAGCACCACGTCAAGTGGACATTCACACAGCCCTGTGGTGAGGCCCACATAGAGAGGAACCCATGTGCCAGCCTTGTGACTGGGCCACCTTGAAGTCTAGCTTCCCGCTCTCACCAAGCCTTTGAGTCTTCTAGCTAAAGCCCCAGACATCCCAGAACAGAGGAAAGCCATCATCCCTGGGCCCCGTCTGAATTCCTGACCCTCAGAATCTATGAGATAATTGTTTTTTTTTTTTTATTTGAGGGGGTCTCATTCTGTCACCCAGGCTGGAGTGCAGTGGCACAATCATGGCTCACTGCAACCTCTGCCTCCCAGGCTCAAGCCATCTTCCCACCTCAGCCTCCCAAGTAGCTGGGACCACAGGAGCACGCCACCTCGTCCAGCTAATTTTTTGTATTTTTGGTACAGATGGGGCTTCATCGTGTTGTCCAGGCTGGGAGATAATTGCTTTAAAAACTAAGTTTTGTTATGCAGCAAGATACCACTCATACATAAGAGCTAGACACTTTTATGTTACAGTTGAGGAGAGTTTGACTGATTCAATCATGGAGATTCTAAGTGAAGCAATGGGGATGGGCATCCAGATCTGCAGATCTGAAAGTCCTGACTCGTTCTGTCCTAACAGAGAAGCATAAGGTATGGAACCTGTTTCCCATCCCTTTTATTAAGGGAAAGTAATCATTTAACAGGAATCTGTGAAGTACTTTGGTTGTCCTCAAGATACTTTATTTATCCCACAGGGGACCCACCATTCTGCCAAGTGTTTCAGTGACTTCTCTTTGGATAGATTAGAGGCTTCCTCACAGCACCGTAAACAGCAGAAGGGTGGAGACAGGATGTTGTGCTAATCCCATGGACTCTGCATCAACCTGCCTGTATTGGCATCTCCACCACTTTCAGGCTTGGTGATCTTAGGTAAGTTAACTAAATTTCGCAAGCCTCACAGGTTTCTCACTTTAAAACTAGGCCAATTTTAACACATGCATTTGTTCCAGCTGCATTAGAAAAATATTCATGGCCAGGCACAGTGGCTCACACATGTAATCCCAACACTTTGGGAGGCCAAGTGGGAGGATCATTTGAGCACAGGAGTTCAAGACCAGGCTCAGCAATACAGTGAGACCTTGTCTCTACAAAAAGTTTAAAAGTTAGCCAAGCACGGTGGCATGCACCTGTGGTCCCAGCTATTTAGGAGGCTAACGTGGGAGGATCACTTGAGTCCAGGAGGTCGAGACAAGCCTGGGCAACATGGTGAAACCCTTCTTCTACAAAAACTACAAAAATTAACCAAGCATGGTGGTGCGCACCTATAGTCCCAGCTATTTGGGAGGCAGAGATGGGAGGATTGCTTGAGCCCAAGAGGTCAAGGCTGCAGTGAGCTGAGACCACATCACTGTACTCCAGCCTGACAGAGCGAGACTCTGTCAAAAAAAAAAAAGAAAAGAAAAGAAAAAAGAAAAACCTCATAAAGTATTAGCACATTGCCTGGTGCATAGTAAGTGCTCAATAAATGTTATGTATTTGTAATATTATCATCAAATATGTGTTGAAAAACACCAAACATGTTAAATGGCCAATCAAAAGCTCTTCTCTCAGTCTCTCCTCATGTTGGAAAGACATGAAATAATAGTGGTTCTTCAGAGTGACAAGATCTCACTATGCAGGCACTGAAACCTTCAGCCACCAGGCTAGCCAAAGGGCTAAAGCCCTGGTCATGGCTCCTGCTAGAGTCCAGTCTGCCCTGCTGGGGTGATGAAAGGATCAGGGAAAGCTACTAGATAGTTCTACTGTCCAGTGGATCATGCATAGACAGCAATTTGGCTCTTTCCTATGAGAACAAGCAAAAAGGGTCTCTCTCACCCTGGTCTTATAAACAGGGGTGTAGAGGCAGCTTTGCTTCCTCCTATCTCTTAATCCCATTACATTCTTATCATTTTGTCAGTGCAGACAAAGCTCCTTAGCTCCTGCCAGTGCTCACTCCAATGCCTTCCCTTGGGGTTCACTCTTTGCGGCTACTGGGGCTAAGGATGCTTAGATCCGCCTTCCCTTGAACTTAGCTTTATGATTCCTCCCTTTTTCCCCTTAAACATGAGGAAAATTTCTGTGTAAAATTCTGTTTGGGATCCAAAATATTTCCATAACCTTTCATTTCTGGGTAAGACCAAGAAAAGGGAAATTAAGAGAAATACCAGCCACATTCACCCATCTCAAAATAAGCACAAATTCCTAGCCTTACAAGGTGCTGGGTTAGGTTTCTGGGGAGATATAAAAAGGGATCAAGATGCAGAGCTTGCCCTCAAGAGACCCGCCCCCCCACAAGTCCAATGGGGAAGGTTAAAAAACAATATGAATAACTACAGTGTAAAGTGCCATGATGGATGCCATGAGCAGCAGGGAGAGGGTCCAAGAGACCAGAGGAGGGAAAATGACAAAAGATAGGAACACAGGAAAGGCCTTCCAGAGCAGTCAGCCTCAGGTGTGGGTTCTGAGGACAGGGGATCCTGACCCAAGGAGGTGGGGAAGGGCAGGGAACGTATTCCAGGCAGAAGGAATGGGAGGCAGGGAGCCAGGAAAGCATGAGGCAGCTATGGGAATGCTATGGATTCATGTTCTTCTTTCAGTTTGGAGACATTTTGTAAAGAAGCAGGAACAGGAATACAAAAACTAAAGTAGTATAGTGAATAATATACTGGCAAAATTTAGCAATAAAAACTTTCAAGAAAGAAGAAAGTAAAGGGTGATTTACACATTATAGAGCAAATTGGTGACATGTGGATTTCATGAGTAAGTAACATATTCAAATTCATTTCTCAGTGATCATGAACCTAAAATCCCTAAGAGATTAGAGATGTATGTTTTCAAAGGAGGCCATGCCAAGTAAACTGGTGGATTACTCTTCCCAACATGTTAAGTAGGTTTCCTTCACTGAAAAATCTTTTGCTTGAACCATGAACTACCAAATCGAACACTTTCCATGATTTCCTTTCCTGGTCTACTTTTACAAAGTATTACCTAAAGTGAGAGTGCACACATCAGATGACATAATTTTGGGGCCTATTACTTACCAGCAGAGTCATTTCAATGATGTTCAAGAACCAGTGTGCATTAGCTAGACTAGTTTCAAGGTACAGTAAATGTGTATCAGAGGTAACATGATTATTGATAGGTCTAAGGGTATGTGCACTTTTGCGTATTTTTCTATCCTCTGGCCCAAAATTAGAAAGCTACTGCACAAAGTAAGCTCTCAAACAGAATTTCTGTGAGTCGGAACTCCCTTCTTTTTCTCCTTATTTTAACCAACAAGCCAAGTTAGAAAGAAAATCCAGACAGCATCATAGGCCATTAACCAATCTCAAATGGTGGGTATTAAAATAGGAAACAATCCCTGGTCAGTATTTCTGTGTCCTCCCAAGACCAACAGATTCTCTGCATACAACACAAAACCGGATGACATGGCCCTAGGCCAGGCTTCCTTAGCAAGCTTACCATATACCACATGCTGGGCCACTTGGGATCATTGAAATAGGTAGACTGGGCACGACTGAAGTCATAATCCCTCTTTGTCCGCTTTTTTACCACTTGCTGTTGGATCCATTCCACCTGTCAAGAAGGACATTTGGTGAGTATTCACGTTCCATCAGGGTTATTACAACATAAATGACAGTCTGAGGCATTTCCCATTGTAAGTCAAGGCTATTTAAGTCACAAGTTTCACTGTGGCTACTAAAATCTCTGAGTCTAAGTGCTCAGAGATTCCTTAGAAACCCAGGGCTTTTTTTTTGTTTGTTTAATGCAAGCAGGTGTTTTAGTTTTTTATATAGAGTATTTATACCTCTCAACAACAAGCTAACTTTTAGCTTTCTCAGAAATCCTATTTTACTTCCAATTTATTACAAATTGGTAATGTTAATTTTTAAGGTAACTTTTCATCCTTACTTTATACTAAGGGCTAGCCAACTTTTTCTATAAAGGTCCAAATAATACGTATTTTAGGCTTTGCAGGTCACGTGGTCTCTGATGCAATCACTCATTTTGCCATTGCAGCACTGTAGATGATATGTAAATGAATGGGTGTGAATGTGTTCCAATAAAACTTTATATACAAAACCAGGCTGGATTTTGTTCCACATGCCACAGTTTATAATTCCTGACTTACTGACTTAGAGTATGCATCAATTTTTAAAAACATTCTGGGATCAAAACGCTCCAGGATCATTTTTTTTTTTAATGGCTTTCTACAACACCGTGCGGTGGAAAGACACTATTTGGAGAATTAGAAAAACCAAATCCCTAGCCCTATCTCTGGCACAAAATTGGAGAAGCCACTCAATTTCCTAAGCCATAGGCTCCCTGCCAGCTGTAAAATTCAAACATGCTCTATTGGAGAAACATCTTAATATTTAGTTATAAGCTTGTTTAAACAAGGTAACCAGAAACCTTGAGTCTAATGCAGAATTTATAACCTAGTGGTAGGGGTGTGTATGGGAACACTTTCTTTAAAACAGATTATCCTTACGGCAACACAAAAATAAGCATGTTCCAGTTTTAGCGGGATGTCTCAAATGCAGAATCAGCCCTGGTGGCATTCTTCAATTTGTGCCTAAATGCTCCTTTGTTTGATTTCTTCTGGTGATAGCTCATTTAGTCACAATGCTCTGGAATGTTTTGTTCTACCATTTATCCCTCCTCTCCACAAAGGAATTAAAAAATGAGTGGGGAGGAAGGGAGCTTTGTGGTCCACTGCTGTAATTCCATATCCAGCCATTCAGTAAACATTTTAAGACCTCTCTCACCTGCTCAATTAAAAGATTACTGGAGAAGGGATCCTAAGGCATCCTTCTCAGTCAAAGTGGAGCAGCAAGGATGGGTTTGCACGTACATTTTCTATTTCCAGGAAACAATTTAACCTCTTCATTTCAAAAAAATCTAAGGGATCAGGTTCATTCACTCATTTATTCATTCAACAAACAAGTGCTAGGTACTGTGTTAGAAATACAAAGATGAGTAAGAATTGGTTTTACCTTTGAAGGACTTACACTTTACCAAGGAAATGTAACAAGTATTCCACAATTCTCCACTTCATAAAAATATCTTTACCTCCATGAATGACATCTGACACAGGCCCTATCACTGTATTACTTAGACTATTTATGATGATTTTGACTATGCAACTTGTAATCCTTATATTACTGTCTATAAGTATTATCCTAATAAAGTTAACTAGTTCATATTTGCATGCTTGGTAAAAGAAGGCTGCTTAGACAACTCTTTTCAAAACTAATCCTATATTGGCAGTGGCCTTTCCTAATGAAGCATTCATAAATTCCACACTGCCAACCTATATGTGTGCATAAACCGGAAAGTATCATGTCTTCCCCACTGCGGACTCATTAAAGAGACTCCTAGAGGTCAGGACAGTCTATCCTGGGGTGGGAGTGGATAACAGTTCCTTAGAAGGACACTATAAATATTCATTTCTCCCTATGCATACATTCAAATAGACAAATGAAATAAGTATGTGAGAAAACCAAGTGACAGCCATTTTCCTAGATGAACTATAGGTACTAAAATAGAACAAAATATCTTACCCAACAGCATCCCTTCTATAATTTTACCAAACAAAAATGCTTAGTTACAGGACTTAGTGGCTAGAAGGTGACACAGCAACTTGGCATCTAGATTTGACGACAAGTCACTCTGTCTGATCACAGGGCTGCAATACTTAAGAAAAGTTCAGTGGGTTTTTTTTAGTGTCAAATACCATGTATTTTGCCTGGGTGCCTTACGGGTATGTGTATATAGCCCTGTATTTTTTGGAAAGTGGGAAAAGTACCTCTTGGATCGGAAGGTTTCTATGACTGGAAAGACCATATTTATATTTTTAAGCTATTATCCATATGTCTATCCTTGAGCTCTTTAAGGAAAAAGCCAGAGGTTATGCATTATACAGATTTTATTTCTTGCCAAGAAGCCTCATGCAAAGAAAAGACACTTAAAAATTCATTTTCATAAAACTATGGTCAGCCTAAGAGAAGGGAATTATTGTGTGCTTTGCCTCACTGGCTTAACTTTTGAAAGTTCTATTTCCAATACATTAAGGAACTACAGTTAATTCAGGGTGTAAAAGCTACAGGACCTTTGAAATCATCAGTCTATCCTTCGTTAATTTAAACATACATGTGCTACATGATTTCCGGGACACTCCCTCCCTCTACTCAGAGTACTCTCTCCCTTTGGACCTTGGTCCAAGTAAACATTGTGCATTTGCTGCTTAAGAACCTTTGTCTAAAGATGTCCTCCTTTATAAGATCCAAAACACATTAATTGACAGTTATGGGAAGCCTGCCCTCATAATCTCAGCTGAACTTGTATCTCATTATTTTGGAATTTGCCAGCTTTCTGACACTACACATGGGGCAAGCAATAGGAGGAAAAAAAATGTGACCATATGCATATAAATTATGTAAGTTATTACATAAATATAAATGGGAAACAAATTATGCTGTTGCTTTAAAAATGCATCCTGCAGTGATAGGGAATCAGCCCTTTAGATATTAAAAAGTATTATAATAATTAAAACACATACTAGTAGCAAATGTCTACAGATATACCAATGTAATAGCATAGAAAGTCAAGAAATTGACCCAAAACATGTAAGAATACAGTATATGATAATGGTATTATTCTAAATCAGTAGGGAAAAAAATTACTTCATAAATGTTTTGGAACACATTGGTTGGAACAACAACCAACTGGAAAAAAAATAAAGCTGAAGCCATTTCTCATGTCTTAGGTCAGAACGAATGAATCAGATATTTAAATGTAAAGGTACTTTAAGAAATATGAGAGATGTTTAACACTAATCTCAGAGTGCAAGATTGTATCTAAGTATAATACAAACCAAAAAGATGATTTAGAAACTTTGACTAATTTAACTACATAAAAATAATGTGAACGACATGGCCAAAAAAAAAAAAAAAAAGCACCACAGGGAAGGTAAAAGACAAACTGGGCAAAAGTGTATAGCTCTTACCATAACAAAAGTCTATCTCCCTAATATAGAGACAGTTTCAACAATTAGTAAGAGAACAATTCAACAGGAAAAGCAGCAAAAGATAGGGGTAGAGAAACTTCTGGAAAGGTAAATCAGGTTCTTAAACATATACAATACACTTAGCCTCATGCATATTAAGACAAAAGCAAATGAAACCAAACTGAGATATCACTTTTCACCTTTCAGATACAAACAGTCTAAAGGTTGATAACATACTGTTAGTGGGGGCATGGGAAAAGGTTCATTCTCACATAATGGTGAGGGGAATGGAAACGTGTACAACTCTATGGAGGATAATTAAACAATTCCTTTAAAAAGGACGAAAGAAGTAATTCTATTTTTAGGAGTTTATCCTACCTATGTACACATGTGAATGTGCGAGGTTATTTACTAAAACACTGCCAGTAAGAACTAAAAATTGTAAACAACCTAAATATATATCAATAGAGATTAATATAATAAATGAAAGCATATCTGTATGATGGAGTAAAGTACAATACAACCATAAAAGAGAATGAAATGGTCTTAATGTACTGACAGAGAATCATCTCCATGATACAGTTAAAATGGAAAAAAAATGTAAGTTACAAATGGTTTAAAGGGATACTATATTTTTGGCATCTCTCTAAAGTGATTATACACAAAAAACCTGATAAACTGGTTGCTTTCTAGGTAGAAAACTAGTGGCTGGATACAGAGATAAGAGGGATGCCTTCTACTGCATGCCCTTTTAAATCTTGTTACTTTTGATCCATGGGAATATGTTACCTATACACACTATCATACAATCAAAAAACAATTTCAAATATGACTAAGGCTGGGCCCAATGGCTCACACCTATAATCTCAGCACTTTGGGAGGCCAAGGCAGGAGGATGGTTTATGCCCAGGAGTTCAAGACCAGCCTGGACAACATAGCAAGACTTCCATCTTTACAAAAAAAAAGAATGTTTAAAAAAGTAGCCAGGTGTGGGGACATGATCCTGTAGTCCCAGCTACTTAGGCAGCTGAGGTGGGAGGATCACCTGAGCCCAGGAGTTTGAGGCTGCAGTGAGCCATGATGACGCCACTGTCCTCCTGCCTGGGTAGGGGAGTGAGATCCTGTTGCTAAAAAAAAGACTACAAGTCTAAATCACAATGTATTTCTTTAAAAAGCAGTTAGTGAGAAAAAATAATACATAAAAAGTGCCTTAGATGATTTTATATTATATTCCAACACAACTTAAATATTAAGAAAATTGGGTAAAGTAATAAAAAGGAGTTGGATTTGGAAAGAGCTTGGTTATTATCTTAGATTAGCTACCAGTCACCTATGTGATCTTGCAAAAAACTTTGTGGGCCTCTTTTATCTGTAAAATGAGGGAAGGCATACTAAATGTGTCCTCTACTCTCTTTCTTCCAGCTTTGAAATTTTATCTAGAGAGTCTAATTGTGTGGTTTGACTAGGAATAAACATTTCGTTAAAAACAACAGACAGGTGAGGTCAATGTTCTAGCTGATCAATGATATTAAGTCATTCTGTGAAGATACGAGATTAATATTCATAAAGGAGTGTAGTAAATCATATGTTACTCTATGATTTGAATGAAACAGTTGCCAGGAAATAAAATAGGTGGTATTCCATATTTTGTATCTTTTTTGAACTAACTAGCTTCGACCAATTCAGGGAAAAGAACATAAAAATACTTCCCCTCTATTTTCTTCTCTGACTTTGAAAACAAAATAGAGCATCTTGGGTGTTGTTTTTAAGTATGAGTTAGGTGGTAATGGACATAACATGTTTTTGCTATGGAAAGCGAGGGCTTAAGAAAACGTTTTAGTACTGACATGTGGCTCCAAGAAGCTCTAAAGTCCAAAGGCAACAGATCCTAGAAATTTTCTAAAAACTCTGATCAAAACATCAAAGCTAACTGGTGAGAAAAAAAAAAAAATCAGAGAATTTAGCAAAAGCATTTGTTAGACAAGGATTTTCCATACTTTACATTGTGTTCCATCTAGCAACTTATCATTAATGAGGAGTTTTTAAATATTGGCATTGTTATTTTGTCACCTTTTTAAAGAAAAAAATTATTAAGATCGTTTAAATTCTGTTTATTTCATATAGCTACTTGTGAACCAAATAAAGCCTTACTTTTGATGTGATGGAGAAGTTTTACTTGATTTGCTTGAAACAGACATTTTGAATCTTATTTGATGACTGCAAACATCAGATGCTTCCATCAGAGAAAACATCTGGTCATGAATGTGAAGAATCATTAATTTTTGAAAGGTCATTCAGAGGGAAGTTGTGAAATAAACACTGCATATACATTCAGAACAGTGTTACCAAAGAAAATATAGGCCAAACTGAAAAAACTTGACTCTGCTGTAAAATTTTATATTTGGTTGGCTTTCTCTAAGGAAGCCAAAATTTTAGAAATGTATGTTATCAACTTAATCTTGCTATATTTTGTTTATAGAAAAACTCATAGTGTTATTGTTCTAATTACATTACTCACTTTCAAAGAATTAACATCATAGTTCTCCCCTTAAGCTATTCCCCTATTATGCACCTACTTCTAAAAATTTGATTTTCCTATTTGTTGCTTGTTTCTTTTCTTCAGTTTTGATAAGATGAAATGTGAATGTGAAAAAGAAATGGTTATATCCAATCAAAGCAGTAAAATGTGCTTTCCACCCTCAAGACCCTTTCATTTACTTTTGTTCATGCTAAAAATATTTATTGAGTAGCTCCTATGTGGGAGGCACTCTCTGGATAAACTACAGGATGGCAGTGAACAAAACAGCCAACTGACTTTCATAGTTATTGATGAAAAAGTTAAATGATGCAAAAAGTAAATAATGTAAGGAGGTAGAAAGTGATTATGGAGGAAGGGATTATTTCAAGTAAGGTGGTCAAGAAAGGCCTCTTTGAAAGATGTGATATTTTAATAGAATTTTGAATAATGAGAAACCATCTGTGCAGATTTCTCAAAGAAGATATTACGGGCAATGTGACCAGCTAATGCAAAAGCCGTCTAGAACAACTGTGTACCTTTGTATTTTTGTTTACAGTTCATCCATGAGCTACAGATGCCTATTGCAATCCCTCAGGCCTACCAGTATTGCATTCGCCCTCCAGTGGACAGACAAAGAAAGAAGCTCACTCAAATCATGGAAGCAGAACCCCAGCCATCTGGTCGACTAACTGTGGGCTCCTGATTACCTGGAATATAATCTAGAAGGGGGATACAGGTTCCAGCTGAACTTGTCCCTACAACTCCACCAACTTCTCAGCTAATGGTGATAAACTCAGCTGAAAGAGGGATCAAGCAAGGCCCTCTAAAGCATGAGGCCCTAGGCAAAAACCCTCTTGCCCAGATCTGGAGGTAGTACCCTTGTGATGCTAGCCAGTATGAACTGGTTTTTTTTTTAGACGGCTTTGATGAACATCTGTCTTTTCAATTAAATTATGGAGTAAAAATCACAGATTCAATCAATGCTGCCATCTAAACAGCAGATAAATTATAAAATAATCTCTATGATAAAAAGTGTCCCAGGGTGGACGCGATAATCCCAGCACTTTGGGAGGCCAAGGTGGGCTGATCACCTGAGGACAGGAGTTCGAGACCAGTCTGACCAACATGGAGAAACCCCGTCTCTACTAAAAATACAAAATTAGCTGGGCAATCCCAGCTACTTGGGAGGCTGAGGTAGAGGAATCGCTTGAACCCGGGAGGTGGAGGTTGCGGTGAGCCAAGATTGTGCCATTGCACTCCAGCCTGGGCAACAAGAGCAAAATTCCATCTCAGAAAAAAAGAAAAAAAAAAGGGAAACATTCAAACAAAGCCTAAAATTCAACTTAGTGCACCATCAGATGTATGTAGATCATTGTACTAGGAATCAGAAGACACAGTGACTTAATCCTTTGATTTTGGGTATTAACGCCTCTGAAACTCTATGAAAAAAGAAATAATATCAGTTGTTGGATGAATCTTGCTAAACAATTTAACATTAAATTAGGTTTTATAAAAACAAAGTAATTCTTTCTGGAGCTATTAAAACATCTAAAAACATCCTGTGTGTGATCTTTACACCTACTGTAGCAGCATGATTCCCTCTGTGCCCAGAGCTAGGCTAGACTCTGCCACAGATGGGCAGTGTAGAACAAACTGGGAAAACATACTACTCAAGTTCATGGTAGAGGACTACCAATCACTAGTCTGGCCACTTGGGCAAATCACATAACTTCTTGGTATTCTATACTCTCATTTGTAAAATGGAATTACCTGTATTGTTAACAGGGTCACACTTACAATGTGCTTCACAATTGCAAGCTCCCAAAGTACTTAGTAACTTGTGTTTTAATTGCATGTTTCCACGGCTGGCTTGGGGCAAAAGAAACTAGGTTTTAGATCCCTAGTACCAAAGACGATGCTTGACAACATGCCCTCAAGAAATAGGTAAGGTGAATGGATATTTTTACCTTGTAAATACATTTCTTGGTAGGGATGTCTAAATTTTCTCCTTATTAAAAGAAAAAATAGGAAATTTTAAATAGAAGGGAGTGGAAAAAAAGGAGCCAAAAATTTAGGCTTAATCCTGTCAAGTTACAAAATGTTTCGTATTTCAACAACAGATAGATGGTAGCACAAGGATGATTATATTACTAGCAATGAACAACATGTAAAAATATTAATGAAGGATATGATCTTTCTTTACATAATTCTATGTTTTTAATGTTTCATTGACCCCTTCTCTGTTTGACACCCACTTGAAACCCACTCTTGGCCGGGCGCGGTGGCTCAAGCTTGTAATCCCGGCACTTTGGGAGGCTGAGGTGGGTGGATCATCTGAGGTCAGAGCTCGAGACCAGCCTGGCCAACATGGCAAAACCCCATCTCTACTAAAAATATAAAAAATTAGCCGTGCGTGGTGGGAGGCGCCTGTAATCCCAGCTACTTGGGGGGATGAGGCAGGAGAATTGCTTGAACCCAGGAGGTGGAGGTTGCAGTGAGCTGAGATCACGCTACTGCACTCCTGCCTGGGTCACAGAGTGAGACTCTGTCTTAAAAAAAAAAGAAACCCACTCTTGTACATATTTTTATCTTTTGAGATGGAGCCATTTCCTCCACCTTACCTGTCTTACTGGTAAGACGGGAGGAAATGGCTCCATCTCAAGAGACAAAATCTCAGAAGGAAAGAGATAAAATCTCAGAAGCAAAAAAGACAGTGGGTACAATTAAAATGGATAAACACGGAAGAACAAAGTAGGTGCTAACACAGGTCAAGAACCTGGAAATATGTGGCGGGTGGGGGGCGGGAGAGTGTCAGGAAGAACAGTGAATGGATGCTGGATTTAATACCAAGGTGAAGGGATGATCTGTGCAGTGAGCCGACATGGATGGCACACGTTTACCTACGTAACAAAGCTGCACATCCTGCACAAGTACCCCTGAACTTAAAATAATAGTTAACAAAAAATTTCATTGTATGTATGTTTATCCATCCACCCATTAAAGAACAATTTGGTTTATTCCAATTTTTGGCAATTATAAATAAAGCAGTTATAAACAAACATATGACTCTAGAAATAGATATGAGCAGTTGTTTCATAAACTGCAAAGGCCTAGGTTTGAATCAACTCAATGAAACCTATGACGTTAAGTGATGCATTCTCCCAGACTAATAAAAGACATCTCCAGCATTTCAATGGTCAATGCCAAGTCCATAATCAAAGCACACAGCAAAAGAAGTATGAATTTAAAAGTACTTACATAGGGGAAAATACAAAGAGCATAGAAATGACTGTCAACCAACTCTTACAGCTAAGTGGAAAAAAGGTGCCAAACTGATAAATTAGGGGATATTTCTTTAACATTTAAATATTAAATATGATTAAACATTTGAATTTTAATATTTTGATATTAAATATTAATATTTAATAAAAATATTAACATTACAACATAATAACATAAATATTGAATAAAGTATTTAATATTTTAAACATTTAAATTTAAGACTACCCATCTTGGCTGCTAGTAATAATACCCATAAGCAACTGTTTTTTCACAACTTGTAAGGACAATTTTTTTTTTTGGCTTTACTTTATCCTTGCAGGAAAGATAATTTCAAAGACTTCAGGCTCATTTTTCCATTGATGATGTCGCTCCCAAAACTTGCTGAAAATCTCTCAAAGGCAAGACACTTATTTTATATTTGTCTCAAGTAAATTTGTTCTTTGGGACAAGTTTAATTTGTCCTCTGGGGAAAAAAAAGGATAGCTCCCTTATTCCTAGCCATGCCAAGATGCTTTCTAGAGGGTAAAAAGAACTTAGTTTATGTAAAGAGAGAGAGAGGGAAAAGAGAGAAAAAGGTGTGTGTGTGTGTGTGTGTGTGTGTGTGTGTGTGTGTGTGTGTGTGTGGTGTCTGTGTGTATGCACCCAACATGAAGTAGGGGGTTGGGTATTAACAGGAAAAGCCAGTGATGAGAACTCATTAAATACTTGTTGAATGGAAAGATTATATCCCCAAACCTTCCATTTTCTAACTTGTATTTCAGGTTCTTACATTTTAAACTTTAGGACATCTCATTTAATCAATAAGAGGAAATTTGCAAACAATTTCGATTGCTCATGTATTAAAAGGAAACAAATTCTAAAGTACCTAAAACAAATTCTACTGTCTGAATGCCACCTGGGGTTAAATTCATACCATTTGATTAAATGCAGTCTTAATTCAGAGATTGAACTGGGACAACAAAGAATTCCCCCCAGCTTCACTCCAGGGTCAAAATCATCACTGCATGAAAAACACAGTGGCATGACTTCATTCTACATTTATTTGTCTTTTGAATAATCATCCTCTAAGCAATTCGAAAGCCAAGGCAAGGTAATTAATAAAATCTATTCAACATTTAAAGTAAATATATGTTACATCACTCTGGCCTTAGTATTGTTGAAGTTTTAGATAACTGCAAGAATGACAATTTCACCTTAAAACAAAGCATTAATCACTTAATGGGTTTTTGTTCTTTGACCAATCCCACAAATCTGTGCCTAAATCATTTCAGATATTCCCAGATCTGTATTTGCAAAAATTGGATGCCCTCAAGTTGTATATCAAGTGAATACAAAGAGGAGCTTTATTTTGTACAGAGTAGAGAAATTGTTCAATTCAGCTGAGATTAGTATAAAAAAGAGGCAAATGCTGGCAAAGGAAAGGGCGTTCTCATTATTTCTCCAAGCAGAGGACATAGGGTGATCTGCTAAATATCAAAAAGCATGTCAGCATCTTGCTTCTCAATATAACACACCACTTAATTCCATAGCTCATAAGCAATGGTCATGAAAGCTATATTTCTATGGAGAGAAACACTCTTCCCTTGTGACTAATTCAGCTCCATTGCACATACTGTCTTCTCCTAGCTATTTAAATATAAATGGCAATGGCTATTGTTTCTAAATTTCCACGGCTCCTACTGCTATGGTTTTGATCACAGTGGGAAAACTCAGGGAGGGGGAATGGTTTGAGCCTGTAAGTTCAGAGCTGGGTACCAGGAGTTTTCATTTCATCCATTTTGCGCTTTCTCTTTTTAAGTAAGAGGCATTCTCAATACTCTGGGAGCTTCAGTTCTATGTTTTTTAAATCTTTCCAGCATCTTTCAATCTCTTCACTGTCAGAATTTAAAATCTTAGAAGTCAAGGGGTGACCAATTGTTATGTTGGCAAGCTCTAGCTTTATGAATCAAAGGGAGATGGGTAAAAATTAGTCTTTTCTTTCTGTTGTTACAAGATAAATATGCAACCTTTAGGGAAATGAGTGAAGTTTGCATAAGTGTATTCTGTCCCCTTGAGGTTAACCTATGTTTTTAAATCCTAAAATGAGTTCAAAATACATAAATAAATAAGTAGCATGAAGTTGTTGGTGAGGAGGAGTGTGAATGAAGACCCGCAATGTGGGCCCCACACACAACAGAGAGAAATGATAAGGGACTGCCTTGGGGGAAGGTCTCTGACTTGGTGTTTTCATTATATTTTCCTTTTTCCTGAACTGTAACCTTACACTTGGCAGAAAGGGCAGGGGTGTTTTGCAACCAAAAACACTGGAATTGTGGCAGCTCTTAAACACCATCATCACCCTCTGAAATATTTAGCAAACAGCTACTTTGGTCAGGGTGGGGGAAAAGCATGCCTTTCGGCCTCAGGGAAAAATGCTGTCCAAAATCCCCGGGCAAAGGGAAAGGGATTGGCATTTTCTCCCCTAAATCCAGTTGCCTGAGGCAAACCGAATGTTTTCTCAATTTGAGTGCTATTCCCTCACCTCAGAAACCACTGTCGGGGCTTCCAGTGAGGTGGTACTCGACAAAACTTGCGGGTCATAGCACATAAAAATCTGGAAGAAGGCCTGATGAATGAGTGCACCGGCTGGAGCTCCCGTCGGTCCTACGCCAGCCCTACGGGAAGGCGAGCGGTGCCCCAGCTCCCAGCTTCCTGGCAGTCTCCATGTGTGTCGCAGAGGAGTGCCAAGTCACTTCACTGGGCCTCCCTCACCCTGAACACGTAATCCATGCCCACCACAGTCAATTAGAGGAGCCCTGGGGCTGAGGCTCAGAGAAGGAGAGAGAAAACACATTTTCATCACTGTCATCAAGCCTGACACTTTCTCAGTCTGAAGACCCAGGAGCAGCGAATCTCCCCCACCAAGCTTCCTTCTTTCATGCTGTGTGTTTTGGATGGCTCACCCTGGAGTCTGTTGTGTCAATGTTCACGGAAATATGATGTGTTTACTGGACCCAAGGAAGGTACCTATCACCAGTTCTCTCTCTCCACTCCTCGGCCCTCTGCCCCCAAAAGGGTTCCACCCTGGCACATTTGGGCCCTTAGCACTAAAATGAGAGTTGGCCTTGACCACAGTTCCCAACAACCCTACTGAGCATCGGTGACTTGAGGAAGGGCTGTCAAATTTCTGGCACCTGCTTTACTCTTTAAAGATTTTGTTCAGTTTAATATTAAATACTTAGCAGCTCAGTATCAGAGTGAAGAAAAGTAGAGGATAAAGACTGAGACTATAGGCTAGAGGGAGGCTGAGGATCTAATTAGATTTCCCGGAGATCCAGGAGGCCAAGGTCGGGTCTCCAAGTTTCTCTAGTCCCCACAGTGGCTATGCTAGTGCCTTGCCCAGAGTAGGTGCTCCGGAGTGATTTACAGAATTAATGACTGTATTCACTGCTCTTTTAGTCAAAGAATAATTGGTAATCCTGTTTTCCAGGGCCTAAACACCTAGGAGAAAGCAGAAAAGCAAGCTCTAGTTCAAGAGTTCTCAGTCTGGAAAGAGGAAGAAAATAATCCTATGTCATTTACAGTTAGGAGCATCTGGACCTAGGTTTATGACAGACCAATGAAGTTTTGTCACAAAGCTAAGGCATAAATAATGTAGATGTTGATGGTTGTTTTTCAGGTACTCTGACTTCCAATGGGTAGAGAAATCACTGGTTATAATAATTTTTAAAATACAACTATTTAATTTTTTTCATGTTTTGTGCAAAATAAACTATTTCTACCCATTGTTTCCTTAATGCCACCAAACTGTCCCATGGAAGAATCATCCATTTTTTTTACCAGGGAGACTGAGGCATAGTGGGGTTAAGTGACTTAACCCAGTCACATGATTGTAAGGGACCTGAAACAAGAACCCTGATGACATAAATCCATGCCCATGGATTTCCATAGAGCACAGGAACTCCCTTCTGAAATATCTTGTCAGCTGATGGCATAGGTTAGGGGAGCACATCTTTTCTCTCTCCCTTTGGGTTATCACAACATTTCAAAGCCTGGAGATTAATCAACGCCATTCAAACACTTTACTAAAAGCTGTACAGTTGAAAGGTGGGGGAAGGAGGAAAGAAAATAGGAGAGAGACAGCCCAAAAGCTTCTTAAGCTGACAAGCAACTTCAACAAAGTCTCAAGATACAAAATCAATGTGTAAAAATCACAAGCATTCCTATACACAACAATAGACAAGCAGAGAGCTAAATCATTAATGAACTCCCATTCACAATGGCTACAAAGAATAAAATACCTAGGAATATAGCCAACAAGGGAAGTGAAGGATCTCTTCAAGAAGAACTACAAACCACTGCTCAAGAAAATCAAACAGGACATAAACAAATGGAAAAACATTCCATGCTCATGGATAGGAAGAATCAACATCGTGAAAATGGTCATACTGCCCAGAGTAATTTATGGATTCAATACTATTCCCATTAAACTATCATGAACATTCTTCACAGAATTAGAAAAAACTTCTTTAAAATTCATATGGAACCATAAAAGAGCTCATATAGCCAAGACAATCCTAAGCAAAAAGAACAATGCTGGAGGCATCACGCTACCTGACTTCAAACTATACTACAAGGCTACAGTAACCAAAACAGCATGATAGTGGTACAAAAACAGACATGTAGAACAATGGAACAGAATAGAGATCTCAGAAATAAGACCACATATCTATAACCATCTGATCTTCAACAAACCTGACAAAAACAAGCAATGGGGAAAGGATTCCCTATTTAATAAATGATGCTGGGAGAACTGGCTAGCCATATGCAGAAAATTGAAACTGGACCCCTTCTTTATACCTTATACAAAAATTAACTCATAGAAGAAAATCTAGGCAATACCATTCAGGACATAGGCATGGGCAAAGATTTCATGATGAAAATGTCAAAAGCAATCACAACAAAAGCAAAAATTGACAAATGGGATCTAATTAAACTAAAGAGCTTCTGCACAGCAAAAGAAACTATGATCAGAGTAAACAGGCAACCTACAAAATGTGAGAAAATTTTTGCAATCTATCCATCTGACAAAGGGCTAATATCCAGAATCTGCAAGGAACTTAAATTTACAAGAAAAAAAAAAACCTATTAAAAAGTGGGCAAAGGACATGAACAGGTACTTCTCAAAAGAAGACATTTATGCTGCCAACAAACAAGAAAAAAAGCTCATCATCACTGATCATTATAGAAATGCAAATTATAACCACAATGGGATACCATTTCACACCAGTTAGAATGGTGATCATTAAAAAGTCAAGAAACAACAGATGCTGGTGAGACTGTCGAGAAACAGGAACACTTTTGCAGTGTTGGTGGGAATGTAAATTAGTTCAACCATTGTGGAAGACAGTGTAGCAATTCCTCAAAGACCTACAATCAGAAATACCATCTGACCCAGAAATCCCATTACTGGGTATATACCCAAAGGAATATAAATCATTCTATTATAAAGATACATACATGCGTATGTTCACTGCAGCACTATTCACAATAGCAAAGACATGGAATCAACCCAAATGCCAATCAATGATAGACTGGATAAAGAAAACATGGTACATATACACCATGGAATACTATGCAGCCATAAAAAAGAACAAAATCATGTCCTTTGCAGGGACACGGATGGACCTGGAAGTCATTATCCTCAGCAAACAAACACGGGAACAGAAAACCAAACACTGCATTTCTCACTTATAAGTGGGAGCTGAACAATGAGAACATATGGACAGGGAGGGGAACAACACACACTGGGGCCTGTCGTGGGGGTGGGGGTGGGAGCAGAAGGGAGAGCATCAGGATAAATAGCTAATGCATGTGGGGCTTAATACCTAGGTGATGGGTTGATAGGTGCAGCAAACCACCACAGCACACATTTATCTATTAACAAACCTGCACGTCCTGCATGTGTATACTGGAACTTAAAATAAAATTAAGTTATCCAGGCGTGGTGTCTCATGCCTGTAATCCCAGCACTTTGGGAGGCCGAGGTGGGCAGACTGCATGAGCTCAGGAGTTCAAGAACCAGCCTGGGCAACACGGTGAAACTTCCTCTCTACCAAAATACAAAAAAATTAACCAGGCGTGGCAGTGTGCGCCGGTAGTCCCAGCTACTCGGGAGGCTGAGGCAGGAGAATTATTTGAACCTAGGAGGTGGAGGTTGCAGTGAACCAAGATCGTGTCACTGCACTCCAGTCTGGGCAACAGAGTGAGACTCCATCTCCAAAAAAAATAAATAAATAAAATAAAGTTTAAAAAAAGAAAGAAAATAGCAGAGAGAATGGCATAACTCTAGAGCCTTTATGTTCCACATAAGGAATTTTGGGAGGTCCTCACTTACTGGAAGCATTTTAAAATGGTTGAGACTCATTTAGTCTGCAAATGACAGGAGAACTGTCTGATGAGTAGAGAATAAAAGCCTAAACAGGCGAAAGAATTCTTAGGCACAGCCTTGGCAATGATGATAGAAATCCTTTTTCCCTCCAGGGCACTTTCTGACTTGTAATTTAAGAGCACATAAAGTTCAAGGCCTGAAAATTGCCCAAATTTTGAAAAAGAAAGAGAAAAACCTGTAACCAAAAGCCTTAGTTACCCAGCTGCTCTGAATTAGATTGAATTAATGAGAGATTGAATTAACAAGATGAGGCAAAAGAAGGTGTGATGGTTACTGATTAAGAATTGGGTTTCTGTGGCCGGGCATGGTGGCTCACACCTGTAATCTCAGCACTTTGGGAGGCCAAGGTGGGCGGATCAACTGAGGTCAGGAGTTCAAGACCAGCCTGGCCAACATGGTGAAACCCCATCGCTACTAAACATACAAAATTAGCTGGGTGTGGTGGTGCACACCTGTAATCCCAGCTACTTGGGAGGCTGAGACAGGAGAATTGCTTCAACCTGGGAAGTGGAGGTTGAAGTAAGCCAAGATCACACCACTGAACTCCAGCCTGAGTGACAGAGGGAGACTCCATCTCAGAAAAAAAAAAAAAAAAAGGATTTCTGGAGTCCAAGGAACCCGTGTTTGAGAATTCTCGCTTGCCCAGTGCAAAGTAGGGTGACCTCAGGCAAGTTAACCTCTGTATGGAAAACAGTGAAGATCAATGAATCTAAAGAGTAAATGAGCTAATTCATGTCAAATACTCAGCACAGTCCTTGGCACAGGAATGTCCACCATGTGACTATGGTAACGCGTTCGTGAACCAAGCTACACCCACCAACAAGCTTGCTTCTTTTATTGGTCCAAGAACTGCAAGCTTGAGTTTAGACCCGACTGACCAGAGAATGATACTGAAGGTAGAAGTTTTATAAAGAAAGTAGAAAGCTGGAGACCTATACTATCCAGCCCTTTACTTCTTTGTTTCAATTTCCCTAGGTATAAGCTTAAGGGGTTGAGTAAGGTCAGTGATTTGACTCCAGGGGTCCAGGGAAGTGCCTCCAAGACCCAGGGATTGAAGTTAAGCAGTAAGGCCAATCAATGTTCTGGCCCCCTCCTCTCTACTCTCCAAAGTAAGCCATCTCTTGAATGAAATGTTCTGCTTCAAACAAGAAAAGACAATCACCAAAGTTCTGAGATTCTGTGTAGTTAGTAAAAGTCGACTGAGTCTCTGAAACTTGCGGACCTACTTTTGTCTAGCATTAGAACAATGACATTAAGCTCTGAGAACTGGCATCCAGATCACTTATACAAAATTATAGCTATGTAAAGTTGATTCATTGTCGTTTGTAACCAATTTTCTAACTACTTTTTCTTATGGAGTAATTAGCAGTAGCCTTAGAATGAAGACGAGAACCATCCTCAGCTGTGATGATGCCAGAACCGCCCCCCCACCCCCCGCCATAGAGGGCAGGCCATGAGGTTTCCCCATTGTAGTGGACTTCCAGACCTTCTCTATAGCAATTCCAGTGAACACAAATGTTCCCGAGGACACCAAGGCCATGTTTAGAAAAACAAGTAGGTAATGTACATAACGACATCTATGATGATAAATAATCAAGTCTATAATAAAGAAGGTCACACGAAGTTTTCACACACCTTATCAAATGGTCCCTACCGTTGACTATGGAGAATTTTTGAGTCTTTATGAGATGAATCAGATCTGACCATTTTTCCACATTTCCATAGACATAACTCTAACTTAGATGCTCATTTTCTCCATCTTGCTCACTGAAATCCCTAATAATCCCCTGGCTGGATTTCTATAAAATCTGGCCCTCATGTATTTCATCTTCCAAGCTCTTGCAGTGGACTTCAGTAGGCAAATTCTTTCACCCTCGCACCTTCTAGGTGAGGGCATCTTCCTTTCTATGGTGCTTCCAGAGCACACTATGTTTATCTCTGCCACAACCACTAAGAACAGCAGTTTAACCATTTGTCAGACTTTTTCATGAAGCATATTCCTCTGGAAGAAAGAGGCTATATTTTTCTTATCTGTGTCCCTGGCATCTGGAAGATTACTTGACTGATAACGGATGTGCAATACATGTTTGCTGAATAAATTAACTTACCTGTTAACGCGCGAGCGATATAACAGGACCCTGTGATATACTTAGACTGGCAGTCAAGACCTTGCGTCGGTTGAACTAGTTCCTGAGACTGACCCTTCAACACTTGTTGGACACAGTTGTTCCTTGCTAAGCTTTCAAATCAACTCGATTCAACACACATTTACTCAGCACAATCAGGTGCCAGGCACTGTGCTAGGCACTAGTGTTGCATCAGTGAATCAACAACATCCCTCTGACTCCCTGGATCAGTGAAGATAACTTATTAATTGCTGGCAGTTAACTATAAAAGGCTGGGCCCTGGCCAGGCGCAGTGGCTCACGTCTGTAATCCCAGTACTTTGGGAGGCCCAGGCGGGCGGATCACCTGAGGTCGGGAGTTTGAAACCTGCCTGACCAACATGGAGAAACCCCGTCTCTACTAAAAATACAAAATTAGCTAGGCGTGGTGGCGCATGCCTGTAATCCCAGCTATTCAGAAGGCTGATGCAGGAGAATCATTTGAACCTGGGGAGGCGGAGGTTGTGGTGAGCCGAGATCATACCATTGCACTCCAGCCTCGGCAACAAGAGTGAAACTCTGACTCAAAAAAAAAAAAGGCTGGGCACTGCCCTTGAGGCGCTCACAGCCCAGTGAGGGAGTTATTAGAATACCAAATGACATGTCTTTAGCAACAGAGGAATCCCCTTGGTCCCTTCATGTTCTAAAATGTTCTATCAGGCAACCTTTTGAAAGCTTTAGCATGCTCTTACCACTAAACTGCATTGTATGAAATGGGCCAACAACACAGAAAATAGGCACCCAAGCTTAATCCTCAAGGACTGTTTGTGAAAGCTGTTCCCTTAAGGTACATCATAGCTGCTTCCAGGCTCTGCATTAGAAAATGTTGCTCTCCACATACACGCCATGGAATACTATAAAGCCACAAAAAAGAATGAAATCATGTCGTTTGCAGCAACACGGATGCAGCTGGAGACCATTGTCCTAAGCAAATTAATGCAGGAACAGAAAACCACATGCCGCTATGTTCTCACTTACAAGTGGGAGCTAAACATTGGGTACTCATGGACATAAAGATGGCAACAGCAGATACTGGGGGCTACTAGAGGGCGGAAAAAGTAACTATTGGGCACTATGCTCACTACCTGGATAATGGGATCAATTATACCCCAAGCTTCAGCATCAGGCAATATACCCATGTAACAAAACTGCACATTCACCCCCTGAACCTAAAGTAAAATAGAAGTTGATATTATTAAAGAAAAAAATAAATAAATAAAACACTTAAAAAAGGGGTGGAAATGTTACCCTGTATTTGCAGTAAGATTCAAGAGGAAATGGATTACCTCCTTCCCCCCTTGAAGACTATTTCCTAAGGCTACCTGTGACCCAGATCAAGAGGACCAAAAGCCATATAGAGGCAGAACTAGTTCTCCTTTATGTTAAAGATATAACTTTAACATAAAGTGCTTAAGGGTTTTTCACAACATACACTGTGGTAGAAATAGGATGGACAAAACCAGATGGTTCTAGATCTAATTCTAGGAAGCATTACATAGTATGTGACCCTGCCCAAGTGACTGAACTTATCTAATTTATTTGTTTTTCTCATTTTGTTGTGAGCCAAAGTGCAGGGCACATAATAGGTATTTGGTAGAAAATGGTTCTCTTCCAATTCCACTACCACCCTTCCTACAAAATTGTCACATATGTTTAATGACAGGTCAAGTGGACACCCTGGAAGTGAAAACATGGGTAGGTTCACCTGCTATTCATTAAATTTCATTGAAATCTGTAAAACCACTAAAAGAGATCTACCTCTATAGCGAGAAGAAAGACTTTTTTCAAGAGCACATTCCCATGAGATTGGGATGGCAAGTTGCTCTCCTTATGGGCAATGTATCCAATAAATAACCTACTTGTAAGTAGATCTTAAAAAGTTATTGTTGAGGGGAGACACTTCAGCTGACAACCATGATGTCATTTTCCAATTTGATGCTGCTACACACTGTTCAAAATACAGTAGAGTTTTTGTTTCACAGTCACCATTGCAAGAAATATCCGACAGGCATTTGGGCCAGTCCCCACCAATACACAATCTGTCAAGATTGACTTCTGAAGAGATTGTTCCTTTTTGTGACATGCCTCCAGTGTGGGGTATTGAGTACCCTTTCTAGCCCTGCCTCAGTATAGGTTAGTACGTACCCAAAGTGTTAACCTCAGAGTGATTCCTAGAGACACCGGTTGACACAAGGGCTTAGGGCCAAGAGAGGTCAACACAGCATCTAAGGGCAACACACCCTGAAGTGTGTTGATCCTTGCACTGGACTTGTCTACCTTATGACACCTTTCATCTACCCTCTGGTATATCTGTCTATAATGTGTCCCTGATAGCTCACATGCTGCTGAACTTAGTCCATGTTCCCAATTACAAACCACATCACTGCTAGTAATCTGTAGCCCTCGGGTGGTGGTTGCAGAGTTTAGGATATTGTTCTTCCCAAGAATCCCCTCTTATTTTGGAATCAGTGACTGAAAAAGCAAACAACTGGCTTTCTACATTCATTAATTTTTACTTCATAGACCTAAGAATGGGGGAAATAGCCTTACCAAAAAAGTCACCAATAGGCAGTATGATAATTAATTTTATGTGCCCACTTGACTAGGCCACAGGGTGCCCGGATTAAATACTCTCTTTGGGTATAACTGTGAGGGTGTTTCTGGATAGGATCAGCATCGAATTGGTGGGCTCAGTAAAATGAATTGCCATCCCCAATGTGGGTGGGCATCACTCAATCCACTGATGGCCTGAATAAAACAAAAAGCAGAAGAAGGGAGGATGCATTCCCTTCCCACGTGCCTGCATGAGCTGGGGCACTGGTCTTCTGCCCTAGGGCTGGGATTTCCATCAGTGGCTCCCCTGGTTCTCAGACCTTTGGACTCAGGCTGGAATTACACTACTGGCTTTCCTGGGTCTCTGGCTTGCAGACGCAAATCGTGGGACCTCTCTCAGCTTCTGTAATCAAGTGAATCCACTCCTCATAATTAGTATCTCTCTTTCTCTCTCTCTCTCCACACACACACACACACACACACACACACATATACACACATACACATATATAGGATGTAAACAGGAGATGTATATCTCCTACTGGCCCTGGGTCCCTGGAGAACCCTAATACAGTGCGTACTAAAGGCCTACAAATTGCTTCACTTGGCTGCCTCTTGTGTCCTCCCACAGATGCTTTGCCTTTGGGGCAGGATCTAAGAGATCTTCCAGTTCAAACCCTTCATTTGACAAGCAAAGAACATGAATCCAAGTGGTATCACAACTTATTTGTGATAGGAAAGGTCTGTTCCCCCTCAGGCCTGCCTCTGGACTACTATTCCACCACCATTTCACGGTCTAATCCTTGATGCTTGGCTTTGACATGGAATTGAACCAATATGGATTAATGCTCCCCCACCCCCGCCATTGGCATGAAGAGAAAAGATGCTATTTAAAACAAAGTTTTGGCTTCCTAAACAAATTGTTGATTTGGAATATGGCCTACAAGGAAATAGCCTTGTTACACCTATATAGTAGATACGCAATGAGCACTTAATTAATACATGAAGTTGAAATGGACCATGAATTAACAAAGGCATTCATCAAACCAAAATTCTACTGCTATTAGTCATACATTGGCATTCATGGGCTTTATTCCCTCACCCATACATCAACATGCACACACCTAGTAACCATCAAGTATCAAGGACAAACATCCCAGGTGCAAAGCACAGACTCTCCGCTTACGGAAGGCAGGTGGGGTGGTGCTAGCTGCCCCATAACTCACTGCGTTGTTGGCATGTTTTTTTCAACTGTGTCCTAAACACAAGCTTTATTTCATTGCTTTTATCTCAAGGTGTGGTTAAATATTTGAAAACATTAAGATAATGTCAGAAAGAGGGTTCTAGAATACTCTCAATGTAAGCACACTAGTCAAGCAATTAAATATTCACTGTCTTGAGTGAAAAAAATTAAAAAAGAAAAACATTATAATATAAGATATTTTTAGAACTCTGACTTGGTGTTCTGGCCAAAGAACTTTCACCCAGTTATGATCTGAGCTACCTAAGTATGGAATTTAGATTTCCCTGGTATTCTGGCCAGTGCCTTCTTGAACCCATATACACAATTGAGCATGTTCTCTTGAGGAAAAAAAACGATGCAGCAGAAAGTGTCATCAAATGTGCTCACCAAGAACCACAATGACAGTCCAGATACTCTCCCTACATAGCTTCGAATCCTCTCAACAAAAGAAGCAGTTGGATGTTGTTTCCATTTTCCAGATAGAGAAACTGAGATTCAAAAAGGTTAAGCAAAGTGTCCAAGGCCACGTAAAAATGTGCAGAGCTGGGATGTGAACCCACTCCTAAGCCTCTGCTTTTTCCACTATATGGTATACGGTGACTGAATTTTTTTTTTAATTTTTATTTTTTTGAGACGAAGTCTCGCTCTGTCACCCAGGCTGGAGTGCAATGGCACGATTTCGGCTCACTGCAACCTTTGCCTCCTGGGTTCAAGCAATTCTCCTGCCCCAGTCTCCCAAGTAGCAGGGATTACAGGAGCGTGCCACCATGCCCGGCTAATTTTTGTATTTTTAGTAGAGACGGGGTTTCACCATGTTGGTCAGGCTGATCTCGAACTCCTAACCTCGTGATCCGCCCGCCTCGGCCTCCCGAAGTGCTGGGATTACAGGCATGAGCCACTGTGCCCAGCCAGCTGAATTATTTTTTAACCAAAAGTAAAAACGAACTCAAACAAATGCTCTAACACTACCCCCAGCCCACACCTGGCATGAAGTCTACACCTCTTTAAGTTGGCTAAAAACCACAGGAAAACTAAATGTCAAGAGGCTGTATGTGGCAGACACTGTCAACAAAATGATTCAGGTGAAGATGCCGCTCTATAATTCTTATTCTTCCAAGTTGCTTATTTTAAACACAAAAGTTCCTTAGATTTTCACCATAAATTGTTAGAATTGAAAATGTGAGAATAATTTTAGAGGAAAGCTGTGATTTCCACAGGTCTGCCAAAGCCTGAAGCCCAGAAGAGCCAAGATTATGTTATTTTTCCCCAGAGTGGTATGTTAGTAGAGCCATCTCTCTCTCTTGTTGGATAAAGTATCCCCAAATGCTAACCTGTGAGCCGTGGCCCAATCTGATCTTTTAACTTTGCTTTTATATGGTAATTAAAAAGAGAAAGAAAAAGGAGAATAAAAAATTATGCTAATAAGAATAATAGCTATAATTTATTCATACAACAGTATTAGGAGTGTGGTTGGCATCATGTAAATGACATTATTATGGATGAGGAAACTGGGACTCAGGTTTCATTCTTTGCCCATGTTCCCACAGCTAGTGATTGGCAAAGCAGAATTCAGGCAAGATCTGACTCCAGAACCCATGCGATTAACCAACACACACACAGTGTCTTATGAAGCAAGAGGGGACCAGCTCTGGGTGTGCGCAGAGGCCCATTCAGGGCTGTGCTGCCACTCAGCACTTCTGTGGGTCCCATTTCAATTTCCGCCAGCCACTTGGGTGTGATGTCTTCCTGACATCAGTGAATTCACTGATGTGGCCACAGTGTACAGATGGGCCAAATTATGTGTGCCCATCACAAATGCTGGTTCTCGATCAGCTTCCAAATCTCTGCTGAGAGCTCCGTGAGCAGATGACAATGAGTGTCTACTTCAGCCTGCCTCTTTTCAAGGTTAGGCTGCACAGTGGAGCCAGGCACACACTCCAGCACCACAATTTAAAACCTACTATCTGTTCTCCTGCAAATACCCAGTTGTCAAAATGCAACAGTTTTGATTCTTATGAAAGAGCCACTCTACCGCATTCCTAGCCCTCAACATCCAGCTGGCTCCAGGATGAATCTGCCAAGACTCTCACCCCATGTGCTCGCTGATTGCCTGGCCCCTGGCCCAGCTGGATCTGCACCTGCCGAGTTGCCAGGCCTGGTGTGAAGCCAAGCGCTTTCTCCACATCCTCCTTTTGACCCAGGAGCTGAAGAAGTCTTTCTGAATGAGCTAAAGGAAGAACGACATATCCACCCTTCAGAGCCCACATCAAAGGCCTCCTCTTCTGAGAAACCACCCATGCTCCTTCCCAGCTCCTCCCAATCCTCAACTCCACTCAGAGAGGTCTTCCCTGACCACACTCTCTCAACGTGGCCCCCTCCCCCAGTTACTTGAGCACCACCCTGCAGACCTGCCTTCTAGTGCTCACCACAATCCCAATCCATGCTGGTTATTTATGTTTATCTGTTTATTTTCCATACCCGCACAGGAACCCTGTACTCTACCTGGGCAGTAACCTCACAGCCTCCATCCCTACTGCCCATGGTGAGCACAGCGCCGGGGATACAGCAGATAATCAATACCAGAATTAGTGCTGTCCAACAAAAAGAGAATGCAAGGCGTGCTAGTTTAAATTTACTAGTGTCCACATTGAAGATGCAAAAAGAAACAGTTGAGATGATTTTTTAACAATATGCTTTATTTAACCCAGCATATCCAAAATATTATCACTTCATCATGTAGGCGATATAAAAATTACTAATGAGCTATTTTACGTTCTCTGCCTTTAAAATCAGCTGTGTCCTTCACTTACAGCACATCTCAGTTTGGATGCCAAGTTTTCACCAGAGATATTTGATCTGCATTTAGATCTCATAAAATTGACAGTTGAAATAGGTTCATATACCCAAATCATATCAAACATACTTAAACATGTTCTAATAAGTCAAGTGTCAGTTGTAAAATTTGAATTTAAAGTTAATACAATTTAATTAAGTGAAATTAAAAATCCAGTTCCTCAGACGTACTAGCCACATGCCAAGCACACAATGGCCACAGTGGTTAGCGGCTGCCATATTCAGGAGTCAGATTTGAATGATTAAATGAGAGAACAAATGTATCAAACATTTTACAATATTGGTCATTTCATCAATTAAGTGTAAGGAAATTACTCTTGGCACCAATTGACTGAAAGGCCTTAAATTTCATAGATTTCCTCAGGAGCTTAAATCACTTTGTAGCAAGTGAGTGGCATTTTGTATCACTTTCATGTAGAGATGCACCAGCCCCAGGGGCTGGGCCACCAGTCAGAGGTGAAGCTACATAAGAGGCACCCGATGCAGTGACCTGGACTTCAGGTTCAGCTCAATCACAAGGACTCAGTTCAGTAGCAACAGTAGCTGATAGAATCAGGGACACTGCTAAGCCACACAGCTCTTTTGTTTGATTAGCAAGAAGCCATCTTCCTTCCAGGCAGATGTTACTTGATGCCATTCCTCTGGTACTTTACCTCTTTCCACTTTTCATTCTAACTAATTGTGGACATCATTTCAATTTCCTTATAGAAGAGTCATCTACTTGGTTTCTGGAGAGAGCCTTCTTCATCACTGTACAGGGTAGCCAGATGTGCCCATTTGACCAGGACAACTGAACTCAAGCCTGTTGCCCTGGTGTCATCTGCACTCCTTTTCACTCTCAAATTCTGGAAGAGTATAATTTATGGCAGAGCCTCTCAGGAACTGAGCTCCTGGCAGGCACTCGGGAAACAGCTGTCGAATGTTAATAAGTAGAGCACGGCTGGAGCACGAAGGAGAGCCGATGCTCATCTCTGGCCTTCTCTTCTATAAATATAAATTTAGGGAATAATAAATGCAACCCTGTGATATAGAAAAAGTGTAAACTGGCCTTTATAGTAATAAGATTTAATTTACAATCTTTGGCGTCTTAAATTTCCTTTTGTTCTTCAGCTGTTTTTCTTTATTCATGCCCTTTCACATGATCACATTCCCTCTGTTTTCCCAGAATATTAAAATTAGTTTTTTTCTCTGATAGTCTCTCTCTTGTCTTGCTTCTTCCCCAGCCCCTATTTCCTTTCAGGGATTAACTGCCCACAGAGTTTTGGATTTCTCACTCCTTCAGAAGTCTACACTATTGAGCTGCCCTGACCTCTGGTTGTTTCAAACTAATCCTATTCCTTCCAAGTCTTTCATTTATTTCCCCTTCAGTTCTCCAGCTTGTAAGAATATGACAATTGCTCTGACTGAGTCTTCTGACCTATAATCTAACAAAGGTAGGCAAAAGAAGAAAGAATTGTCTGTTTTATCTTTATTTCACAGTTGAAAAAAGACCTAAAATCTATTCTACGTTGCTTCTTCAATCTCCTTCACTCTCCAAGTCTTCACCTTACATACAGTTAGTTACACTTCTGTCTCCATCATAGAACACAGGTAGGATTACAAATGTGGACTTTGGTGTTGGACACATGAGTTTGAATCCTAGGTCCTCCACAAACTAGTGTCCAAAATTGCTTCTTCTGCCCTACATAGAATAGGAATTACAATATCTACCTCAGAGGGCTTTGCAACGTTTAAGTGGAACCATCACAGACCCACAGTGAGCACTCAACAGGCAGCTATTGTCTTTACCATAAAGCTTACCATACCTTACTCATTCCTATTTCTCCCCTGCACTAAGCACAGTGTTGTGCCCAGCACATGGTGAGTATCCAATAAATAGTCTTTTCAGTTGAATGTTTATTGCTGCAAATGAAACCAATGGGACTTGGTTCCCATAAGGATTCTTAAGTTTCACCGGCAAATATCTCCATTTGTGCCGTGGCCACAGAGTCGGCCCCGAGCCCAGCCACACTGGAGTATGTACAACTGCTGGACATGGGGCATTCAGCAAGAAGTTAACTGGGTTAATACAAACACTTCTCCAATCTGGGTAGGGAGCAGGGGGGATCATCGAATTACATGAGCAGCTCATAGTGGCTCAATAGCATCCTCTTTTAGTAAGAGCATGACATCCTGTAGTCTCATGTGTACATCAAACCTTAACCCATGCAAGGTGGAGCCCAAGCTTGTCAACATGGAACAAGCAGCCGTCTGTGACATGGTTCCTAGGGTATCTACCTCATCAGCCTGGCCCTCCTCACCCCACTTGCTCCATATTCACACACCTTAGCTTGAGCAACAATGAAATGTGGCCTAAACAATGCCACTCTCTGTCTTGCATCTGAAGTTTCCCCAGTCTTCTTCCTTAGAATGTCCTTGAGCCACTTCAATGTTTTTGTCCACTGGCAAACTTCTTCTTAAAGATTGGCTCAAGAGTCTTCCCTTCTCTGGAAAGATATTCTAGATTCAATTTTGTGTGCTCTTTCCTCAATGTTCCCTCCCTGTCATGAGCAAACTTTCTTCACAGGTCTTAAATGATCACTGCTCTCCTATTAATTGCCCCTCTCCCAGGCCTAAAAAATGTCATTTGTAATATTTTGTCCCCTAAGTTTCTATTTCTGCCAAATTGCAAGGTTAGACCTTTGAAGGAAGGCCAGTGTGCCACAATGTCAGCTTCTGTGTCTATCAGCCCTCTAGATTACCAATTCCTTGTTAAGCGACACAGGGGATGTGTAGTGTTGATTGAATGAATGGATAAATACAATGCTTTCAAGTTTACAATGTGCTTTTTGCACGAATTAACCTCTCTAACCTTCACACTACTCTGAGTTCTTATTATTACCATTTCCATTTCATACAGAAGGAAACTTTCACTCATAGAGCTAAATCGTTTGCCCAAATGTTCACTGTCAATGAAAGACAGAGACAGAACTAGTTCTTCTGACTCCAAATCAAGGGTCCAGAATCTTCCATGGGAAGGGAAAAGAAAAATCTTTGTGCATTATCTCACAGAGAGTCTCAAGCTCATGAATCTTACACAGGTAATGGCCTGGATCCTCAACACAGGTTTTGGCCTCTAAAGTTCATACTCTTCCCCTGAACCAAGCTGCCTCCAAGCTACACAACCCATGGATACACATGGGTACTCAGAAAACAGAATTCCTTCCATCTGTTTTTTATAGTCAGGTTGTGTAAATCACTGTTAAGCATACCGAGTAAAACAGCCTAATAAACTCGTTTCATTCTCCTCCCCTGAGCTGCACTCCATTCCAACTCAGACAGGAGCTTAGGGAGGTCAGGCCTTGAACACTATCGAGCCTGGATTGGGTCAGAGGCTGAGTTTATTCTAGGCCTGTTACAGGGGATTGTTCTCACCCAGGTATCATTTAAAGCTAAGTAGGTTTGCCCCAACTTAGACCTTAAATCTTACAACTGTGAATGCATTACATTCTGATTACTTTTTGCATAATCTTTTCATGTTTACAAAGTGGTTTTAAATCTTATTTGAGCTTCACAACCACCCAGTTAGATAGATAGGGCAGACATTGTTCCTAATGAATAACCGCCTGGAACAAACCTGAGATCTGAGATTTAAGGCTCAAAGTCATTGTTCTTTCCTCTGTTTCATAAACCATCATTCTCAGGTAAGAAAGGAGGATCCATTTGCCCGCTCTTAGATCCTTGGTGAAACACTAAATGATAACATAATCTCTCAAAATAGAATTACCTAAAAGAAAACAGTCACACCATACAACCACTGCAAAGCAACTGCTCTCTGTACCTTCATCATTGTTCCAAAAGTTTTCATTTTTTCTTCTTGACTAACAGGAAATGTTCATATTAATACTGCAGTGTATTCCAAAAGCATATTTTAGATTTTAAAAATGAGATGTGTAACAAATTAGATTAGAAAACAAAATGGCTAGACATGCAGGTTAGAACTTTTGGGGCAGATACTAACAAGCCAGCTATATATAATTAGGAGACAGCCGGATCCTACTACAGTCACCATTTCAGCCTTCCAGAGAGGCAGGATTGTGCTCCTCCACAGATGGTAGCCAAAATCCTAAAACTATGTTTTTGTCAGAAAATTGGAGGAAGATTTTTTTTTTCTTAGTGACAACTTCTGATTCTTTGCTATACCCACAAGTCATCAAGTGTAGGAAATTTAAGCTAGAGTCACTAATTTGCTATTTATTGTAACAACACTGCCTGGTGTTTATACAGCACATTCCATTCTGTGATCTCCAAGAATGTTACGATCTTTTTCTACTAAAACAGATGGAGAAACTAAGGCACGCTAGACCACCCACATAGTCACCCTGAGAAGCCAAGAGTAGAAGCCATCTTATGGATCACTTGGCCTGAATTGTCCTGCCAGGACTGAGTCAAGATTCAGTTTAACAAAAAGACGCAATACTGAAAAGGTGGGCTTCCCTTAGCACAGAAGCTCAGCTGTTGAAAAAGGTGGGTATACAGCAAATCTCATGACACCAACACTCATTAATTTGACTTATAACTCGCTGATGGGTAAGCCTACAGACAGCAGCCCTCTGTGTAGGATGCCAGGGACTTGGTAAGGCTCTTCTATGAATTTTCCCTCTCCCAGGCCTAAAAAAATGTTATTCGTAATATTTTGTCCCCTAAGCTTTGATTTCTGCCAAATTGCAAATCTGCTGGGGAGAAATAATACTTTAAGCTAGTATTGGTCTTTCACAATTTGTGACTTATGTCTTTGAGAATCAGTCTGAGAAGTGCTGAGGAAAAGAAAAGGAGGAATTCCTATAGGAGAATAAGAACAAAAAGAGGTAGAAATAGAGGAAAGAAGACTTCAACGAGAGGCGGACCACCAAGAAAATAAGGGATCTATTTTGCAATCTTGTCCAAGTTCCAAGACATTTCCTCTTCCTAATTAATGTGCAGGCAGTAGTGCCTTTTAGCCAGCATTCCAGTATTTCTATGTAGTTTATATCTTAAATCTTATATCTATAAATCTCTTAGATTTCAAAGAGGGTAATTTTGAGTCACTCTACTTCTGTCTTCAAATCTAGGATTATTTCAAAGAAAACTTTGAGTGATATGAATATATTTTCAAATATGTAATGAGATGTTGGAAGTCTACCCAGAGGCTGCCATGGAAGATTATCTGGGAAGTGACCAAGGGTAGGTATGGGCTTTGGAATCTAACCAATCAGGATTGCTTGCCTAGTTTAGTAGTTGACCTGCCCTGTGGCCTTGGGCAGATTTCCTAACCACCCAGCACCTCCCTGATTTATCTGTAGAATGAAGGTAATAACACCTACTCACTCTACAGGTTATCAAGAGGATTAAACTAGATAAAAGAGTGACAAGCTTAGTAAAGGGCTGAGACAGAGTACGTGCTCATGCTAAGAATTGCAAAGTATGCCAAGGCCAAAACTTCAAACCAGAAGGTAACAAACAGGGCAATTCCAATAGACTTGATCATATTAATTAAAGATGGCTGTTTGGGATATAAAATTTGTTTGCAGAGAGGCTGCAGCCAGCAGGAATGACTGAAGAGTTAGAGGCAATATAGTGTAGTGGTTACAAGAGTACAGCCTGGACGCTTTAGCTGTTTATTAAATATGCTTTGAGCGAGTTACTTAATCTCTTAGGGTCTTTGTTTTCTCATTTGTACCATAGGGAGACTACTAACAGTGCCAACCTCTTAGGGTAGTCAAGAGCATTAAATGATTTGAGTTAGTACATATATTCTCAACAGGGGTGATAGCACGTTGGAGGGTAAAAACAATCTTAGGTATTAGAATGGTTTATGGCCCTCTAAAGCTCAACCCTGTCTGACAAAAACTTACTCCTTTGTATTTAATTTCTCTCATTATGGATAAATTAAATTTAATTCAAATTCAAATTAACACAGTTAATTTAAATTAAACCTAAATTTAATTTAATTTTTCTCCTCAAGGGGACAATAATAGGAACAAAAAAAAAAGCTGAGAAACACTGAGTTAGTATATACAAAGCACTTATAACAGGGCCTGACATATAAGAAGCACCTAAGAAGTATTTATCGTGGTAATTTTTCTTCCTATTTTTAGTAGTAGTGGTAGTATCCCGGCCTCAATTAAGTATGTTACAATTGAATTAATTTGAGGCTACAGTTTAAAACTAAAGTTTAAATGTTTTAAGCTCTTTAAAATTAGTTAAATCATTTCAAAAATGACTACAAAGCACGTGTGTTGGTGAGAGGAGGTTTAAAGGGTAGGAGAAGGCAAGCTGATTTTCCAACCATGCCTGTGAATTCCAGTGTAAATAATGCTCATCTTTCTTCATTGTTCCTTTCCCCCTTCCTGCTCTATATTTTTGTCAGAAAGAAGAAAAACAAATGCAGGAGATAGCCCGGCATAGTGAAAACAGCATTATTTGGCTAAGTAACCGGGCCTCTCCGAGTCTGTTTCCTAGAAAGAGAGGCACTTTCCCCAAAGTTTGTCGGAAGCATCGATTGACAGAAGGTTTATGAATGCACAGCACTTGCCCAGCACATACTAGGTGCTTGACAAATACTAGGTTTCCCTTCATATAGGCAGTCCGAATTAATGTGAACCACAGATTTTTCATTAGGATGCAGTCAATATTCAGTGCAGAACCTAAAAGATTTCCAAATTATTTTTAAAGGAAGATGTCTATTTTAAAAAGAGAAATATTTCATGGTTCAGAGAGAAGGTACAAATAGATAGCATTTCAGAGACGTACAGGCAACCACTACACAATCAAATTTTAGTGTGCTTTCTCATAATTTTCCTTTCTCCTTGGCAAGGACAGCACAGAACTGCTCTCCTGTTGAGAAAGCCCTAGAGCAAAAGGATAGGACAGATTTTCAGGCCATGCTCCCAGTGTGCTGGCTTGGTTTGGCTGTTGGAGGCTTCCACGGGGTATGTGTGTATCTCCCCTTGGTTTTCCTGATGTCTCAATCCACTTGATCCATGTAGCCAAATTCCCACTTCAATCTCCTTAACAGGGATGTTCTGGAGAGCCAAGCATTTTAAGTTTAACAAATTGCCATTGTAACAACTACAATTATGAGTAAATTTGATCTTAAAAGAAGTCAAGGCACAGTAACTCAATAACTTGGTAACACAGCCATCATTATAATAAGGATAAAGTACCACAGTGTTTTCCTGGGTGCCTCATCAGTTTCCTCTAATACTAGGAGCGGGAGGGGGAGATATTCAAGGGTATGCTTTCCCTCCCACCCAGGATGTTCATTAACCAACTTGTGTGCTTGTAAATTCATTAGCACCACGAAGGTTTACAAACACAAAGACAGAGTATTGATGTGATTTGAGTGTTAAAATTATTGATGAGTGTAATCTGAACAATAGAGTTCCAATAAAGAAAAACATATCCTGATGATAATCTCAGAAGCCATGTACAGACTCTACCAGGAGGAAAAAATAGGCCTGTTTCTACAAACGAAATGTCCAGCATGTTTACAAAATCACTTGGTTTTCTGTACTTCTGTGTACTGTTTAGCCACATCGTTACAGATTATTAACCTATTCAGATGGCTTACAGTGTCCTTTTATTCTTATTTTAAGTTTATCAGCTTAACACCTTCCAGTGTGAATGTGAATACAAAGGTTACTATAAGACCTTTCTCATCTTGATTCTTAGCTCCAAGTCCAAATTACTGCTTTAAGGTGCAAAGAGAGAGGGAGGCCTTCCCCCACAGGACTTCAATGGGGCTCATAAGTAAAATGCCATCTCTACTCAACTCTTATAATAGTGACAAAACCACATACTCATATTTTTTTTTTCTTTTACTAAGGTCTAATTACTCTGACTTACAGTTTCAAAAGTGTGGGAATTTGATAGGTGCTTAAAACACTTCTGTGGAATAATTGAGTAAATGAGTAAAGCAAATACGATATTTTGCTGTCTCTAACTCTACTGTAAATCTGCACATGTAAACACACACACACACACACACAGACACACACACATATGCACGCCAATAAAACTACCAAATTGTTTTTGCTTTCACAGAAAATGCAAGAAGCAGGAAGAAACAAGCATGTTTCCTTCCAGTAGGCACGTGGCAGCAGGTTCTCACATTTGGTACCAGATTCCTGGCCAAAACAAAAGGACAATCTCATGGTGAAATTCATCCCCTCATCAGTCTCTCAGCTCACTTTAAACCCTGCATCAACCTGACTTACTGTTAAGCAACTTGACCTGGTGTAACTATTGCCACATAGCAACACAATAAAATATTTATTGGTGGTTGCTACGCTTTCTGGAAGCCCTCCCCTCCTCCCTATCTCTTTTCCCTAATCTCACTTCTTTTGCTTCCTCACCATTAAATCTTTACTCTTGGTGCTTGGAGTACAAGGGTGGATTACACATACTTGCTTCCCAGATGAGACTGGAAAAGTAAAACATATGCCCTGCCCAGGAAAGAAAAATGCTCCCAAGTCCATTTGAGAAAAAAAGTTTCAAATGAGACAGTCATTTTAGACTATGAAATTCTAGCAATTAAGGATATTTTTTCAGGTTCCCAAAGTCAAAATACACAATGTAACGTAATATATATTGTCAACCAGGTGTTATAAGCTGCAGATTTCAAGGGAAATAACTGAACAATTTTCTCCAAATCACAGAGTTCATACCCCTGGAAACTCCTGACTGTGCATTTATCTTATATATGGTAATAGATTAAAGTTACAAATAAACACCAAAAGGTGGATAGTGCAAATCCCCACTGTTCTTCAACTGGTGAATGGATCAACAAGCCATGATACATCCATGTAATAGAATACTAAGCAACAGAAATGAACGAGTTTTGACACACACTGCCTCGTGGATGAAATCTCAAAGGCATTATGCTAAGTGCAAAAATGCAGACTCAAAAGACTACATACCGAATTATTCCATTTTTTTATGCCATTCTAGAAAATGTAAAACTACAGGTCCGGAAAGCAGATCAATGGTGGCAGGAAGCTAGGGGCAAGGAAAGAAGCTGAATATAAAGGGACCCATGAGAATTTTTGGTGGGAGGTAGCAGGGACTGTTCTTTGTCTTGACTGTGGTAGTAGTTACACAACTATATACATTTGTCAAAATTCAACAGAACTGTCCAATAAACAGGATAAATGTTACCATATATAAATTAAACCTGATTTAAATTTTCAAAAAGTATGCCATTCAAAACTAATTTATAGTGGAAACAAAAAGCAAACAAGGATGGCTTCAGTATGGAGACAATGGAGTAGAAAGGTGCTTAAGGGAAATTTGTGCGATGAGTTGACAGTCTGTATCTTGACAGGGATATAGACTTTTGTCCAAACTCAAAGACCTTATGCTTAAGACTTATAATTTCACTGTATGTAAATTTTACATTAAAAGAAGAAAAAGCATAAACAAATATTGAATTATAGTTAATGACATGCATGCTGAAGTATTTAGGGGGAAGTGGATGGATGTCTGCATTTTACTTTGAAATGCATCAAAAAATTAGCTGGATTAATGAATGGATAAAGACGGATAGGTGCATAGATGTGATAAAAGAAGTGTGTAGAATGCTAATGGTAGCATCTAGGTGGTTAAGTATAGTGATGTTCACTTTAAATTCTTTCAAAATTTGGCTGTATGGTTGAAATTTGTTATAATGAAATGTTGGTGGGGACATCAGTTCTAAAGAATTAAAATACAGTCATCCCTTGGTATTTGTGAGAATACTAAAATCCACAACTGCGATGGAGGAGTATTTGTATGTAGCTTATATACTTTTAGCCATCTCTAGATTACTTATAATACCTAATACAATGTAAATGCCCTGTAAATAGTTGTTACACTGTATTTTTGTTTTTAATTTTATTGTTATTTATTTTATTATTATTTTATTGTATTATTTTTACTGTTTTTTCCCAAGTATTTTCCATATACAGTTGGTTGAATCTGTGGGAATCTGTGGATAAGGAGGTCTGATTGTATGTATTAATACATAAAGCAAAGGATTTTAAAGGATGTAAGAGTTAATATGCCATAAACTGTTGAAAAGCTACAGGGTATCATTTTTCTATGTCTATCCTTTTGAAGCATCTAACATATTATTCAGATTCAAAGTTTGTAAATCATACCACAACTGCAGAACTGTTCATGTTTCTTTACACAGTTTGCTCAACTACACACTTGAATTGGACACATGAGGCTGAACTATTTATCCACTGATTATAAGAGAAAACCGACTGTTTCAGAATGCCTTCATAATTCCCTGCCCCTGTATTAACTCACAGTGCAGGGGCTGATGCTGGTCCACTGGGGAAAACTGTCTGTCTCTAAGTTTTATTCCCAGTGATGTAAACCAAATGTCCCCCAAAGTCTAAGCTGTGCAGTCACGAAACTGGAAAAGACCAGCATTGTCTATACTGGTGACTCATTCTGTTATCTTCATTTAGGTCTACATATGAAGCCTTTGCCCTCTCAGGGTAATTCAGCAATCTCAGATTCAGTGCCAGTTTGGACTCTTGACCCTGTTTCCATCAGTTAATACTAACTACTGGTTAAGACTTCTGCCTACCGGGTGGAAACTTTCTCCTGTGAAGGAACAGTGCTACAACTACACTACTTACAAAATTTCCCAAATCTACAAATCTTTCAATGGTTGCTTTGCCTATAATCATACAATCTGAAAGACAACAGCTGATCAGAAAGCAACTAAATAGATGCATTCATTTAAAAGGCCCTTGTTTGTGTCTTTTAATTGGAGCATTTAGCACATTTACATTTAAAGTTAATATTGTTATGTGTGAATTTGATCCTGTCATTATGATGTTAGCTGGTGATTTTGCTCGTTAGTTGATGCAGTTTCTTCCTAGCCTTGATGGTCTTTACAATTTGTCATGTTTTTGCAGTGGCTGGTACCTGTTGTTCCTTTCCATGTTTAGTGCTTCCTTCAGGAGCTCATTTAGGGCAGGCCTGGTGGTGACAAAATCTCCCAGCATTTGCTTGTCTGTAAAGTATTTTATTTCTCCTTCACTTATGAAGCTTAGTTTGGCTGGATATGAAATTCTTGGTTGAAAATTCTTTTCTTTAAGAATGTTGAATATTGGTCCCCACTCTCTTCTGGCTTGTAGAGTTTCTGCCGAGAGATCAGCTGTTAGTCTGATGGTGTTTTCGTTTTAAAAACAAATAATTTAGGCCTTTCAAATAGCATCCAAAACAAATTAAGGATTATAAAACTTGAATTTTAACATAAGCCTTGAAAAAATGTGAGGTTCAATAGTTATCTGGTTAATATGTCTTTTTGGTTTCTCTGTTGCCTGATATATTCCTGTCTAAAATTTTGATCCAAATTTAATATCTCTTGTTACACAAGATTTATATAAAAAGTAAATTCAGTTGCTTTCAAAAAAAAAAAACAAATAAATAAAAGGCCCTTGTTGTGGCAGCTCTGAGGTTAGCTGTAGCAGTTCCCCCCTCCCCGCCCCCCCCACACACACACACAAGTGTGTCCCACTATAAAGGTTTAAGGGTCCGGTATAGAGAAGGACAGTTTGTAAAGTATCTTAAAAGGTGCAGAATGAGTTTGTCTTTCTACTAAACTACAAAGAAATAACCACTATGGTGTGGAGAGACTTTACTTGTTGGCTTACAGATACTGTTATAAACGGGAAAACCAATCTTAATGTCCCAACATAGATGGATACCCCATTCTCCATGATGTGATTATTATGCACTGCATGCCTGTATCAAACATCTTGTGTACCCCATAAATATAGACACCTATTATGCACCCACAAAAATTAAAAGTTAGGCCAGGCGCGGTGGCTCATGCCTGTAATCCCAACATTTTGGGAGGCTGAGGTGGGCGGATCACAGTCAAGATATCGAGACCATTCTGGCCAACATGTTGAAACCCTATCTCTACTAAAAATAAAAAAGTTAGCTGGGGGTGGTGGTGCGCGCCTATAGTCCCAGCTACTTGGGAGGCTGGGGCAGGGGAATTGCTTGAACCCAGGAGGCAGAGGTTGCAGTGAGCTGAGATTGTGCCACTGCACTCCAGCCTGGCAAGAGTGAGACTCCGTCTCAAAAAATAAATAAATAATAATAAATTTAATAAATAAATAAACAACTGTCCCAACATAAATATTGGCAAAATAAACAATGGTTACACAATCCATGTTCCTTTATGATGATGATTTCAAGGAAAACTTCATGACATGGAAAAATAGGAAATCCCCTGACTTACTGATGTCATGGGATACTGGGATTTTGGTCAGTCCTTACACCTTAAATCCTTTCAAATGCTCCAACCCCATTTGAAAAAAAAAGTTATGCCTCAGTACTTACACCAATGTCACAGTACTGGTATTCTTAACCCTAGTCTTAAAATTGTTTAGGTATAAATTAGGGTTACCAAATAATAACAAAGGATGCTGAGTTAAATTTCAGATAAGCAACAAATAAACACTTCAATATAGGTATGTCCCTTGACATATCTGAGACATACTCATATTAAAAATTTGTTATTTTATCTAGCATCCTAGATACAAATATAAACTTCAGATGTGTTAGTGATAAGTTTTCTTAAAATATATTCATTAGTATCTTCAAAAGTAGTTTTTTGGTTTTGTTTTTATTTACTTCGGGCCTGGATTTTAGATTTGATAAGATAGTAAGTGCTATGAGGGCAGTGACTAGGTTTGTTTTTCTAGTCTTATATCTGATGTCTAGCTCAGTGCCTTGTACACAATAAGCTCTCAAAAACATCTGTGGTGAGTTAGAATGGTGATCATTAAAAAGTCAGGAAACAACAGATGCTGGATAGGATGTGGAGAAATAGGAATGCTTTTACACTGTTGGTGGGAGTGGAAATTAGTTCAACCATTGTAGAAGACAGTGTGGCAATTCCTCAAGGATCTAGAACTAGAAATACCATTTGACCCAGTGATCCCATTACTGGGTATATACCCAAAGGACTACAAATCATGCTACTATAAAGACACCTGCACACGTATATTTATTGTGGCACTATTCACAATAGCAAAGACTTGGAACCAACCCAAATGTCCATCGATGATAGACTGGATTAAGAAAATGTGGCACATATACACCATGGAATACTATGCAGCCATAAAAAAGGACATGAGTTCATGTCCTTTGTAGGGACATGGATGAAGCTGGAAACCATCATTCTAAGCAAACTATCACAAGGACAGAAAACCAAACCGCACATTCTCACTCATAGGTGGGAGGTGAACAATGAGAACACATGGACACAGAGCGGGGAACATCACACAATGGGGCCTTTCGGGGGGTGGGGGGGCGAGGGGAGGGATAGCATTAGGGGAAATACCTAATGTAAATGACGAGTTGATGGGAGCAACAACCAACATGGCACATGTATACATATGTAACAAACCTGCATGTTGTACACATGTACCCTAGAACTTAAAGTATAATAAAAATATATATATTTATCTGTGGGGAAGCCAGGCATGATGGCTCATGCCTATAATTCCAACACTTTGGGAGTCTGAGGCAGGAGGATTGCTTCAGGACCAGAGTTTGAGACCAGCCTAGCCAACCTAGTGAGACCCTGTCTGTACAAAAAATTTAAAAAAAAAATTAAGTGGGCATGGTAGTACGTGCCTGTGGTCCCAGCTCCTCAAGAGGCTGAGGTGGGAAGATCACTTGAGCCCAGGAGTTTGAGGCCAGAGTGAACTGTGATTGTACCACTGCACTTCAGCCTGGGTGACAGAATGAGGCCCTGTCTCTAAAATATCCATGGAGAAAGCAAATGTGTGAATGGTTAGTAGAACTCTGGGTATCTCTCTCATGCTACCTCATTCCTGGGAGACTTCAGTTTTCCCCATGTAAGGTACAACTTCATTTTTCCCAAAGTTTCTATCTTCTTTTTTCTCTGCACAAAAGTGAGTTGAAGAAGGGAATCCCATGACTGCCAGGAGTAAGTCTGAAAAGTATGTCCACAGCCTAAGGGACATTATTAGAACATTCCATTTAAAGCAAAACCTGCCTTTGAGTTGGGGCCTAGCAAATCTGGCCTAAGGACACAGTCCTGTTTCTTACCTATTTACTCTGTTAGTCTTTTGCACTTTTGTTGGTTCTTTTTTTTTTTAATTTTTCTTGGAATGGCAGCCTAGGCTTGCCAACTCATATGCTTACTTAGCTTTGCGAAAGGATTAAAAAGTAATCTACATAACCACCAAAAATTTTCATTAACTGCATCCACCCTTGTTCTATCTGACTTTATTTTTGGTTTCTTCTATTTTCTATCCTGACTCTACCACCACTGGCCACCTAATATATTTCTAATTCTAATTTTCATGGCTTTGTAAAATTTGTTCTACTGTTGTTGTCGTCTTAGAAGGTATTCTATTTCTTCAAAAGCCACATAAAGTTTTTAACTCCTTAGAAGAACCTCTGTTAAGTACAATGTTTTGCTATTTGGAACTACCTTCTCCTGGAACTTCCTGAATGCCAGCAATAACAATTATTATTATTCTCATCATCATTCTCTTATATTGCAAGAAACACGTACTGCAGGAACAAAGAAGCAACGTTACTTGTTCCTCATTTATTATATGCATAGCTGAATAGATAACATCTGTATTAAGTCTGTCTCAAGACTAACCAAGTTAATCTCAAGTCCATCTGCAAAATTAGCCTTTTAAGGCAAAACAGTATCTGGGGAAGAGCTCAAAGTGCTAAGAAATATTTTAAATATTGGCTGGGCGCGGTGGCTTATGCCTGTAATCCTAGCACTTTGGGAGGCCGAGGTGGGTGGATCACGAGGTCAGGAGTTCAAGACCAGCCTGGCCAACATAGTGAAACCCAGCCTCTACCAAAAATACAAAAAAATTAGCTGGCATGGTGGTGGGCACCTGTAATCCCAGCTACTTGGGACGCTGAGGCAGGAGAATCACTTGAACCCGAGAGGCAGAGGTTGAAGTGAGCGGAGATTGCGCCACTGCACTCCAGTCTGGGTGACAGAGTGAGACTCTGTCTCAAAAAAAGAAATATTGTAAATATTGAGGAAAAAGGCAGAAGGAGAAAGTTTGGAAAGAAACTAAAACAGAGAATATGAAAAAAGCAATATGATGGCAACATGGACTAATAGTAAAATCACAAGTGACACTGATTCAAGATGGTAATTAATGGATCAGAATGAACATTAGAAAATAGCTCATCTGCTCCGTGATTTTACAAGTGAAATAAGCCCACAGAGGAGTGGCATGCTAATAGCCACTCTGAGCTAGTAGTAAAGCTGAGACCAGAATCCAAATATCCTAAATGCAATTGATGTTGCTTTCATTTTATAACAGTGTCTTCTCTCCAACCAGTTGCTCTAATGTCTATACTTAAAATGAGACAGTACCGTGTACATCACCATAAAATGATGTCAGTACTAGAAGAATAAAGAAAAAAATTACAGCTCCAAACTTTATTATTGCCTCTATCACTTATCTTCCAAAATTAATTTCAAATGTCATTTATTCATTCATGTATTCTTCTATTGAAGGTTTTCTATGTGCTGGATATTGTTCCAGGCCATGGGAATACCACAGTTAATGAGATGCATGGCCTCCATTGAATTTGTATCCTAGAATGAGAAAACCAACAGTCACCAAATCAACAATATGGTTTTGGATTCACATAGATATCAAAGAGGAAATTAACATGCTGAAGGCAGACAGGAATTGGGCAGGTGAGATTAAAGATCTACCTTAGCAAGGATATTGAGGGAGGTCTTTCAAAGGAAGTGATATGAAGGCTGAGAAGGCATCCATCATACAAAGACCAAAGGAAGCATATTCCAGGCAGGGGAAACAAGGGAAAGGGCTTGAGACAGAAAGCGAGACAGAGATATGGCCAAGTGTGATGAGCAAAAAGGAGGTGTGTCAAAGACTAGTTCAGAGAGGTAGAAAGAGGCTAGATCATAATGGCCCTTGAAGATAACTTAAAAAAAATTAGACTTTATTTCAGGATCAATAAAGTCATTAAAAAAAAATCTCTTTTGAACTCTGGAAGTTTACTCTCTGTGGAGAATGACTGTAGAAGAACAGCAGTGGAAGTAGAGGCAATTGCTGTGAAACAGGTCAACACTGATGGTGGGATTAACCAGGTCAACACTGATGGTGGAATTAACCAGGATGGTGGCAGTGCAGGGGGAGAAAGTCCACAGATTCATAGCTGCAAGATAAATGTTAGTGGTGGGGCCAACAATATCTCTTGATGACTCAGTGAGGAGAAACGAGGGAAAGGGAGAGAATCAAGAATGATTCTGTTCCATTTTTGGCTTCAGCAAAAATGGATAAATCATGGTGCCATTCCCTGGGAAAGAAAAGGCTTGGGGACCATGGTAATAGGTAGAAATGTAAAAGTTCCACGTATGTTATTTTTATTATTATATTTTATATGTTATATTATATATGTATGACATATATCTTATATGTTATTCTTATATTTTTATATGTTTTATTTTATTTATTTATTTATATTTTTTGAGATGGAATTTCGCTCTTGTTGCCCGGGCTGGAGTGCAGTGGTGTGATCTCGGCTCACCACAACCTCCACCTCCCGAGTTCAAGCAATTCTCCTGCCTCAGCCTCCCGAGTAGTTGGGATTACAGGCATGCACCACTACACCCGGCTAATTTTGTATTTTTAGTAGAGATGGTGTTTCTCCATGTTGGTCAGGCTGGTCTTGAACTCCCGACCTCAGGTGATCCGCCTGCCTAGGCCTCCCAATGTGCTGGGATTACAGGCGTGAGCCACCGCGCCTGGACATGTTATTTTTATTATTACATTTTAGGTGCTTATTAAACATCTAGTTGGGGATGTCCGGAAGGTAAACGGTGATAGAAATTTGAGGCAAGAACACCAGCATAATGGTGATTTAAAGCAATGGGAATTAATGAAATCCCCTAGGAAAAGAACAGAGCTGACTGAGCCCTGGGCTCTCCAAACTTTACACATGTGGGAGAAAATGTGCCCTCAACAAAGACAGAAGGTGCAGGGGGAAAGACAGAAAGAAAACTCTGGGAAAGTGCTCTCAAGAAACAAGTCAACTTTTTCAAGAAGGAGCAAATTATCAACCATGATGTCAAGTGAAAGGTGGAGTCAGATGAGAACAGAAATATATCCATTAGCTTTGAAATATCAAAGCATTGTTGCTTTGATATTTCAACAAAAGCAATTTTACTATCGTTTTTAAAAATCAGGCACTGTGGAAAGGTTAAGAGTTATTTTTATGCATATGTGCATCCTTCCAAATCTATCCTGCATAAAACAATAGCCACATACACACAGGTCTTTTTTGTTTAAATGTAAAACATAAACGGGAACACATCTTCATCTTCTACTCTCTTCATATACTGCTTTTTAAAACTTTATTTATATATATATGTATATGTGTATATATATATATATTTTTTTTCTTTCTTTCTTTTTTGAGATAGAGTCTCACTCTGTCACTCAGGCTGGAGTGCAGTGGTGTAATCTCGGCTCACTGCAGCCTCAACCTCCCTGGCTCAAGTGGTCTTCCCATTTCAGCCTCCCGAGTACCTGGGACTAAAGGCCCATGCCACTACACCCAGCTGATTTTTTTATTTTTTGTTGAGACGGGGTCTCACTATGTTGCCTAGGCTGGTCTCGAACTCCTGGACTTAAGCAATCCTCCCTTGCCTCAGCTTCCCAAAGTGCTGGGATTATAGGCATGAGCCACCACACTCGGCCTACATATTATTTTGGGGATCATTTCTTACCTGAATGTATAAATTTATGACATTATTTTAATGGCAACTTACTATTTTGTTATAAGGATTTAACCTACACTTTTGATCTTTTCTTACATGCGCAGTTCATTATATTGCATTACACTGTGTACTTCTCTAAGTATATGCATGAAAAATGGTAAGTCTTCAAGTGAGGGAAGATTGATGGGTAGAGCTCACCCTACAGGAATGACAGTAGGAACTACAATACAAAGGTTCTTTCCACTGCGTCTTATTGCCTCCTTTTGTATTGTAAGAACTGATTGATAATTGGAAGAACTCAGTATACAAATAAGATTTGCAAGCATTTAATTAACAAATAACGTCCTTTCAATGGTGGTGTTTCAATTAGATTTCTTATTTACTCTTGCATTCATTAAAATAAAGACATGAATTAGTACAATTTCTCTTCAAAGCCAGACAATTAAACTGGCTTTGAGTTTTTTGTTGTTGCTGGGTTTTTGTTTGTTTGTTTGCTGTTTGCACTTATTCCCTAGATTTGCTTATTTTATCTTAATTTGTCCAAGATTTCAACAGAAACTATAGGTTCAAAATTCCCTTCTTAATACCTATCTAGAAATTTAGAATGCTATCATTACATTTTCTAGTTTCAACAGCTACCTTTTTAGAATCTGACATCTTAGAAATATCACATAGGCCGGGCATGGTGGCTCATGCTTGTAATCCCAGCACTTTGGGAGGCAGAGGCGGGTGGATCACCTGAGGTCAGGAGTTCGAGACCAGCCTGGCCAACATGGCGAAACCCCGTCTCTACTAAAAATACAAAAATTAGCCAGGTGTGGTGGCGAGCGCCTGTAATCCCAGCTACCCAGGAGGCTGAAGCAGGAGAATAGCTGGAACCCGGAAGGCAGAGGCTGCAGTGAGCCAAGATCGCGCCACTGCTCTCCAGCGTGGGTGACAGAGCAAGACTCCATCTCAAAAAAAAAAAAAAAAAGAAGAAGAAGAAAAGAAATACCACAACAACTAGAAAAAGTAAAGATTTTATAGTTAGTATCTTTCCTTCAAGTGGCTAAAGAGATTATGCAAAATCCATAACCTGCCTCCCCTCATCATACTCTTTTCCTATTTTTATGGCCGTCACTTTTATTTCCCATTTGTTCTTTGCTTCAACTTATGGTGCTTCCTCGAACAAGTCTGTTAAGCCTGTCTCCCAGGGCAGTCATAGGTGTCAGTGAAAAACCGGATAAAGCAGAAGAGAACAAGAATAAGCCCTCCACCTTCTGCCACCGTGCACTGGCAGCCTTCGCTCCACAACTTGCAAGACCTGAGCCTGTTATGTTTTGCCTGATACTCATATTTCAATCTGGAAACTAAAAAGGCACAGAGAGAAATAATGTTTGAGCCCCCACCGTGGTACATAACTGACAGAACTAATATTGTGTGGCCATGTGAGCATCAGACCAAAGAGAAATCATCAAAGTGATGAGATCTGTCATTTACGCCTTTCTCCCTTTCTCCCAACACAGCCAACCCAAGGGGTCATAAACTGGGATGCCCCAAAGATGTGTTTCCTTTGATCCACATAAATATTTTTAAACTTTTGAACTAGTTGCCAATATTTAAAATTGGAAAATGATATGTAAAAGTCGAGACTTGCATGTCCTTTTAAATTGGCAACACCGAGCCAGCTCCGCAGCCTGAGGACAGCCGGCCTCAGTTGGTAGCAGCTGCTCCGGGCAGGCAACGAGTGCGCTACGCTTTGGCGCATGCCCGGTGAGCTCCTGCCTGGCCCTTCTCACTCACTCATGTTACCTGCACTACCACTCAAGGCACGTGAGTTTATGACCTTTTGAAGTGAAGTACTGCCAAGCACTCTCTAATAAAGATTTGGCAGCCTTGCCAAAGTAGCTGAGAAATCATTTTTTAAATAATTTACTTCTGCCTATAAGAGATTGGGTCTTTGATCAAAACTTTCCCATCAGATATTCCAGCAGCGTACAATCTGACCCTCTGGTTTCTGACCATCCAGACACCTAGGAGACCTGGAAACAAAACCGATAGGACAGGGAGGTGGAGAACACAGTGGACCCGGCACCCACATGCCTCTTCAGGTCTCTTCCACACTCCTAATCATCGTGTCACCATAAATGGATCCAAGGGCTAATCTAAGGCTGAAAGGCTTCTCCCAAGAGTGTATGCATTCTAGTGGGATTTGCAAAGACTCAGAAATGCTATCAAATGTTAAAGACAGGGATTTGCTATAATGATCGCATTCATAGCTGGTGAAAACATGGCAAAAAAGGTAGCCAGAAACGAGAGAGCTGTCCTAAGTCCCTCCTGATCAGCACATCTGCAGCCTCTCTGCTTGTCATTGGATCCAAGCCCATGCTGTTTCCAGAAGAATACAGTGCATTCTCAGGATATTTGGTAACCATTTTTACTTACCAGTAAGATGATGAGAGGCAAACGTGAAATCACCATTCCTAAGCAACCACACAAAGCCTCAGGTACGTACCCGAAGAAAACACAGCCACCCTCATTGTGCAGAAACACAAGGCCAAAGCCACAGATCTCAACACACCCTGGATCAGCCCACACAGCTGGATGAGCACAAACCCTGGATTGTTATATTACACTTATAAAACTGCACTGCACAAAAGAAAGCCCAAACATTAAGTCATTATCGCATTTAAAACTGAAGAGCAGCACGTTAACCTGCCAAAGAAAACACCCAGGAGCGCCCGCTGGAAGGAGGGCAGGCTGGGAGAGAGGCAATGCAGCAGTGGCCTACACAGGAAGCACTTGAACTCCAGGTGAAACTCACTTTGAAGCTACGCTAGACCCCATGAAATATTATTTGTGAAAAAGCATGGCCACAATTAATGAAGAGGCATGGCAGAAATGTAAGCCATGTTAAGACTGACCTCAGACACTTCTGAATACTTATTTTTAACTAAATAAGGTTCTTTAACTCCAAAGTTCACCTAGTAGATCGGCTATATGTAAAAAGCTTGTAAATGGTTTTGTCTCCAAGTTCAGGATAGCAAATGTGATGGTTGCCTCCATGGATCAATTACAGATCAATTAGTAGTAGTAAAGAAAAAATACTTCTGAAATTATAAAGTGAATCCATGGGGAAATGGAATTTGACTGATAAGGAGTAGATGCGCACAACCTCTCCATTATGTACAGGGAAGTGCTCCTGTACTCCAGTTACTCCATTACACCTATTTTACTCTTGAGGCAAAAAGAGAAACCCCAGGCACCTGAAAATCTAATCCTGAGCACAACAGGCACCAGCCTGAATGAGTAGGAAACTTGAACTTGCTTTTCTTCTTTCACAGGTCTGAGTTCATCTGATCCTGCCAGCTACATCCAATCACTTCATTTCTCCCTTCCTGTCCTTTTCCTATGCCCTTTCCTCATTGCACAATGCTTGAATGCTCTGCTTTAAATTCTCTTCAGAGGAAATGGCTTATGGATAAATGTAACAAATGGGAAGCTAAAGACTTGAACTTGATGCTGGGCCACACTTATAAGGAGACAATTGCTTTTCCAAGAGAATAAACAAAAGGCTTCAAATATTTAAAGAACTATTATAGAGAAATGGATTTAAGAGTGTATAGAATTCTGGAAGGCAAAAGTAGACTCGATGGGTAGACGTTACAGGCAAGCAGATTATAACCAACACGTTAAATCTCTTAAAATATAGAAATGTTTGCCCTGTCTGATGGTGAAGCCTCTTTGATTGGAAATGTTCAAACAGATCTGAAAAAATTCCTTTTAGAAGTACAATGGATGGTATGGCAGCATTGGATAGTAAAGTGATAAGACTAAATCAACTCTAATTCTAAGGAGTCTGTGATTCCACAATAAGTAATGTTATATGAATAGCTTTTCCAAGTGAGAAACGCAGCCACACACATCCACGTGATGAGGCAGGCTGGCTGAGGTGAACGTAGGGAGCGACAAGATGGGAGATGCCCATTGCTTACTCATCGGAGGGAGTGACACTGTCTTAGTCTTGGATAAAAACTGGCCCATAATAGATTTGAGGATAGAAAAAGGAATGGAAAAGATAAAAGATTGATAGGCTAGAACCTTCAAGATAAAATCTAATGGGAAAAAGGGGAAGCTATGCTTATGTAATTAACCACATATGCATAGCGCATGGGTGTCTAACTTAATGGCAGTTTATGGTTTTTATTTTTAAAAGTCAAATATGCCCTACCCTACTAGAAAAGTTAGGATTTTAGTTTTTCTGTTTTTGGATAAGGGGAAGGAAAATGAAAGAAAATGATCTTCTCCGCACTCCCCCTCACACCCTTCCAACTCCATGAGCAACTAAAGAGCTTCCATCCAATATTCTCCTACAGATAACACTGTCCTTGACCCAAATGTTTGTGGCTCACCAAAATTTATAAACAGACTAGTAAGAGGCTTTGAAAACGTGAACTCAGACTATTGTTTCTAAAATTTAGCTTAGATCTCTCAGAGAAATGTTGTCAAGTCAAAAAGAAAGATGTGGACAAGAAGGATGAAAGCCTTATTGGGCAGACTGCTATAAAATATAACAGCACTTTCTGCAAAACTGTGTTATTATTGCCCTAGTGCTTCTATGTTAGAAGTCTGTGAATCTCTGTTATTTAAAAAGTTAATCATAACATAATGTTAACACACATTATATGTGTGACTCAAGGCTATTCTTGTTCTCTGGGCTCATGTGCCCAAACTGACCACATCATTTTCTTAGCACCAAGAGGGTTGCTCTTACAATGTGGCTACTTTTGCATTTCCTTCTTTGGAGCCTTGTAAGTAAAGAATAAAAGGAGGGGGAAAAGGGAGTGTGCAATTTACTATAGTAAGTAAAAGCCAGGATCTGTTTAGTGTGTGTATCCCCTACAATTCACTCACGTGTTTTTCCTTTCTTGAGAAGGTGATGATCAAAAATAACTTTAAGGTTGCATCATCAATTTTCCACGAAGCCATTTCACATGGTCCAAACCCACAAATGTACCCCCACTCTGGCACACAAATCACCCACCCTATCCACATCCAAGATAAAGGAAAGAGACCTGCCCAAGAAACCTTGTCACACCAACACTTGCCTTATATGCCCAATGAAGTCAGCTGGGAGTAAAAAATAAAAAATGAGCTTGTAGAAATTTGCAGTCTCTAAGTATTTTCCCACAAAACACTTATTAATTGGAGAAGGGAAAATACGGGCATACCTTGTTTTATTGCACTTCTCTTTATTGCACTTTGCAGATATTGCGCTTTTTACAAATTGAAGATTTGTGGCAATCCTGTATCGAGCAAGCCTGTCAGTGCCATTTTTCCAACAGCGTGTGCTCACTTCGTGTGTCTGGGTCACATTTTGGTAATTATTGCAATATTTCAAACTTTTTCAATGTTATTATATCTGTTGTGGTGATCTGTGATCAATGATCTTTGATGTTGCTATTGTAATTGTTTTAGGGTGCCACAAACCTCACCCATATGACAGTGAACTTAATCAATAAATGTTGCGTTTGTTCTGACTGCTCTAGACTGACTGGCTGTTCACCATCTCTCTCCCTCTCCCCAGGCCTCCTTATTTCCTAAGATACAACTATATTGAAATTGGGCCAATTAATAACCCTACAATGGCCTCTAAGTGTTCAAATGAAAGGAAGAGTCACTCCGGTCTCACTTAAATCAAAAGCTAGAAATGATTACACTTGGTAAGAAAGACATGTCGAAAGCCAGCATAGGCAGAAACCCAGGCCTCTTGAGCCAAACAGCCAAGCTGTGACTGCAAAGGAAAAGTTCTTAAAAGAAATTAAATAGTGCTACTCTCATGAACGCACAGATGATAAGAAAGAGAAACAGCCTTATTGCTGATAGGGAGAAAGTTTTTGTGGTCTGGATAGAAGACCAAACAAGCCACAACATTTCCTTCAGCCAAAGCCTAATCCAGAGCAATGCCCTAACTCTCCAATTCTAAGAAGGCTGAGAGACGTAAGGAAGCTGCAGAAGAAAAGTATGAAGCTAGCAGGGGTTGGTTCATGAGGTTTAAGGAAAGAAGCTGTCTCTGTAACATAAAAGTGCAAGGTGAAGCAGCAAGTGCTGATGAGAAGCTGCAGCAAGTGATACAGAAGATCCAGCTAAGATCAATGATGAAGACAGCTACACTAAACAACAGATGTTCAATGTAGATGAAATAAAACAGCCTTCTGTTGAAAGAAGATGCCACCTATGACTTTCACACTAGAAAGAAGCAGGTGCCTGGCTTCAAAGCTTCAAAGGATAGGATACCTCTCGTGTTAGGGGCTAACGGAGCTGGTGACTTCAAGTTGAAGCCAACGCTCATTTACCATTCTAAAAAATCCTAGGGCCCTTAAGAATGATGCTAAATGGAGGGCTGAGAGTGGTGGCTCACAGCTGTAATCCCAGCACTTTGGGAGGCCAAGGCAGGAGGATCACCTGAGGTCAGGAGTTCAAGACCAGCCTGACTAACATGGTGAAACCCTGTCTCTACTAAAAATACAAAAATTAGCCAGGCATAGTGGCAGATGCCTGTAATCCCAGCTACTCAGGAGACTGAGGCAGGAGAATCACTTGAACCCGGGAAGCGGAGGTTGCAGTGAGCTGAAATCGTGCCATTGCACTCTAGCCTGGGTGACAGAGCGAGACTCTTTAAAAAAAAAAAAAAAAAAAGAATTATGCTAAATCTAGTCTGCCTGTGCTCCATAAGTGGAACAACAAAGCCTGGATGACAGCACATCTGTTTACAGCATAGTTTACTGAATATTTTAAGCCAACTGTTGAGACCTATCACTAAAAAAAGGTTCCTTTCAAACTATTACTGATCACTGACAATGTACCTAGTCACCCAAGAGCACTGATGGAAATTTACAAGGAGATTACTGTTCTCATGCCTGCTAACACGACATCATTCTGCAGTTCATGGATTAAGGAGTAATGTCTACTTTCAAATGTATTTAAGAAATAGATTTTGTAAGGCTACTGCTCTGATAGATAGTGTTTCCTCTAATGGATCTGGAAAAGTAAACTGAAAACTTTCTGGAAAGCATTCACCATTCTAGATGCTATTAAGAATGTTCTTGATTCATAAGGGGAGGTCAAAATAGCAATATTAACAGGAGTTTGATGGAAGTTGATTCCAACCCTCATGGATGACTTTGAGGAATGCAAGACTTCAGTGGAGGAAGTCACTGCAGATGTGATATGTGATAGAAACACCAAGAGAACTAGAATTAGAAGTGGAGCCTGAAGATGTGACTGAATTGCTGCAATCTCATGATAAAACCTGAACAGGTAAGGAATTGCTTCCTATGGTTAAGCAAAGAAAGCGGGATCTACTGGTGAAGATGCTGTGAACATTGTTGAAATGACAACAGAGAATTTAAAACATGACATAAACTTAGTTAATAAAGCAGTGGCAGGGTTTCAGAGGATTGACTCCAATTTTGAAAGAAGTTCTACTGCAGGTAAAATGCTATCAAACAGCATTGCATGCTACAGGGAAATCTTTTGTGACTACAACTGTGTTGGCAAACACAGAGTCAACTGATATGGCAAATTTCATTGTTGTTGGATTTTAAGAAATTGCCACAGCCATCCCAACCTTCAGCAACCACCACCCTGAGCAGTCAGCAGCCACCAACATTGAGGCAAAACCCTCCACTAGCAGAAAGATTATGGCTCACTGAAGGCTCAGATGATCATTAGAAAATTTTAGCAATAAAGTATTTTTTAATTAAGGTATGTACATTTTTCAGACGTAATGCTATTACACACTTAATAGACTACAGGATAGTATGAACATAACTTTTATATGCGTTGGAAAACAATTAGTGTGACTTGCTTTATTACAATATTTGCTTTATTGAAGAGGTCCAGAACCAAACTGCACTATCTCTGAGGTGTGCTTGTAGTAATTTTAAAGTAGAGAAACTGGCAGATACGATATTTACCATTTGTTCAAAGTTAACACTACCAGTAATGAAACAAAGCAGTATCATGTGCCTCTCAATCTGATGTACTGAGAAGAACACATCACTTCTCTGATATTCTTGCCAAAAATGTTCTTGCCAAACCTGAATCTAATCATGAGGAAACAGACAAACCCAACTTGAGAAATATTCTACAAAATAACTGGCTTGTACTTGTTAAATGATTTCTAGCTTATGAAAGAAAAAAAAAGAAAGCTGAAGAAATATGACAGAGTAAAGAGGACTCGGGAAACATGACAACTAAATGTGTTCCTGGCCCTGAAAAGAGGCAATCAAAAAATTTGGATAAAGTCTGTAGATTAGATAATATTAAGTTAATATTAATAGCCAGATTTTTATTGTTATACTTACGGTTATAAAAAAGAATGTCCTTATTTTAAATAAATACACAGTGAATTATTTAGAATTGAAGGCGCATCATATCTGTAAGTTGATCCCAAATGTTCAGAAAATGTATATATATGCATACCTTACATACGTATACATGTGAATATCGGCCGGGCTCAGTGGCTCACGCCTGTAATCCCAGCACTCTGGGAGGCCGAGGAGGGTGGATCACGAGGAGAGGAGATCAAGACCGTCCTGGCTAACACAGTGAAACCTTGTCTCTACTAAAAATACAAAAAATTAGCTGGGCGTGGTGGCATGCACCTGTAGTCTCAGCTACTCAGGAGGCTGAGACAAGACAGTTGCTTGAAAACGGGAGACAGCGGTTGCAGTGAGTCGAGATCGTGCCACTGCATTCCAGCCTGGGTGACAGAGCGAAACTCTGTCTCAAAAATAAAATAAAAATAAAAAAATGTGTACATGTGTGTGTAGACAGAAAGAATGATCAACTAAGTGTGGTAAAATGTAAAACATTAACATTTGGGGAATCTAGGAAGAGTATATAGAAATTCTTTGTAACATTTTCATGTTTGCAAATTCTCTGTAAATAAAAAGTTTCTGAAAATTAAAACAAACAAACAAAAAAACAAGGCCAGCCATGGTGGCTCACAGCTGTAATCCCAGCACTTTGGGAGGCTGAGGCGGGCAGATCACTTGAGGTCAGGCAGACCACTTGAGGTCGCTAGCCAGCATGGTGAAACCCCATCTCTACTAATAATACAAAAATTAGCCAGGGGTAGTGGTAGGCACCTGTAATCCCAGGTACTCAGGAGGCTGAGGCAGGAGAATCGCTTGAACCCGGGAGTTGGAGGTTGTAGTGAGCTGAGATCGCGCCATTGCACTCCAGCCTGGGCAATAAGAGTGAGACTCTGTTTAAAAAAAAAATTTAAAAAAAAAAACAAAAAAACTTAGGAACCCCCAATGTCCTTTGCTCCCCCAACCCCCAACACTGAGAAGCACTGCAATGTCCTGGATGGTCTTCCCTGAAAGCAGCAAGCTCCCTTAGGGCACCAATGTGTCTCCAAATCCCGGAGGCTAACACAGGGCCTGGCATATGCTAGGGGCTCGAAAAAGGGCCAAAGAATAAATGAACTACAAGAAAGATCCGAAAGTGTGGGCAAACCCCAATTTGTGGCTCTCTCTCTGCAAAGCTGGTAGGAACCGTGGCTGTCCTGTGTAAATGCTAGGTGGGAACGATGAGCAGACGGCATTGGAATGGAGAGTAAGTTGTGGCTCTACTCTGAGGGATTATTTTTATTGAGGAGGCAGGGGAGTGCAGCATGTACCCTTGGGCTGGCCTGCAATGGCCCCACTCTCCTGAAATAGGAGTGCATTCCAGGTACTATGTGTCCTAGCATACAAGGTCTCTGTCGGATCACGCATAAGCCATGTGATGCACTGAGATAAGAAGAAATAAACACCAAGATGCCCCAAGATAACAAGAAGGATCGAAATAGCTCCATGTTCAGTAAATCCTTCATCATGAAAATAATGCCTCATAACATTCTGTTCTTACTTCCCAAACCACTAGTACTTGGTTTTTCAAATTCACATTGATTTTGTACATGAGGTCTGAAATTAGCGTCGTTTTAATTACCAAAGTTCAAGAAAAGCTTCAAAAAAGTTTGAGATGAAAAATATGACTTTGCTTTGAAAATGCAGCTAATTCATGAATGTCCCAAATGGACTGCCTTTCCAGAAAAATTCAATTCTGAATAGTGACAAAGGAAAAAATGTGTAATCCACAGACCATGAAAATGTATTAGGGGATATTCCTATAACCCACAGAAAATAGGGACATAGAAAGTATGTGCTTTCGCTAGCCAAGTTACAATTTCATAATCATGAACATATTCCAGAAAAAAATTAAACAAGGCTAACTACAGCACATAACTGAGGGCAAGACGCAATATTGCAAACCTCATTTGCATATTAATTCAAACAGGGGCCTTTTTGCTTTATAAGGAATATAACTTTCGAGGATATCTAGCTGAGATTGCTATGCGCACTGGTAGGGGCTTATCTATCAATTTCTTTGAAAATGAGTTCTTAAGGCAAACCCAAATCGTAAGGAGGGGAAAAAAGCAAGAACACCCTACAATCAATAATACACAGGGAGCCCACAGAGGAACTAGGGCAAGTTGGTACAGATGCGCCCTCTTCCCCTTTACTTGACACATCAGAGAGGCCAATTAGTTCTCAGTCAAAACTCCATTCCTTCCACCAACTTAATTAATAAGGGCAGATACTGAACTCGACCTCAGAGTCTTAGTTGTCGGCTATTAGTTTGTCCCTGACACCCCTCAGCTTCCCATCTCCCATTTCAAAGCTGCTCCACTTCTCTAAAACGGGAGAACCTAGGCATAGCATGCTTGCTTCTAGGCTCTCCCAGGGGTACGTCGTCTGGAAAACCCAAAAGGACTTGGCACAAGAAAGATACCTGATGAGGCCCCAAGAGCAGGAGTCAGCTTCTCCCCTTTCTGTGTTCAGTATCCCACCTGTTCCAGACACAGTCTAGTCCTGAGGCTGCCAATGGTGTGGGTCTATCAGTGCCAAGTAAAATCATGAGGATTCACGGTGATCTGTACCCCTGACCTAAGGGTTCTGGAAGAAACCCCTCCTTTTGTGGAGCTCATACAACCTCAGATCTGTATGCAAATAGGTAGACAGTATGGTATTGTTAACAGTTCAATCATTCTCAATCAAACTCTGTCTTCCCCACTCCCTATTCCCCTCTCACCTCTCCATGAGAACCCATAGCTATGGATACCCCTGGGCTACTCTACAACTGGGATGATAGTGGCAGATCAATAAAAATCAAGCCACTGCCTAGTTTTGTCTAAAGAGGAAGCATAGACACTAGACCAAAGGATAATATGACAGTTCTAGAAATCTGAGCCTTCATGCTGGTCCTCAGCCCCTAGTGTGTTATTACCAATGAAAAATGCAGAAGCTTTGCCTCTTGGTCCCCACGCAACTGGTTCTTCTTACCTTTGGTTCCATTGAAATGAAACTGTGGGTCCCTCTGCTCGAGATAACTGACCTTTTAATCGTCCTGCTATGGTAGAAGTGGTAGTAGTCCTTCAGGGCCCCTATCTGCAAAGGAAGGGTGGGAAGGAAAGAACAAAAAAAAGACATTAATGTGTGAAAACCGTCTTCTGTTTTCCTGTTTTTCATTTAAAAAGGAACACAAAACAAAAAAGGTCCATAAATTATGCAGCTGCTGGCTGTGCTTAAATGTTACCTGAACCTTGGTGATCACTTTTCAAAAGAAAGACATGTGATATGAAATGGAGTGTCCTTGAGGCAGTGACTGCGGAACTGAAGATTATAATGGGGCAGCTTAGCCTCTCCAAATCTCCTTTTAATGTTTAATTTATATGCAGCATTTTAAGTAATTCTATATCAATCTATACCCAAATGTGGGAAAGAGGGGGGAAAATCAAATAGCTATCTAGTTATAAAAACACATTGCATTTTGTTTGCTCTGAGAAATGTACAATGAAGGACCTTGTTAGATTATTTATACAGTTAATTTGAAATATGTCTTAAGCAATTGATCATTCACAAAGATAACATGACTTCGTTTGTTTGTGACTTCTGTAGACAGTATAAATATATAGATTATGCATTTATTGCAAAACTAAAAGTAAAATCGCAATATCTAAAACAAGACAAAAACATACATCCTACCTATCAGCTAAGCTTCCTGTATAAAAACAGTTGGTTCTACTTTATCTTATCCGTTTCTCTAACATTCTAGTCCTCTCATTTACATACACCTTTCCTCAGTTAGGTCTGTTTAGGATGGCTTTGAAAATAAGCCCCTGTCCACTTTGGGAAAGCAAACTAGCAAAACCTCAACCAACCATATTTTCTCAGCAAATTATAAAATGTGGATCATAGAATGAAAATTGAACTATGCATTGAAGACAGAAGAGCTTGGTTCTAATTCCAGCTGACACTCACCAGAGCTAAATAACATACACTAAGTCTCTGTTTTCCTTTTCTATAAAATTGGACTTTGGGCTAGTTAATTTCCAAGACCACTGCAGCGCCCAGATTCCATTCTTTGACACTCACATGCTTTAGGCAAATACTATAGTAGCTATTTCTCCAGGACATCCACGGCTCTGCCCTAAAATAATAACTATCATCAGGATGTTTTCCAGTTGGGACAAGTCAAAAGTTCAGCTTTCCTAATTTAAAAAAAAAAAAAAAAAAAAGTCTTGGCCCATGTTAATTTTTCCAGATAAAAAGTTTATTTCTCTTTCCCTTCTGTTCATCACGTTCTCAACCACCATCCCACTCAATTTCTGTGCTATTTAGAAATCATGTCCTCACTAGGGCTTTACACAGTAATTGAATGTCTCATCATTAAGATTTGAAACAAAGTCTAAGTCTCACATTTTTTATTCAAGTGGAAACTGCTCTGACCTACACAGATGAAATCCTGCACTCTGAAAACAAGCGGGGAATGCAGGCGGGGAAGCCTCTCATCTCAATGATCCTGGACTCTGAAGCAGCAGTGAACAATGAGGAAGAGGGCACAGATGCCAGCCCCAGCCTCCAGGAGTGTTTTAAGGAGGGTTTTACAGGCCCATTTTAAGATTCCAGAGGACTAAGGGTAGAATTCAGGAGTGGTTGCATAATCCTTTACAAGAAAACCTTAAAATCCCAAGAAGCTTAGAGTTGTCATCTCCTGTAACTTTTGTCAAAAGCACTCTTTGGTAAATACAGTAGTTCTCGTGGAAAGAAACAGAATTTCCATAAGGAAGATCGTCACAGAACAACCCCCTCTCATATCTGTTTTCTACACAGTAGCTGGAATGAGGCTTTCAAAATACAAATCTGGCTGTGTTCTATGGCCTACCCCTGCCTAAAATCCTTTAGTGGATTCCCTTTGCCCTCAAAATAAATAGTATCAGTCAACAATTAATACTATTTCATAATATAGTTTTTAAAAGTAAATCAGAATAATAATATTGTATTAAACTTTTATTCACACCATGCCAGGGAACTATTCCGTACGCTTCATCTAACTCACTGAATAGACCATTCTCCTCCTCCGACCTAGGGGCCTGTGTGGTCTGGCCCAGCCTCTCTCTGGCCTCACCTCAAATCACACTGACCAGCATTCTTTCTGTACTCTGGCTGATATTGTTTGGCTGCGTCCCCACCCAAATCTCATCTTGAATTGTAGCTCCCATAATTCCCTCATGTTGTGGGAGGGACCCAGTGGGAGATAACTGAATCATGGGGTGGGTTCCCCCCATACTGTTCTCATGGTAGTGAATAAGTCTCAAGAGATCAGCTGGGCACAGTGGCTCATGCCTATAACCCTAGCACTTTGGGAGGCCGAAATAGCTGGATCACTTGAGGTTAGAAGTTCAAGACCAGCCTGCCCAACATGGTGAAACCCCGTCTCTACTAAAAATACAAAAATCAGCTGGGCGTGGTAGCACATGCCTGTAATCCCAGCTACTCAGGAGGCTGAGGCAGAAGAATCACTTGAATCTGGGAGGCGGAGGTTGCAGTGAGCCAAGATCGTGCCACTGTACTCCAGCCTGGGCAACAGAGTGAGACTCTGTCTTAAAAAAAAAAAAAAAAAAAGAGATCTGACAGTTTTATAAGGGGAAACCCCTGTCGCTTGGCCCTCATTCTCTTCTCTTGTCTGCTGTCATGTGAGACGTGCCTTTCACCCTCCTCCATGATTGTGGGGCCTCCCCAGCTACGTGGAACTGTAAGTCCATTAAACCTCTTTCCTTTGTAAATTGTCCAGTCTTGGGTATGTCTTTATCGGCAGCATGAAAATGGACTAATACACTAGCTATGATGGCCTTCCTTCCATTCCTTGACTGTGTCAAGCTCATTGCTCCCTCCACCTGCGGCACCTCCCCTACTGCAGCTGGAGGGAGAGGGTGGACCCTCTCCAGCTGAACTCCTCTTCCTCATAGTTTGTGTCTCAAGTAGGAAGTCTTCCAAAACTCCCCAGGCAAGGTCAGCATCATTAATTATACCATCTCATATTAATAGAATCATAAGAATATGCACCTCTAGTTATACCTTAATTAGTACAAATACTGGTTTAATGCCTGTGTCCCCATCAGCCCATATGTTCCATTGAGACAGGAAAACATCTGTTTTGCTCACCATTTTATTCCCAGCTCCTAGTGCATGGCTCAACACAGAATAGAATCTCATTAAAGACTGCTGAATGAATGGCCTAAAAATCAGAATCCAGCTGTGCACGGCGGCTCACGCCTGTAATCCCATCACTTTGGGAGGCTGAGGTAGGGGGATCATGAGGTGAAGAGATCAAGACCATCCTGGCCAACATGGTGAAACCCCATCTCTACTAAAAATACAAAAATTAGCTGGGCATGTGGTACACGCCTGTAGTCCCAGCTACTCGGGAGGCTGAGGTAGGAGAATTGCTTAAACCAGGGAGGCGGAGGTTGCAGTGGGCCGAGATCGTGCCACTGCACTCCAGCCTGGTGACAGAGCAAGACTGTGTCTCATAAATAAATAAATAAATAAATAAATATCAGAATCCTTAAATTACTGAAACCACATACAGTAGAGCTACATACAGCTCAAAATCTCTAGTATGAGTATCAAAGAATTATCACATTAAGGCTAATTTCAGCAAAAATGGTTTAGTTCTACCTTAATTGCAGTACCAACTCTTCCAAGGTTCTGAAAGTTGTGGGTTGAGACATCTCTACCCTTTATTTTCTTTCATTTTGTTTGCAAGATAACAGCTAAAGCGTAAAGTGCCTTAGTTCAATTACTCTGCCCCAACCAAACAAAATAATCTATCACCTTCTAGGATTATATATATATATATATATATATATATATATATATATATATATGTATTTATATGTAAAAGCATGTTTATGTCTCTCATCTATTAATATGCATGTCCCTTACTGAAGAGAATTATCTTTTATATTCTTTCAACAAGCACCAACATGCTGTTGGGCATTTAATAAATATTAAGAAGAAAAATGTCACAACATGTTGGAAGTTATTCAAAAGAAAGGCAGTGTATGAAAACAGCAGTGATATTATCTATAAGCAGGCATTCCATCTAGCTTCTCTGGGGTAATGTAAAACAAAAGCTGATTGTGGTTACGTTATTCAATAGCAGCGAGGACTGAAACAAGGAACAATATATAACTAACATGGGGATATCTTATAAATAAATCAGAAACAATAGGAGTATATGAAGTATAAAATCGATAGCAAATAGTGCAAAGCCCAACCTTTTCCTTAAAGCTAGCTACATAAAGGAAAGAGAGAATAATTTCTTCCCTCTTAGCCCTCTAAAGCTCCTCTTCTGTACAGTCACACACTAACACAACTCTACACACAACTCTAAGTCAATGAATGTCATCTCTTGTTCCTAATTCTGTCAAGTTTTTGTGCTTTTTCTTCCTGAATGATAGCCCGTCACCCTTGCACCCAGAATTTTCCTATCTCTATCCTTTCTAGAACCAAAGTGTGTTCTTAGGAAAGGCGTTGTAAACTATTTTATACTAATAAATGACTGGTAGATTCAATGTTTCAGTTCTTTCAGGGAAAACTGCATTTGATCAGAAAATTAAAACTTGAGCCAAATAAATGAGTTCACAGAGCCTGTAATTTCAAAAAATAATCACCGAAGTTTTTGGTTTACTTTTTTTTCTAGCAGCAGGAGGACACCTTCCCAATGTTCCTAAATTTTCATATCACAAGCAAGCTGATGACTTTTGAACAGACAGCTGAGACCCACGTGTTAACACTGGCTTTGCCCCTGATGAGGAGCTGTGTGGCCTTTCAGAAATCATTCACCACTGGCAGCTTCACCTGAGCATGCAGCGAAACCCCTCAACAGTCTAATGCCTCCTTGCACAGAGTTTGCAGCTTCCTTGTACATAGTTATGCAAGGTGACCAGCCAACCCCCACAGACAGTTTACCCAAGACTAAGGAATTTCCTGGGACACAGGATTTTTCAGTGCTGAAATAGGGACAGTTGGTCACCTAGTTATGAAGCTGGGGTCACCAGCACTGTGGCCACCTTGAGGAACCTGTCAGTTCTCTTGGGCTTCTTCTCTGCTTGGTTTTCCCTCCTGCCTTCTTCAATTTATAGATTCCTCCAAATTCTGTACCTCCTTTTTGAAAAGTTATTTGCCTCCATTCTACAAACAAATTAACCAAAGGGGCAAAAGCTTGAATGGACATCTCACAAAAGAAGATATACAAATGGCCAATACGCACATGAAAGGATGCTTGAATGAAAATTAAAATCATAATAGCACTGCACACACACTAGAATGGCTAACATTAACAAGACAGGCAATACCAAGTTTTAATGAGATTGTGGGGCATGAGAATTCTCATATATTGCTAATAGGAGTATAAAATTGTTCAACGTCTTTGGAAAACCATTTGGCCATTTATGAAACATACACTCTCCTCACGATCTAGGCATTTTGTTTCTAGGTATTTACCCAAAAGAAATTAAAACATTATTTCTAGACAAAACTCATAAACGTTCACAGAATTTTCTTAATAGTAGCCCCAAACTGGAAACAATGCAAATGTCCATCAATAGGTGAATGAAAAACTACATGTACCATATCTTATTTTCATAAAGTATAAAATAGAATATAACAGGATAAAATAAAGATCATACGGCATATAATAGAATGATACCCAGTAATGAAAAACAATTAAGAGGAACAATCAATCATGAATACATTTCAAAATATGTTAACACAAAAACGTGCATACCATATGATTCCATTAACATAAAATTCTAAGACAGATAAACCTACTGTATAGTGAATGAAAACAGATCAGTGATAGCCTGGGTGTGGAGTGGGAACAGGCTGGGAGATGCCTGGAGAACCATGCTGAGAATGTTTTGCATTTTGATTATGGTAATCCCATAAAGTGCAAAGGTGTGTGCTGGAAACAGCTCCTCCTCATCGCCTTCTAACAACCAAATACATCTTTTCCCAGCACCCTATTAAGTGACAGCAGGTTGATGACTTAACATCAACAAGGATAGAAGTATTTACATCACAAAAAACTGGCAAAGGTCACAAATTAGGGCTTCCTTTTCTCCATAAAGGGCCAGTTAACTATTTATCAGCACATCACTGGGTATATACATTTGTCAGCACTCAGCCAACTATATACAGGACTGGCTGCATTTGGGATATGTAAATTATACCTCAATAACCGATGATCTCAAAAAAGTTATAAATTCCCCTTTTCTGAATTCTGGTTATTTCTTTGCAATCCATAGAGTGACTTAGCGATTGGGAAATGAAACAATGAATGAAAGAATGGGGAAATGAAAGAATTGGGAAATGAAAGAATCCATGATGTGGAGCTGGAATGTGTCCGCCAGCTCACACTTGTTCCTACCTGCTCAGGTGAGATGGGGGAGAACCAAGTCATCAAGACCATTGTTCTTGTTGACGAACCTCTTCCCAATACTCAAAACTGAAAAGTCCGAAACTTCCACTTGTTAAACTCATTTCTGATTTAGACAGAAAGTTACAGAGGCAGTGATGAGATACTGTTTTCTCTTCATTAAAATTTAAGTGTGATGCTTCCTTAGCACTTGGCTAAATGTGAGAATGTTAAAATAATTGTAACTACTTGCCTTCTGTGTTCTAAACTCCATAACATTCAAAGGAGAATCCATAAGGAGGAGGCCACGATTGCTTTCCTTACTCACCAAGAGCATTCCCAATCTTGGGGCCCTTGCACCTCCTTCCTTCTGCCTGAAATGCTCCTCCAGAAATCTCCAGGACTCACACTTCCTCACTTCTCAAAGGCCACCTTCTTAGGGAGGCTTTCTGTGACCACCCAATTTAAAATTACTGTTGCCCCTCTGGCATACCCCATACCCTGATTTATTTTTCTCCATAACACTTACATGACCCATTTATTGTCGGTCTTTCCCCACTAGAATGTTAGCCCCATAAGGGCAGATTTTTGTTTTATTCACTGCTGGATTAGTCTCACCTCCTATTAACAGTGCCAGGCACACTCAATAAACGAGTAGAATAAAGCAATGAATGAATAGCCCCTGGCATTGAGGAACTCGAAATAACAGTGGGCATGTCTCTAAACCTTAGTGAAAGTTTCCTGCTCATTCTTTTATAGCCCTTTTTGGGTAAATCACTGACATATAATGTAACATAGGCTCTATGCTTAGTAAATACATGGGGAATGAATAAAAATATATCTGAAATTAAGAATGTATCACCAATAACCACATAATCATCAAAGTCTGTCTATATTTCTCAGTCCCCTCCCTCATCCCATCACAGTTAATGATTTCTTCAAATCACTGAACAAAAATCATACTTATAACAAGGCTATTGAATTAATTTTAAAATAGTAAGTCAAAAGTCAAGGAAATGCAGCAATCTGATGAACTGCTAATATTTATGGAGTACAAGCCAGCCATTACTTCACTGCCGCCTCACAACAGTATTAGCAGGTTATCATTATCCCTAGTCTACACATGAGAAAGCAGAGGCTCACAGAGTGTAAGAACCTGCCCGGGGCCACACAGTTAAAGGATGAAGCTAAGGTTGATGGTGGGCAGCCTAATTCCAGAGCATATGCTCCTAACTACTCTAAAAGATGTTCGAAATATAAAGTTTCTAAGGATGAACTTAAAACTACAGCTACCCAGAGATCTCAACCGCTGTCCAGAAAGCTGTATTTCTAAGAGTTGTACAGAGAGGGGATATTTTCTAGGAATATTTCCATCTACTTTGAGCAGATGCAAAAAGAGAATTGCCAAGTATCTCCAAGAGTAAGAGAGAGCTCATTCCTTTTCTCTGGGAGTGGGGGGCGGGGGCAAGAATCCTGGCCTTCATACCTGGTTATACCGCTAACCCCAGAGAACTTACATTAGTGTTTCCATGCCGGCAATAAAGTATCTTTAAGGTATACCTTCACCTCAAAGTGTCCAAGCCAGGATTTGAAACCATGTCAGCCTGACTCCAAAACAAGCACAACATCCTGACACCTAGATTCGTAAATGCTATTGCATCAGGCAGTAGAATGCCACACAATGACAAAAAAGCTATTTTTTTTTAGACTTTAGTTTCAAGTCAATCATTCAGAGTATCCTTGATTCCTTCCTAAATTCCTTCAGGTTCAGACTCAGCTTTGAGCTCTTCAGAGAATGGCATTAGAGGGCATGAACTCAGAGCAAAATCACTACAGTATAGATATTTTTAAATCAGGGTGCTCAAGGAAAGATGTATAATCTCTATGATTTCAGATATCTAATCTCTATGAAATGCAGGTATGTGGTCGGCTGATTAGTGCTCCCCACCAAATGTCTACACCCTAACCTCCAGAACCTATGAATATGTTACCTTTATGGCAAAAGAGACTTTGCAGGTGTGATTAAGTTAAGGATCTTGAAATGGGGTTTAATATCATCACAAGGGTCCTTATAAAGAAAAGAGGAAGCAGCAATTAGAGAAAGAGATGTGATAACCAAAGGAGAAGTCAGAAAGAAAGAGATGGAAACAGAGATTGGAGAAAGATTTGAAAATGCTATGCTGCTGGCTCCGAAGATGGTAGAAGGGTCCACAAGCCAAGGAATGCAGATAGCCTCTAGAAGCTGGAAAAAGCAAGGAAACAAAGTCTCCTCCAGAATCTCCTGAAGGAGCACAGCTCTGCCAGTATCTCAATTTTAGGTTAGGAATTCTGGCCTCTAGAATTGCAAGTTAATAAATTTGCATTGTTTTAAGACATTAACTGTGTAGTAATTTGTTACAGCAGCAATAGGAACCTAACACAAGGTAGAACTAGTACCTCAGGAGACACCCAAAAGAAAAGGAAATTAAACTAGAAAGACTATTTGAATTTGGTTCCTTTTTATTCTTCATAATTTTCAGGAATCCTTGGGTATTTGGTTATCAGCTTCCAAATAGTTATACCAATATAGCTATAGCAATATAGGTACTCTGCTAAGCACTTTTTTTCACATGATCTTGATCTTAATTCTCAAAACAAACTGAAGCCCAAAATGAAGGAATCTGCCTAGAAAAATAGAACTAGTAAATGACTTATCTATTCAAAGCCACTGTGTAATTGACATGACTACTAATAAACATTCCCACTTCCTGAATGCTTTCCCTACGTTACGTCTAATCTTCCCAACAACCCTCCAAAGGAAGGAGAATTACTCTAATTTTATGGACAAGGAAACTGACTCTAAACCTAAAAGAAGTTAAGTAATATGCCCAAGTAAAGAAGTATCCAAGCCAGGATTTGAAACCAGGTCAGCCTGATTCCAAAAATCTATGCTTTTTCCAGGCACAACACCTTGATTTTATTTAAAACTTACTCAAAGGGTTTTGTAGAGCCACATTCAATTCTATGGGTACACTAACATAGTATCCCCACCCTGTCTCACCTCCTCGCCCTCACTAATATAAGGCCTCATTAGTTTATTCTAAAGCCACCTGAATAGAGTACAGAAGAATTTAAGTCCTCGTAGTTTACCTTACTAGCAGGTAATCAAAAACATCTGATTACGAATCCTGAGCGGGTAAGAAACAGATGCAACACTTTCACCAAGGAAACTTAAGACACAGCAAGTTGAATAAGCACCAGATTTTCCCAGGTTCAAGTGAAAATCTGATGGTCTGCCCAACTATTCACAAGGGACATGAGATTTGCCTCAAAGCAAATCATAGAATCTCAGAGTTGGAAAACATCTTCATAAGATTTTAATCTGCCCTTCCCCACTGGATGCAGAAATCCTTCCTTCCAATTGGCTAGGGTGCTGCATTTTCTGGGCAGCCCATTTGTTAAAAAGTTCTTCCCAGTAATTAGCCTAGGTCCACTGACTACTCAAGGCAACAACCCAATGGCATCATCCCTCTTCTACATGGCAGACAGCCAACACATCCCTACTGGGTCTTCCCTGTTTCTGGCCAAACCTCCAAGTTTCTCCATTTTTTTCTCATGTAACAAGCTTTTGCAGGTTACTTCCCCTAGACAAGCCATCTGTAACGTCTCCCCAGAAATCCTGGAGCCTAGAACACAACACATCTCAACTCCAGGTAAGGTGGAGTTGGGATAGAGTCCATGATACCATGACCTCCCTTGGCAATGTACTTCTAATAAAGTAGCTTAAAATCAGAATACTTTAGCAGAATAATCCTTGGGAACTCTTTTTAACTTGGTTCTCCTCCAGTCTGTACTTTAATTTTTAAAATGTATATGTAAATGACAGAAATCTATATTTCTGTTGAATGCTGAATTTCATTTTTGTACCCTACTAATGCTTTTACAGACTATCAGACATTCATCTATTAACTGAGTGTGTACTATGTGCCGAGCAATGATCCAAAGACACTGCAGACAGAGTGAACAAAACACAGTCCCTGTTGACATGAGGATAATGTCCTGACTTGATTCTGCCAACCCCTTGGTGTCAACTGTGAGTTTGAAACCTATGTCCTCTATTGAATTAGAACATTTCTCCCAAGAGTACTCAAATAAATTTTCATATCAGCACACTACAGATAAGGACTGGGTTCAACATTCAACTTACAGTATGTTTATAACAGTTATTTAAGAATGACCTGGAAATGACATTACGCTTTTATTTTCTTCAATCCATTTTTGTCCAAAATGAGTAATTATATCCTTAATATAAAATAACCCATGTACTCTAGTCCTCAGATAAGAGCATTTATTACTGCTATTTATAGTCAGCCATTCTTATGAAAAGTTCTTCAAAACCCATCTGTAAGTAATTTCTGGAGAGACTTACAGAGATTATTGTTTAATATTTAAGCTATCCCACCTGTTTTTAAGACACACATTTCCCATACACACACACACATACACACACACACACAAACGAAATAGAGAGCCCAAGAGAGGCTGAGAGAAAGAACACATGTCTGAAAATGGGGTCTTCACTCTTTTCTGCACCATCATCTCGGGAACCGGAAGCATTGCCACATAGATGGAAACAAACAGAAAATAGTACATATTTTTATAGGTGAAAACATTGCTAGAATTACTGCCTAGAACAGTATATGTTCGCTTTCGGTCCAGTCATGCTCAATGTTGTCTATGCATTAGAATTATACGGGGACTTTAAAAAGTACTAATGCCGAAGGACCAATCCCCTGACCCCTGCACACCTGCCCCAGAGATTCTGATTCTGACTTAAGGGTCTGAGATAAGGCCAGGGCATCGGTACTTTTCTTTTTGAAAACATCTAGGTGATTCTAATATGCAGCCAAAGTGAAGAACTACTGTTCTAATTCATCCATTTCATTCGGCAGAAACAGAAACATTTACCCTGAATCCTGCAATCTCCATTTAAATATTCCTATCTAGTTAATTAAAATAAGCTTAAATGAAAAAAATCTCTAACAACTTTTTTATTTTAAAACTAATGTTAACTGGCATGTTTCATTCTTTTATGCCTTCCATTAATGATTCCAAAAACTCTCCCCTCAAAAAAAATTTTAGAAAATATGTATTTGAATGTGTATGGTATAATCAGATTCAGAATTGCCAGTATTTTTTCATACTGGTAAACAGAGGCTATTTTGAGCTCTATAGCATTTTTTTATTTGTTTTTTTATTTTATTTTTTAATTTTTTTGGAGGCAGAGTCTTACTCTGTCACCCAGGCTATAGTGCAGTGGTGCAATCTCGGCTCTCTGCAACCTCCGCTTTCCAGGTTCAAGTGATTCTTGTGCCTCAGCCTCCAGAGTAACTGGGATTACAGGTGTGTGCCACCATGCCACAACTAGTTTTTGTATTTTTAGTAGAGACAGGGTTTTGTCATGTTGCCCAGGCTGGTCTCGAACTCCTGAGCTCAGGCAATCCTCCCAGCTTGGCCTCCCAAAGTGCTGGGACTACAAGCATGACCCATACCACCCAGCCTTGAGCTTTATAGCATTTAAAATAACCCATTTTATTCTTAAAGGAGAATATTTGGAGTAGAGAAGATGTGAGCATTAAATTAAAAGTATGTGATAGATTCTAGCACTTTGGGAGGCCGAGGCAGGAGGATCGCTTGAGCCCAGGAGTTTGAGGCTGCATTGAGCTCTGATCACCACAGCACTCCAGCCTGGGTGATAGAGACCCCCACCTCTTAAAAAACAAACCAAAGCAAAAAACATGTGATAGAGACTAGCTTGGGACAGCTTATGACCCTGTCACTCTGAGTTTTAAAACCCTATTAGGAGGAGAAGCTCCCCCTATATCTTTGCTAATGGTTGTTCAGTTCAGAGATGTTTCTTTTTTTTGAGACGGAGTCTCACTCTGTCTCTCAGGCTGGAGTGCAGTGGTTTACTGCAACCTTTGCCTCCCGCATTCAAGTGATTCTCCTCCCCCAGCCTCCCAAGTAGTTGGGATTACAGGCATGTGCCACCATACCCAGCTAATTTTTGTATTTTTTGGTAGAGACGAGGTTTCACCAGGTTGGCCAGGTTGGTCTCGAACTCATGACCTCAGGTGATCCACCCACCTCGGCTTCCCAAAGTGCTGGGATTACAGACGTGAGCCACCACACCCAGCCCAGAGATGCTTTTTGTTCACTTGTTCCCATCTGGGTCCTTCTAAGGACTGGTAGAGTTAGCACCTGTACCATGGCGACCACAAAAGTGGGCCCAGACTAGGGGAAGAGCAGCAGCATCTGTGGATAATGGCAGAGGGTGAGGCTTCTAACCAGATGTAAGGATGGGTCCTATTTTTATAGTTCCTAAGGTTCAGCCACTGTTGGCAGCTATTGGCTTGTTGTATTAATTAAAGACATCACAGAAAAACACCTATCAAATCAGATAAAAATAAAAGGAAAAAATGGCAATATCAAATGATGCTGAGGATGTGGGGTAAGTGGAACACTCATACATTGTTGGGAATACTTGGAAAACAGTTTGGCAGTTTCACATAAAATTACTCACTTAACATACAACCCAGAAATCCTACTCCTAAGTATATTCCTCAAGAAAAATTAAAACTTAACGTTCACTCAAAAACTTGTACATGACTGTTAGAGCAGCTTTAGTCAATCACCAAAAACTGGAAACAACCCAATGCCCTACAGCTGGTGGAAAGATAAACTGGTACATCCATACAATGTCATACTGCTCATCAATAAAAAGGAGCAAACTACTGATTAATTAATCAAGGATGAATCTCAGATGCATTACAACAAAGGAAAAAGCAAAACTCAGAGGGCTGCCTATTGTATTATTCCATTTATATGACCTTCTGGAAAGGCAAGGTACACCAGAACACACATTAGCAGCTGCCAAGGGTGAGAGGTGAGAGGTGAGGCAAAAGGCTGACCACATAGCAGCACTAAGGAATTTTCCGAGGCAAAGGAATTTTTCTGTTTCTTATGGTGGTGGCTACACAACCATACGCATTTGTCAAAACGTACAGAACTGTACAGTGAATTTCACTGCATGCAAATGATACCTCAATAAACCTGATTTTTTTTAACTCTACAGAGAAAAGCCCTGTCATCAAGAGAGCTAGTTGGAAAGGTAATGCAAAAGGAAAGGCAAAACATTAAGAAGTTATTTGTTTAGATTAAAATATATGATCAAATTGATGTTATTCAATTAAAGAACTTTCCTAAAGTCATAGCAACCACATCAACATTTGGAATTATACAGTGCAAAAAGCAACCTTGAGAATCATTTGCAATATGTAAAGCTTTCCTTTTATGAAATAAATGAAATATTTCAGCATTTCTAGTAAAGTGCTGCTTTCCACTAACATGACCATCTTCGTCACAACAAAATACAAACGATTATGCTACATGATGGAGTCATTTGGAACTACTGTAAACTGAAAAAAAATGGCTGGTAATTTTGAAACAAAGATGAGAAGGTGTATATAGTTTGATGTCTCCTAAGTGCTATCAGCCATACCACACCTAATATAAATGTCTTGAAATAAGTAATAAAAATCTATAAATCAGTGGCTCTCAAAGTGTGGCCCTGGGGCCAGAAGCACTGGACCAGCAGCATTGGCATCAATGAGCCTGGCAGAAATGCACGTTAATGAGCCCCACCTTAACTGAATCAGAATCTAGTCATCACCTGCTCAGCCAGCTCAATCCAAGAGGTGAGAAGGAGGTCACCAAGAGTGTTGATGAAGCAACATTCAACAAAGGGTGCAAGCACATTATCGTCTATCCTGACCTGTGCAGTCAAGATGAAGCACAAATATACCCTGCATATACCCAACCAATCTATATTAATTTGTATTCTTTTATAACGCTAAGGGCCCAATCTATGTTTAGAATAAAATGGGATTTCAAGAAGAGTTTTATCCAAACTCAACTCCAGAAGATAATGAAAAACATTAATAATGTTCACAGTATTAGAAGAAGTATAGTTACCTATGAGAAACTATCTTGAGGAAAACTCAGTTCACCTCATAACCAGTAAAATTTCAGAACTAAAAATTCCCAGGTGACATGCATACTAATAATTGTAACTATTAAAAATTAAAAGTTTGTCTTCCCATAACCATTAAGTCCTGCCATATTTTACTTTAGGTTAATGCTCTTCTTAGCTTCTACTTCCTAAATAGAAGGACCAATAATAATTTCTAAATTTTTCTTCCTCTTTTCAAGTAAAATGTTTAGGTATCTCAACAGATATCTTAGTAGAAAAATGTTATTCTTATCAGGCTTAACAGGAGTTCATCAAACACAAGCAAGATGAATAAAGTAATCCCAAATATCTTTACAATTATATCAGCAGATATGTGCAATGTGTAAAGCAAGGTTTTATTTGCATTAAATTATCAGTGTCTCCTCTTGGGGTTCTGTTTTACTGATACTATCTGCTCATGATATCCACGGACTATAAATCTTGATTCTGCATAAATGAACCATCTACTCTTTGAGCTGCCTCGGGGCAAATATTGAATCTGATGTTAGCTCCCAGGTGACACACGGTTCTTCAGCAGATGCATGCTCAAAGCAACAAAAATTTAAATATCAGTCTAATTAAAATATTACCAAGATAGATTTGCTACCTCTCACCTTCATACACACTTGTTCCCAAAACACATAAAAATGCAAAGTGTTCTGGATTATCTGTGTGTTTCAGCATCATACGTGATTGCCCACTTCAACAGTTTTACAACCTTGTAAACAGGATAAATAACTCATCAGGCCATGTGTCTTTGTCTTACTGTCTTATCCTATGTAACACCAATATTAACTGCTTATATTCATATGCTTTTCCCATCTTTTTTTTTTTTTTTTTTTCTGAGACGGAGTCTCTCTTCGTTGCCCAGGATGGCATGCAGTGGCACAATCTTGGCTCACTGCAACCTCCACTTCCCAGGTTCAAGTGATTCTCCTGCCTCAGCCCCCTGAGTAGCTGGGATTACAGGCACGTGCCACCATGCCCAGCTAATTTTTGTATTTTTAGTACAGACAGGGTTTCACCATGTTGGTCAGGCTGGTCTCGAACTCCTGACCTTGTGATCTACCCGCCTTGGCCTCCCAAAGTGCTGGGATTACAGGCGTGAGCCACCTCGCCTGGCCCTGCTTTTCCCATCTTTAAAGAGCTTTCCCTTACTTTGTTTTATGCAAGGTAATATCACCCCTTTGGGAAACTTCTCAATTACTTCCTGTTACTTTTAAATTAAGATAAAAAATGCCTTTATTTGACCCAAGGGCCTATCATATCTGGCTCCCATTTACCTGTCTAACATCATCCCCTAACACCTCTCCCTAACCCTCACTCACTACGCACCAACCCACTGGCCTTCCTTCCAGCCTCAGAACCCTCGCACTTGCTGCCCCATCTGCCTGGAATTCTCTTTTTTTCAATCTCTTGCCTCTTACTTCCTTCTCGTTTTTTGGATCTTAGCTCAAATATCACTTCTTCCGAAGTCAAAGTCTTCTTTGACCTCTCTGCTAAATTGCCTTCCCCAGTTACTTTCTATCTGGTCAAGCTGTTTATTTCCTTACTCACTTTAAAAACACCGCTATATTGCCAGCACCTATCACAGTGGGTGGGATAGAGTGGTTGCCCAGTAAACATTTACAGAATGAATAAGTTATAATCTCCATTTTTGAAATAATAACACTGAGGCACCGCTAAATTCAGTAATTTACCCAAGTTTATACTAATAGCAAGAGAAAGAAACAAGATTTTTCCGACACCAAGCTCAGTGCTATTTTCACCATACTATATTAAACCTAAATAGGCTAAATGCTAAAGTACATATTCGTTCTTGGAGTCATATTTTCAATTTTTATTAAAGTTTAAACCCTGACCTGATTAACTTTAAGATTAATATCTTTATCTCGACAATTCCTGAGCCTGGCTTTAAAGTGCCAAGCTTTTAATTTTCTTTCTTAACATAAAAAGTCCACTGACCTTTATCTCAGCAGCTTGCTTAGTCTTAAATATATGTCAAATAAGCCCAAAGAAGAGTTTAAATAACCATTATGCCTACCAAGTAAATGTTTGTATCCACAAAATAGAAAGTTAGAAGTGATATTTAAGAATATGTAACTTCCCGCACTAGATTGAGTTTTAAGTATCTCACTTCCATCATTCCTAAGTACTTACTGTTGATGTAAAAGATAAACTCAATACAGTGTTTTACCAAAAGAATCACTGCAACATTTCTAGATTTTTGTAGTTACTCAAGACTTATACTTATCTGGACCATTCCTCATATCTGCATAAATGAAGAAAGTGCATTTAATATATATTAAGCTTTAATCAGAGGCTTCTACACCACTAAAAATTAATCCATGAATTACTTTAATATTCCAAACACTGGATATTGCCTGTTTTATTTGCATTGTTCAAATACACGCAGGTAATTTAGTGAAAGAACAGGGCTTCATAAGTTTTCCTCCTTCTTAGTTCTAACATGCCAACGGTCTGTCACTAAGTTGTGAAATAGGTTTAAAGCCTCAAGAAATTAAAGTGATAAAGACCAAGAGTGGGGAATGGTTCCCACAGCCCACAAGCACTTTCTCCTATTTCAAATGTATCATGTTAATTTTGATTCTTAACAGTGACTGCATTAGATATGCAGCTATGTCTCTATTCTCTTGATTTGGTTACTGTATAAGTTCTACAGACCCATAAACAGAACAGGCTGCTCAACATGATGGATGCAGCAACTTACTCCTCATCACACAATTGCACAAACCATATAATACAGTCAGGATCAGCCAAGGAAAGCCAAGGTTAGCTTGCCAGCCCTGAGCACTGCAGTCATGGGTAAAGGCATCCCCATTATAACACGGTCAGATTCCTACTTGGAAAAGTCATCACTATGCATGCCTCCCCAAAATGAGCCTTCTAACTTCCCCTAGGAAAGAGTTCTGTGGTTCCAACGGACAAAACAAGATGGGCATGCTTTAGCCGTTCAATCAATCATTTACCTTATTCCTAAACAGTCACCAAGGTAGAACTGTAAACTATTCCTCACACCTTTTACCGTATCAAAGTGTGGAATATTTATCATTTCTTATCAAGGCAGCTTAATGAAAGGGGTGTAAAAGCCAGATTTTCACAGAAGTAGGGGAAAAAATACTACCTCTAAAACTGAATTATTTGCTTATATGCCATATACCTACACATGCTAACTCCCTTGACCAATTTTCCTCACACATATATCTCCTAAAGAAACACAGGCCCTGATAAATATAAAAATTATTAGCAAGAATTATTAAAGAAATATATACATCCTACTGAGGATCCTGAGAAATAGAAAAGTTTAATGAAGCAACTCTCAGGAGCTGCTTTCATAATAGAACTTGAAGATACTGGAACTCAGGTCTGCTAAATACCAGTTCAGTGTTCTTGCCCTACTGAAAGGGGACTTCGTTTTTTCATTTTTACAATGAGGGGGCCAGGTGACATTCTTGCTCCCAACTCTAAAACCCAATGGTCATTGGGTTTTAGGTCATTGGGTCATCTAAAACTACCTAAAGGTCATTTATATTTTAGGAGACTAGTATTAGGGCTCCTCTAAAGCCATGGACTGTTGGAAGTAGCATTTCTTTCAAGACAAATAAATTACCATTAATTTAAACACACTCTTCCTAATAGTAAGTAACAACCAAATCTGACGTGGTGCTGTGGGGGCAAAAGGCAGTGCCTTAATGGAACAATGGATGCAACAAGATTCAAGCAATAAATTTTATGGAACTTCGTCATACTCTCACATCTCAGAGCCCTTTATGATAACACTCAAGTAAATCTATCTGGTTGAGTTAATAATTGGTTTAAATCTGTTACAAGTTAATGATGCACAGCCAAGCCATTCCAGGTACATGATGATACAGCGAATTTGTGACACGATTTGTAGATAACATTTTGCACTGCCTTTCATTTTTCTTTATTTCCTCCAATGATTAGAAAACTACAAATCATTTAAGAACAAACTGGACCTATAAATAAGACCTGTATACATACAGGCTGGATTAAAAGAGGAGAAAAAAGCATTATCTTCAGGAATAACATAGGGTTTCAGAAGGGCCTTGCAAAGTTTGAGATAGATCCCAGGCTACTTCTATATACATAATTTGGCATTCCTTTTTTTAATAATACAGTAGGAATTACTGTATTACTGCATTGGGTTCCTACTGTATTACAAAAAAAAAGGAATGCCAAAATCTGTAACTTATTTCAGTATTTACATGTAACCTCCAAATACAACTATGCTATTCACCAGATAGTTCTGGAATGCACAATGTGTATTAGCTCCTAGTGTACTAGAAGCAATGAGATGTGGTAATGAGACATGAGATGAAAGTTTTCAAATGGACACTATATTCCAATCCAGCCAGGGCACAAAACTATATCTAAAAACTCATTGGAAGGTATCTCATAAATATGCAGCCTGGAGCCAAATGATCTTCTAGCCCATGTTCCCAGTATCCCCTGGGTAAGACCCTGAAGTTTACTTAGAGATTTGTTGTGTGGATGGGGCCTCTACAGAATCAATTACATTTAAAAAGCACAAATACGTGACACTAAATATCAACAAATATTTAAATACTCATATATGTGTGGCTATGTAAAGATCATCCCCTACCTCAAGTGCAAATGACTGTAATTAAGCAAAATCTGACTACCGACGCATCAAAATGCAATAGGGTTGAAAATAAGCTAATGATTCAGGTACTTTGATGGTAATGAAAAGAGAAAAGACTGAGACAAGAGTGGAGCGAGAGTGGACTCCTCTGGGAAAGAGAAGCTCTGAGCTCTGTGGGAACAGCCAGCAGCATACCAGGTGCTGAGGAAGAATGTGCCCAGTCATTGTTCTGAATCCTGGCTGCTTATTTAAGAACCCACCCAAACCCAATCAACTGGGCTCTCTGAAGGTGTCTTTAAAGGCTTCTAGTTGTTTGAAACAAGTAGTCAGGATTGACAGCCACCTGAGTCAGGGAGCTGAGGATCAGAGAAAGAAAAGGTTAAGTAAGAAGAGTTCCAAAAAATCAGGATTTGAGCGACTGCAAGGAGACAGAGCAGGTTCATTCTAGAAAGGATCTGGTATGAGAGTGGGATGGGGAGGTGTCCAGAGCTAGGTCCCTTTGTCATTTACAAAAAGAGCAGAGGAAAATAGCTTTCTGTAGAGGAAACGATATTCAGATGACTGAAACTACGGCAAGCTGAACAGACAATGTTCTCCACACTACAGACTAGAGTCATTCTTTATGCTATGTGTATGTATGTACACATTCTCAACAATTACCTTCTGTTATCATGTAGTAGAGAATGGGTCACATGTCTGCTCAAAGCTGTCTAATGGCTTCTCTCCTCACTTAGTACTGACTGTGCATGCAAGTCTGCAAAGACCTATAGGCTTCCTCCTCAAAGCATTGTTTCAGGACCACAAGCAGCAGTAGCAGCGGTAACAACTGAGAGCTTGTTAGAAATGCTGAATCTCCAGCCCCATCTCAGATCTACTAAACCAGAATCCACATTTTAACAGGATCCCCAGGTGCACATGAAAGTGTGAAAAGCACCAACCTTCAAGATTTAACCCATCTCTCCGACCCACTCCCATTGCCTCTCCAGCCCATCTTCTACCACTCTCTTGCTCACTCAGAATCACCGGGCTTCTTGCCATGCCTCCAACATAGTAGGGTTCTCTCCTGTCCACGGCCTTTGCACTGGCTGTTCCCTCAACCAGAACGTGCTTCCTCCAGGCATCTTTAAGGCTCATTTCTTTCCCTCACCTTCTTCACAAATTTGCTCATGCCACCTTCTCCACGAAGACTTCCTAAGCCTGTTTACAATCGAAAAAAAAATTTCCAGTCTCTGTTCCCCTCTTCCCTGCTTTTTTGTTGTTCTTTTTTCTTCTTCTCCTTTTCTCCTTTCCTGTTCTCTATCCATAGCACTTACCACTATCTGACTTACCTTTTGTTTCTTATTCATTTGATTATTAGAAATCTCCTTTGATAGACTGCAAAATACGACCACAAATTCTATGCAACTCCTTCTATCAAGAGATGAAATATATATCTCTACCTCTTGAAGCTAGGCTTGGTCATATGACTTGGTTTGACCTATGGGATATTAAGACAAAGGGAGAAATTGGAAAAGCACTTTGCACATTGAGACTACTCTCTCAAGCTGCTGGGATACCTTCCTGTCACTTGGGAAGATACCTAGCCTGCTGAATAATGAGACACAATGGCCAGGTCCCCCACCACTCTCCATAACCCAAGCCAGCACCAGCAACCAGCACCAACCACCAGATATGTGAGTGAAGCCATCCTAGACCAGCCAGGCCCAGGTGACCCAGCAGTCAACTCAAGAACCTACCAGTCAACTCATAGCTTCAGAAGCAATAATGACTGTGGTGTTAAACCACTGAGTTTCGGGTGATTTATTTCTAAGCAAGTTGGCACACTCTTCTGATGAGCACATAAGTTCCAAGAACGAAGGGATCATTATGCACTGCTGCATCTTCAGGGCTTAGCACAGTGCTCAGCATAGTGTGGGCACTGTAAAATATTTGCAATGAATGTTGAAGGACAGAACGATGGCAAAGGGAAAACTCACAAGTGAAAGAAATGAATAAATGCCAGCCATGACTTCCACAGGTGAGAGACTACAAAGTGGGAGAAAGACTTGCTGGGTTCACTATAACCTTTGCCTTTTCAGAATTAGGTTGAACAAAATAAGATTTTAACTACTTTGGCAATAGAATAGCTTAGCAAAAAAAAAAAAAAAAAAAAAAAAAAAAAAACCTATATGTTCACACGCAATGTATCAATTATTTCAAAATAGTTCTTGTTTCATGATGCCTAACTTGCCTAAGACTTTACAACCAGGTGACCTTTAGAATATTTTTCACATTACACAGCCTTTACTCTCCCTGTTTTTAAGCTATTCAGATTTTTAACAGATCGCAAATCGGCAAACCAAATCACTGCATGTTGCTTCAATTCTGTCTTGCCAAAGAAGAAAAATCTGCTGCTTTGGATTCATTTCAACAGTTGGAAATTCAGACCATCACATTTTAAATCTCAGATGTTCCCCACTGTGTCCACATCACATAAATCAGTGAGTGAACCGATACCCACATGTTTGTGAAGCCAGTTCTCTCACAACTAAAGCATAATGTCCTTTGGAATGGAGAGGCAAATTTAAGTGGATTCTGCAGCAGTGGGTGTCATAATTCTGGAAGCACAATGTGGCCCTCAGCGAAGGCACAAGCAAGTGCTATTGGCAAGCAGAAAGAGAGTTCTCTATTAAACAATTTTTTGAAGTACAAAATTAACATGCTATTTTCATCTGATGGGGAAAAATAAAAGACAACCTGCAACACATTAAGTTTCTGTCTTCATGGAAAGAGAAAAAAAAAAAAGAACTCTGTATTTTCTAACGAAGCTTACCAGTGATTAACAGGTCTATCTGAACTCATAGAATAAGTTTCATGCAAAGAACCGGCAAGGTCAATAAATAATGTGAGGACAAAGAAGCAACTCTGAGAGCAATTAAGCTCTAGGACCTTTAGGGTTTCTTTCAGGAAATGCAAATCTCCAAACAACAGAATCACATACACACATTGGAAATAACTAATAAGTGGCTTCTGATTTTTTTCTTGGATATACATAATTACCAATTGAATAATCAGCAAAATGTATGCTGGAGTTCACTAGGGTCTTCCTATTACATCACGGGGTTCTTATCCAGAGTATCACAATCTTTTTCTCTCCTTTCACCACATATCTTAGTCTACACTGCACACAAGGCTAAGGAGAAAACTATTGAGCTTGGCCTTTTGTGTTTATCGAGATGGACTAGGTTCCACTAGAGTGAACTGATCCCATGAGTCTCAGTGACTTAAAACAAAAAAGGTTTATTTCTAGCTCATGTTATATATCTATCGTGCACTGGGCTGGGAGTGCTGCTCATCGCATCTCTCAAGGACTCAGACTAATGAAGCATCCACCATCTGGAGCTCTGCCAATCACAGGGCAGATGCAGCTCACCACAAGTCACTCACTGGCTGTAAATGAAGGGACACGAGTCACTTCTGCTCACATTTCACTGGGCCACTGAAGTCACCTGGCCATGCTCAACACCAAATATAGGGAAATTCAATCTTATAACACAGCCAAGGGAGAGAACCAGAAACATTCAGTGGACAGTACTAACAACTGCTGCGGGCTTTATTTACTCCCTGCCTGTTTTTGCCCACTTCCATTTATCCATTTTAGAAAATCTTTCTGAGGGCATTTTTTTTCTTGAGACGGAGTCTTGCTCTTGTTACCCAGGCTGAAGTGCAATGGCACGATCTCAGCTCACCGCAACCTCTGCCTCCCAGGTTCAAGCAATTCTCCTGCCTCAGCCTCCCAAGTAGCTGGAATTACAGGCACCCACCACCACACCTGGATAATTTTGTATTTTTAGTACAGATTGAGTTTCTCCATTTTGGTCAGGCTGGTCTAGAACTCCTGACCTCAGGTGATTCGCCCGCCTCGGCCTCCCAAAGTGCTGGGATTACAGGCGTGAGCTACCGCACCCAGCTCTGAGGGCATTTTAACTACAGAAAACTCTTCCAGGTGCCAACTGGGTCACAAAGGTGAACCACACAGAAATCCTATCTTTTTTTTTTTGAGATGGAGTCTCACTCTGTCACCCAGGCTGGAGTGCAGTGGCGCGATCTTGGCTCATTGCAACCTCTGCATCCCGGGTTCCAGAAATTCTCCTGCCTCAGCCTCCCAGAGTAACTGACACTACAGGTGTGCATCACCACACCTGGCTAATTTTTGTATTTTTAGTAGAGAAAGGGTTTCGCCATGTTGGCCAGGCTGGTCTCAAACTCCTAACCTCAGGTGATCCGCCCACCTCGGCCTACCAAAGTGCTGGTATTACAGGCATGAGCCACTGCACCCGGCCCAGAAATCCTATGTTTAGGGGGATTATTATCTAGCAGAGGAGAGAAAATCGGATAGATAGATAGATAGATAGATAGATAGATAGATAGATAGATAGATAGACAGAGAGAGAGATAGAGAGATAGATAGATAGATAGATAGATAGATAGATAGATAGATAGATAGATAAATAGAAAGAGAAGGATGCATGGATGGCGGATGGATGGATAGATAGATAGATAGATAGATGGCATGTAAGATGAAAATGCCAAGTGCCAATAAAAAGAAGCATACAAGGTTCAATGAGAGTTTAAACGAAGGAGGTTTTAGCCATAGGAAGTTTCATTTGAGGAAATGACATCTGAGAAAGGCTTTGTAGAACATAGTGAGATCTGGGCATGTGGATGTCCCGGCAGTGAGAATGACATGAGTAGAGGCAGAAAAGCAGGACATGCCAGTTCATGTGCACAGAATGGCAAAATAGTTAGGTTGAATGATGTTGAGAACATTAAAGAAGGAAGAGGAGGAAAGAGAAGAAAAAGGGAGAGGAAGAAGCAATTCTTTTTGACCAGAGGAAAGGGGGAGGCAGTGGGGACAGGGTAAGACTTGCACAATAATCCACATAAGAGTGACAAAGGCCTTACCTACAGTAGGCCCATCACAATTGTGAGGAAGGAATAGCTCTACTTTCAAACCATATATCCCATGAGAAAGCTCAGCTTTTCCATCGCTCCTTCATCTGACCTAGAAAATACAATTCACCTTTCCCTCTATCTACCCAAGCCTGAAGGCCTGGAGGTTTGCAGCTTGGATCTGATAAAAGAAGAGAGGTCAAATGGGGAGACTCATCTCTACTGAGAGATTGGCTTCTGGCCATGTCACCCAACCAAGAGAATGTTCCCTTTATCATTAAAGGGAGTTAACTCCCAATAAATACTTGTTCTATTTGTCCTGAGTTTGTTTCCTATCTCCAAGGATGTTTCTGAAGCCACTCCTTAAGGACTGACCTGCAGGGCTTAATTTATGACTGTTTGTTCTAGAGTCTGCAATCCCTCCTTCTCTCTGGATTTAATTTCAGTGTTTTGGCACTTAAATGGCCAATCCGGCTAGGCCCTGCCATGAGCCTCTGACCATCACAAGAGTGTACAGCTTATTTTATACAGAGGACCCTTCTTTTAGGACCTTTCACGCGCACCAAACCTGACTGTTTTTGCTACTTCCATTGCTTCTACATAAACAGTGAAATTTGCCCGTGATTGGAAATTGTTTCTTACTACTGACCAGTTTCTTCATTAGGGAACTCTGTGCTGTTCTTCCCACTGCTCCAATAGACAAAAGACTTTCACTGCCACCCCAAGGAGATGGTCACAGCCAGAAGGATCCTTAGGGTTCACCAAGATCCACAGAGAAGCAATAATAGTCCTAGGATAATCTGGGACTTGCCTCTCGGAGTGCGTGCTGTCACACTGTGTACTCTGACTTTCATACCAAAAATGCTCATAGAAGTCAAAATCAGAAGAATGACCCTGCTAATGATGCCAAGGTCTGAAACACTAAAAGATAAGGGCTAGGCTATTTCCCAGGAAGCCTGGACTTTCGAATCCACACACAAATGACTCATCAATCCTAGAACACTGCTTTTTACCATACCCCTTTATAGAATAAACAATGCACTACTGATTTCATTCTTGACTATATAGAATTTTTTGTACTTTTTCTCCAGTGTTCACATTATTTTACATTTTACGTACGTTCCATGTCTGCAAAATACTTTAGAATTCAACCAATATTTAATGACTAAGTATACACAGTGAGACACTATGCTATATGCTACAGAGTAATAATTAAGTCCCTGTAGACCGAAAAAAAAAAGGACAAACTTAACTATATTTAATTCCCTAAGAGAATTCTGGGCAAGCTATTATGCAAGTCAATGAAGTTAAAAATCAGAGCAATTTTACCTATACCTACATTTTACGTATACTTCCAGAGCAAAATATAGGTAAAGAGGTGATATTTAATGAGACAGGGCGCATTCAGCATAGTATGGCCATAGACAAGAGTTGACATTTGAGAGGTGCCTTCAAGAAGAGATAAAATTTCCAGAAGAGCAATGGATCAGGTGAATAGTTCAGGTGGAAAGACTGACAGAGCAACAGGAAAGCATTGAGCGTAATATCTGGGGAACAATAGGAAGGTCTAGCTTTATCAAGGGAATGAGTAGGAGAAATGATGGAAAAACTATTTCAGGACAAGTAGGTACAGGCCTTTAAAAGCCCAGAGAAGGAATCCATTGTAATGCAATAGGCAAATGGGAGCTACTGGTGGCTTCTGAACAGGGAAATGACATCACCAAAATTAAGCCTTAAGATGATCCTCTCTAATCTCAAGCTCCACCTCTTCTTCCTTGTTAGTCTCCATTTACACTGTTCTGACCTTCTCTTCCTCAGAGGCCTTTGCATTTGCCATCTCCTTTACAAAGACCTCATCTGACTCCAGACTACCATGTGGTTGGAGCTTTCTTAAAATTAGGTATCTGCGGCTGGGCGCAGTGACTCACGCCTGTAATCCCAGCACTTTGGGAGGCTGAGGCAGGCAGATCACAAGGTCAGGAGCTCGAGACCAGCCTGACCAACATAGAGAAACCCCATCTCTACTAAAAATACAAAAAATTAGCCGGGCATGGTGACAGACACCTGTAATCTCAGCCACTCAGAAGGCTGAGGCAGGAGAATTGCTTGAACCCGGGAGGCGGAGGCTGCAGTGAGCCGAGATTGCGCCACTGCACTCCAGCCTAGGCGACAGTGGGAGACTCTGTCTCAAAAAAAAAATAGGTATCTGCTCAAGTGTTCCTCCTCAGTGAGTCTCCCTGACCAACTAAATGAGTTCTCTCACCCTTGGTCACACTTTAGTCTACTAACATGTTGCTTTCCAACATCACCTATCATAATTTGAAATAATTTTACTCATGTCATTACTGGATTATGGCTTGTCTCCTCCCACTATAACGCAAGCACCGTGTGAGCAGACAAATGTAATTGTATTGTGCCTAGTAGAATGGCTGATAAAATAGGTACTCAATAACTATTTTAACAGCTTTACTGAGATATAATTCACATACCAAACAAATCACCCATTTAAAGCAGTGGTCCCCAACCTTTTCGGCACCAGGGACCGGTTTCACGGAAGAAAATTTTTCCATGGACAGGGGAGGGGGCAATGGTTTTGGGATGAAACTGTTCCATATCAGATCATCAGGCATTAGTTAGATTCTCATAAGGAGCACGCAACCTAGATCCCTCACATGCACAGTTCACAACAGGGTTCGCCCTGCTACAAGAGTCTACCGGCCCCACTGATCTGACAGGAAGTGGAGCGGCTCACCTGCCCCTTACTTCCTGCTGTTCAGCCTGGTTCCTAACAGGCCACGGACCGTATCAGTCCATGGCCTGGGGGTTAGGGATCCCTGCTTTCAAGCAGAATATTAAATTGTTTTTAGTATGTTTACAAAGTTGTACAAAAATCACCATAATCAGTGTTATTATTTTTTGAGACAGTGTCTTGCTGTCATCCAGGCTGGAATGCAGTGGCACCATTACGCTTACTGCATCCTCAAAATTCTTGGGCTCAAGCCCTCTTTCTGCCTCAGCTTGCCAAGTAGCTGGGACTACAGGCTACCATGCCCTGCTAATTTTTTATTTTTATTTTTTTCTTTTGTAGAGACCAGAAGGTGTCACTTTATTGCCCAGGCTGGTCTTGAACTTCTAGCCTCAAGTGATTCTCCCACTTTGACCTCCCAAAGTGTTGGGATTACAGGCAACAGCCAGTGAGCCAGGTCAACAATCTATTTTAGAACATTTCATCACCTCCCAAAAAATCTCATACCTATTAGCAGCCACTCCCCATTTCCCACCAACCCTTCCAGCCTTACCCAACCACAAATCTACCCTCTGTCTCTATAGATTTGCTAAATCCGGACATTTTATATAAACAGAATGATACAATAATGTGGCCTTTTGTGACTGGTTCCTTTCACTTAGAATAATATTTTCAAGGTTCATCTACATTGTAGCATGTATCAAAACTTCATTTCCATTGTGAAAAAATATTCCATAATATTAATATGAATACACCAAATTGTATCCATTTATCCGTTGATAGACAGTTGGATTGTTTCTGCTTTTTGGCTACTGTGAATAATGATGGCATGAACACTTATCTACAAGATTTTGTGTGGACAAATGTTTTCATTTCTGTTGGGTATACATTTAGGAGAGAACTGCTGGGTCATAGAGTAGCTGTATGTTTCACCTTTTGAGGAACTGCCAGACAGTTTTCCAAAGTGGTCTCACAGCTTTACATTCCCATTAGCACATTCCCATTGTAAATTGGAGAATTGCAATTTCTCCACATTCTCATCAACACTTGTAATGATCTGTCTTTTTTATTATAGCCATCCTAGTGAGTGTAAACCAGTAGCTTATTGAGGTTTGACTTACATTTCCCTGGTGACTAATGATGTTATACATCTTTAGATGTGCTTCTTGCCCATTTGCATATGTGCTTTGGAAAAATGTCTACTCAGATATTTTGTGCCCATTTTTAATTGAGAAATTGGTCTTTTATTATTGAGAGTGAGAATTCATTACATATTTTGGGTACAAGTCTTCCTCAGATATGATTTGCAAATATTTACTCCCATTCTGTGGGTTGTCCTTTCACTTTCTTCACGGTGTCCCTCAACAACTATTTTTTAAATAAAACAATGAATAGAATTAATCTTTTATGACAAAGGAAACCTGTGACTGGCTCATAAATATGTGACAAATTCATGGCAGGGCTGGATCTAGAAGGGTGACTCAAGTCACCTGTTTTCAGCTTTGAGTTTCCTTCACTGGTTCCCAGCATTGTCCAACCAGCCCAGGAGCAATGACATCATCCCGTGATGAGTCAAAGAATGCAGCATTTGGCAAATTGGTCCGTGAGCACCAAATTGAAAGACGCCCCATAGTTAAAAATAAAGAAAAAAAGGTCTTGCTGGAAGCTAGCCTGTAATAAATCCTAAGTGGCCTACAATTTTGTTTTCTTTGAGAAACTTCGAAATTGATGAATGGGGTTCCCACTGACACACAAACATATTAGTTAAATGAAACTAGAATAGGCACAGGATGAGTAGGCAGTATCTTTCTAAATTTACATTATGGATATTTGCTTATAAAATTATAGGCCCTGGGATGATCTCCCCTCCCTGCTCTGTATTCAGACTACCCAGCTTTATTTTGGTTGAGGATCTCCCACCAGAGAAAACAAGGTACAAGCATGGGAACATGGATATACAGAGATCTGGTATATTTTTACAGCTGTAAGAGCTTCTCAGTATAGAAAAATACCAGACCTTAAGAACTTATTACAAAAATATCATCCCTTAAATACTTATTTTATATATATATATAATATATATATATAATATATATTTTATATATATATATACACACACACACATATATACACACATGCACATACACATACAGAGAGAGACAGAATATAAACAGTTTGTTATACTGGGAAAGGCATCAAGGAAAGACTTGCTTTTAACTAGGTTCAAATCTTAACTAGGTTCAATGCTGGCATGGTATCCAAAATGTAATTTTCCCAGGATAGAATTAACCTCTCAGATAATGTATAGAAAATTAAAATAGAAACTTAAATACTTCTTTTGTGATGCTAACCTCAATTAACAATCAGATTACCATACAAATGTAAACAAGATTAATCTATTATATAGAGCAATCTAAAAATGTTATATGTGATAGAGCAATCTATAAATAATTTTAAAGACTCATTTTAAAACTTATCTGTATTCCTATAAGGTAGTAAAGTTTAGGCTAAGAATACATGAAAGGCATGTTCAGAACACAGCTTTGTTGTACTATATAAAATACGTATTTAAAGGGCAGAATACATGAAATGTGAATAAATTATAGTTATAATTATCTGTTATAATACTGAGATGGAAAGTAGACTATGTGACAACCTAAGCTAAAAGTCAACCTAAAATGTGAGATAGTATAGACCATTTTAAAAAATCATCCTTAAATATTGTGTCCTGGTTTTACATTCTCTGTTTCCACTGTCCCCTCTATATTCAGTGTTCAACACGATCTTCAGTTTTTAAACCAAATATGGGAGTTGAAAGCAATCATCCATGTGTCTGTCTTTATCCCTTAAGTTGGTAAGGGACCTGCAGTGCAAATAATAGCACACAGATGTGTAAAGCAGAGATAATACCTACATTTATCCAAAGAGAATGAAATACGGGGTAAGCTTCATGTTTATCTGCCCAGTGGACATATCAGCACAAATTGCTTGGAATCCTCTTCTTCCACGCACTGATAACCCCTCAAATACTTCAGCCTCTGTTTCTTGACTCTTTCCAACCCATTAGACTTCGCCTGTTCTCTGCCTGGTCGTCTCACCTGCATCTCCATACCCTGGACCTTATCATTGAGCAGAACAACTCTAGCTAGTAGCTTACAAAAAAATAAAAATACTCTCTGGGTTGGCTCTCATCTTTCTGCTTCTACCACTCTTATCAAGCTGGCCATCCATTTTTCTTTTGTTTGTAAAGCCGCTATGGCCACCCTATTCCATTGGTCCAGTAGTCCTATTTTGGCCCCACCACCTTCCTCACAGACTATGGTCAACCACTTCAGAAGTGGCACCTTTTATATTCAAGAACTGTTTGCCTCCTAGTTTCCCAGAGTCTTCTTTCGCCTTCTCTCTTACTCTGGTAAATTCAAACTCCTTGTTTTGTCCTTTTCTTTTTTTTTTTTTTTTTTTTTTTTTTTTTAGATGGTGTCTCACTCTGTCACCCAGGCTGAAATGCAGTGGCGCGATCTTGGCTCACTGCAACCTCCACCTCCTGGGTTCAAGCGATTCTCCTGCCTCAGCCTCCTGAGTAGCTGGGATTACAGACGCTCGACACCACACCCCGCTAATTTTTGTATTTTTAGTAGAGATGGGGTTTTGCCATGTTGGCCAGGCTGGTCTCGAACTCCTGACCTCAGGTAATCTGCCCGCCTTGGCCTCCCAAAGTGCTGGGATTACAGGCGTGAGCCACCACGCCCAGCCTGTTTTGTCCTTTTCTAATCTCAGGCTCCTGAACATTCATGAGAAAGGCACAAAACAATACAGACTGGTTCATTTTTTCTTTTTTCACTCACTCATTTAATCACTACTCACTGCGCAATGGCTAAGGACAAGCAGCAAATAACCTCATTGCTATTTGGTACATTTTTATATAGTCATCAATCATTAATTGTTATCAGCATTTCCTAAAAGTGTTCCAAAATACTGAAGTATCCAGACATCCATTTCCTCCAGTTCCCGCTGCTCCAACTTGCCACAGGTGGTCTTCATCTTTTTTTTTTTTTTTTTAAGTTCTGGGATATATGTGCAGAACATGCAGGTTTGTTACACAGGTATACATGTGCCATGGTGGTTTGCTGCACCCATCAACCCGTCATCAAGGTTTTAAGCCCTGCATGCATTAGGTATCTGTCCTAATGCTCTCCCTCCCTTTTCCCGCCACCCCCAACAGGCTCCAGTGTGTGATGTTCCCCTCCCTGTGTCCATGTGTTCTCACTGTTCAGCTCCCACTTATGAGTGAGAACATGTGGTGTTTGGTTTTCTGTTCCTGTGTTACTTTGCTGAGAATGATGGCTTCCAGCTTCATCCATATCCCTGCAAAGTACATGAACTCATTCTTCTTTATGGCTGCATAGTATTCCATGGTGTATATGTGCCACATTTTCTTTATCCAGTCTATAATTGATGGGCATTTGGGTTGGTTCCAAGTCTTTGCTATTGTAAATAGTGCTGCAATAAACATACGTGTTCATGTGTCTTTATGATAGAATGATTTATAATCCTTTTAAGTGACTGAGATTGAGGCCACTCTATACTTCCTTTCCTCCTCAGCGGAATTCCTCTGACTCGCCACTCGCCCTTCCTTCCTCTTTAGTCTGAGGCACCAACGTTTCTCTTCCTTTCCAGATGGACTTTTTATCCCTCTTTACTTACACCCTGCATGCCCCCTGCCCACGTGCTCACTGTGTTTCTCCTGTACCACACACTGTTCTAGGTGCTGGGGATACAATCATGAATGAGGCACTGCCCTCTCAAAAAGCTCACCAGCTAGTGGAAGGATAGGTGTGTAATTAGACACACACACACAAATTCACATACAATTGGGATGACTACATCATTTATCTTCCAAACTTGGACATGTTTGAGAGTGAATGGGGAGGTAAAAAACAAATGGGGTGAACCGATTTACTGCAGGGTAAAAAAAAAAAAAAAAGTTGTTTGTTTTTTTTTTTTTTTTGAGACAGAGTCTCGCTCCGTCACCCAGGCTGGAGTGCAGTGGCATGATCTCGGCTCACTGATGCCTCAGCCTCCCGGGCTCAAGCAACTGTCCCACCTCAGCCTCCCGGGTAGCTGCAACTACAAGCACAGACCACCACACCTGGCTAATTTTTGTATTTTTAGTAGAGACAGGGTTTCACCATGTTACCCAGGCTGGTCTTGATCTCCTGGCCTCAAGAGATCCAGCTCCCTCAGCCTCCCAAAGTGCTGGGATTACAGGCATGAGCCTCTTCACCTGGCCAAAAAAATTTTAAACAAGATATAATAACTCTCATTTACAGAGTATTTGTGTGTCAGATACTATTCTAGCTACTTTTAACTCATCCTCACAACAATTGTATGCGGGGATCACTCTTGTTATTATATCCCTTACACACATGAAGAAACTGAGGAACAGAGAGCTTAAGACACTTATCTAGGGTCCTCCAGCTAGGAAGGAGCAGTATTAGGTTTCAAACCCTTTTAATTCTAAACCTATGATCCTAACTACTCCAGCACATTGGCAAGAAAGAGATGAAGGGAGCGAATGGAGGCTGGCAGGTGGATAGAAGCAGATGTCCAATGAAAAACTGTTGTACTCCGTTTCTCTACTGCCCCACAACCTGACTTCCACTCCACTATTCAATCAAGCATTGGTGCTAAGAGCACTGGAAGCCTCCTTATCACTTTACACACATCCTCCTGGATTCTTTCTATAGCACTTCTCACTACTGCACACCATCTAAAGGAGGCACCCTTTCTTCTGGTGGCTCTCTCCATCTTCCTGGCCCCTTCATCTACTCCCGTTCTCCCTCGCTCCCTAAGTGGAGACATTCTTTTCTCTGCCTTTTCTTCTCAGTGCCCCTCTCTTCATGCTTCATCTCTTAACAATCCTAAGCCCTTCCACAAGCTTCCTTTATACTGAGGTTGATGATGAGTGCTAATTTATACTTCTTTCCCAACCTAAATGCTCTTCCACCTACTAGACATTTCTATAAGCATGTCCTTCTATCTTCTAACAAAAAGAATGCTGATGATCCCGCTTATATGTGGAATTTAGGGGAGAAAATGTTGATTACATAGAAACAGAGTGTAACAGTGACTACCGGGGTGAGGAGAGGGAGGAGGGAGATGTAGGTCAAAGGGTACAAACTCACAGTTATGTAGGATGAATTTGTCTAGAGATGGAATGTGCAGCAGGAGTACTAGGGATAAACAACATAATAATACTGTGTTGTTTATTGACTATTTGCTAAGAGACTAGATTTCAGGTGCCCTTACCACAAAAAGGAGGGGTAATTATGGAAGACAATAAATATGTAAATTTGCTTACCTGTAATAATCATTTCACTATGTATATGTATATCAAAATATCATGTTGTATACCTTAAGTATAAACTAATGCTGAGCCTATTCTTTTGTTCTCAAAATGATCCTGCAGACTGTCCTAATTCTACACAACAGTCCACCATTCTCCTGGTCCCAAGGCTAAAACTTTACAGCTATCTTCACATTCTCCCTCCTCCTCATCCCCTACTTCCATTTAGTTACCAAGCCCTATTGAATCATCCTCTACAAGAACTTCCAAATCTTTCCATTGTCATGGCTCCTGTTTCCATTACCAATAATCATTGCCAACACAATAACCACTCTGCCATTATGCATTCAGTTCATTGTGCACACTGCTACCAGCAGACTCTCCCAAGGCGTGACTGAACCATACTATACTACCCAGAAGTCCATTACTATTTGTCTTACTAAATGATAATTATAGGTGAAAATGTTCTAGCTTCTCAAGAACAGAGAATGTTTTCTGATCTGTATGTTACATGGTAGACTTGTGCTGGTAGAATCAGTGGGTTGTTGTCTCTCCTTCTCAGAGATCCTCAATATAAACTTCAATATAAACTTATCCAAAATAATAAGGTTGAAACTCTCTAGCCTAGGCATTTAGGGCCTATAAAACCTGATCTCTAGTGGGTTTTTTTTTTTTTTCTTATCCCACATCTCTTTTCTCTTATTCTAGTAACAGCATCCCACTTTCCTTTGGGGAACTGTCCCTACCCAACTGGTGGACTGCCCATCAAAGGTCAACATCTCCCTTTGAGGGAGGACATGTGACCCAAGCTCACCCATCAAAATACTGCTACCCTCCTAGACAAAGTGATTGGCCCACATGTGGGGATACGACCCCAGTCAACGATCAGGAGTCTTTTTCAGGTGTTAATTTCAATACTGGATAAGAAAGGTACTAAGCAGCATATGAACTTTGCTGCTTACTAGAAAGCACCTTCTGAGGGAAAAGGAGAAACAGCTGACATTAGCACTACCTCTGGCTTTTCAGCTGGACAGGCCCACAATCATTTTTTTGAAACTCTTGGATTTAAATATGTTTCAGAACTCAGAATTATTCAGGTGAGAATAGCACAATGAGGCACATACTTGAGTATATTACATACACCTCTGTCTGGATCAAGGACAACATCACTGCAATCAAATTCAATTCATATTTCTGCAATGAAACAAACTAAGGGCCTAATTAATGTCAGTTTAGGTCAGGGTAGGTTTTGCCATGAAGAAAGTGCAGATCAGGTAAGGTCTGATTACAAAAAGTGTTCAGCTGTTTTCAGAAAGGCATATAAAGGCATGTGAATCTGTTTAAACTAACAAATTCCCAGTACGCTTATCTGCTTGTTTGTTAGTTTTAAGCAGTTTGGGGTTGATTTTTGACACTTGTACCTGAAAAAGGTCCCATCTATATTCCTCATGGGCCTATTATGTGTCAGTTTTACTTCCCACTAGTCTTCTATACAGACTCACACTGGAGTCAAACTAAAAGACTAAGTTTTGATACTTTAAATAGAAAATCTTGCCTCGTCCCAGTGGCTCACACCTGTAATCCCTTAGGAACACCAAGGCAGGTGGATCACTTGAGATCAGGAGTTGGAGACAAGCCTGGTAACATGGTGAAACCCCGTCTCTACTAAAAATACAAAAATTAGCCAGGTGTGGTGGTGCTTGCCTGTAATCCCAGTTCCTAGGGAGGCTGAGGCAGGAGAATCACTTGTGCCTAGGAGGCAGCGGTTGCAGCGAGCTGAGATTGTGCCACTGCACTCCAGCCTGGGCCAAAAAGCAAGACTCCGTTTCGGGAAAAAAAAAAAAAAAAAAAGAAAAGAAAGAAAATCTTGCAACCTCCATAGAGTATATGTCTTATAAACAAGGGCTGTCCAACAGGAGATGGGAGCCTTAGCTGGCTGGTTTTCTTGTCAGTTGCCCCCTCCCCTGTCCTGTCTCCATGGCTCTTGGGGGAAAAGTGTAGCTATCACATCATCCTATGGGAGAATCAGGCACAACACTTATTCCTCTTCCTTTCAGCCCCCATTATATCCCCAGGGACAATCACAAGAATCTGGAAAATTACTGTATGTTGTTATTCTCTTCTGAGTGCCTGTGCATCTCTTAGGTGTCTTTAAAGATCATATAATGCTCCCTATGCCTTATTTTAGCTAATACACACTCATCTTCACTATTAGGTCACCTGATTTTCACAGCAACTCTATGAGGTGGATGGAGTAGGTATTATGGCTCCCTATCTGAAAAATGAGGAACTGAGGGTCAGGTTGGTTGATAAAAGTAAAGACCCTGGAATTTCACTCAAACCTGACTCTTAGTCTTGTTTTCTTTCCGATCTAATTTTACTCTCAGGATGAACTCAAATTGGAGAGTTTATTGGTATTGATTGTTCCTCCTTGGTACCCTTTGATGTAGAGATGGATAATCTGTTGAAACTAGTGAGAACACTCATGAGTAATTTTACTCTAAACTATGTGCAAACTTTATTCTGGTAAAAATAAAAATTGACATATATATGCTGTGCATATGTACATATATTACACACATACATATCTGTGTATATATCATATATAAGTATATGTGTATATATGTGTGTGTGTGTGTATTCTAGCATGCATTAATGTCTATAAGCATTTATTTTTACCAGCCAGGAAGCTAAAGTCAGCTTTTCTGTCATTGATCACAACCTGAATTAAATGAATAAAAAAGTCCCAATGCAGAGCAATGCCTGGAGATACTTCAGCCTTGGTAAAAACCAGACACTGCTTCACATAACTTGAACCGACAACAAAAATATCCCTCCCTGCCCAGGGGATATTTCTGGGTCAGGACTCCCTCTCTCAGCCAAAGAGTCAGACATTGCTGAAAATTTTCTCACTGTACTACCCTGTTTCTCTGGCTGACCTTTAAGGTTAGGACCTCTGGATGTAAGCCCATGAAAGACAGTGATAAGGCAAAGTCAGCTGCCTTTAGGCTCACAAAAATGCAGTTTTTCACTTCAAATAGACCCCGAAATCCCCAATGACCACATACAAACCATTCCTTATCTATGAGGTTAATGCAGCAGACACGCCATCACCAGACCATGCACTCTGAATTGTTTTTTCCAGCAAAGGTTCCCCTACTATCCCTTCATTTGCCTCATCATAAGAAATATGCATATGAGAGTGGCTAGCAGGGGTCAGGGCTGAGGATCTTGAGCATGAAGAGTTGCCCTGTGCAAAGCCAGATATATCACACAGAGACCAATCTGGGACTACAGCACCAACTAACTCTCCTGTTTATAAAATGCCTAAGAATTTATTAGGCAAGCACAATCCACTCCCATACAACCCATCAGACTAACCACATCCCCTATTTCCAGGACTATCCATAAGCACCCAGAATTCACTGCCCATGTGAATCAACATTTCAAGCGTCCTATAATATCCACAGCTCAAAATTAATCAGCAGGGTGGGAGGTGTTCAGGACATCTCTGAACAAAGTTCTCCCTGCGAATGTATCTCTTCCTACCTACTTGGAAAATGCTTCTTCTAGCTTTACTCATACAAACTACACTCAGAATAAAAAATAAAATGTAAATGCGAATATGATTTAACAAAATTTTTCAGGTTATTTTTCCTCCCTTTTGTCCATCCGCAGTATGCTTATCCTGTAACATTTCATGGCCTATGACTAGGATGAATGAGGGAAGAGGGCCCTGCCATGGGAAATCAATCCTAATTGTTTAGAATCTAACATAAAACTATTTTTAAACTATTAATATTTTAAATTACTCACTGAAAGGGAAAATCATTTTCCCTGCCTACAAAGCTATGATATGGTTCTTACAATTCAATCTTCAAAAATATATTTTCCTGATCTTCACATTTCGCATCTCCATTTTTAAAATGTCTTCCTTTCTCCTTATCTAAAACTTTGGATCTCAATTATTTTGACCTTTCTCCTCAGATTCAGATTAAACAAACCTTTCGCTGCAAGCCTAACTATGTGCTGAGCAATGCATAGTTAACTCACTCTATTATCTAGAGATTTATCATTTTACAGATGAAGGAACAGAGGCTCCATTAAGTTCAGTGACTTTCCTGCTTTCACAGCCTCGAAAGTGGCCTCTCCAGAGTTTCCAAGTCCACATGCTGTCAATGGGGGGGCTCTAGGTAAAATATTTTTCCAGTATGGCTTGCATTTAGTTTTATCCTTCAGAGGTGTTATTCAAATTGTTATGTGGTTTGGGGAAGGGGCTTTGCTACTGGTAATCTCAGGCTGGAATCAAGGATTATAAGCAACTCACAGAAGGATAAATACAGCTATTGCACATTGTAAACAATCTGTTTGTTCACAAGGGATCTTCTCCCTGAATTCAAATAACCAGACATTAATTCTTCTTTGTAGATTTACTCTAAATGGAGGTCCACAATTAACAACATGTCAGGTCTTATTCCTTTATATCATTTCAATTGCCTAACCAGTAGATTGTTAGCTCAAAGGGTCAGAGCACATGATTAGTGAGGGAGGACAAAGGCTTCTCCCTCTATTCCCGTGCAGGTCAATAGGCATGCACACCTCCTACCCTCGGCCAGCTCAGAAGGTGCTGGTTCCACTAGATACTAAGAGGGCTGGTAGTCAGAACTTGTAGGGAAGAAAAGCAGGGCATTCTGCAGCTGACTCCGATACCAACCAAAAGATAATATATGCTAACATGACAACAACTAACAATGATTATGGTTAAGTATTATTATTGCAGGATTTCAAGGCACAACCATTCACAAAATATAAACATTTTGTGAAAACATATGCTAGCTCTATGAACAAAGGCAAGAAAACCTTCATTTATGTTCCCTTCTGGAAATCAAGCACGTCCTTTTTGCTTGTTTGTTTGCTTTCTTCTTGTGTTACTCTGCACATCCCATCTTTTTTTTAACAGAAGAGGCACAGCTATTATTTTCCATAGAAATGCCCTGGCCAGAAATCTTACCTCTCGTGACTTTCAAATGCTAAGATGCTACACAAAACATTACATTGATATTCTGAGCAAATGGTCAAAACTATACCTTTACTGTGGTGAAAATTTACTACCTTACTCACCTAGAATATCATACCGAAGATATAAAAAATACTACCAGGATAGTAAATGACTGCAGAAATAATAACAAGTTTCAGTTCCAATTTGCAACACGTAAGATGAGACCCCAAGCCCAAATGGGTAAAAAACAGAACATTCCAGACGCATCTGCAAATTAGTTACTGCCCTCAGCTGATCCACAGCTGGTTTACTGATGGAAAGAATAACAAAAGGATGTCTAAAGTGTTGAAAGGTCAGAGCAGTAAAGGATGAATAAGAAATACATTTGGCCTGTACAGTGCAATGATATTGCACGTGTGAACTCCATTTACCACCCCAAAGACTTAGCATAGGCTTAAGCTCCTTTGATCTACAGAGGAAATGCTCTCCACTGTAGAATAGCTGATCTTTTTACACTGGTTCAAGGGGTCCTCTGTAACCTCTATAAGCACTAAATTTCCTCATTGGCGCTGTAAAACCACAATAAATCATCCTTGGTGTTATTTGTATGTAAACTTTCTTAGCATTATTATTTTTAATGAGAAGCCATGAATCTTCACTATAAGGCCTTTTGTAAATAGTCAAGCAGAGGTTGCAGGACATTGCAATGTTTGCTTGTTCAAAAGTGGATTTGGTGACAATTTCTCCCATCTCGCTATGCCAGATTCTGTCATATACCAGTTCTGCTCAATTAATTCAGAAAGGTAACAGCTGTTTCTGCCCTTGTTAAAGTCAAGAAAGCTAGGTGCGTTTGAACTAAATATCTGTGAACTGAGACCAGATATTTGCTTCCAGCCTACTGAGCCATTAAATCAGAATTCAAGGAAATGGAGATTTTACTTCCTTCCTCCTTCATCATGGCATGGAAGGGTTCCCTAAAAGGCAGGATCCATGGGGGACTGGGCCTGCAACAGTCAGAGTAGCAGGTCTGAATCACTGCTTTGCCACTGTCTAGCTGGTCTCGGTTTCCTCATCTCCTGTGTGTGAGGTAATATTCACCAAACAAGGTTGTTTTGAGATTAAGAAAGAAGGGTATGTTCAAGAATTTATTCCTCCAAAAATGCCTGGTCATGTGTGAGATGTTCAATGTTAGCAGAACCCGAGATGAATCTCTGGAAAGATTAATAGTACTAGCTACTTTCAGTGCTAGCCTCCCCAGTTCCATTCCCAGGGCATAGGCAGTGCCCAACTTTAAGTTCATGTAAAAAGACCTGAACGGACTCAGTGTTTTCTTCCAGAGAAAAAGAAGCCAGTAGAATCCCAACGAGCCTTTAGAATGGAAATCTTCCGCAGATAACAGTCACTCAAGCAACAAAATCTGGCTGGCTTCCCTTACTTCCTTAGTTCCAGGGGCAGGAGGGAATACAAACCGTGCCCCTTGCCCTAGTCTCAGTTCTCCACAGGGCTGGCTTCTCTGGAATATGTCCTCCCTCTGGGCGGGCAAAGAGCAAGATCTTGTGCTCTTGCTCCTCTGAACACTCCCCGCACTCCCCAGCTCCTTCTAAACGCGGCGACAGCAGCTCTGCCTCCTCTCCAGGTGCCGCATCCCCCAGGCGGCGGGGAGGAGGGGCGGGGGGTGTCCCCGGGTTCCTGGGCGTGGAACGCAATGGCCTCAGAAACTGTCCGTACTCTCCCACTCCGCCGGCACCAGCCAGCACCTCCCTCTCCCTTCCCCCTGGCAGAGCACGCAGGGTGCGTGCACCCCGGGCAGTCCCCAAAGCGCGCCTGCTGGAAAGGCGCCATCCATCATCCTCACCTCCCATTCCAGCGGATTCTCGCCTGAGCCCAGCCAGGGCCCGCCCCTCCGGCCAACCCCAAAGATGCTTGCGGTGTGTATGTGGAGGGGGGTACTTTCTGGGACCCACTTTCATAGCCCTCTCTACCCCCATTTCTCGCAGGGGTGTCGGGGGAAGAGAACCAGAAAGCCAAGACCACTGAACCCGGAGTACTTCCAAATCTGTTACGCTTCCAATCATCCTCATAGCATCACCTTAGTTTATGGGCATTTCTCCCTAGCAGGAGAGCTCTGCCAAAAGCCCGAGAGCGGCACCCCACAAAAACCCCGCGCCCCTGCTGCCTGCCCAACTCTCGCCCCACGGCGCAACCTCCCGGCCCGGCACCTTCCGTCCCGGGGTAAGACTCCTCGTTTTCCCGGAGCGGAACCCAGCCAGCCGGTTTCGGAAGTTTCCCACCTCCCCACTACAACTCCCTTCCGGGAGCCCCCACGCGGACCTCGCTTAAGGCGAGAAAGCCTAGAGGTCTCCCCTAAATCTGCACTCACACCGGGGCCGGCCCCCTCTTCCCTCCCCCTCCTTTCTCCTCCCTTCCAGCTCCAGTCCCCGCGCCTCCGGAGTCTCCAGCGCCAGAGGTTCTCTCGCCCAAGAGGAAACTTCTTTCTGGGCTAAATTCAGGTCCGAGCAGGAAAGGCTTTCCCTTCCCCGCAGGCATCAGAGGCGCGCTCACCCCCTATCCCCCAAAAGACCTAATTTCCCCCTCTCCCCACGATCACCCTCTCTGAGACTGCCTCAGATTACTAGTGCTACTCGACTTTTCAGGTCAAAAGGTCCAGCCGTCTCTGAAGCCACCACGGGGGCACTCTGGATTTTTCCCGAGACCCTACCAGTCCCGCGTGGCTTGGAAAAGACAAGTAAACAAAACACGGACCCGGCAACTCTGGGGTGTGTGTGTGTGTGTGTGTGTGTGTGTGTGTGCGTACGCGCGCGCGCGCAGGAGACAGAGCATCGCCCAAGAGTTAGGGCAACAGCTGCTAGAGCACATCTGGAAGAGGGGGAGGGGGTTCCACGCAGAGGGGACAAGAAGCCCCCAGTGGCTTCAGGGCCGAGGGCTGGGCTAGCCTGTAGTTCGTTACCTGTCCTATGTTGATGAATCCGTACTTGCTGGCGATACGGTTGGCCTCCGGGAAGCCCCCGGCGATTTTGACTGCCCAGTGGTTGGTGTAGACGCGCGTCCGACACACGGGGAGCAGGCAGCCCCCGAGCAGCGCCAGCACGCACAGCAGGTCCAAACGTCCCGGGCAGCAGCAGCGGCTCCCCCAGCCCATGGTCCCGGCGCCTCGCTGCTCCCTCGCTCGCTGGCTGGTTCCGCGCACTAAGGGCGCGCACAACTAACTTCTCCGGCCTGCGCCGCCCGGCGAGCAGCCCCGGGCCGCCGCAGCTCGCAGCCCCGGGCGATCGGCAGGAGGCGGCTAGCCCCGGCAGGGAGCAGAGCAGCGAGCCTTACGCCGGCTCCTAGACCATCCCTGGGGCTGCCGGGACCTGTGCTCCCAGCTCTCCGGCCCGTGGGGCGCTCGGCGATGCTCCCCGGCTCGGACGCAGGAGGAGGCTGAGTGGGGCGGGCGTCCTCCGCAGTTGGGTTTCGCCCGGCTTGGCTCCCGGACTCTCCGACTCGGTCTCGCTCCTCCCGGGGCCCCCGAGCGCGGCGGAGATGACCAGCGGGAGCGGTACAGGCAGCGACCGGGCGCCCCCTCTGCTGGCCCGGGCTCCAAACGCTCGCTTGCTCGCTCCCAGCGCTCCCTCCGGCTCCGAGCAGCGCGCGAGGATTCTGAGTGGCAATGGCAGCAGCTCCTGCTCTGCATAAATGACTTCCCCCGCCCCCCTTAACACCCCTCCTTTCCCACATCGCCCTCCTCCTCTCCCTCCTCCGCCCTCTTGAAAGCGGCCGCAGCCAGGCGCTGACGAGGTCCTAGCGCCTCCGGGTTCGCCCAGCTGTAACCTCCAGGGTTCCGGGCAGTAAAGGCAAGTCTTTCCAAAGGACTGAGAAGAGCGCTCCGAGATCGTGGTTTTACTCCCTTCTCTTCCCTCCCTGCTGGATTTGTATGAATTTACCGCCACTTCCCGAAAGACTAAAGAAATTTACACGCCGGTGCGAATTAACCGCCCTGAAGATTCATTCATCCTCGTTCTAAACGTCCTTAAATAACTAGGCATTTAAGGAGGTCACTTACGTGTCAATTGCCGAACAAATAACTCGAGATTTTCACTTCGTTAATTCTTCATGCTTTTCAGCAGCTGTTTATTTTACACTTTCTGCTCCCGGGAGAAGCTACCACACAGGACAGTAAGTCGCATCGACTCCTAGAATTGGCTCGAAAGCCAAGTCTGTTGCCTGCTCACTTTCGAAATCTGCGATACTAGGCAACGCCACGGGAGAGTACAATTCCGGCCTTGGAAGTGAGGAAAGATGTTTCTATGAATATTTGGTGTGCTAGTGGATGGACATGTTGGGCCAAGGAAATAACTCCATTCATTTGTTGGATTGCGTCTGACGAGGGCTTCTTTTTCTCCACCAAGGGAAAAGTTTCCCAACTTTTCCAAGCACAGTCCTGTAACAGTGAAAGACTTTAATATGAAAAAGACCACAGAGGAAGTTCAGATGAGATATGTGGCGGCGTCACCTTCATTACTCTATCATGCACTGTGACTGCAGCAGGCAGGAGGGAGCTCAAATTAACCCTCTTCTCGCTTCTCCTTTACAACCTCCCTGCCTTCCTGGAGCGGGGGTGGGGCACAGGGTGATTTACTGTGACAAGAAAAATTATCCCGTATGAAATAATTCAACTGACTTTAAAAGTATTCACTATATCCCTAACTGTCCTCCTTTCTCTCCTCCTACCATGCCCTATTTCTTTCTTCCTGTTAATTTAAATGTGTTTGAGATTAATTAACTCATCCCACCTATAGCTTTTGGTACTGATTTTTTAAAATCTGAAAGATACCTGCAGACTTAAAATTCCACTAGTACCTTTGAGCATAGCATTTGACATTTTACATATTGTATAAGGTATGCTATATTATTTAATCTTGAAAACAAACCCACAAAATAACATCATCCCCACATTATAGCTGAAGAAATAGAAGATCAGAAGAACTAAAACATGTGCAGAAGTGTATGTATTTTATTCGTTTATTTATTTGACTGATTCAACACATCTGTTTTGAGCACCTAGCATGTGCAATGAATTGTGCTGTACACTGGAGAAAGGGGAAGGGGGAGGCACAAAAAATTAGTGGAATTCAGAATCTCTGAATACTGTAGAGTAAATGTGGTTTATTATTGAAGGTATGTATGTATGTATGTATGTATGTATGTATGTATGTATGTATGTATGTATTTTTGAGACAGAGTCTCGCTCTGTCGCCCAGGCTGGAGTGCAGTGGTGTGATCTTGGCTCACTGCAGCCTTCGCCTCCCGGATTCAAGCGATTCTCCTGCCTCAGCCTCCCCGAGTAGCTGGGATTACAGGCTGGCTAATTTTTGTATTTTTAGTAGAGACAGGGTTGGCTGGTCTCGAACTCCTGATCTCAAATGCTCTGCCTGCCTTGGCCTCGCAAAGTGCTGGGATTACAGGCATGATCCACCATGCCCGTCCTATTATTATTATTATTATTATTATTATTTATTTATTTATTTTTTTGAGACGGAGTGTCGCTCTGTTGCCCAGGCTGGAGTGCAGTGGCGCGATCTCGGCTCACCGCAAGCTCCGCCTCCCGGGTTCACGCCATTCTCCTGCCTCAGCCTCCCGAGCAGCTGGGACTACAGGCGCCCGCCACCAGGCCTGGCTAATTTTTTTGTATTTTCAGTAGAGACGGGGTTTCACTGTGTTAGCCAGGATGGTCTCGATCTCCTGACCTTGTGATCCGCCCGCCTCGGCCTCCCAAAGTTCTAGGATTACAGGCGTGAGCCACCGCTCCCGGCCCTATTATTATTATTTTTAAGAGGAAAACATAAGCACTATGCTTGTGCTTTAGAGTTTTGGTACAGTCTCCCTGCTAGCCAGTCCCTGTAGACACATCTCTTCCTGCTTCCCTAGCCATGGAGTCCGAAAGCTCACAATCTATTACAACACTGTTAACTCTGACAATCTGCATCTATGCATAGGGACATTGGATTACCCCTCTTGAAGATGGTAAATTTCAGATGGGATAAGACTTCAGTCAAGGTCCACATCTCAATACACATATAAGGGACAGTCAATCTCTCTTTTTTTTTTTTTAATTCAGAATTGTGGGCATTTCAGGTAGGAGGAAGGACCTGTCTCACCGTGATCCACAGAAGGGTTGCCACTACATAAGGTACTTTGTAACAAGTTTGAAGGATGCCGTACGGGTTTCTCTCTGGGACTCTGGAGCTGTTAATTGTTTAGGACTACAAAGGCAGCACAAAATGCTTCTCTTTCAAAGCCTTGTTGTCTCTGGGCTTCAAATTCTGAATGAAATGGAGAGGAATCACTGCACCCGGTTTTCTGGAGCCTGGAGATTTTTTTCTTGGGGTGGAAAAATTGATCATTAATATTTTTTTCTCCATGGTGTCTTTCTCTTTTTCTTTCCACTAGCACTCTTTCCTTCTGTGAGCATGCCCTGGTTGGCACACACAAATGTAACATTCACTGCATTGAACATGAGAGAAAATTGGAAAATGAGGTAGGAAGTGGGCAAACCACTTTTCTGCTTTGTAAACTAATCCCTGGGCCAGCATTTAAACTTACTCAAAGGGCATATTCTTTCATTTCAATGCATATATATTTTAAAGGGAAAAACCTAGCCCTGTTTTTTTTTTAAAAAATGAGTTGAACCCTCATTCATCTGTTAAATCAAATGTATGGATGTAGACTCATTCCTCTTACTATCCATAGCTTTTGCAGTTATATCACAGTTCCATTATAAGTCCATTCTCAAAAAGTGTGATTCTTAAACCTAAATGATATCAAAGAAGTCCCACTTCCATTGATGAATAGACATATTCTGCTTCCTCCTTTGGGATCTACTTTAACGATCTCATTAGCTTCCTTGGATAGAGCCTTGTTGGCCAAGAAGGAAGCTTGCAGATAAGCACCAATAGCAACAGCAAAGAATCTGTCATATTTCATGACCTTATGCTCTGATGGTTATGACAGTCAATTCTATTACAAATGTCTCAGTAGCCAAAGGAAGGAGGAACTGATAGACTAGTAGTGGTTGATAGAAAACCATTCCTAACATTGTAAAGAAGCAAAAATCCAAGTCTTGCATGAGTGTTTTCTTTTTGTATGCGAAGAACAGAACTGCAAGATTTGCCCCTGGACTCTTCCTCTGTAAAATGCCATATGGCAGATAACCAGGCAGTTTTCAGTTTTACGCTGCCTTATACTTTGCAACATATTACTTGATAATGAGGCCCCACTAGTGTTTGGCCTGTCTGCCAAAGTCCCTTAAATCTCTAAAAGAAAACTTCGCTGAAATGCAATGAACAGAAAGAAATCTAAGCAGTTTAATGGAAGAAGAGAAAAAGAACTCCATAAGGACCCATCTTGAAACTCTGCAAACTGAAATTATTCTGGGAAGAGTTTGCCTTATGAGACACCTTATTTCTTCCTCTGCTATATCCAATGCCAGAAATTAACCTCTAAGATCTCTTATAACCTGAGATTCTGTGAATCAATAATAAATTGGTAATGGGCTGTTTGGAGCTGACCAGTGTGAGAAAAAAAATGCCTCTGAACATTTCACTGCCAATTAGAAGAGTTACCAACTCTATGGTATGCTAGTATATCAGATTGAGAATTGGTGTGAAAGTTCCCAAAATTTAATAATGCTAATAATGATAAATTACTAGTTAACCCTTGAACAACTTGGATTTGAACTACACAGGTCCATTTATGCAGATTTTCTTCAAAAAATACATCGTACTTTTTTTGGAGATTGCCACAATTTAAAATAACTCTCAGACAAACCATGTAGCTTAGATATATTGAAAAAAATTAAGAAAAAGTGCCGGGTGTGGTGGCTTACGCCTGTAATCCCAGCACTTTGGGAGGCCTAGGCAGGCGGATCACCCGAGGTCGCGAGTTCAAGACCAGCCTGACCAACATGGAGAAACCCCCATCTCTGCTAAAAATACAAAATTAGCCGGGCATGGTGGTGCATGCCTGTAATCCCAGCTACTCGGGAGGCTGAGGCAAGAGAATCACTTGAACCCGGGAGGCAGAGGTTGCGGTGAGCCGAGATCACGCCATTGAACTCCAGCCTGGGCAACAAGAGTGAAACTCTGTCTCAAAAAAGAAAAAAAAAAAGAAAAAGTTAGGTAGGTATGTTGTATGTTATGAGTTCATAAAATATATGTAGATACTAGTCTATTTTATCATTAAAAATATTATGAAAATTAAAATGTATTAAAACTTATACACACAAACACCTACAGACCATAAATAGCACCACTCACAGTTGAAAGAAATGTAAATAAACGTAAAGATGTAATATTAATTACAACTGCATAAAATTGATTGTAATGCATATTGTACTATGGTAATAATTTCTTAGCGACCTCCTGTTGCTATTGCGGTGAGCTCAAGTATTACAAGTATCTGATGACACTAATCATCTCCACATGAGCAGTTAGTTTCTCCAGTAAACGGTGTATCACAGCAAAAAGTGATCTCTCATGGTTCTTGCGTATGTTTCATTCTATTTAGGGCAATTCTGTAAATCTTGAACACCATGGGACCTATATGAAGTGCTAATAGTGATGCTGGAAGGGCTCCCAAGAATTGAGAAAAGTCATGACATTATGAGAAAAAGTTGAATTGCTTGATATGTACCATAGATTGAGTTCTGCAGCTGCAGTTGCTTACCTTTTCAAGATAAATGAATCCATCCAGTGTAAGAACATTGTAAACAAAGGAAAATTAGTAAAGACTTCACTGCAGCTACACCAGCAGGTGAGACAACCTTGCACTGTTTTTCTCACCAGCAGGTGAGAAACATGTATTTTTATTTGATATTGTTAGTGCAGCTTTTATATGGGAGCAGGATTGCTGAAAGAAAGGCATACCTATAGAATCTAATGTGATTCAAGAAAAAGGGAAGTTGTTATATAACAACTTCAAGCAAAAGGAAGCTGAAGAATCTAAAGCTGGAGAATTTAATACTGGCGCAGGATGGTTTGATAATTTTAGAGTTTTGGCTTTAAAAAAAGGCTCAAGATAGGCCAGGTGTGATCAGTGCCTGTAATCCCAGCACTTCGGGAGGCCGAGGTGAGTGGATTGCTTGAGCCCAGGAGTTAGAGAACAGCCTATGCAACATAGTGTGACCCAGTCTCTACAAAAGATAAAAAATTAGCCAGGCAAATTGTCATGCATTTGTAGTCCCAGCTACTCTGGAGGCTGAGGTGGGATGACCGCTTGAGGCCAGGAGTTCAAGGCTGCACTGAGCCATGATCATACCATTGCACTCCAGTCTGTGCCACAGAGCAACACCCTCTCACACACAGAAAAAGAAGCCAAGAAACATACAAAATATGTGTTAATCAACTGTAAGGCTTCCAGTCAACAGTAGGCTATTAGTTAAGTTTTGGGAACATCAAAAGTCATAGAAGATTTTCAACTTCAGGGAGTGAGGGTACCCCTAGCCCCTGCATTGTTTAAAGGTCTACTGTAAAGTATTAACTACCACTTATTAAGCACTAATTATATGCCAGACTCTGGGCCAAACAGGTCTTAATGTTATTCATAGAGCATCAAAGCAGAAAGAGACCAAATATATCATATAATCTAACTTCCTTGTTTAATAGATAAAAATACTGAGGCCAATAGAAAGTCAATTTGGAGGTCAGTAATCCTATCAGGGAAAAGTAACTTAACAAATACATGAACAAATAAAACAAAGGAAGAGCTACATGGATCAAAGATGACTGTGTGCTATGAAACAAGGATTAACAGTAATCCAATTTACTTATGTGAGTTAATAAAATACAGTCAGGAGAATGGAAACTTGATTTAACATTTCAATTCTTTAGATGTTTAACCACTACCACTTAAAACCATGATCCATGACACACGAGCTTCTAGGACAAGAGTTGATTCAGGGTTTGGTACTACATTTAAAGTATTGTATAATATTGATAAAATGGGACACTAATAAGTGAGTAACAGTCTATCAGTTTCAAGAAACTTTAGCTCCTTCTTTGACCTGTTTGAAGTTGGCTTAATTTGACACAGTTGGCTTCCCTTTGTGGACATTTAAATCCTAAAATAACAAACTGGTTCCCAAAAAGCTTTTCTTTTCTTTTCTTTTGAAATGGAGTCTCGCTCAGCTACCCAGGCTAGAGTGCAGTGGCGCAATCTCGGCTCACCACAACCACCATCTCCCGGGTTCAAGCGATTCTCATGTCTCAGCCTCCCAAGTAGCTGGGATTACAGGCACCCGCCATCATACCTGGCTAATTTTTGTCTTTTAGTAGAGACAGGATTTCACCATGTTGTCCAGGCTGGTCTTGAACTCTTGACCTCAGGTGATACGCCCGCCTCAGCCTCCCATAGTGCTAGGATTACAGGTGTGAGCCACCACACCTGGCCCAGAAAGCTTTTCAGTTAAAACTGAAGTGTGAAGGTTGTAGGTGATTTCCTTTAGATATATAGGAAGGAAGTGACACACCAACTGTCTCTTACCTTCTAGCTTCTACTTCCAGTCCCAGATCAGTGTCTTCTTCAAGATGGATATGATGAATGAAAGTGGTTCCCTTCCTACCCCTGGTCCACCTTGGACTTTAGTTCAGAAAGATAGCAGGTAGGGAAAGGATGGCAGAAATCAAAGGAATAGGCTTGAGTCTTTGAGCTTCACCCACTAAAAAGAATGGGTGCTATGCCAATGGCAGCAGCCTATCCCCAAGAGTCAAGGCTTGCTCTTTTTGTAATGTCTTTGGACCCTTTTCTCCAAACATTTTATTGGCTCTTGTATTCTTAAGATCCCCTCAAGGAATCAGGCGATTAATAAGTAATGATGCAGCAACTTCATCTTACTTAGGAAGACAAAGCTAAATGGGTTTTCATAATTAAAATCTTTTTTGAGGTCAGGCGTGGTGGCTTACGCCTGTAATTCCAGCACTTTGGGAGGCCGAGGTGGGCGGATCACCTACGGTCAGGAGTTTGAGACCAGCCTGGCCAATGTGGTGAAACCCCATCTCTACTAAAAATACAAAAATTAGCCAGGCATGGTGGCATATACCTGTAGTCCCAGCTACTCGGGAGGCTGAGGCACAAGAATCACTTGAACCCAGAGGCGGAGGTTGCAGTGAGCCAAGATTGCTCCACTGCACTCCAGCCTAGGTGACAGGGCGAGACTCCATCCCAAAACGACAACAACAACAAAAAAAACTTTTTTGATTCCAAGGACTAGATCTAATTCATTGATTCCCAATGAGGCTTTCTAAATCAAAACATATTCAGTATGATTTTACTTGTCAATATGAAGCAAGATAAATTATAATAAAATTATTTTGAAAATACCCTGTGTAAGCACATCCTTTCATTTATTACATTCCATTGTTTCCAGAAGCTATGTGTCTAGATCACCTACTGCGTCCTGTGTGTGACATAACTTCATTCTTCCGATGGTGTATTCAAAATGTAGTTATTACACGGCCATTGTGCAGCTATTGTTTAGGCATCTCTCTACCAATCTTCCCTGCCCCTGCTTCAGATTTTAGTAATACAGATGATCCCCAATTTATGATGGGTTTACATCCCAATAAACCCATTGTAAGTTGAAAATACCATAAATCACAACTGCATTTAATACCCCTAAACTTTAAAATATCATGGCTTAGTCTAGCCTACCTTAAATCTGATCAGAACACTAACATTAGTCTACAGTTGAACATAATCATCTAACACAAAGCCTATTTTATAATAAAGTAGAGAATATCTCATGGAACATGTTGAATACTGTACGTTGCCTCAAAATTATGATGGTTTCACACACTCGTAAAGTCAAAAAACCATGAGTCAAACCATTGTAAGTCAGGGATGGTCTGTATGTGAAAACACACACACACACACACACACACACACACACACACCAAAAATAAAAATAAAAAACCAGACATCTTCTGTAACTCTTAACCTTTCAATTCATGATAAAGGTGTTTATCAGTAAGACTTTTCAGAGCCAGACCTCACTGCAATCATTTTCCTGGAAGAAAATGAGTTCAGGTTCAACTTATACCAATGAGCAGCAAATATCCTTCTGTATTATGTATCTAGAGTGGCAGCAATGTTCTATTTTCAAAAAGGTTACCCTACACGTAGAAATAATTTATCAATAAAATTTTATTTTTCTAAAGATTGGTGGAATACAGTTCAGCAGAAAGCTTAGAAGCTTTCAAATTTAAAAAGCGTAAGACTTCCCTGGCTCTGTGTTTACAAGTTCCCTGTGATGTCTCAAAAACAGATACTGCATAAAGAAAACACAGACCCCAGTTTGAACTCTGGCAAATGCTACCCTTTTAAATCCTATGACTTAGTTAGCTTTTCCAGAAATTCAGCAACTAAGTCTACTAAATCACTGGAGAACTTAAGGCAAGCTCCTCTTCAATTTTCTCCAGATATGAACAGTGAAAGCCTATGTTGCAGAAGTGCTAAATAATACTATAACACACATTTGTTGTATGAATGCTAAATATTGCCTTCTCTGAGAAAATGAGACCAAGTTCTATGAACATACTGTGCCTCATAGTTAGGGTTTGAGTGAGGAGAACATCTTTCTCTAGTACGGTTCTTTATTTATTTAAAAATAATTAGAGCATTGTTTTGAGATCTGGCAGCATATTGAACTATAAAAGGTGAGCATAGATTGAATGCTATGTGGAAAGAACAGGCAATATATTCAGTATCATTAATCATTTCTTATTCTAGTCTTTGTCGTACATTTTTTTGTGTGTCCATACAGATACAAGTTGGCAAATTCATAGGATATTTGCATGTTCACATTTTGGCAGCAAAATAAAAAATGAAAAGAATTTTGTAGTAAATGTCAGCAATGAAAAACCATGACATTCTATAAAACTGGGCTATGAATTATTAGAAAATAAAATCTTAAGGGATGACAGTAGTTGAGACTTCTAGGCTCAAAGGAGCTAGATGCTAGATGCTTGATAGAAAAGAAAAGTTACACTTACAGGTAAAAAGCTGACCACCTAAAGGTCAGTGATATACTTAAGGCCACAGCATTGGCTAAATGAAAAAATTGATTTTATATTTAATACCCTGGACACTTTAGAAAACACTTTTTCTGCTCAAGTGTATGTGTGGGGAGCTCCGGGTTTAGCAGATTGATTCTCATGATTTGAGAGATGTGAGGTTCCAGAAGTGGTTCAGCTACGTGTGGAAACTAATGACTCTGAAACAAATTATCTGATCAATATTCTATTATCCAATAGCTCTTTTACTTACATTGGGCCTAGAATGCAGCAATTCTCCTGTGTTAGTCATGTTCTCTGCATGTTTAATGATAAACTCTCTGCTAAATGGAGTCTGGGTGGGAACAGGCCTTTTCCTTTCTACAAATTCAAAGTAAATTTCCCTGAAAACATCTGGATCAAATGAAAAGAGGAAATTGATGAATCTGCATAGGAAGGGCGAAAGTAAACCCTGTCACACTGATTGGTTAAATAATGACCCAGAGTGATCTTGATGACTAACACTGACAGAGCACTGATACAGCATTTATATAGACTTTACAAAATACTTTCAGCTTTTCATCATATTTACTTCTCACAGTGACATGCCAAATAAGTAGAGACATTGTGATTATTTTAACACTGTCATAGCTATCAATATCAGGTTACAAATATGAGAAGTCGACAGTGAAATGATTCGTTCAGCTGCACACCAGTAGTGAGTGATGGGGCTTGAACTGGAACTCAAGTTTTCTGAAGCCTATATTTGTACTATTCCACCATTCCAGAGTTACAACAAAGTCTCTGCAAAGATAAGCCCCTGAAAATACGTACTTTTTTTTTTTTTTTTTTTTTTTTTGAGACGGAATTTCACTCTGTCACTCAGGCTGGAGTGCAGTGGCATGATCTTTGTTCACTGCGATCTCCGCCTCCCAGGTTGGAACGATTCTCCTGCCTCAGCCTCCTGAGTAGCTGGGATTACAGGTACACACCACCATGCCCAGCTAATTTTTGTATTTTCAGTAGCAACGGGTTTCACCATGTTGGCCAGGCTGGTCTCGAACTCCTAGCCTCAGGTGATTCACCCACCTCTGTCTCTCAAAGTGCTGGTATTACAGGTGTGAGCCACCGCACCCAGCTGAAGATATGTGGTTTTGTTTTATCCCTGCGCATATGCCAATCATTCATTCTGGAAAGTTCTTACAGTGTCAATTGAGGAGGAAGGACTGGAGGATTCAAAGCTGAGAGCCTTTCTTCAGGGCTTCCTGGGTCTGTCAGCGAGCAGCAGTTACTTTTCACCTCCTCCTCTCATCTCTCTTCACCTCAAAGTTCAGTCATTCCTCAGCTCTGTCCCTAGACGAATATCCAAATCAACACTACCCAGACATTTGTAGGATGAAAGTGAATGTTTGATTCATTGTGTCTAAAATGCTTTTCTCCTGTCCTGACCGAATTCAGAGGTTTTCTTTTCACTTGCTAATTATCCAGGTCCGACAAACTGTGGATGCAATTAATTGCAATATGCTGATTGTGATGAAATTCCAGTAGCTTTATGAGAAACAATAGCAAAGTCTGTTGGAATTCATTACAATAGACACTCTTACAAAGAATTCTCTTAAGATTCCCAGTAACATGTTTATTTTATGAGTGGTTTCTATTATCAGAGCTATTCTTACATGATGACAAAAGGTGCATTTTAAGAATTGGATCCTCCCCACCATCTCCACCACCACCACCACTACCACACACACACACACACACACACACACACACACAAACTCAGGCACACACAGGCACATCCCCAACACACATAATAGTCGGTAGAACTTTGAGACACACAGAAAAAGGTTCATGCAGACATAAATGGAAGGATTCAGGTGGCAGATGCCACAAGGAAAATTCATTATGGTTTAGAAGCTTTAACGGAAGATTTATGGCAAATTTAATTTCTTTAGCCTACATTAGCCCCATTTTTCTTCCAACACTTCCGTTGCTCCAAGTTTTCTATCCATCTGTATATTCATCACAGGTTGTCTTTCAACACTCTGATCTTCACTGGAATGAATAATAAAAAAATTAAAACAGTTTGAGAAAAGGAGAAATGTAGTGATATTTCTTTTCACTGCTGAAAAATAACGATTTTCATATATATGTACTCTTTTCTAGTATTGGTCTGAAAACAAACATATATTTATTAAGTTATAAACTTACCACAGATACACTTTTATATTCTGCATTTTTGAAGTAATATATGCTATAAATATGTCTCCATGGTCTTTGTAATTATCATTTTGATGACCATACGCCATTGGGTTGATGTATCATAATTTACTAAACTCTATTGTAAGATATGTAAATTGTTTCCAATTTATTATTGTGTATATAATACAGCAGAGAATGTCTTCATGAGTAAAGGTTGTGTGTGTTTTAATTTTTTTTCCTTAGGATGAATTCAAAACCTTCAGGTCTCTCAGGTTCCAAAAATTAGATAATAGTTTGCAGCCTCAAATTCTAGAGAGACCAGACAGGTAATTTAAACAAGTGAAGTGGGCCAATAAATATTGTGAACTGAATCACATCTTGTCTCAGCCCTGACCACGTTCCCTGAATCTACGGCCCTGTCTGCTAATCTTGCTGCCTCCATCTGTCCACCCATCCATCTGTCTATCCATCTGTCAGTCAGTCAGCCAATACTAGCTGGGTGCTATGATCAATGACTAATATAAAATTCACATTTTTCACAAAGCTTTAAGCTATTGGGTGAAACCCTTGAATTGATTTTTACAGTCATGTGCCACATCAGGATGTCAACAATGGACCATATATACGATGGAGATCCCATAAGATTATAGTACCATATTTTAATTGTACCTTTTGTATGTTTGTGGGTTTTTTTTTTTTTTTCAGAGTCTCCTTCTGTCACCCAGGCTGGAATGCAGTGGCATGATCTCAGTTCACTGCAATTTCCACCTCCCAGGTTCAAGCGATTCTCCTGACTCAGCCTCCCGAGTAGCTGGGACTACAGGCGCATGCCAATGCACCCAGACATTTGTAGGATGAAAATGAATGTTAGCTAATTAGCTAATTTTTGTATTTTTAGTAGCAATGGGGTTTTAGCTAATTAGCTAATTTTTGTATTTTTAGTAGCGATGGGGTTTCACCATGTTGGCCAGACTGGTTTCGAACTCCTGACCTCATGATCCACCTGCCTCAGACTCCCAAAGGTGCTTGGTGGGATTACAGGAGTGAGCCACTGTGCCTGGCCTTTTTTTTTTTTTTTTTTTCAGAGATGAGGTCTTGCTCCGTCAGTCAGGCTGGAGTGCAGTGGTGCAAACCTGGCTCACCACAAGCTTGACTTCTTGGACTTGCTTGAGTGATTCTCCTGCCTCAACCCCCCAAACAGCTGGGGCTATAGGCTCGTGCCACCACACCCGGCTAATTTTGATTTGATTTTATTTTTATTTATTTATTTAGAGACGGAGTTTTACTCTTGTTGCCCAGGCTGGAGTGCAATGGTGCGATCTCGGCTCACCATAACCTCCGCCTCCTGGGTTCAAGCGATTCTCCTGCCTCAGCCTCCCGAGTAGCTGGGATTACAGGCACCTGCCACCAGGCCTGGCTAATTTTGTATTCTTAGTAGAGATGAAGTCTCTCCATGTTGGTCAGGCTGGTCTTGAATTCCCGACCTCAGGTGATCCGCCCGCCTTGGCCTCCCAAAGTTCTGGGATTACAGGTGTGAGCCATCACACCCGGCTTTTTATATATATATATATTTTTTAAGAGATGGGGTTTTGCCATATTGCCCAAGCTGGTCTCAAATGCCTAAGCTTAGGCAATCCGCCCACCTCAGCTTCGGCAATCCGCCCACCTCAGCTTCCCAAAGTGCTGGGATTACAGGCGTGAGCCACTGCACCCAACCCTTTTTTATGTTTAGATACACAAATACACAATTGTGTTCCAATTGCCTACAGTACACAGTACAGTAACATGCTGTACAGGTGTGTGGCCTAGAATACCATATAACCTAGGTGTGTAGTAGGCTATACCATCTAGATTTGTGTAAGTACACTTTATGATGTCCATGTGATGACAACATAGCCTAAATATGCATTTTATAGACTGTATCCCTGTCATTAAGCGATGCATGACTGTATCTAATTTGTTTAACTGTTAACGTCAAGTGCTGACATTAAGAGAGAGGTGAAGCGATGTAGTGCTGCTGGAGTGGTCTAGGCAATTTCATGGAGGAAATAGAGCTTGAGATAAACTTGAAAGAATGGGCTGGGAGCTGAGTTTGAATAGAGTGAAAATATCATGATTCTAATACTTGGTAGACTTCTCAGTGCCCTTTATTAAGAATCTTGAGATTTTAGGTACTTTTTATACCTTTATTTTTAATTTATTTTTTTTGAGATAGGGTCTTGCTCTGTTGCCCAGGCTGGAGTGCAATGGCACGATTTTAGCTCACCACAGCCTCAGCCTCCTGGGCTCAAGCAATCCTCCCACCTCAGCCTCTCAAGTAGCTGGGACCACAGGCATGCGCCACCACACACAGCGAATTTTTGTATTTTTTGTAGAGATGGGGTTTTGCCATGTTGGCCAGGCTGGTCTTCAACTCCTGGGCTCAAGTGATCCTCCCATCTTGGCCTCCCAAAATGCCGGGAATACAAGCGTGAGCCACTGTGCCCAGCCCTTTTTATAACTTTAAACTAAAAGTAAAACTTTAGACAAATTAAATGTAACAGAGTTTAACTGAACAAAGAATGATTCTCAAATTGGGCAGTCCCCAAAACCAGAATAGATTGGGAGGGACTCCGGGACTGCCACACTGGTTGGATAGGATTTATTTTTATTTTTATTTTCATTTTTATTTTTTGAGACAGAGTTTCACTCTTGTTCCCAGGCTGGAGTGCAATGTGCGATCTTGGCTCACCACAACCTCCGCCTCCCGGGTTCAAGCGATTCTCCTGCCTCAGCCTCCTGAGTAGCTGGGATTACAGGCACACTCCACCACACCTGGCTAATTTTTTGTATTTTTAGTAGAGACAGGATTTCTCCATGTTTGTCAGGCTGGCCTCAAACCCCCTACCTCAGGTGATGCACCCGCCTCAGCCTCCCAAAGTGCTGGGATTATGGGTGTAAGCCATTGCACCCAGCCGGTTGGATAGGATTTATGGACAGAAAAGGAAAGTGATGTATAGAAAATGGAAGTGAGGTACAGAAACAACTGGATTGCCTACAGCTCAGTGTTTGCTTTCCTTGAATAGGTTTGAACAGTTGGCTGCTCGTGATTGACCGAAACTGGCTGCCATGACTGGCTGAGACTCAGCTACTTGTTACAAGAGTAGGTTGCAGCCTGTTTACACATCCAGTTAGTTGACAGTTCACTATGTATGCAGAAACCTTTAGGCCAAACCTAAAATATATAAGGATGCAGAATTAGGCTAAACTTAATTTAACAAACCATTCTCCAACTTTCCAGGTTGAAAAGTACCAAGGAATCCCTCTTCAACCAGAGAGAATCTTTATGACTTTGTGTTTTCCCTTAAGCTTAGAAGTCAATTCTGAGCATGGTGTGAAGGTTTGGACTGTTGATTAGAGAACAGTTGAAAGGGACCTGGAGAGGTTGCTCTGTTCCCTGAGATGTTTAAAATCCATTCAAAATAATCTCCTAGTCGTCAATATATTGGCTTGAGCAGGAAAATGCTATTACTATAAGCCTTCCATGCAAAGATTTTTGTCTGACATTGTCTGCCAAGAGGTTCTCCAAAATGCAGCTTTAAGCTTCTATAGTAACCAGAGATCAGGAGTATGTTTCCAATAAATTTAGGCATTCTGAACGACAGTTTTATAACTTAAAATTTGCTTGAAACACTGCAATCTAGTTGATAATACCAGAGGTGCTACTCAAATGAGACAGTCAACGAAGATCACCAATTTCCCTTCTGACAAAGAATGGCCATTGCTCCCATCCCTTCAGGTTTCATTCATGAGGTTTTCTCTTTAAATAGGAGACGACTAAAGTGTTCATTTCTCTTCTTTTACTCTTCCCCTTTTTTTCTGTTTAAAGTCTTTGATACTTCTTGCCTGCAACTTTAATTATTTAATTTTTTCACTGCATTATTTAAAGAAAAGACAGTTCTGAGACTGAAGTATGCATGAAGACAGTATGACTCCATGCAAAATTGAAGAAATCTGCGTAACACTGCACCACAGCAGATAATTTAGTACAGAATACATTGCAATCTCTACTCCTGTCTTACCTTAATATATATATTTCTGCAAATGTGGACTAAATGACCATTTTGCGGCTGGGTGCGGTGGCTCACACCTGCAATCCCAGCACGTTGGGAGACCGAGGTGGGCGGATCACGAGGTCAGGAGTTCGAGACCAACCTGGTCAATACGGTGAAACATCATCTCTACTAAAAATGCAAAAATTAGTCCCAGCTACTCAGGAGGCTGAGGCAGAAGAATCGCTTGAACCTGTGAGGCAGATGCTGCAATGAGCTGAGATATTGTCCTTGCACTCCAGCCTGGGCAACAGAGCAAGACTTCATAAAAAAAAAAAAATTAAAAAGACCATTTTGCTTAATGGTATCAGATACATATCAATTAAGAAAAGACCTTCAGGAGCTTGAAGAAAGGCATTATATGTGAAGGCATATCATTATTTTTTGTTAAAAGCATTTAGAAATGGGTCAAAGTAAAGACAAGACTAGAAATGCTTATCACAGCATTTGAACATAAAATTTTCCTCCCAACCTACAAATGGAATAACAGTAGCACTGGAACACAAGTACAATTTGTAAGAATGCATGATTCTTTTACACTGATGACACATTCTTCAATCAAAAATTTAATTACCTCAAAAGTAGAGATAGATGTACTTTATTTTCCTAATTTTTTTCTATACTTTTATTTATCCTAAATCTTTTTTTATTTTTAATGCCTGTGGGCACATAGTAGGTATATATCTTTATGGGGTACATGAGATGCTTTGATATAGGCAGGCAATGTGAAATAATCACATCATGGAGAATGGGATATCCATCCTTTCAAGCACTTATCCTTTGGGTTACAAACAATCCAAGTACACTCTTTTAGTTATTTTAAAATGTAGAATTAAGTTAGTATTGACTGTAGTTGCCCTGTTATCCTATCAAATAGTAGGCCTTATTTATTCTATTTTTTTTTGTACCCATTGATATGGTTTGGATTTGTGTCCTCATCCAAATCACCTACTGAATTGTAATCCCCAGTGTTGGAGGTGGGGCCTGGTGGGAGGTGATTAGATCATGAGGGGAGATTTCTCAGGAATGGCTTAGCACCACCCACCTTGGTACTGTCCTCCTGACAGTGAGTTCTTGCAAAATCTGGTTATTTAAAACTGTGTGGCACTTCCCCCTTTGCTCTCTCTTCCTCCTGCTCTGGCCATGTCATGGGCCTGCTCCCCCTTCGCTAAGCAGGTTGCCACTATGCTTTCTGTACAACCTGCAGAACTATGAGCCAATTAAATCTGTTTTCTTTACAAATTGCTCAGTCTCAGGTATCTCTTCATAGCAGTGTGAAAATGGACTAATACACCCATTAACCATCCTCACCTCCAGCCCCCGACTACCCTTCCCAGCCTCTGGTAACTATCCTTCTACTCTCTATGTCCATGTTTTCAACTGTTCTGGTTTTTAGATCCCACAAATAAGTGAAAACATGCAATGTTTGTCTTTCTGTGCCTGGCTTATTTCACTTAACATAATGGCCACCAGTTCCATCTATGTTGTTACAAATGACCGGATCTCATTCTTTTTATGGCTGAATAGTACTCCAGCGTGTATATGCACCACATTTTCTTTATCCATTCATCTGTTGACGGACACTTATGTTGTTCCAAATGTTAGCTATTGTGAATAGTGCTGTAACAAACACAGGAGTGCAGATATCTCTTTAATATATTGTTTTCCCTACTTTTGAGTATATACCCAGCAGTGGGATTGCTGGATCATATGGTGCCTCCATTTTTAGTTTTTTGAGGAACCTCCAAACTGCTCTTCATAGTGGTTGTACTCATTTACTTTCCCACCAACAGTGTACAAAGGTTCTCTTTCTTCCACATCCTCACCAGCATTTGTTACTGCCTGTCTTTTGGATAAAAGCCATTTTAACTGAGGTAAGATGATATCTCATTGTAGTTTTGATTTGCAGTTCTCTGATGATCAGTGATGTTCAGCACCTTTTCATATGCCTGTTGCCATTTGTATGTCTTCTTCTGAGAAATGTCTATTCAGATCTTTTGCCTATTTTTGATTGGATTATTCAATGTTTTTCTTATAGAGTTGTTTGAGCTCCTTAATATTCTGGTTGTTAATCCCTTGTGAGAGGGATCATTTGCAAATATTTTCTCCCATTCTGTACGGTGTCTCTTCACTTTGTCGACTGTTTCCTTTACTGTTTAGAAGCTTTTTAACTTGATGTGATCCCGTTGGTCCATTTTTGCTTTGGTGGCCTATGCTTGTGGGTATTGCTCAAGAAAGATAGATGTACTTTAAAAAATCATTTTCTGATTGGAACAGTACAAGTTTATTGTGGAAAACAATAATATAAATAAAAATATTTCATAATCTCCCAAATAACAAAACTCTACTCACCATCTTGGTGTATTTTTTTTTTAATTCTCTTTCTCTCTGTTGGCATTATACAAATTATATCTATCTATATATTTATATGTATAAATACATAAATAAAAATATAAAATATATACATAAACATGCATACATATATACGTGTATGTCTGTATGTACATACATATGCACATATATACATGCATATAGTTTTATTCTATTCTAATATTTTAGTTATGCTCACTTATATATTTCAAATATATTATTTCTATTTTCCTACTTATTTCTAAGTATGTGTTTTCATGGCTGCAAAAGAGTCTATCATATGAATGTACTATACACACATACAAATTCATTATATATACACACATATACAGTCACGTATCACTTAATGACAGTGATACATTCTGAGAAATGCATCATTAGGCAATTTTGTCATTGTGTGAACATCACAGAGTGCATTTCCACAAACCTAGATGGTACAGCCTACTCTACTACACACCTAGACACAGCCAACTGCTCCTAGGCTACAAATCTGTACAGCATGTTACTATACTGAATACTGTAGGCAATTGAAACACAATGTTTATGTATATATTTTATATTTTTATTTATAGCATTGACATATCTAAACATAGAAAAGGTAATGCATTGAGCTACGACGTTGCCAAGGCCATGATGTCACTAGGCAATAGGAATTTTTCAGCTCCATTATAATCTTATGGAACCACTGTCGCATATGTGGGCTGTCGTTGACAGAAATATCATTATGTAGTGTATGACTGTATAACCATTACTCCATTATTGGAAATATAAACAGCTTACAATTGGAGTACATATTACAGATAATGCTGTATCAGCATCTAGAAAGAGGCCCACCTTTTGGTCATAAGATAGCAGAGTTAAATGATTTTCACAGAGTAAGTTTCATAAAGTTCCAGAATGACTTAATAGGTTTCCTGAAATTTCCTTGTATAACTTTTGAGATAATCCACTCTACATGAAAATCACATTATTGTAAAAAACACTATAATGAACGTATATTGCATAGTATTCACACCATGAACACGGAAATAACACTGCTAGGCTCAAATTCAAGATTTACTGCTTTTTGTGTGATCTTACATAAATTCCTTAACTTTTTTCTGTCCATCTCTATTTTTAAAATGAGTGTAATTCTAGGATGTACTTATAAATATATTGTGAAGATTAAAAAAGTTATGAAGAGGGATTTAGCATGTTACTTCACACAGTTTTGTAATAAAATTACACGCAAATGTTATTTTTATTAATATCTTAGTCTACGAAATATTATACACCAAAATACCTCTGAATACCATCAAGTAGCAAGTGTTACTTTACTTTCTCCCTGCAAATATTCTAAAGGCTTTTAATTGGATTCCATGTCAAAAGAAAAAAAACTCAACTTTTGGTTAATCTAACTGATTGTGTTAGTGTGCTATCTCTATCATTTATCTACTTTTTTATGTAGTAACACAAATAGTCTAATAGATCCATTGCATTATATTGTGCAGAGACTATGATACTGAGTTACCCTTGGTAGAACATGCCTTCTGATTTGCCCAGATTCTCATACCTATACCCCTTCTACACAGTATCTACTGAGAATTTTTCTATCTGGGCTATGAATCTAAGACATAAGAGTTGGTGCAGGCTGTCAAAGAGGTACAGATGAGTAGACCTGCTATTACTTTGTGACTCAATTCATTTTGGAAATTCTGTCTGGGAATCAGAGTGGCTGACTGTAATTAGGCGTCAGAAGTGATGCTACATGGCCCCCCTTAGGACAGCTAACTGAATAGAGCAATTTCAACCAATGAGCATATAGGCATTTAACATGCTTTAGAGATTAGGAGCTTCATAGGGTTCTTCTCATTGCCTGGAATATACTTCAACCTCCACATCATCATTTGGTGATGAATCTTCAAAATTCAGCTCAGGGTATCTGCTCTGGCAAAAGGTGTTTCCCAAAGCATATGCCACCCTTGCCCACAACAGTCACAAACTGCACTGTAGCCAACTCTATGCTTTTCCTTCCTGCCTCTTTCATCTACCTACCTACCTACCTACCTACCTACACACACACATACTGAACTTAAAACTCTCGAAAACAAATACCATGTCTAATTCTATTTTCTATCCTAAGCAGCAAACATGAGTTGGGTACCTAATATCTGCTTATTGAATGAAAAATACTGTAGTCTACCATTTCTGGTATGGAGTGATAGTTCATATCATTTCAATGCCAGGAAATATGCTCATCGATTAGTAATATTGACAGAGATTAAAATGCATGTGTCTTCTGAAGTACTTATGAATGGAATGATATACCCAGGGTTTGCCTCAATATATTCCAGCTTCTTTGGGGGGATAGTGACAGAAATTATAGGTACTGATGAAAAAAATTGGCCACATATTGATAATTGGTGAAGTTAGGTTATGAACAAGGAGGAGATAAATGTACTATTCTCTCTAAATTGTGGTATATTTGAGAACTTTCATAATACAAAGTAAATACACATACACAATCACAAAATGGAAAATAAAAACACACAACCAAAGAACATTGACTTTATAATGTTAGCATCTTAGAAAAGGGTGGACATTGGTGGATTTTTATAGCACAACTGTTATGTTTAGGGGCATACGATTTGAACCAGGCTTCATGTATAGTTTGTTCTGCTATGAAAGTCTAACTACTACTGTACTTCAGCCAAAACTGGTGGGATTACAAGAGCTAGATGGATAAAAGTCTCCTTTATACAAGGATCCAAAGGCAGACATTTAACCAAAAATAAAAAGAAAGAGAAACAAACTATGGGCTTCAGAAAGAAAAAGAAACAAACTATAAGCTTCAAACGTTTAAAATCTGGCCAATAAAACTCATCTGCAAAGTCCTGGGAGATGGCAGCATGACTGAGGTGGTAGCGTATATGTTTATGTTGGCTGTTTCATTCCCCTACACACCTTAGACATCTCTAATTAATCCCTTTGGAGCAGTGGTGGCTGGAATTCATAGCTCACGGTCTTGTCCCATGCCAGCCAAATGTAATCCTGAGACACTGCACCCACATGTTAAGGGACATTATTGCCCTTCAGATTTAAGAATAACTGCTTGATTAGGCCTAGAGTGCTCAACCCTGGCTAACCATTAACATCAATTCAATCAGAAAGTAGGAACTGGGTATAGACGTTTTAAGAGTTGCCCCAAATGATTCTGCTTTTGTAGACAAATACCCTAAAAGCTGTAAGACAGCAATCTCAACCACAGAAAGATGTCATGAGTATTGAGAAATGAGAAGAGGACATTTTGCAACGAGATGCTGTGGTGTGCTGGCCAGATACTCCCCCTTCACCCTTTCAGGACCAAGGCACTCATTCTTTGAGCTTCTGTAGGCTTTTTTTTCACACCTGAATCCCTTCTGAGAATTGCCTCAACCCAAGGAAGCTGCCTCACTCAAGGTTGCATGCCTCCTCCTGCAGTGGTCCACATCCAACAACCATACAAGTAAAAATGCCCAGCCTCCTTGCCTCAATTTGGGACACTTTTTTTTTTTTTTTTGAGATGTAATTTTGCTCTTGTCCCCCAGGCTGGAGTGCAGTGATGTGATCTCAACTCCCTGCAACCTCTGCCTCCCAGGTTCAAGCGATTCTCCTGCCTCAGCCTCCTGAGCAGCTGGGATTACAGGCATGTGCCGCCACACCCGGTTAATTTTGTATTTTTTTTTTTTTTTTTTTTTTAGTAAAGACAAGGTTTCACCATGTTGGCCAAGCTGGTCTCGAACTCCTGACCTCAGGTGATCTGCCCAACTTGGCCTCCCAAAGTGCTGGGATTACAGATGTGAGCCACCATGCCTGGCCTATGCAATTTGGGACACATCTCACGGGCCATCCCTGCTTCAGAGCTCCCCATGGGTTCAGCTAATTTTCTTCTGCAACTGTATCACAGGTCAACTTTTTCTCTGCCCAGTCCTCTGGAAGGGCCTCTGCTTCTCATTCTTTCCCAATTTGCTTACCAAGCATGTTTCTCCATAGCATTTCCCAGTAAACCAGCTGCCTAGAAATCTCCTCTCAGAGGCTACTTCCCAGGAAATCTAACCTAAGATAATCACAAGGGCTTTCCTGGGATCCTGCTTAGCTTTAGTGCTTATCCACCTGCATTTCTCAAGTGGGAATAAGAAACCCCAGTATTTGTTTTGCTAAAATTGATTATTTACACCATCAACTCAGAACTACATTAGAGCTGCTTTTCCAATAGAGCTGCGTTTCCAAAAATCTCATCATTTTTACTAATCATAAAAGATGGAAAACTTGAGGCTATCACCCATAATTAATTAGTGCATCAAAAACATTAAGTATGAGAAACATTTATCTACATTTTCCAAATCAGTAAAAATAATTGTAAAAAATTATGACTGTTCTTTCTCTCAGATGTCTCCAGAATCATTTAGTGATATCTGGGTCTTCTTTGGGCTGTTCAACTTCCTCTTCCTCTAATGGGTATCCCTCAAGGGTCTCTGATGTTGCCTTGTTCTTTTCCTAAATTGGCTCATTTCCTGGATTTTCTTTGCCTCCTGGTCAATACAGGCAAGATGGCAGCTTTTACTGGAAGGCTTGTTGGGAGTAGATCTTTTGGTTCATAGAAACCTAAAGAGTTATCCACGGGAGACAGTTGTGTCTGAGTGTGTCTCATGTCAATAGACTTTGATGTTATTCAAGCAGAAACTTCTGACTTGTGGGTTAGAGGTTGTATGTTAGACTTAGAGATCAGGTGCACAGGCAGGGTGAGGGGTATATTTGGGAATCCAAGAATTAGTGTCTTTCTCCCTACTCTGTAGTGACTAAAATCTACATGGAGCAGAGCACAGTTTACTTGGCTGGGTTGTTGGTGGCTCTCTTTACCAGTTTATGAAATCTAAGTTTGTCATTTTTGCTTTGATGAATGACTATCAATTTGTACCCAGTCATGAAACAAACAGAACTGTGACTTGTGCTTTACAATTTGGGTAGGCAACTTACTTTGCTGTAGACCTTTGCTAGTCAATTTGTGATTTGTGAATCAATAGCATTGACCTGAGGCCGGGCGCAGTGGCTCATGCCTGTAATCCCAGCACTTTGGGAAGCCGAGGTGGGTGGATCACGAGGTAAAGAGATGGAGACCATCCTGGCCAACACGGTGAAACTCCGTCTTTACTGAAAATACAAAAATTAGCTGGGCGTGTTGGCGCGTGCCTGTAGTCTCAGCTACTTGGGAGGCTGAGGCAGGAGAATCGCTTGAACCTGGGATACAGAGGTTGCAGTGAGCCAAGATCACACCACTACTCTCCAGCCTAGGTGGCAGAGCGAGACTCTGTCTCAAACAAAAAACGAAAAACAAAAAAACCCAGCATTGACCTGAGAGCTTATGAGAAGTGCACAATTTTGGCTCCTGGCTCTAACCCATGGCTACTAAATCAGAATGTGCTACTAAACAAGATTATTTCATACTTCTAGGAGGGTCCCAAGTGATATTGATGCTACTGATCCACAGAACACATTTCAGGAAGTAAGGCTGCAGATAGTTTTATCGTATTTCCAGTAGTTGCAATGGTTACCCTTATAGGAAGCTGGGTTGTGGCTGTGTCCGCCTGTATCTCCCAGTGCTGTGTTTAAAGCCCTACTCATTGTCACAACAAGCCAAGTGAGCGAGAATTAGACAGAAAGCAGTACCCAAGGATGATAGATGGTGGCTGTTCCCAGAGAAATGAAGAGAGTCCTTGTTGTATGGGTAGAACTGCTCTCCGATGTGGGGATGCAGCTTAGAGCCCAGCTCTGGGAAATGGCTAATTATCTCGTTGAGAAAGCCCACCAAGAAGCAGCTTTCACATGGAGGAAAATGTTGCCTGGACAGAGAATGGCCTCTCCACCGGCTCTGTTCAGAGGAAGCAGAAAGGAGAGACTTTGACTGGAAATCACACCAGTAAGGGCATTTCTTAAACTTTTGAAAATATAAGGGAAAAGCCCTTCCCTGGGAAATTGGAGACTTGGATACTGGGTCTGTCTCAATCACCAACAAGATATAAACACCAATACATTACCTATACTCTGGGTTTCACTTATTTCATCTGTAAAATGAGGGTTTCTAAGAATTTACCCAGCTCTTTAGCACCTAAGAACTCAAAAGCCCTAGAATTGGCTGCAAAATCTGCTCTTGCCACAAGAGGGAGTCATTTTTCTGAGATAATAGAAATTCTATGCATAGTCTTAATGAAAAGATTTAGGCAAACATTAGCATTTGAGCACCCAGAACTAAATGGCCTTTCATAAATAATTTTAAAAGATTAAAAGGCTTATTAACTTTTTTCACTTACATTAAATTGTGACTAATTCTTTGCTTGAACAAGCAAAAAAAAAAAAAGACGATTGAGAAAGATCAATAGAGCAAACGAAAACATTGATTATCTACAAATATAACAAAGAAGGTCTTGACTTTCCTCCAAAGATTCCTAGGAATTCAAGCCTGTTCAGTGTTTCTCTTATTTTTTTGCACATTGTCAAATCCTGGGGGTTTCCTGACCCTTTGGTAGAGAGTTTTGTGTCTAAGAATTAACATTAGACTCAAGGTGTGTCTAACTGACAACAAATGATTCTGGAAGAGAATAAACTGGTACATAAGGAAATGGGAGGCACTGTTTGTAGGATTCCAAACATCTGTATGAGAAGTGAAACATTCCATCCAGAGTCAACATGTTGCCTCTACAAAAGATGTTTTTCAGATACTGTACCTTCATGTTAGGTGTCATGTGAGCTCAGCACTGAGCTAAGGAGCTGTGATCGCTTCATTTGTCCCAGATCACCCAGACCCCCTTACTGTAACTGATCTCACCATGGTTCTTTCTTCTTTCCTCTATCTTTCCATGTTGTGAAAGGGAGTTTTCCAGGCTGAGGGTGGTTGGCCTGTCTGCCGCAGGTAGAGTAAAGAAAATGGGATGTGAACTATGAGTGAAGGCTGGGAGAAGAGGAAGCACTGGTTGACTTTTGGTGGGCAACCTGAAAGAGAGCTGTGAATGACATCTCTCCTCCCTGCTCCTAACTAGAGAGTGTGTCTCAGAGAACTGTGCCATTTAAGAGCCGGAAGGCACTCTCAAAGCCACCTGGTTCAATATTTCCCAAAGAGGAGCATTTTCTGTTCATACAATAGGATATTATTTTAGCTTATGCATAGACATAGAAGCAACATTGACTCACAGAGGGAGAATCTAATCCCTCCTAATGGCCTCAAGGAATATGCCTTCTTCTTATCCTGTGATGTTTCTAAAACCCCTCTATCGGTTACCAATTTCTCATTTTTGACAAAAAAAAAAAGGTTTTACCATAAAAAAATCAGAGCAGTCACCAGGCAACACTATCTAGCTAGAATATAATAGTATTGCTTGATTTGTTGCATTGATTTTTATGACTATGTGCTATTTATAACAATGATATTGGTTTCTCTATCCATAATGCCATCACATTTGCTTTTTAAGTAAAAAAGTGAATTGACTTAAAGAAAAATGTTAGGTAAGTAATAGTACAAGCGGTACACAGATAAGTCAGAAAATGTGCAGATGGTACCAGCAGGTAGAGTTATTGACAATAAGCCCATAGCTCTGTCTTCTGACTTGATAACTTTTCACACATGTTGTGTATCTGGTTCTATAGTGGGATTGACCACTAATGAGTTACTTTAATCAGGCTGACACAGAAAAACAAATGCGCTCTAATCTCCTTTCAACTGGTCAAGTTTTAACTTTATTAGGTATATTAAATAACTCATATTGCTCCTTTGGGACACACAGAAAAAGGGGGAAAATTCCTTTTGTGCCAAACAGTACAGTTCTATGTTAAATCCCATTGCAGCCCACAGGCAAAATCCCATAGCTGCCAATGCCATATCAAAGAAGGTTCTCTATTTCCCTATCCCTGTAGCTCAGAGTTAATAACACTTGGTTTACCTAATTACAACAAATTTTTTCCAATAATAATCCTTACAACTAGTGCTTTCTCTGGCCCTGGGCCAGTCACTCAATAAAGCAAAGACCTAACTGTTATTTCCTTTAGGCAGGAAATCCTTTTTCTGTAACCTCAGACATTTCTTATAACTTTATTTGTATGTTTATCATCAATCAGTACAATCAGACTCCTTGAATTATGTGAGCTCCATGAAGGCAGGGGTCTCATCTGTTTCGTTGACTGCTGTGTTTTCAATGCTTGGAACAGTGCCTGCTCTTCGATAAACGTTTGTTGATTAACGGACAGATTAATTAACTGCACTGGTGGGAACAAGTCTTGATTTGGGGGAATTGCTTGTTTATGTAAAGCCAACTGGAACAGCTGTTCTGTGTAGGTGCACATCACAGAGGCAGCTTTCATCTTAAAGAGGAAGATAAAGAACACACCAGTGATGGAAGTTATGCTCAGCTTGGGAAATCACAGATTTTAAAAAGTGCCAGAGGTTATCTGTTTTTATTGAACATTGGAACCTTCCCAGCTGGTAAAATGCCTAATAATTGTTCAAGGTCATCAGGAAAGTAGATCGTTTGGCGACTCATTGTCGCCAACAGGTAAGTTTTCTTCTTGGGAAATAACACAGGGTTTTCAAAGTCTCCTGAGGTTATTATGATTTTTGGTTTTAAATAAACATTCAGTTGGTTTGATGTGCACTTTGGATTTCATGTTTCTAACAGAAATAGTTCACGTTAGTTCAGTGAAAAATATAAAATCAACAGGAAAATTCAGGATTTTGGACAGAATTGTTGGTTTAGAAGAGATTGGTTCCTTGAGTCTTGCCTGTAGCCACAACACTTCATTTTCTTAACATATTTCCTAGGTGGAAAGCACTGGGAATACAATGTGTAACCCCTACCCTCCAGGAGTATTATCACAGCCTAAGGGGAAGACAAACAGGTGAGCGGGTAACTACAATTCACGGTAACTACAATTCATGGTAACTACAATTCATGTGTGTCATAGGTCCTATCAGGGAAGAAAGTGAATGTTGCTAGTGGAGCATGCAGGAGGGGCAGTAACCCAGTCTTTCTGTGTATGGTGGGGGTAAGAGCGCCAGGAAGAGCTTCTGAGAAGAGGTTACTAATCTAAAGTTAGTAAGTACTTGTAGGACATGGCCAGGTAAAGATTAAATGTTCTACCAAGAAAGAAGAAGATGCAGCCGGGCGCGGTGGCTCACGCCTGTAATCCCAGCACTTTGGGAGGCCGAGGCAGGCAGATCACGAGGTGAGGAGATCGAGACCATCTTGGCTAACACGGTGAAACCCCGTCTCTACTAAAAATACAAAAAAATTAGCCAGGTGTGGTGGCGGGCACCTGTAGTCCCAGCTACTCGGGAGGCTGAGGCAGGAGAATGGCGTGAACCCGGGAGGCGGAGCTTGCAGTGAGCCGAGATTGCGCCACTGCACTCCAGCCTGGGCAACAGAGCAAGACTCCGTCAAAAAAAAAAAAAAAAAAAAAGAGAGAAAGAAGATGCTTCCCTTATAAGGTCTTATTTTTCATACTTAAGGATAACTTCTAATTTGCTATGCATTCTGTTTCTCTCAATAGTCTTGATGTATCATTACAAAAGAAGGAGAAGGTGGTGATGAACTTCTGCCCATAACCATGTAAGAATGTCATCTGACCTGCTGCTTCAAGGCTAAGAGAGTGATAGTGCCTGTGCCTTCTCTGTTATTCCAATGAAACCATCTGCTCTCTTGGTTCCCAGGCCTTGCCACTGGCTTCCCTGTTCTCCTGCTTGCAGACAGCATATCACAGGACTTCTCAGATTCCATAATCTGTGAACCAATGTCCATAATAAATCCTCTTTCAGGTATACCTCTTAGTGTATGTCCTGTTGGTTCTGTTTCTCTGAAGAACCCTTACTAATACACTGCCTTTCTAGACATATCTGCTGTCCCTTCTTTCTCTCCCTAACCTCTACTTACCCACAGTACATACACACTCTTTAATCCATCCAAGTTGATTTAATTTCATTCTCTGAATGGATCCTGCTATTTTACATTGCTGAAACTTAGCACATGCCGCTCCTCTGCCTCAAATATTCTGTGATCCTTGTGGGGGCGGGGGTAAAGATTACTTAGCCTTACAATTTCAGTGAGGCTTGTCTTTGAGGAGTCTTCCTGCACAAAGAATCTGATAGAAATGCCTCTCCTCTGGTCTTTAGTAGTAGCGTGTTTCTGTGTCCTAGGACTTATTGCACTCTTGGTCTGTTTCCCTCACTAGGTTTGAGTTCCTTGGGGAATGAGCCACGTTTTAATTCACCTGAGGCAGGCCCTAGTGAATTAGCAATGCACTATAGTTGTGTAAATGTCATCATGGAGGTAAGGTGAGGGAAGAGTATATGTGAAGCCTTTGTACTATTTTTTTTAATTTCTTGTAAGTCTCAAACAACTTCAAATGGAAAATATTTTTAAAATGAATTTTGTCATGGGTTAAAACCCTGTATCAAATATATAAATCTAGGGGAAACAACAATTCCATGTAGCATTTCATTTTCTGTAATTTAAAAAAATTAAAATCAGATGTCATATTTCCTCCCAAAGGAGAATGGATAGGGACTTCCAAAAGTCTCTTAGCAAAACTTAGAATGCATTTTGGTCATTGTCACTCAACCTTCCCCTTCACCTGCCAGACAGAGACTTCTGTAAATTTCTTATCCAAAGACAGCCTATGATTAAAAAAAAAAAAAAAAAAGGGCTTCTCTCTCTTGTCATCTGACAACAAGAACCAGGTTCTAAAAACATGTGCACTCTCAAAACTGAACATTGCTGTGTACTGTGGAAGCCCTTGGCAGCATTAGCTTTGATGGTGTCTAGAGGGGTGAAGCATTTGCAAGTTTTCCATTTATCACCCAGACATCCAGCCCCAGGGCTACCTCAGGGTCCTGGCCAAACTTCACTTTTGCTAATTTATTATAGTTTGTACTTTTAAGTGCCTGGGGACAACTACAAACTTGTTTGAGGTGAGATAAGTCTCCTGAACTTACACCAGTGGCCCTACTGGGTCGCAGGCCCAAGAGATAATCAAGGTAAAGTGAATTCCCATCTTTCAATCCATTCAGTTTACTAGACGACAGTATTTAGTTGGCAATTATGTATCTAAGACTGGTATTAGTGATAAAATAATAACAATTTATTGTAGTTTACACATGTAAGTATCTGGCGGGGACTGTAAAGTGGTTTGAAGAGAGACCATCAAGTAGAAGTGAGTTCTCATCCATCAATTCATTCTGCTCCTTTGACAGTAGTATCTTTCAAGCAAAACAACAATTGGTTGGCAATCACCTTTGTTTCCCCAGAGTCATTCATGTAGTAGGCATTCATTATTTGCTAAATGAATACATGGCTGCTCTGTTGGTTTCCTAGGCTTTTGAAAGTTCTTCCTACCTTATTCTCTTCCCTGTCCCTGGTTGACTTCCCATCTACATGAACCCTATTCCCATTTATTTTCTCTTTATTCCTAGAGCTTTGACACATGCCACTTGAGGTGACCTAACAACATCCACTTAGTTAGCTTGATAGATTCTTATTCACATCCTTAGTCTGAATAGCAGGGCATACTCAGGCACCCAACATGTCCACAGAGAGAAGAGGGAGATGGTGTCACCAAAAGGAAAAGCTGCAATTGCCAGCCTATAGATGCCACTGATTACCACACCAGAGCCAAGAAACTTCACATCTTTGGACTCTGTTTTCTCATCCATAGAAGGGGAATACAATATTAATGTTTTTCAACATATCTAGCTTTATGAAGCTAACAGGATTATTTAATATCTCTGTTCCAATAGTAGCAGAGTATAACAAATAGTAATTTTTAAAAAGAGCACTCTCAAGTTAACAAAATTTTCAACTGAATTTTGGTAAGAATTTTGGAAGATAAGACTCCTTATGATGTTATTATTAAAGAATAAGAAAAGAGGAGGGGAAAAAACCTCTTGGCAACATATATGGAACATTAATTCACTCTCTTGCCACTCACAGGGTGCCTGGTGATATGGCAGCAAAATCAAGAGCTCGCTTTCCTGGAGCTTAATTTCTGAGGATGTAAGGAGTTGAAGAGACATAAACCTTGCCAGAGGGTGCTAAGCACTATGGGGGTAGTCACCATCATTATCATCATCCCTGTGTTTGCACCACAGCTACAGCTTCCAAAGCACTTTCCCACTCATTATTTCATTTGTTCTTCACATAATAGGGAGGACAGACATTTTGTAGACAGGAAAATGGAATCTCAGAGAGGTCAAGCTCAGGACGCAACCTTATGCACGCAAGCAGTTTGGTGGGTAAGGACAAGGTTTGGGCATCAGAAACACTAGTGCCCCAAGAAAGATCTGATAAGAAATGAAGAAGTCATTATTGCTCATGCATTGACAAGTTGATTGTATTTCAAGTGGAGTCCAGGCCACAGTCGAGCAATTATTTACACTTTTCCACGTACCTCAAATTGATAAGAAGGAAAATGTTCACATGGAAGGAGTTTCAGGAATGAGCAGCAGGTAAGAAGAGGATTTTTTTGGGGTGGAAAGATATTAAACTCAAACTCAATCTCTCCTTGGGAGCCTGGAGGGACACCTCCAAGAAAATCCTCTGAGGTAGGGTAGAGCCAAAGAGTTCCAGAGGTGATCTTCTGACTCTATATCCTCAAACTCCCTCACTACCCTGGGAAACCCCCTGAAGAGAGCTGCTGTTTTGTTCCCTGAAACTTCTGGGTTTGGAAGAGCCTGTATTCCTTCAACACAGCTTCTTCATCTCCTAATTTCTAGTGCCTGAAAGGGTATGCAATCAATGAATATTCATGGACCAGTTAGACAAGAAAATGATTTTAATAATATAAAAATTATTTTACATGAAAATCCATCCCTGTGCTGCCTATATTATTTCTGTATTTATTTGCAAAATTTCTGTCAATAAGAAGGTTTCACTAGAACACATTCTCTGTTAATAGAAAGGTTTTCCTTTAGTTTTGGAAAACAAATAGAGCTTGGTGATGGCAGGAAACCTCTTGCTACTGAATTATGTGTGCCCAGCTGTTCGTTAAGGTAGATAATGCCACTCTTTTAACATGCTGGTGTTGGAGCTTTGCAGACCCATCTTAGTTGGCTTAAAGGTAGAACAAATAGCTATTGAAATTAAAGGTGACAACTTGTGACCCCAAGACCTGTCTGAAGTCCAGAACCAGATATATTATGACAGTGGTATATTTTATTTCCTTAAAATTTAACAAATACATTTCACTTTAATTCAGGTAATACTTTTTGAGTCCCTCTATATGCCAGGCTTGTTGAAAGAGTTGAATTTGTTTGGAAGTGTAATGTAGGAAACTTACATGAGGGCCATTTGCAGGATAGGAGAACAAATGAAGACCCTGACATTTAGACTACCTTTATCCTTCTTTGGATCACTCCATATTAGAAAAGTGACTCTCTGGATAGGTATTATCACTAATTTGCATGTATAAAAATAGTTTATGTTTACTGTTGCCTATGTTTTGTGCTGATTTAGTTAATAAAGAAACACAGAAAGGAAACTAAGTTGTCAATAAAATTCCAGCAAGGAGAAGTAAGGGCAATATCAGGTTAGCTGTTGTCTCTTTAATACATAGTAGTGTCAAGGGAGAAGAAAAAAATCCCTTGTGACACATATCTATACTCATTTTTGTTGTTGCGAATATGATTGTAATTAGGGCTACTTGTCTGTCTTTCCTGACATCTCTTGGGGAGATGACAGTGTGTTTTGCATAATGTTACAGTAGGTGAAACCATGGTTTAGCAAAATGATTTTCTCAGGGCATTGAGGCCCATGATTGAATGAATGGGTAGTGGGGTTGTTGACTTTCTAAAATTGACCCTTCCCTTCCGGCTGGCATGTTTCAGAGTGGTTGTTATCTGGGAGTGACCTATTCATGTATGAAAGGGTGAGGTCATTGGGAAGCCCCCACCCTTCCTATACTTACAATGCTGAGACCTTTTATACCAACGTCAGATGCCAAAACCCAGCCAGGGGTGGAGTCCACCAGCCACACTTGAACCAAGAGGTTAGCCTTCTTAAGAAAGTTGATTTCCATGATCAGAAAGACAGCATGTGGGAGACTAGCTTGGATAAGAAAAATTACAAATGTAAAGAATTTTTGAATAAATGAGAAAGTGAGGGGTCATCCAAATCAACCCAATTGTGTAGCCATGGAATAAAGTTTAAAAGGTTTGTGACCTTTTTTTTTCTATTTTAACCAATATCCAACAATGGGGAAAATAAGATTGTTTTAAAGAAGCTAAAGATTAAATGCAATAATCATGAGCTTTTCATGATACAGCAATTTCCCATTTTGGCTCACAAACTTATATAATACAAGCAAGTTTTTCCCCACTTCTAATCTCCAAATTCTTCTCTTTATGTCCCCAGAAAAAGGAAAAAAAAAAAGAAATTTGAGGGTATTTTTTCTCCTGCTTCTATTTAGCATTAGTAGTCCCTGATGCATCCTCAATACATATGTCTGGCACAAAGCAAGTGATCAATACATGTTTCTGAATGAATGAATGAATGACTTAAAAGTTGACTCCTTTGTGCTAGGCATTTGAGGGCCATCAAGATGAATTCACCAGAGTTCTTGTTTCCATTGAAGTTACAGGTTGATAGAGGAAATAATATACCGGGAGATTAGTTGCATGCAAAGTAGAAAGTGCTATAATAACTTAGCCTTATGCTTATTTGAACATCTATTATGTGTTATGTGCTTTACATATAATTTGTTTATTACTAAAACCTCCCTGAAATGGCAGGAATTATCATCTTCATTTTTATAGTGACAAAACTGAGGGCTGTATAGGTCAAGTACTTTCCCTAAAGTCACAGAGCTGGACAGAAGTAAAAACAGAATTTGAATTAGATCTGTTATTTGCCAAGGATACTAAGTCACCTTTCATAAACTTCTCTGGAATAAAAAAAAATAATGATATTAACAGCTAATGCTTATAGCACTTATAGTTTACATATATCAACCCATTTAACCTGCGCAACAACCCAAATTGATAGATACTATTACTATCATCCTTATTTTACAGATAGGAGCAAAAACTAACCAGAGTATATTCATGAAGCACAAGCATTTGAAGTAAATTTTAAAATATAAGTAGGATCTGGGTATTTAGGAGTAAAATAAGCGTCAAAAATGGCGAAAAGCTTGAGATTTTACCTATCTGGAAGCTAACAAGTTAGCCTGCTCCTTTCATGTGATGTTGTAAGAAGACATGAGGCTCCTGGAAAGAAAGAATAGTTTATTATTCACTGCAAAAGCAGTAGTTAGAGTATCAGCATTTTAAAATATTCATTCTCTGAGTTCTAATTCCCACAGGGAAATGTAAACAGGGCCAGATAATACCTGCACATGCAGGGGGTTTTGTTAGAGGAGAGAAACCTTGAGTTTAGGGAAACTAAATCTTTTACAAGGGGCAGTAGATGCCTTTGCTCTTGAGGAAGACACAATCTCTATCTTCCAAGGCTTGCTATACAAATATCTTTGAAAAACAGTCTAGATTTAGAATAAAGACCAGTCTGTCACAAATGCTGTTCACAAAACATGTGGAAACATGAGAAACCCATGGAGAAATGTGTCCCAACCATAGGTTAGGGAAAAATAATTCCCAGGAGAAAGGCCAAGATGACCAAAGAGCAGAAAGAGGAATGTATGGGCAAGTGGTAGGCAGTTAAGTGCCTTGAAGGATGGGGTCAAGAAAAAAGTGGTCAGAAATATAATTGGAGGCCAAAGAAGATCTTTAAAACTTGGGAGAAAGAATCTTAAACCTTTTTTTCTTCTGCACTCGTCTTACTACTAATGATGCCAACAAATTCACCCTTTTATTGGTAGATCTGGGCTCTGATTCACTGAGCAGGAAATCCTTCCAAAGATATCTCTCTTTTAAGGCAAAACTTACTTCCTCCTGTGAGACAGGAGACAGTTTTGTAGGATTTGAGATTGTCCTCCCCTAGTAAAAGTCATGTCCACCTTCCATTGGACGAAAGTGTGGTTGTGAAAAATTGAAACGAGTCTTAGTGGATTATAAACCCATGTACACTTGCTTCTCTTCCTGGGTAATGGCAGTGGGAGACACAATTCAGTCTATAGCATTAGAATTTAATCCTCAATCAATTCCAAAAGGTCTTGATATCCTTATACAGATGAGGAAACTGGCTTAGAGAGGTTCAGTGAGCTGTGCAAAGTCATAAAGTAAAACAGCCGGAGATTGAAACCAATTTCTGGCTTCAAAGCCTGATTTATTTTCAACATCACAGGCTGCCTGGCAGTGGCCATTTGGTAAGACCTCCTGCATATTGAGCACTTACTGAGTGTTAACAACTTTGTCAAGGACTTTACAACATTATTTTTTTAACCCCTCAACAATGAAGAGAAGTATTTTACACTCATTTCACAGGTGAGAAGATGTGACACAGAGAAGTTAAATGACTTACTAAAGAGCACAGTTAGGAACTAGAATGATCAAAAATTCAAATCCAGATTAATCTTATTTCAATGCCAGTATTTTTGTTCTGTTTCTCTACAGTGCATTCTTGGGATTGGTCAATTACTTACTAATCAATAATTTAATAGGAATGCATTATTAACCGGAGTGTTCAGACTTTCTGAAACCATGAAAATTTCCTAAGATGGGAAAAACATCCACAGAAGATTGATCAAACTGTAAAGTTTTAATATATATAAAGGTAAATGACATCAAAATCAAGTTTATGTTGGTTTGTGTCTGAAATTTCATATTAAAGGGAAGCCATTATGAATTGTAATCATATGGAAGAAATATTACATTTCTGTTGGGCCCTGCGGGTAGGAGAGTTTCAGTGAAATGTCTTTTGTTTCAAAGTTGTAGCTGGTCTAGCTAAAGTTATGTTTTCCACCCAAAGGTGGCAGCACACGTATTATTGGTTTTTGGTGCGCTTTTGATTACATTTAACGTAATGGAGTCTTTGAGAGCTTCAAGGCACCTTAAACATCATCTAGAACAGCCATGTCATTTTGAATCTGGGGAAACTGAGGCTGAGAAAGATTCTGTGACCGGCCCAGTATCTTACACCTTTTTAGAGCCACAGCCCAAGCAGAATCTAAGTTACCTGACTCAGATCTATGTTCACTAAAGTGAGCTCTTATCGACTTTCTAACAAATTCACAGCTGAGAGGTGAAGATGAGAGGGTAAACTCCATTTATGGAGGAAACAAAGAAAGGAAGAAGAAGGAGAAAAGAAAAAGAAAGACAGGCATTGGACTCAGGAAAAAAATACTTGATGTAAATATAAAGTCTTGAAGCATGCTATGACTTCATAAAAACTTCAAAAGCCCAACTGCAGTTGCAAAATAAATGGTGTGTTCTAGGGAGCAGTCTGGAATCCCACGCTGTATACAACATCCAGTCTACTGGGGCCAGATATACCAAGTCAGCAGCATCTGGGACCTTGTTAGAAATGTTAAGATTTCAGCCCTCTTTTCTCCAGAATTGCAGAATCAGAATCTGCATTTTATAAGATTCCAGGGAGATTGATTCATTGGCACATTAAGATTGGAGAAACACTGGTCTAGAGTCTAGGTTCTAGACTACAGCATGGTTCTTAAAAGGGTGGTCGCTGAACTAGCAGCCTCAGAATCTCCTGGGAACTTGTTAGAAATGCAAATTATCAAGCCCCAGTGCTGGCCAACTCTGGGTGAGGCCCAGCAATCTGTTACAGGTGATTCCTGTAATTCCTCCAAGTGATTCTGCTGCACTATAAAGCTAAAGTTGGAGAAGCACTACTCTGAACTTTGCTGACTAGTTTTTGCCCCAAGAAGGCTGCATCTCTGCTAAACTCTGCTAAACTTTCTCTGAATTGTTGTCTACCTCAGATGTCATCTCCCTCTTCCTTCCTTCTGCATGACTGAATGGTTTACAGCAGACCTGCTCAAATGTCTTGGCTTCTATTTGCTAATTATATATAATATATTTGATAAGCAACCAGTTTCTTGCTAAGGCACTACTAGGAGCCATTGGCTAGTTAGGGAGATGCCAGTGCCTGAAATGGGATCACTCACACTTTCAGAATTTACCAACGAGGAGGTTGTGATGAGATTTCTCATCAGTTTGTTCCGGCTACAGTCCTATTTTCATAGACAGAGATGGATGCATGGGCCTGTTTGTGTACACTTCAGGAGCCTGTGAGTTGACCAAAAGTCATAAGCCTTCTCTAATACGATATTTAACTTGGGTGCATTTACAGAAGCATTTGAAAGAATATACTAACAGCTACTCTCCAATAGGAGAATACTGAGATGGAGAGCTTCCTCAAGGCAACCGGACCCTCACAACTTTATCCATTCTGCAGATATATTTTGGAGCACAGACAGAACTATCCCAGAAAATGGGGCCCAAAACAATTTAAATGGAATAAATTCTACCTATATAATAAGACCACAAGGCCTTTAGCATGGAAATTTTTATGAAGCAGAACTCTCCAAAGCCCAGCACTGGAGACCTTCATGTACTAACCAGCTTAATGGTAAAGAAGAAATAAGGGGGTAAGGCAGAGTGGGTTTTTGTTTGCTTTTTATGTTGTTATTGTTCAATAACTAGGTGTTATGAAAAGACTCAAACAGATGTTAAATTTTTTTAAAAAAGTATTTTGTCTCCCAGAACATGTCACTTAATTTTTTTATTCCTTCATTTGTGAAATGAAGCTATAATTGCCCTGCCTACATCATCCAGATGTGATAGAATCAAGTGTAAAATAATTTTGTAAATATGCTTTTACATATATGTGTAAAATATACCAAGAAAGGTTACCTTTATTATAAAATTATCACCAAATATTATTACTTTCTCTACCTGGAAATTTTCAGAGCTTCTTTTTCTTTTTCTCTTCACAACTAAGAAGCGCAGTGGTTTGCAGTGTAAACTAGAGCAGGCATCAGCGAGCTTTTCGGTAAAGTGGCAGATATTAAACATTTTTGGCTTTGCAGGCCATACAGTTGCAACTATTCAACTCTGTTATTGTAGCCAGAAAGCAACTATGGGCACTACGTACACAAATAGACGTGGTTATGTTTCGGTAAAACTTTATTTATAAAAACTGGTAGCAGGCAGAATTTGACCCTATAGTTTGCCCACTCCTGACCTAGAGTATTGGCTTTAGTTTGCATCTATTTAAGGAGCCTCTGCAGTACTTGGAAGTCCAGAAACAAATGAGAGAAAAAGTAGAGATACTTCTTTTTTTCTTTTCTTTTCTTTCTTTTTTTTTTTTTTTTTTTTTTTTTTTGAGACAGAGTCTCATTCTGTCACCCAGGCTGGAGTGCAATGGTGGGATCTTGGCTCACTGCAACCTCCACTCCGCCGGGTTCCAGCAATTCTCCTGCCTCAGCCTTCTGAGTAGCTGGGATTACAGACACCCACCACCACATCCAGCTAATTTTTGTATTTTTAGTAGAGACGGGGTTTCACTATGTTGGCCAGGCTGGTCTTGAACTCCTGACCTCAAACGATCTCCCACCCTTGCCTCCCAAAGTGCTGGGATTGCAGGCATGAGCCACTGTGCCTGGTGAGATATTTCTTAATGTGGTATTTAGGAAGAGGGAAGGAAAGTTTTTAGCATAGACGCTCTTGAGAATTCTATTCAAATTAGCAATTTGTTGCAGTATCTACTGTGAGTCAAGCACTGGGCTGGACTGTGGGGATATAATGTTGAGTAACAGCCCTTACCTCTCAGGACGTTTGCAGTCTAGATGATAGTTGAGACACCACTGCTGGGAATACTTGTATTGGACTGAGAAAGGACATAGTTTTAGACAATAAGCTGCAACGACAGAATATAGTCATGCACTGCATAACAACTTTTCAGTTAATGATAACATATATGACAGTGGCCATATATATGGTCCATTATAATAGACTATAAAAGATTATAATAGAACTGAAACATTCCTGTCGCCTAGTGATGTTCTAGCTGTCCTAATAACATAGCACAATGCATTACTCAGGTGTTTGTAGTGAGGCTGGTATAAACAAACCTATTGCATTGCCAATGGTATAAAAGTCTAACAGATACAATTAGGTACAGTACATAATACTTGATAATTATAATAAATGACTATTTTGTTTATGTATTTACTATACTATACTTTTAATCATTATTTTAGAGTGTACTGCCTCTGCTTATTAAAAAAGTATGAGAAACAAACTTACCCATTCAAACCCAAAGAATGGACTTAGAGACCCGGAGAACAGCGAAAGTGAGACTTTTAATGACAGTCTTGCAAGATCCGTGTTTGATGGACAGGCACACCCAGTACAGTTTTAACAAGCAGTTTATCCCCTAGTGCGCAAGTCCCTCCCCCAGTTCCTTAGAGGCTGAGTGCTATGGGGTCACAATCTTCCTGGACGTTGCCTATTGATTGTTGGGTAGGGGCTTTAGGTGTTTTCTTTAGGGTTGTCTTGCCGCATTTTGTTGCAGCCCACAATGCATTACAATCCTAGTTAGCTCAGGGGCTCTTTAAATATTTGACTTATGACCTAAGTAGCTGGGCAGGCTGATAAGAATAGATAAAGCGAGCTATTTTGCAGGCTAGAAAGCTTTCATTTTAGACTAAACTTTTTTGGTTCTGGTGAGGGCAACTAAGCGTTGGGGGGAAGAAAGGGGAGGGGGAGGCCGACAAGCAGGCATTGGCTAGCCAAGCAGTGGCCTAGTATATCTTGTTTCTTCTGTAGTTTGCTAACCTAAGTCAATTCAAGGCACTTTGTCTTGAAAATGGACCACTGTATACATTATTTCCTTCAAAAAGTTTACTGTAAAACAGCCTTAGGCAGGTCCTTTGGGAGGTTTCTAGAAGAAGGCATTGTTATCATAGGAGATGACAGATCCATGTGTACTATTGCCCCTGAAGGCCTTCCACTGGGACAAGATGTGGAGGTGCAAGACAATGATATTGATGTTCCAGGCCTAGGCTAATATGTGTGTTTGTGTCTTCATCTTTAACAGAAAACTTTCAAAAGTTAAAAAAATAAAAAAATTAAAAGAGAAAAGAGTTATAGAATAAGAATATAAAAAAGAAAATATTTTTTCTATGCCTGTATAATGTGTTTGTGTTTTAAACTGTTATTACAAAAGACTCAACAAATTAAAAAAAATTAAAAGTTTATTAAGTAAAAACCTTACAGTAAGATAAGGTTAATTTACTGTTGAAGAAATAAAAAAAATTTAAGTAAATATAGTGTAGCCTAAATGTACAGTGTTTATAAAGTCTGCAGTAGTGTACAGTAATGTCCTAGGCCTTTGCTTTCACTACTCACTCACTGATACTCCCAGAGCAACTTCCAGTCCTGTATGCTTCATTCATGGTAAGTGCTTGTATTACTCTGGTCTCACACTGCTAATAAACACATGCTTGGGACTGGGTACTTTAGAAAGGAAAGAGGTTTAATGGACTCACAGTTCCACATGGCTGGGGAGGCCTCAAAATCATGGCGGAAGGCAAAGGAGGAGCAAAGTCACATCTTATATGGTGACAGGCAAGAGAGCATGTGCAGGGAACTCCCTTTTATAAAACCATCAGATCTCATGAGACTTATTCACTATCACGAGAACAGCAGCGGAAAAACCCGCCCCCATGATTCAGTTACCTCTCACCAGGTCCCTCCCATGACACGTGGGGATTATTACAATTCAAGGTGAGATTCGAGTGGGGACACAAGGCCAAACCATATCAGTGCTCTCTATAGGTATACCATTCTTAATCTTTTAAATACTATTTTTTACTGTACCTTTTCCATATTAAGTATATTTAGATGCACAAATACTTAACGTGTTACAACTGCCTACAGTATTCATTACAGTCACATGCTGTTAAGGTTTGCAGCCTGGGAGCAATAGGCTACTCCTTGTAGCCTAGGTATGTAAGTAGGCTAGAAAATCTAGTTTTGTGTGAGTACACTCTATGATGTTGGCATAACAACAAAATCACCTCATGATGCATTTCTCGGAGCTTATCTGCTTGTTAAGTGACACATGACTGGAGATCAGCTTTGAGCACTTACTGCATATTTTTGACTGTGCTGGTTACAATAGAACGAGACATGGTCTTCCCACCCAAGGAGCTTACTGTCTACTGGGATTGATAAAGCAATAAAGACCAAATGTTGAAGACAGTGTATAAGGACTAAATTGAGTGTGGGACTTGATTGCGCTTACTATAGAAAAGGCTTCACGAAGGAGGAAGGGATAAAGCTGAAGGATCTGGAAAGGCTCAGTTAGACCCCCTTACAACAGCTGGCAGCTTGGGGGTGGAATGGATCTTGGAACACACTCTTCTCCATTTAAGATCAGAGTCTTTGGTAAATGAGCAGAGAGAAACCATGTACCTTCTCTTTTACCTTCGGCCAATTGTCAAAAAGTAAGATATAACAAATATTACCTCCCACCCCCAAAATAAGTAATTTAGAATTGTGGAAAACATGGAATTGTTTGGCTGTTTCTTTCAGAGAAGGAGAAGCCCATTCAATCATTTTGAGTCCCAGAATAAAGCCCACTTCACATGGCTGGGGCCTGGAGAACCTGAAGATGTGGTCTGCTGTAGTATAATGGCTAGCTTTCTTATAGCTGACTGCTAAAGTCACTGATAGGGTATGCCAGGCCACTCTACTTTGTGGAAGAAAAACAATAATCTTTCTCAGAGGCCTATAATACTGCTGAAAAAACACCAAAATTAGAATTAAAATCCTGAAATACTAAAGAATTTATAATAGAATGACATATAGTTCATCACACATTGACCCACCTTATCAAAAGTCAACCAACTGGTGAATGTGACCTGTATATCAAAATATCAAATACATTTCCCAAAACCCAACCTGACAAATACATACTTAAAAAGATCCTGTTTCTTGTTTATAAACAAAAAAAGTTTGTTTGTATTCCTAAACACTTGAATCAGGCTGTGAGAGTTGGAATAAAGTCATAAGAAAAGAGAAATTTCAAGGAATGTTTTGAAAAAGTAATATTAATGGTAAGTAATAAGTAATATTTATTTACTATGCATTCCGTAGGTGCTTTATGTTAATTACCTTATCAAGCCTCTGTGAACTCTATAATATTATTCTTGCTATTTTAGAGGTGATAAAATTGAAGATAGGAGGGATTGCATAATTTTCCAAGGTCTCTCAGATGGTAAACCTTCCCAAGACAAAGCTTGAACCACAGTGTAAGACAGCCTTGGGTGTAATCAAACAAAAATATGAGAAAGAATTACCAAAGAGAGAATTTTTCAAAGTGGGAAGTGAGAAAAAGGATCTACGTAACTTCGAATTTATAAACTGGAGACCCATTAACAGTCATGGTTAGATGAGAAAATTGTGGCCCAGGGTAACATAATATGTCAATGCACAGGGCCCAGGTCTCCTGACCTCATTTTCTGGATTTTCTCACACTCTCTAGACCACTTTGAGCCATCTGTTCCTTCTGTAAGATGCTAAGAGATTTGGGAGGGAATATACTAGCTGGTGATGCCTGCTGGGCTCCTTCATTCCTCAATTACCAAACCTTGTCTAATGTGGTTTGGGATAGGAAGAGAGACAAGCTATCAATTCCTTCTTAAACACATTTTTATTTCTACTTTTTTTTTTTTTTTTTAAGACGGAGTCTCACTCTGTCACCCAGGCTAGAGTGCAGTGGCACTGTGTCAGCTCACTGCAACCTCCATCTCCTGGGTTCAAACAATTCTCCTGCCTCAGCCTCTCGAGTAGCTGGGATTACAGGCACCCATCACCATACCCAGGTAACTTTTATATTTTTAGTAGAGACAGGGTTTCACCGTGTTCGCCAGGCTGGTCTCAAACTCCTGACCTCAGGTGATCCACCTGCCTCGGCCTCCCAAAGTGCTGGGATTACAGATGTGAGCCACTGCACCCGGCCTATTTCTACTTCTTTAAAAAATCTTTCTGAGTTCCTGCATTGGAGATGTGTAGCTTTGTTCTTCTAAAACAATGAAGTCAATATTTGTTTATTGTATTTTCGAGGAGAGTCGCAATTATGCATAATTAAACTCAAGGAGATACAGTGCTTTGTCTAAAAGCAAAAAATCTGTGTTGGAATCTGCAATGCCGTGTTCCATAGTAGCTCCTGTTCTTTGTCATTCTTGAGCCTTTGATGCAGCACATCACATGCTGCTTGGGAAGGCAGAGCTGAGGCTGTAGAGCCAGTGAGGGTGCATGCTTTGCTTTTTTGTGATTGCACATGAAGCTTTCTAAATTGTGTGTGTGTGTGTGTGTGTCTGTGTGTGTGATCACATTCTTAAGCAGGGAAGAAAACAAACATTTTCTAGGCACCTGCTGAGTGTTACACTTATTGTCTCATTTAATCTTTACAGTGTCACTAAGCTGCCTAGAAACAGCTAACCTGACAAAACTAGGGTTTGAACCTGGAGCTTTTGGCTCCAAAACTGTATTCTTTTCCCTACTGTACTGTGTTTTTTTTTTTTTTTTTTTGCTGCACTGCGTAACAGCCTATACTTGTAAAAATATTTGGGGATAAAAATAATGTCTTCAGGCCGGGCACCATAGCTCACACCTGTAATCCCAGCACTTTGGGAAGCTAAGGTGAGTGGATTGCTGAGCTCAGGAGCTCAAGACCAGCCTGGACAACATGGTGAAACCCTGCCTCTACAAAAAAATACAGAAATTAGCTGGGCTTGATGGTGCACCTGTAGTCCCAGCTACTTGGGAGGCTGAGGTGGGAGAATTGCTTGAGCCCTGGAAGTCAAGCCTGCAGTGAGCTGTAATCACGCCATTACACTCCAGCCTGGGCAACAAAGTGAGATACTGTCTCAGACAAAAAAAAAAAAAAGTCTTCAAAAATTTTTAAATTTTACCTCATCTTCTTCCAAAAAAAGGATATCAGTAAGTTACAAAGCTCTATGGAGAATAACCCAATTTGAAACAATCACAACAGCAAGTGGAAAATGAGGCTAACATTAATTTTTAATGTATTTGCAGAATGCTCAGAATTTGCAGTGTGCCTTACCTACTTGTCCTATTCATTTTCCTTTAGCAGACTTGTAAAGAAGGCCAGGGAGATAATATGGTTTTGCCTAAATTCACAAAGCTTAGTTGAGCCTATCCATCTCCCACCTCCACCCGCACTTCACTCCCTGAGACTTTCTGACTCCCCCACCCCATGCTTTTTGGCATTAGGATTTTTGTGATCTGGAAATTGTCCAATCTAAATTGACTGCAGTGATTTTAGAAGGTAAATCAGTATGACTTACAAGTGGATTGTGATATTCCCCTTCACAAATGAGCTAACTAAGCAGAGTGACTTGTTCTATCCTTGTTGCTAGTAAACAGGAAGGTCAGCACTAAGGTTCAGGACTTCCAAATTATCTCCCAACTTCCACTTCACCACACTATTAGGAAATTATATTCTTAAATCTTTTCACTTATGTTTTTTTTTTGAGAGTCAGGACTTAGTAGAAGATAGAAGTGGACTTGCCCATCTTAATTTTCATGTATTGAATCTTTGCAACAATGGGGTATGTTTCATGCATTGCTTTTTATTATGCATGCTTCAGTAATGACCTCCTATTTCCTTCCTTGCTGTACTCAGTGGATCAGTTTCCTGAATGATTTCTTCATAAGGAGACTTAAGGACTGATACTTTTTTTTTTTTTTTTTTTTTTGAGACAGGGTCTTGCTCTGTTGCCCAGGCTGGAGTGCAGTAGTGTGATCTTGGCTCACTGCAATCTCTGCCTCCCAGGCTCAAGCTGTCCTCCTGCCTCAGCTTCCTAACTGGTACCACAGGCACCTGCCACCACAATTGGCTAATTTTTCGTATTTTTGGTAGAGACAGGGTTTCACCAGGCTGGTCTTGAACTCCTGAGCTCAAGAAATCCACCTGCCTTGGCCTCCCAGAGTGCTGGGATTACAAGTGTGAGTCACCGCACCTAGCAATACTTTTAATTACACGTTGGATAAGATGTTTTCCAGTTAGGAAACTTGCATTAAAAAAATTATTTATGGGCCGGGCACGGTGGCTCATGCCTGTAATCCCGACACTTTGGGAGGCCGAGGCGGGTGGATCACAAGGTCAGGAGATCGAGTCCATCCTGGCTAACACGGTGAAACCCCGTCTCTACTAAAAATACAAAAAAAAAAAAAATTAGCCCGGCATGGTGGCGGGTGCCTGTAGTCCCAGCTACTTGGGAGGCTGAGGCAGGAGAATGGCGTGAACCCGGGAGGTGGAGCTTGCAGTGAGCCGAGATTGCACCACTGCACTCCAGCCTGGGCGACAGAGCGAGACTCTGTCTCAAAAAAAAAAAAAAAAAAAAAAAAAAAAAAATATATATATATATATATATATATATATATATATATATATATATATATATATAAAATGATTCTAGGATCATATTGTAAAAAAGAAATTAAAGGAACTTGAAGACATGAGCCAACATGCATACCTTTCCCCTCCTCAATCCTAATTTCTCTTTATAGAGGCCACTCCTCGTAACAGCTTGATGTGTTTCTCTTGAAGCCTTTTTTTTTTCTGTATACCGTGTAATTAGTTTTTTCAAAAATCTTATGGGCTAGTGGTTATACTTGTGGCTTGTGGTGGCACATAGTGGAGTTTTGATAACACCCAAGTTTATACACACTGCCAAAGAGACACAATGACAGTATTGCTAGAAGATGATTATCAAACAATTTGAAATTTGTATCTTTCCCAGACCACACTTCCTCAAGCAAAGTATTACTTAACATACATATGATATATAATATATATCTAGTAAGTCCTATAATTATATTGAGAGAAGAGTCATATTTTAAATTGTTAAACCATTACTTTAATGTCAACATGTAGGACATCGCACCGTTTCTGTGATTCTACTTCACTTATTAATAAACCATGAGCCTTGAGAAATGGATACAGCCTCTACGAGACACTGGCTTGGGAAACAGTCTATGGTTCTGCTCTTCTTGGCCTTGCTACGAACTAGCTATGTGACCTGGACCCATTGCCTAGAAAGGCTTCTCTGATCTTGTCTTTAAGAGGTGGATTCTAACGTGTGAAGTCTTCATTTAATTGAGGGTCACGGCTGGGACCTGGAGAGGCTGCCCTTCCTTCTACTCTCCTCAGTATGTCTGCAGCCTGCCCCCTTCATCCTGTGTGGGGACTCAGGGCGCACCTGAAGGAGACCAGCGTGAGGCTTTGCAGTGGGGTGTGTGAGGGCATTTATGGGAGGCGAGATCTCCAATCGAAATAGCAAAACTATCTGCTCATCTCTGTAGTTGCATACTCTGCCATCTTTGACATCTCTAAAAGTTCAGACATAGGAGTCTTTACAGTTTCATGATCTTATACCTTCTGGGTCTTAGTTTCTTCATCTATGAAATGAGAGGGTCAGACTCATTAGAAAGCTTCTAAATCATCGTCCCATTTGACATGAAATAAATATTTATTGCTCACATATTATGTTCAAATCTGTATGCATACTTTATATGCATTCAATCTTGGGCTTCTTTTCTACACGCCTCCTAAAGTTTGCCTTGAGTCAATGTGATTTTTTTTCTCATATGAATATCTAAAATATTTCAAATGGTGTGGCATTTTACAACTTGCAAAATTATCCAATTTATTAAAGTAATTTGTGCTTTTTATTAACAGAAAGTCATTTCACCCACAAATGAGGATAACTGGATGCATTTCACAAGAGAACGGAAGCTTTTGCCACCTTGTCTTGCTGTTGAAAAATTAAACCTGCAGTGCATGAGGAAAGTAGATTATTCCTGGAAAAATACCATTTTCTCTGAAAACTGTCCATGCCACCAGTTCCAAATTCTGTCAGATCACTACCTTCTCAACAGCATATAAAAAATGGATCAACAATGGTAACACTGAGTAAGAGTTAGCAATTATGCATAGCACTAATAAAACAGGTGACATTTTTGTGGTGCTATTATTTGTGGCAGGCTAAATAATGGCCCCCAGAGATATCTAGGACCTAATCCTTAGAACCTGTGAATGTTGCCTTATATGGCACAGAGATTTCGCTGATGTGAGTAAGTTAATGATCTTGCAATGGGGAGATTATCCTGGATAAGCCAGGTATGCAGCAAGCCCAGGAATGACAAGTAAAGCTAAAAAATGCTGGCAGCCTCTAGAAGTTGGAAGAGTCAAGAAGCAAATTCTCCCCTGAATCCTTCAGAAGGAACCAAACCTGATTGAAGTCCTATTAAAATTCATTTCAGACTTTCGAACTCTAAGAGAATGTGTTGTTTTAAGCTGCTAAATTTGTGGTAATTTGTTACAGCAGAAGTTGTAAATTAATCACTTTTTTTTTTTTTTTGAGACAGAGTTTCACTCTCTCGGCTCACTGCAACCTCCACCTCCCATGTTCAAGCGATTCTCCTGTCTCAGCCTCTCGAGTAGCTGGGATTACAGGCGCATGCTACCATACCCAGCTAATTTTTGTATTTTTAGTAGAGACGGGGTTTCATCATATTGGTGAGGCTGGTCTTGAACTCCTGACCTCAGGTGATCTGCCTGCCTCAGCCTCCCAAAGTGCTGGCATTACAGGCATGAGCCACCGTGACCAGCTAATCACATTATGTTTAAGACTTAGCATTTATTTAATAGTTTGATCTCAGGAGAAAGGGTGAAAACTGTCTTTTTTTTTTCCTAAGAGATAAGGTCTCTCTCTGTCACCCAGGCAGTGGCACAATTATAGCTCACTATAAACTTCAACTCTTGGGCTCAAGTGATCCTCCTCCTTCGTCCTCCCAAAGAGTTGGGGTTACAGGTGTGAGCCATTGCACCCTGCTGACAAATGTCTTTAGGGCCATAAGCAGCCATTTGGTTGAATATTCTTGGAACTCCTTTGGTTAATAAGCTTGTAATGAAAATCTATTTTTGATACAATGCAGAAGGAGATACTGGTGATAGTTACCAACTCTTAGAATGAGGAAAAGCGGGAGCTGGGGATGTGAAGATGCCTTAGTCAGCTCAGACTGCCATAACAAAATGCCATAGAGTGGGTGGTTTAGACAACAGAACTTATTTTTTCACACTTTTGGAGGCTGGAAAGTCCAAGATCAAGGTTCTGGTGGATCTGGGTCCTGGTGGGGGCTCTCTTTCCGGCTTGTAGGCAGCCACCATCTTGCTGTGTGCTCACATGACTTCTTTGTGTGCATGCAGAAAGAGAGAGAGAGAAAGCACTCCTGTGTCTCTTCTTATGAGGGCACTAATCCCATCATGGAAGCCCCATCCCCATGACCTCATCTAACCCTACTTACTTCCCAAAGGCCCCATCTCCAAATGCTATCACGTTGGTGGTTAGGGATTCAACATCTAAATGTGTGGGGGATGCAGTCATTCAGTCCATAACACTTTCCTCATGTAGCTTGGTGGTGTGAGGTTTTTCAAAGGGTTATTCCCTTTTTCTCAGAAATTGGCAATCAGATCCCATATCTGATGATAGGGCACTAACTACCTCTCATCTCAAGTTCAGAGAACTGCAGATGTGGGGCCAACTCCCTGGCTAAGGACATGCTGTGAGGCACCATTTCACTTGTGCTTACACTTCTTGTCCCTTAGTTGATGGTTAATATAAAAAAGGGCTTGCAGGAAGCAAGAGGTCATCTTTTGGGTAGAACGGTAGCCATATTTTTGCCCTCTCTTCCGTGTAACTTTGAATATATAATATGTATATAAGTGTGTGTATATGTATGCACACACATATATATCATATATATAAAAAGATATAGCTTACTGTATGAGAATGCCTTGCATTAGTAGAGGATTTTGGTTTTTTCATCACTGTGTATGCTCGCATTTGTAGTCTCATTTTATCTTCAAAATATCATGTGACATAGCAGATTAGTTTTATTATTTGCATTTTTCAGATTAAGAAACCGAGATCATTGTATAGCAGCAATGGACTATATTGTGTAGCTTTTCCTTCAAGGACTCTCCCATGGCTTAGGGCTGCACTGTCCAATATGTTGGCCACCAGCCTCACATGGTTATTTAAATATAAATTAAAGTTCATTAATACTAAACACAAAGTTCAGTTTCTCAGGGTCAAAAGTCACATTTCTAATGCTCAGTAGTCACATGTGACAGATTAGACAGGACAAATAGAACATTTCTATAATTGTAAAGACTTCTATTGGACAGCACTGGCTGTGAAGGCTAAGGAAAGAGTTTTCTAGCCCTAACCTCTGCCACAGAATCAGCCTTCTCTTCTGCTTTTTGGAAGCCTGAATATCTCACTGTTAGCCCCATTTCCACTCTTCCTACATGAGATTAGAGCTGGACATTGCCTGCTATTGGCTTCTAGGTTGGACTGTGACATTTTCTGCTAGCAGGTAACATTTTGGATGAGTCCTTGATTGCCACCGTCAGCCTATAGTGAGCAGAAGCAGCCTGGTGCAGTACCAGCCACATGTGGAAGATGTTGAACTTGAACTTGAGATTTATAGGATTAATTGAAACATAATCAAGGCACCAACTTTGTTTATGTGACAATGTAGACAAAGAGACTGTTCTATAAGCAGGTGTCTGACTGAGTCCTGGAATTGGTCTTCCAAGATAGAAGACATAAGTATGAGGAATTTTCAAATTCTGCTTCCCCTGCATACTTTAGAGGTTTTTAGACGAACTGGGATTGAAGATAGTAAATGCTTGCTATCAATGGTAATTATTACATTATCCAAACGGGATTCAAGGAACACAGGGACATAGGAAAAAGAAAAGTGTGAAATAAGCATCTTCATTTCCTCAATAAATATTTATTAAGCCAACTATGAGCCAGACATTGCGCTAATTAGTAGGGAGATAAAGAGAAACATATGACTTGGTCCCTATCCTTAGGGTCCTTAAAGGTAATTAGGGAGATTAAAACATTCAGTCACAAAAATAGCTTCCATTTATGTAGCATGCATTCCATTCCACAAACTATGCTAAACACTTTATATAGATTATTTCACTTAAAGTTTCTCAAAATCCTAGGATCTAACCAGGCACCGGTCAAACAAAGATTAAATAGGATTTAAGGAGATGATGAAAATCCCAGCCTCTCCTTTGTCTAAGGGTAGAGACAGCAGGCTACAGGAACAGACCTTCTTATTCAGCATAGAGCCACTTAAGTGGCCATTCAGTTTTATAAATAACAGTATTACGAACCTTTTTTTACTTGATTAATGCTGCCACTCCTTTAGGTCCTTGGTATGCAAAGCTGGTCCTAGGCAGAGATGGCCTAATTTATATAAGAAGTTTGAGGTTCTTCCAAGGGGAAAAGAATAAATACTTGCCCATTACCCCCACTTCCAGTATTTTCTTCCTGAGATTTAGAATTATGGAGGTTATTGGGGTGAACTAGGTGGGTTCCAAACAAGACCTTCTGGCTGGTGAGCTGGGCCAGAGATAAGCATCGATATGTTTGGTCAGGGTGAGGGAGAAGTCTCAACATTGTGCATAGTTGTTAATGGAAATACCAGGTTCACAATATCCTTGATTTAGTGCACAAAAATCTCAGTTCCCTAGAATAAGAGAAAGAAAGCATGTGAGTTGGGAACTTTATTTTATATACATACTGAATGGAGTTTCTGGGATTTTCAGCAGCAATCTGTAGATTTTGCTGAAGCTAGTATTTCCCACAGTTATTTAGTGAAGTATAAAGAGGGAGAGGGAAATATTGTATACATTTGTTATGAGCATCTAGTGAATTAATGTTCCACGGAGCACTTGAGAAATGCTATAGAGATCTGTCCTATTCAGGGCGCTTCCTCTCCATCCCCCAATACATGTGCATTAATTTGCATATGAAATGAATAGAGGAGGGCTAGCTAATATTTGCATCTCAACATCAAGAATATGAAATGACTTCAACTAGAACAGGTGAAAGCATAACTGCCAATTATATGCTGAAATTGAAATGAGGGTAAATTATGAAAAAACAAAATCAGATATACAAATAGTGGGTCTGAGGGATCTGTTTCAATAGCAGTATGTATGAAGAAGGCCACAGGATTTTTCAATGTCAGAAAATTCAATACAAAATAACTGTTCCATGACCAAAAAGTCATGCAAGCTTGGAAGAAGATGCTTCATTAGAATCTAGAAGAAGTTCCACTTGCAGAATGTGGGCTGCAGGAGCCCCACTGTGCTGTGCTGTTGTGTCCTGCTTGGATTCTACTGTTGGGGGCAGATGTTAAGTGGTTGGTTGTTAACCTGAAGCAATTCTACATACTGTGCTGTATTGTTTATTGTCAAGCTGGTTAACATGGAACTGCTTTTCCTGAATCTCCTTCACTGGGTGATTCTGAGGTAGTTGAGTTAGTTGGCCAAAAGAGGTTTTTTTAATTTTAATTTTTATTTTTTTTTAAGATTCGGAAGTCAAGCAGCAGCCTTGCTCTCTGAAGATGGTGGTGGCAGAAGCAGTGACAGACAGCAATGACAGGTATCCTTGTTCTCTATTCTACATTGCTCTCTTCTTCCTGACTATGGACCAATGGTGGCCTGCAGCCCAAACCAGATGCTAGAACACTGATCCACCATTTTTCACATAGATATTTCTAATACATCCCACTTTGTGGCACTCCTTTTGGCAGGTGGGTGATTTGGGCTTCTCAGATATACTGATGACTTACCTAATATCCCAGATGCACCTTTTAGACCTTCACTTCCCTAGCTCCTCCTATAATTTTATAATTTTTATATTAATATCCTTATTCCATAACTCACATCTGCTTCCCAAATTAAACCCTAATTCAGTTACATAACAATAATCATAGCCCCTATATAGTACGCATATATATATATATATATATATATATTTTTTTTTTTTTTTTTTTTTTTTTGAGACAGAGTCTCACTCTGTTGCCCAAGCTGGAGTGCAATGGCAGAATCTCAGCTCACTGCAACCTCCGCTTCCCAGGTTCAAGCAATTCTCATGCCTCAGCCTCCTGAGTAGCTGGGATTACAGGTGTGCGCCACCACACCTAGCTAATTTTTATATTTTTAATAGAGATGAGGTTTCACCACGTTGGTCAGGCTAGCCTCGAATTCCTGACCTCAGGCGATCCGTCTGCCTCAGCCTCCCAAAGTGCTGAGATTACAGGCGTAAGCCACTGCACCCTGCCATGTTCAGATATTATTATCCTTCTGTTTCTGAAGGGTGCTTACTCGATGCCAGGCAGCACTCTAAGATATTTGCATATAATAACTTCTTTATTCCTCATAGCAGTCATGTGAGGTGATAATATAATTATTTCCATTCTACAAATGAGAAAATGAAAACAATAAGATGTGGTGAGATCTGCCAAGGTTTCTTAAGTTTGTGAATGCAGCACCAAGATTGAACCATGATTTCTAGGTCTGGAGCCTCTTCTCCTAACCACTATAGGGATGAGCCTAATCAGAGTAATAGAAGGCCCTGAATCATATCAGAAAATCAGTGAGAAATAATGGGGATCTCTAAAAAATAATTCACAGTAAAGATTTTCAAATAGTCAGGGAGAGTCATAAGGAAGAGAGAGTAAAATTGTTTATTCCTATTCTTCTGGGAAAAACCACAAATATTTGGTTAAAATTGGGGAAATAGATTCAATACTTTTAAACACTCTAATTAATAGAGTTGTTCAAAAGTGCAATATCTTGCCATGCTGATAGAGTTCAACCAGAAATGGAATGGTCATCAGTCAGAAAGATGGCCTGTGACATTTGGCTCCATTATGAACTAACGTTCTTTCATTCATTTAAGAAATAATTTTTGAGTACCATGTATTATGCTCACACTGGACTAAGCAAAACAGACTTGGTTATAGATAATGTTTACAGTCCAGTAAGTATAGACAGATACTACACTGTGACAGAAATCATACAAACAGTAAAAATATAATACAATTCGTGATAAACGCTCTGAAGGAAAAGTAGAGCACACAGAAGAGAACGTGACCTCGTCGGCAGCTTCAGGAAGACTTGCATGATAAAATTTCATTTGCTCTGCATCTTCCAGATAAATAAGAGTTTTCTGGGTGAGTTTGTGGGGAGATGATGGTACCAGGCGAAAGGAGTCTGTTCAAAGATCCGTAGACAAGAAAGAACATGACATTTTGGAAGGACAGAAAGAAGGCCAGATGGTTAAAGTGCATAATGTTGGGGACAACAGGAAATAATATAGGGCTAGACAGGTAGGTGAGGCAGATCATGGAGAACCTGGTGGGCTGGATGTTAATCTTTAGCCTAAGGGACCATTGGAGGATTTTCATAAGGAGGTTGACGTGAGAATCATAGATTTAGGATGCAGTGGAAAGATAGGTTAAATGTGGAACAAGAGAAGAGTTAGAGGGTTCTTAAAATAGTTCAGCTGAAAGATGAGAGTTATCTAGGCTTGGGTAGAGATGAAGAGAAGATAATTTTTTAAATGCAAAACCTATAGAATTAAAGTGTTTTCTTGACTATGGGAAGTAATAGAGAGAGGAATGACAAGGACAATTTCCCAGGCCCTTATTTGTTCATCTGGGTACACGGACTTTAAGATGCATTGAGATAAGAACATGGAAGAGGACTGAGTTTGAAGGACAAAGGGGAAAGAAAAACATGAGGTGAGGTTTGAAGAGATTTTATGTAAACTGCATTTGAACTGTTCAATAGAAGTGTTAAGCAGGCAATTGGGTAGTTGGGTTGGGGCTAGAGAGAGGAGTGGACTTGAGATAAAAATCTTAGAAGATATTTGCATGAAGTTGGAGATGGAAGCTAGGGAGGTAGCTGAGAGGACTTAGGGAAATGGTGTAACGTAAGAAGAAAAGAGGGGCCAGGGATGAGCCTGGAGGAGCTCCAATGTTAAAAGGTCTGTTACTAGAGGATGTGTGGTCAAGGAGCCTGGGAAGGAGTGGGTAGAGTGGTAGGAGGAAAATCAGTGCTGAGTGCTATCTTGGAAACATATAGTGGAGAAATATTTTCAAACAATTAAGAAAAAAATACTGGGCGCAGTGGCTCACACCTGTAATCCCAGCACTTTGAGAGGCTGAGGTGGGTGAATCACCTGAGGTCGGGAGTTTGAGACCAGCCTGACCAACATGGAGAAACCCTGTCTCTACTGAAAATACAAAAATTAGCTGGGTGTGGTGGTGCATGTCTGTAATGCCAGCTAGTCAGGAGGCTGAGGCAGGAGAATCGCTTGAACCCAGGAGGCAGAGGTTGTGGTGAGCCGAGATTGAGCCATTGTACTCCAGCCTGGGCAACGAGAGCAAAACTCCTTCTCAAAAAAAAAAGAGAGAAAAATATCCCAAATATAGCTTTTGGCTCTGAAATTTTATGATGCTATATTTTGGAAAATAATAGTGTGCAATTTTCTGTGGTATGGTTCTATCTTGAACATCCCTCAGTAGAACCAGTGTAGATAGTCAAGAAATGGCTCTATGTAAAGCTTGACATTTGTACAGTGCTTCCACAAATAATGGCCCTTACACATTTGAAGAAGAATGAGGAATCTTTCAGTTGTTTTCAAATAAGGAAACCGAAATTCTGAAAATTAAGTGTTTTGCCTAAAGTTATGTAAGTTGAAGAGACATTCTGATTTACTGGCCAATAAATTTTTTTCTCTTTTATGTTTCCTCATACATAGTATAATATTAAATTTCAGCAAGTCTCTCTTTAAATGAGAAATTCTAAATGATTGACACGTATAGACTTGACTGTATATATTTCTAAAGTTCACAGTTTACTAATCTTAAAGTTGTATTGGAGTATGACTGAAAATATATTTTTAAAATTATTATTATCTAACATTAAGAAATCTATCTGGGTTGGGCATGGTGGCTCAGGCCTGTAATCCCAGCACTTTGGGAGGCTGATGTGGGTGGATCACAATGTCAGGAGTTCGAGACCAGCCTGGCCAACATGGTGAAACCCCATCTACACTAAAAATACAAAAATTAGCCGGGGGTGGTGATACGTGCCTGTAATCCCAGCTACTAGGGAGGCTGAGGCAGGCGAATCACTTGAACCCAGGAGGCGGAGGTTGCAGTGAGTCGAGATTGTGCCACTGCTCTCCAGCCTGGACAACAGAGTGAGACTCTGTCACAAAAAAAAAAAAAAAGAAAAGAAAACTGAAAAAAATCTATCCAGATGTAGGCTGGGCATGGTGGCTCATGCTTGTAATCCCAGTACTTTGGGAGGCTGAGGGAGGTGGATCACTTGAGGTCAGGAGTTTGAGACCAGCCTGGCCAACATGGTGAAACCCCCTGTGTACTAAAAATACAAAAAAAATTAGCAAGGGGTGATCTCAGCTACTCGGGAGACTGAGGCAGGAGGATCACTTGAACCCGGGAGGCAGAGGCTGCAGTGACCTGAGATCGTACCACTGAACTTCAGCCTGGACAACAGATCAAGATTCCATCTCAAAAAAAAAAAAAGGTTATCCAGATGTAAAATTACTACCTTTTTCTTAAAGAATTGTTGCTTTCTGTATGTGTTACTTATCCCTTCAGCACTTTCGTTTTCTTAGTTCATTGCCATGGAAACATGTCAAGGTTGTAAGGGGTCATGGTCAAATCTGTAGTTGTTACATGGTGAGCTCCCCATTGGTGATACCTGCAATTGACGTAACCAGCTGAATTTTGGCTTATGGCACTAGTATAGTAACTAATTTTGAGCCCAATGCCAACCTCATAGGTCAATTAAAGAAGTCGAACAAAGTTTCCTTATAGATAAAAAAGGCTCGCTAAGCTAAGATTGGCAACAAAAATGAATGCAACACACATAAAAGTCTATCATGGTTTAAGACACAATTCTCTTGACTTCAGCCATAATCTGTTAAGGGCATTGCAAGAAACTGCTTAGAAAGGTATTGAGGAGAACAATGTTGTTAAGAGAAGAAGTTATCATTTAAATGGGCACATTGTCTTGTAATGCAACTCAATTCATGAAAACAAAACAAAAATGAATAATCATCCATCCTTTTGTTTCAGAAATTAAATATTAAATAACATTGTCAAATTTTATTCATGTTCAATATTGTAGACAATTATCTGATACTTCAAAATATTTTCACATCTCACATCTGATGCCTTGAAATTTAGTTTTCATTACTTGTCCCTGGGTCTATGAACTCAACAAACAATTTCCCTTCCTTACTTGGATTGTGTAATAACAATCTCTTCTCCCTCTTCCCTCCCTACTGTAACACATAGCTCCTTGGAACGCCCTGTATCCCCACTGACCTATAATCTCACCCATATCAATGGCTTCTCTTCTATAAGTATACAAAAATGTATATTTTATTTTATAAATATAAATAATCATTTATATTTTATAAAATGGCTTTAGACCGCATTTACTTTTCTGCAACTTACTATTTTCGATTGGATCATATTGATTAGTTTTTACATTTCCTATTTTATATTGAATTTACATAAAATTTTGTTAACAGATACAGACAACTCTGGTGCATGGATGAACTCGATATAAGTCCTCTGTTGTGCTTTTGACACCTGAGAGGGCTTATCAGCACAATGACAGAAAGAAAGCCACAGAGTCCAAAGTCTTTGTAAAACAGGAATCAGCAAACTTTTTCTTAAGGAGCCAATAGTAAGTATTTAGGCTTTGTGAACCATATGGTCTCAGTTACAATTGCTTAAGTCTGCTGGTGTGGTGCTAATACAGCCACTGATAACACATAAATGAATAAATGTGGCTGTGCTCCAATAAAACTTTATTTACAAAAGCAAAAAGTGGGCCAGATTTGCCCTACAGGCCACAGTTTGCCAACTCTAATACAAATCTTTCTTCTTCCTATTGTGTCAGTCCAAGATGCAGGAGACTCCCCTCTTTCTGGTCTCCCTCCTCTTTCTCTTCTGTCCTACTCCCCACAGACTTCATTGCTCTAGCACAGGGCTCCCAGTTCCATCTAAGAAGGGTAGATTGAGACGTTCTGTCTGTAGTTGTAAAAGGCCTCCAAATTTTTCATGGTGAGCTATCTAAAAGACAAATAAACTTCTTGCTAAAGTTGATTGTTTCTCCAAGCGCAACTTGCTTAAAAATATTTACCATCTGGCCCTTTACAGAAAAAGTTTGCCAACCTCTGTTTTACATCTACCTTTGGATATAGGATTCTTCTGTTACCACAAAGGAATTCCCTTGTGCTACCCGTTTAGGGTGGCACTCCCCCAACCCCACCTCCACCCCCACCCCATCCCTGTACCTTGGCAACCACCAATCTATTCTCCTCTTCTATTGTTTACAATCCTGCTTTTTTTGTTTTTTTGTTTTTTTCTTGTTTTTCATCTTTGTATCCACATCACCATGAGAATCTGGCACGCAAGTACTTAGTAACTATTTGCTGAATGAATTAATAGAAATGATGTTAAATACTCTTTTTAAAAGAAACATTTTCAAATGGAATATTTCATATTCATTAACACAATTCTGATAGGTTGAAAATTATGATAAGGTTACAAAATACTTAAAATCAGTTATACTAACATTTTAAAAATAATGTTTTCTGAAGTTGTAAATAAAGCCCACAAAGTAGTGAACATAATGTGGTTAAGACATGGCAGTGACCCCAATAGAGGGTTTGTTAATTGTGCTACACAGGAAGTTTCCTGGCACTGCACAATGGGCAGCTTTTCAGCTCTCATCCAAATCAGGAAGGGAGTGCAACCAAAGGAGTTTAAAAGGTTCCACCCTTTACTGTACCACAGCAGAGACAACTGGGGCTGTGAAGGTCTGTGAGATCTGTGGATTAGGTCAAGTCTGAAAGCCACAGCTGCTCACTGTCATTTCTGGGGTCAAAACTTCAAGAAGTCCTCTGGAATGGAGATTTTGCAAAGGAAACTTTGGACAAGTTAATAAGTGAGGAGTATCCCTACATGTCATATCCAATACAAACAGCAAAAGCTACACAGAGGACTATTAGCTGAACCCAGATGCTGCAAGAATAAAGTGGATGAGGCTGGTGGTCCTCAAATTGGGCCACATCAAGATTTTCTAAGGGTTGTATAGGAATAGATTTAGATATTCAGTTTTAGGCCTTCAACTTCCATATATATTCTTTCCTAAGATTGCAGTAGCTAAGATTGAGTCTGAGTTCAACAATTGCTCTTTTCCCATTGGACAAAGCAAAGGCATTTCTTTTCACTCATCCACAAATCTTTCCTGGTCTATATAAACTTAAAGAGTACCAAATAAAAGAGAAGGCTCCATTAACAATCAATCAAGTCATCATAACCTGGTAACACTTCCCGTCTTATATATATTGCAGTTAAAGGTGAAGCTTGTTCTTAGAAAATCAGTATTTTTGTCCTAGTTGGCCTATTCAGATTCAGATGTATGATAGAGTAGGGCCTATCTATCCATATATAGATATATGATACATAGGTATTAGCAGTCATAAATTTCTTTTTTTCTTTTCTTTTTTTTTTGAGACAGTCTCGCTCTGTCGCCCAGGCTGGAGTGCAGTGGCGCAATCTCGGCTCACTGCAAGTTCCGCCTCCTGGGTTCACGCCATTCTCCTGCCTCAGCCTCCCTAGTAGCTGGGACTACAGGCGCCTGCAACCACGCCCGGCTAATTTTTTGTATCTTTAGTAGAGACGGGGTTTCACCGTATTAACCAGGATGGACTCGATCTCCTGACCTCGTGATTTGCCCACCTCGGCCTCCCAAAGTGCTGGGATTACAGGCGTGAGCCACCGCACCTGGCCCATAAATTTCTTTAATCCTCCAACTATTAAGACTGCATAGCTCTGAGGGAAGGTCCCATAAGAGCAAAGGAAAATGGTAGAAAACATTGAACACTGAAACAACTTTAGAAAATATTGAAATACAAGTTTATTTCAGCTATTGTCCATACTTATCCTTACGACATATAATTAGCTGAGAACAAAAAGCACCTTCCAAGAGCCAAAGCAGTATTGATTGCTGTTATTGATTCTTTTAAATATAACTGGAATATTTCCCAGTACTACCAAAATTTTCAAGATATAGTGGCGAAAACCCAGGGATAAAATTTTTACGTAATTCCTTTGCGTTTGGGATGTTATTTAACAATTAGAGCAATTTTATTAAGATATGTTTTGAAATGTTTATTTCAAACATGGTAAATATTTTATTTTATCCCATAAAATATTTAGCATTTCTAGTTTCTATTAACAAAAAATATATGCTAGCCAATCTAATTAATTTTTAGCAGTCTACGCTCTTTCATAAAGTATATAAGTAAAGTTTGATTATAATGCCTAATGAATAGAGTTATTTTTTATTTTAAAGATTTGATCCTTAATTACTCTTGGAAGCCAAGCATTAGAATGTATTTACTAAATTTCATGTCTTTTTATCATACTTTGTGATTCATAAATAACGATTTTAGCAACATATCATGTTCTCATTAGGTAGAAAATGAACAACAGGATATTGATTTAGTTTCTTAAAAACTTATTATGGAATAGATGTATTAATTATATTAGATCTATAATCTTGAATAATTTTAGTAATGTATTTTACAAATATGTAGTCTTTTTTTGTGTGTTTTTAAAAACATATATTCCCTGAAGTGCTTAATAATATGCTTATTGCAACTGAAAAATAGAATTGGACTGTTTCTGACAAATACAGGTCTCATATGGCTGATGGGGAGAAAATGAGACTTGGCCTTCCTAACTAAATTATATGGCAGAGAATTCCCATAACCTGAATAAGCTAAATCTGTAGCTCCAGGGTTTTGATGAACGTCTATGTAAAGCTTGTGATAGAATGAACGTATTTTATCTAAAAATATTGCAATTGCAAAGGGGTATTAAATTTAATAATATTTTGATTTTTCTCAATTCCCTCTTGAAGTTAACCAAGATGAATTTAAATTGAACAGTAAGAAACACAAATAATAATAATTTTCTAAGTTTGCATAAAGACTATTTTCACTGAAATATAGAAAGTGAAAGACTCAAATGTCTAGTTTTTGTTGTTGTTGTTGTTTGTTTGTTTGTTTCAATTCAGGTGGTTTTCAGTTTTTTACATTCCAATGAAATTGTCAGGTGATATATCATTAAAAATAACCTTTTGATGGTAGAGCACTGCTTGGATTTTGGTTCATTACCAGGAAGGAGTTAAAAGGGTCAAGTGACGTTGCTTTTTTAAAAGAAATAAGAATGTCCATCCCTTAAGCTTATGCATGTAAACACAGTTTCTCACTGTTTACATTTATGGAAGCACAGAGTGGAAACAGAGTCAATGCTGAGTCCTGCCTCATTTGGCAATAAGGCCTTTTCATCCACAGATACATGAACTACTATAGAAAAAAAAGATTTATCTTATTGGACAGCACTTGCACTAAAATTTCTTACCTTATTTTTCAGTTACTTATCAAAATTTGTAATATAAAAATGTTGTTTAGATCAAGTGTTTACAACTCATAATTATAATGACAAATCCAGAAAAAATTTGATCTCATAAGACTTATGGTCACAGGAAATTAAACCAATTAGAAGATTTTACGTACAAATTTTTATGTACTAAACAAAGTGTTTTATGTACTAAGTATTTTATGTACTAAATAAAGTTGCTCATTTGATAGGATGATTAATAGAAGACTTTCAATATTACATGTATATGAAATCATGTGAAAAAAGTAGAATGAAAGTTTGAAAAAACCCAAGGAGGCTATAAAAGAGTGATTAAAATTTCTAAAATTTCTGTTAAAGTAAAGCTTTGTGTGTTTCAAAAGGATGATTGTAGTATTCAATCATTACTGGTTAAGATCCATAAGATGGAAACTGGGGCCGTGGAAGGATCCAAGATGTGGGGAGCAGGAACCATGAGGAAGAGCAGCCACTGTCAGAGATCCGACCAGAAGCAGAGAAAAATGGAAGAGGGGGATGATATCACAGGTCCAAAATTCTTCATTTACCCTCACTCTCAACTAATAGTATGATTGTGTATAGAATTCCAGGTTGGAAGTCATTATTCCTCAGAATTTCTAAGGCATTTGTCCATTGTTTCCTAGCTCCACTGTTGCTGTTGAGAAATGTCTCAAAGACATTTTGATTCCTGACCAGTTGTGTCTGTTCTATAGTTTACCTTTTTGGAGGCATGACCTATAGTTTACCTTTTTGGAAAACCCCTTGTCTCAAGTGTTCTGGTATTTCAAAACTGATGTGCTTCACTGTGGGTTTATTTTTATCTACTCATTGCATCATTTCAACCATGAAACCCTCATTGTTCAATTTTGGGAAATATTCTTGAATTACTCTTTTGATTAATTCCATGATTCCCTTCTTCATGATGAGTTTTCTAATTTTCTTTTTTTTTCCTCTGTAATTTTCCATTTCATTGTCATTTAGTTCTACTATAAAGGAGTTTTCCTTAATTTTATATTTAAACACTTCTATTTAATTTTTAATTTCTGCCATCATAATTTTAATTTTCTAAGAAAGGGAATTAAAATTTTTAAAATTTTTGATTCTGTTTTTTTAGTGATATTTTGTTCTTGTTTTCCGAGTGCACATTTTCTCTTTATTCCCTGAGCATATTAATAATAGCTTATTTCTAAAAATTTTCCTCTTCTGTAGTTTCTGCTTTCTGTAAGGATTTTTCTTTTTTAGTTGTTTTGCTTTGTTTTGGTTTACTTATTTGGCTTATATCATTCATTTTAGACCCATGCTGTCTAATACCGTAGCCACTGGACACCTGGGCTATTGAGTAATTAAAATTTGACTAGTCCAAGCTGAGACATACTATAAATATAAAATATAGTCTGGATTTTCAGAAGTTAGAATGAAAAAAGAGTGTAAAATATCTCACTAATTTTTCTGTATTGTTTACATGTTGAGATGATAATATTAAGGATATACTGAGGTAAATACAATATATTACTAAAATTAATTTTAGCACTTTAAAAATTTATTTTAATATGACTACTAAAAAATTTAAAAGTACATATGTAACTTGCGTTATATTTCTAATGGGCAATTCTGTGTTAGACTACTTCCTCAGATGTCTGGTGAATTTTGGTTGTGTGTGTGTATAATATGTTTATGGAGACATAACCCACATACCATTAAAGTACATCTTTTAGGCTAGGCGTGGTGGCTCACACGTGTAATCCCAGCGCTTTGAGAGGCTGCAGCAGGCTGATCACTTGAAACCAGCAGATCGAGACCCTCCTGGCCAACATGGTGAAAAACCATCTCTACTAAAAATACAAAAATTAGCTGGGCATGGTGGCATGTGCCAGACTGAGGCATGAGAATCGCTTGAATCCCAGAGGTGGAGGTTGCAGTGAGCCATGATCATGCTGCTGCACTCCAGCCTGGGTGACAGAGTGAGACTCAGTCTCAAAAAAAACCACAAAAATCCCACCTTTTAAAGGGTACAATTCAGTACCTTTTAGTATGTTCACAGAGTTGTGAAAATCATCACTACCAAACAATAGAGCATTTTCATCACCATAAAAAGAAACCCTGCACCCATTAGCAGTCACTCCTTATTCCCACCTCCCTTCAGTTCCTGGAAACCACTAAAGTACCTTCTGTTTCCATAGATTTACCCATTCTAGACATTTCATATAAATGGAATCATACAATGTGTGGTCTTTAGGGACCGATTCTCTCACTTTGCAGAATGTTTTCAAGGTTCACTCCTGCTGCCGCATGGATTAGTCCTTCATTCCTTTTTATTGCTGAATAATTTTCCAGTGTAGGAGTATACTTCATTTTATTTATCTATTCATCATTTGGTGGACATTTGAGTTGTTTCCACTTTTTGGGTATTACGAACGGTTCTCTTACAAACATTCATATACCAGTCTTTGTGAGAACATATGTTTTCATTTTTCTTGGGGAAAAACCTAAGAGTGCTCATATTTTCAGAATGAGGCACTACTAACAAGCTAGCTGGATTTTCTGAGGATGGGTCTCCCTGAGTAAGGATATGGCTAGAGAAGCATTGTGTCATTACTTTCAGGTTTGCCCTTTGGGCTATTTTCAGATTCCGCAGAAAAGTTCTCTAGTATCCTGCAGGGCTCAATCTGTCTGATAGTGTTCTGGAAATTCACTGAGAGAAGAGGACTGGGCTTTCCAACATTCTATGCATCAACATTCATTTATTTTTCCTGTTTCTATATTATACCTTCTCCCTGGACTATACCTGGTATCCCCTATGATATGGTTTGGCTCTGTGTCCCCACCCAAATCTCACCTGGAATTGTAATAATTCTCACATGTCATGGAAGGGACCGGGTGGGAGGTAATTGAATCATAGGGGCAGGTCCTTCCCATGCTGTTCTCATGGTAGTGAATAAGTCTCATGAGATCTGAGGATTTTATAAATGGGAGTTCCCTTACACAAGCTCTCTTGCCTGCTGCCATGTAAGATGTGTCTTGCTTCCCCTTTGCTTTCTGCCATGATTATGAGGCATCCCTAGCCATGTGGAACTGTGAGCCAGTTAAGCCTCTTTCCTTTGTAAATTACCCAGTTTCAAGTATGTCTTTATTAGTAGCGTGAGAACAGACTAATATACCTTAGTTCAGAAATTCTCTGATTTATGCTCATTAAAGACATAGTGAGAGAGGGACAATACTTGACTAAACAGACTGCGGGAAGGGATCAGGGATTTAACCTTCTTCTTAAACAGGCTTTCCTCTGACATTTAGTATCACCCTCTTGCTTAGTTTCAGAGATACCTGGGACCATCAGTTCCGGAGCCTTTGGTAGCTTTTGTGGAATAGATCAATTTCCCTCTTGGCTTCTCCACTACTAGTTTAGGGTTCAGCTTTCGCAGCTTTACTTAATCTGCTCCAGATTCCAAAGTTCTGTGACTGTTGCCTCCTCTTCCAATCTCTTTTGTTCTTGTGCATATATGGTTCAAAAATTTCCTTGGTACATATTTGGAGGGCTTTAGTAGGGAGTGAAATGAAATGCATATACTCAATCAGCCTTCTTTATCCAAAAGACTCTGTTCCATGCATTTCTTACATGTTGCTTCAAATGCTAAAGGGAGATTTCTCCAAACTTTTCTCAATTTGCAAACAAAATCACCCTTCAAGACTCCTGCATCCTGTTGGGAATCTGTAACACAGAAGATGTAATTACTTGGAATTATTTGACTGACTTCCCTACTAGATGGGAAGCTTCTTGAAAGTAGAGACTGAGTCTTCTTTTTCTTTGTTTCTCTTGGTGTTTAGCCCAGAGCCTGGCCTAATGAGAGCTCTCAGTAAGTGTTTGTTGACTTTAATTGGCATGCAGAGGACTAAGCAATGGTGGTTTGGGGAGATGAGAGCTTTGAAAGGAGAGGAAGATCCAGGTCCCTGAATCACTCACTTTCCACACATGGTTTTTGTCCATCCACATTCTGCTTTTGCTTGTAAAGACACTAATCTATTTCAGGATTTTCAACTGTGGAATTTTATGGAGGCAAACAGGGGCCAAAGCCAGAGAAAAATCATATTTCCTCTCTCTGCCAACAGCAGATGGTGACAGTGGTCACATGAATGTTTTCCCTTTGGACTTATAGACAAGTAGATTTAGGGACAGCTTAGGCAGTCCCCAGGTTTAGGAGTTTCTAGGACCTAATCTGCTCCTGAGCTGTGGAGTTTCTCTAAAATATGTGTGCACAGAGCTCATCATCTTATTTGATGTCCTGGTTATTCTAAAGGAAATGCCTCAAATAACTGCTCTTTGCTGTCTACAGATGTGCTATTTTTTGATATAATTCCCCTTAGATCTTCAGGCTGAGTTTACTTGAGATTAGCTTTCAACTGAGCAAGAGAAGAGCAGAGTCAGTTCAGTCTTAGGAAGCTGGCTGCCTTGGTCTCTTGGTCCCTCCTTGCTACTGATGCTGCTGAGGCAGGAGAGTAGAGTCTGAAGGCAGGGAACCTAAGGCTGATTCACACAAACTTCGTGGAATTAAATTAAAAGAAAAAAAACCCTTCACCCTGGCCAATGATTAGTCTGCTGGGACCTTCATTTGCATAAGGTGCCAATTCATGCCAGCTGCTGATTGGCCACAGACCAGACCTGCACTCTGGCCTATGATTGGCCCATTCCGGGACCTTCATTTGCATAAGGCACCAATCCATGACAGTCGTGGATTGGCTGCAGGCCAATTCACTTCTGCCTCTAATTGGCCATGGGCCAGCTCTTCATTTACATAGGGTGTAACCAATGGGAGACCTCTAAAGGGCACTTAAACCCCAGAAGACTTTGCTACCAGGTATCTTGAGCCACTTGCTTGGGCCTGTTCCTTTTCCATGGAGTGTACTTTCACTACTGTTGCCTTCTGCTCCAATAAATCTATGCTTTCACTGATTGTTCATGCATGCTGTTCAATTCTTTGTTCGATATACCAAGAACCTGGACAAATCACGACTGGAAAATTCTACCCAGTAACACTGCTGCTCTTCAGCTTATCTTGTTGTTGTTCTTGCTTTCTATGGATTTTCTTGCCTTTTATGATACATCCTCCATGCCAGTCATGTGCTTTGGTCTTGAACCTCCACTTTTTGCTCTGCACTTGAGCCTTCTTTTCCTCTTGATTTTCCTAGGTTTTGATCTACTGTGGCCTGGCCCTTCTGTTTTATGTTTGCTTTCCTTTCCATTCTAGGCATATTTTCTAATATTCTTTTTGGCATGGCAGAGTAAACACTGAGATCCTTTTTTTGTCCAGCCTGACTCTCAGCATTGACTAACTCCTACTCTACATCCAGCCCTACTCCTCCCTGCTATCAAACCCATTTCTTGCCTCTGTATTTTCAATTCACCTAGTCAAAAGTTGGCAAAAGGGAGTGGCATAGTGCTAAATACTGTGGCACCTCCTTGGGGCACAGGGAAACGCTTGAATACTTCTTGCAGTTGGAATTGAGACATAAACCGTTACGTCTGATGCCTTGGAAAATGTGGATGGGCTCAGGACAAGCCTGTAAAAAAAGAATCTCAACAACTAGATCTTCAACACTAGGATACTCAAGTGACTGTAGTGAAAGATCTCCCTCTTACTTTACAAACAGTAGGACATGAAGCAGTAAAGGTTTTTTTCCATCAGCTGGAGAGATGAGCAGCAGAGGTCAAAAGCAGCTCAGGGACAACACATGGGCAGACTGACAGAGTTTTGCCAGCTCAGAGAACCATTGCAGGTGGCATTTGGTGATGGAGATTCACAGCCAGGCAGTTACAGAGCTCCAGGTGGCAACAGCAGACATTTCAAGGGCACAGGAAGTAAAGGTTAGGTCAGTGTTTCCTCATGTGCAGCCCCAGGAGAGTCCTAGGAAGTTCTTCAAGCCAAATGATTAGAAAACAAATCAGAAGGACGGCAAGCATTGAGTTGGAACATAAGGACAGCAGAAGTACCAGCAGTAGGAAAATTACATGGGAACTTACACTCCCTTCTTGTGGGACTTTCAGATAAACACAATTAAGGGGAAGAAGGGGTGTTCTGAGTGTTTGCACATTGGAAAGTAGGCTATATTCTAGGAGGACTTAGGGATAAAACCAGCAATATAGTCTTAACCTATGGTTCATATGCCAATAAGACCTGGGGTTATATGCACATTATTTGGGAAACAACATTGCATAGTGCCAAAAGCTCTAAGAGAAATTTAATATTTATGACTCATTGTGGAGCTCTTAATCACTTGCTGACTGACTTTCCTATTTATAACAAATGCAGTTGTACACAGCCATTTCCTTCCAATATAAAAATAAAATATATACACATACCACACATACACAGAAATGCCTCATTAAAAAGACCGGAGGGTAACAGGGTAGAAAGAGAAGAGTGTTAGAAAACCGAAAATGAATGCAAATAGACAGCACACTCAAAAATGTGGGCCACTTGGGGGGAAATTGTAATTGTCATTTTCAGCTTTCTAACACTCTTCATCTTCATTGGTCTGGGAACTGTGTCCCTTTGGCAAATTAAGTTATTGGAAAAGATGATAGTCTTGCATTTATATTGCAACTTATTTGCAGGGATTCAAAATACTTGTCTGTGGTTGTTGAGCTGCCTTCACTTCCTATCTGAATGCATTTTCCAAGATGTCTATGTGGGGAATATAGTATCCCAATTTTTTTGAATGAATGAATCCAAAGCAACCAGTCCATTTGAATAGTCATCACAGTGCATAGACAGTTTCTATCAATGAAACTTGAAGTTGGGATGGAAGGATAACTGTACATCAATCAGGGAGAAAGAGAGAGCTGGTTTAGGATCTTAGCAAGGGAAGGTTGAGATGTTACCAAAAACAATAAGCAGAGGAAGAAGTTAGGATACAAGATCTAGATGGCTAACTTCATGAGAAGTAAAATCAGATGCAGGGTGAGGTGCAGGATTGAGGTTTTAGAGTTCAGTGGAGATGCTGGTGGAATAGGCAAGGTTCCTCCACATATCAGATGCGTCTTGTGCTAGTTCCTTCATCTCACTATATCACAGCTTCCTAAATTTTTTAAATGGGGATGATTATAATACCACTTCACAGATATTTTGCAAAGATAGAGTGAATTAATATTTGCAAAGCTCTTATTATTATATTAAAATGACTTGTAATTAGTCCTCAAAGAAGGAAAATTAGGAGGACAGAGCCTTGAGTTTCAACAAATAACCCATAATTAAGCAGGCTTATGTCTCAGTTATCTCTGAAACTCCATGCCCACCAGAGTGCCTGGCACACTGTAGATGCACAGTAAACACTTCATAAATTGCCTTGATTCCATGTCATGTCCTGCAAGCTGGTACAGACACTTACCTGACGTAGCCCATTCTGGCAGGTGCTATAAGACTCTGGATCTTAGAAAGCAAGTTGCTCATGCTGGAGTCAATCTCTGCATTTGCATCAGTGCTACTAGAGAGTGGTAGCCTAGTGAGTGAAACTGTCTCTTGGTCATTGGCGCTTTTCTGGCACAGTGTGCTCACCATGTGACCATCAGTTCAGGGATGTCCTATGCAGTGGCTATTTTAAAAATAATTATAATATAGCAGCTATAGTAATATACTAGCATATTATTATTAGTGACCCAACATTTTCTCTTAGTTACAATTCTGTGCTTTAAATATATTAGTAGTCTCCGTTCCCATAATGGTGTAGGACACTGTCAAAATGTTCAATATCTCCTGTAGTAATCTTATCTGGGCATCATCAATTGATCATGCAATATCAATCACAATGTATTGAGGGCCTCCAGTGGACAGAACGGAGCACAAGCTATGCAAAGTTAAGATTTTAGGATTTATGCCTCTGGCATTATGCCTAGCACTTACTAAAGCACTGAAAAAATTCTTGTGAAAAAGAACTGACTGGCTTTTAAGGAATTCATGTATTGCTCAGTAAATGCAGTACTAAAATAGATCCAATCGTTAAACACATATTTATTGAGTTCCTACTTGGTGCCAGGCACTCTTATAGGATCTGGAGCTCAAGTGTGGACTAAAACAAGCTGTTTTCTGTGGATATGACATTTGACAAATAATTAGAAAATAAACAAAATAATTTTAAATAAAGATAAGTACTATGATTAAAACACCACAAGGTAACGGGAGAGATGTGTGATTGAGTAGTTATTACTGAAGTTACTGTTAGGAGGTCTTTTTTAGGATAAGACTTGAAATGACCAGAATGTTCCAAGTATCCACAGATCTAACACAAGAATGATCTCATCATATTAGGAAAACAGAAAGAAAGCTGTTGTCTAGTGAGTGAGGGGCCATGGAGGAGAGGGGTTCAGAGGGGAAGGGGTCCAATAGAGTGGGGTTTCATAAATGGCTTGGATTTTATGTGTAATGGGATGCTTCTGGGAAGATGGGTTTGTGCCAGAAAGTGATATGGCCTGCTGAGACCAATGTAGTCACTCAGGAGAGAGTGTACTGCAGTGGGACAAAAGTAGAATCATGACCAGTTAGGAGGCTATTGCAGTGAGCTATGTAAGACAAATAATGGCTTGGACTTAGATGGTAGCAGCGGACATACAGTGAATTGGATGAATTAAAGACATGCTTTGGAGTTACCACCAATAAGCCTTGATGGGTTGGATGTTGGGGGTGAGAGAAATGGAGGAATTCGGATGTCTCCTGGGTTTTGGCTTTAGTAATTAGATGATTTGTGGTACCATTTACTTAAATGAAGAAAACCAGAAGAACAGGTTTAGGAGAGTTAGAAATCAATAATCCTGTTTGGAGCATATTAAGTTCAAGATGTAATACTGTTTCCAATTTTGATCTCAGCGAGCTACATGGCAATTCACTGGAGAAGTCTTATCTGTTAAATTTTTAGTGGAAAAAGTGATTATTGAAGAGTCTGAAAGAAATGGTTTAGATCCCAAAGAGCACAGATAGGAGTCTGCAAAGACATTTTCCATTTTAATGAGCCACGAAGCTACCATAGGGAAAGCTAAAAAGAAAATCCCTGGGTGGCTGGCAAGATGGCCGAATAGGAACAGCTCCAGTCTGCAGCTCCCAGCAAGATCAATGCATAAGGTGGGTGATTTCTGCATTTCCAACTGAGATACCCGGCTTATCTCACTGGGACTAGTTAGACAGTGGGTGCAGCCCACGGAGGGTGAGCCAAAGCAGGCTGGGGCATTGCCTTACCTGGGAAATGCAACGGGTTGGGGAACTCCCTCCCTTACCCAAGGGAAGCCATGAGGGACTGTGCCCTAAGGAATGGTGCATTCCAGCCCAGATACTATGCTTTTCCCATGGTCTTCACAACCTGCAGACCAGGAGGTTCCTCCCTTGGGTGCCTACACCACCAGGGGCCTGGGTTTAAAGCATAAAACTGGGTGGCCATTTGGGCTAGCTGTAGGAGTTTTTTTTTTTTTTTTTTTTTTTTTTTTCATATCCCAGTGGCACCTGGAATGCCAGTGAGACAGAACCATTCATGCCCTGGGAAAGGGGGCCGAAGCCAGGGAGCCAAGTGGTCTAGCTCAGTTGATCCCACCCCCATGGAGCCTAGCAAACTAAGATCCCCTGGCTTGAAATTCTTGCTGCCAGCACAGCAGTCTGAAGTTGACCTGGGAGGCTCGAGCTTGGTTACGGGAGAGGCATCAGCCATTACTGAGGCTTGACTAGGCAGTTTTCCCCTCACAGTGTAAACAAAGCCACCGGGAAGTTCAAACTGAATGGAGCCCACCACAGCTCGGTGAAGCTGCTGTAGCCAGACTCTCTCGATTCCTCCTCTCTGGGCAGGGCATTTCTGAAAGAAATGCAGCAGCTCCAGTCAGGGGCTTATAGATAAAACTCTGATCTCCCTGGGACAGAGCACCTGGGGGAAGGGGCAGCTGTGGGTATAGCTTCAGCAGATTTAAACGTCCCTGCCTGCTGGCTCTGAAGAGAGCAGCAGATCTCCCTGCACAGTGCTCAAGCTCTGCTAAGGGGCAGACTGCCTCCTCAAGTGGGTCCCTGACCTCCATGCCTCGTGAGTGGGAGACACCTCCCAGCAGGGGTCGACACACCCCTCATACAGGAGAGCTCTGGCTGGGATCTGGCAGGTGCCCCTCTGGAATGAAGCTTCCAGAGGAAGGAGCTGGCAGCAATCTTTGCTGTTCTGCAGCCCCTGCTGGTGATACCCAGCAAACAGGTTGTGGAGTAGACCTCCAGCAAACTCCAGCAGACCTGCAGCAGAAGGGCGTGTTAGAAGGAAAACTAACAAACAGAAAGGAACAGCATGAACATCAACAGAAAGGACATCCACGCCAAAACCCCATCCAAAGGTGAGCAACATCAAAGACCAAAGGTGAATGAATCCACAAAGATGAAGAAAAAACAGCACAAAAAGTCTGAAAATTCTGAAAACCAGAACACCTCTTCTCCTCCAAAGGATCACAACTCCTCACCAGCAAGGGAACAAAACTGGATGGAGAATGAGTTTGATGAATTGACAGAAGTAGGCTTCAGAAGGTGGGTAATAACAAGCTCCTCTGAGCTAAAGGAGCATGTTCTTACCCAATACCAGGAAGCTAAGAACCTTGAAAAAAGGTTGGGGGAATTGCTAACTAGAATAACCAGTTTAGAGAAAAACATAAATGACCTGATGGAACTGAAAAACACAGCATGAGAACTTCATGAAGCATACACAAGTATCAGTAGCTGAATTGATAAAGCTGAAGAAAGGATATCAGAGACTGAAGATGAATTTAATGAAATAAAGCATGAAGACAAGATTAGAGAAAAAAGAATGAAAAGGAATGAACAAAGTCTCCAAAAAATATGAGACTATGTGAAAAGACCAAATCTACGTTTGATTGGTGTACATGAAAGTGACAGGGAGAATGGAACCAACTTGGAAAATACACTTCAGGATATTATCAAGGAGAATGTCCCCAACCTAGCAAGACAGGGCAATATTCAAATTCAGGAAATACAAACACCACAAAGATATTCCTCGAGAAGAGCAACCCCAAGAAATGTAATCATCAGATTCAGCAAGGTTGAAATGAAGGAAAAAATGTTAAGGGCAGCCAGAGAGAAAGGGTGGGTTACCCACAAAGGGAAGCCAATCACACTAACAGTGGTTCTCTCTGCAGAAACCCTACAGCCAGAAGAGAGTGGGGGCCAATATTCAACATTCTTAAAGAAAAGGATTTTCAACCCAGAATTTCATATCCAGCCAAAGTAAGCTTCATAAGTGAAGGCGAAATACATTCCTTTAAGGACAGGCAAATGCTGAGAGATTTTGTCACTATCAGGCCTGCCTTACAAGGGCTCCTGAAGGAAGCACTAAATAAGGAAAGGAAAAACTGGTATCAGCCAGTGCAAAAACATACCAAATTGTAAAGACCATCAACACTATGAAGAAATTGCATCAACTAACGGCAAAATAACCAGCTAGCATCATAATGAAAGGATCAAATTCACACATAACAATATTAACCTTCAACCTAAATGGGCTAAATGCCCCAGTTAAAAGACACAGACTGGCAAATTGGATAAAGAGTCAAGGACTATCAGTGTGCTTTATTCAAGAGACTCATCTCACATGCAAAGACACACATAGGCTCAGTATAAAGGGATGGAGGAATATTTACTAAGCAAATGGAAAGCAAAAAAAAAAAAAAAAAAAAAAGCAGGGGTTGCAATCCTAGTGTCTGATAAAACAGACTTTAAACCAACAAAGATAAAAAAGACAAAGAAGGGCATTACATAATGGTAAAGGGATCAATGCAACAAAAAGAGCTAACTATCTTAAATATATATGCACCCAATACAGGAGCACCTAGACTTATAAAGAAAGTTATTAGAGACCTACAAAGAGACTTAGACTCTCACTTAATAATAGTGGGCGACTTTAACACCCCACTGTCAATATTAGAAAGATCAACGAGACAGAAAATTAACAAGGATATTGAAGACTTGAACTCAGCTCTGGACCAAGTGGACCTAATAGACATCTACAGAACTCTCCACCCCAAATCAACAGAATATACATTCTTCTCAGCACCACATTGCACTTATTCTAAAATTGACCACATAATTGGAAGTAAAACACTTCTCGGCAAATGCAAATGCATGGAAATCATAACAAACAGTCTCTCAGACCACAGTGCAATCAAATTAGAATTCAGGATTAAGAAACTCACTCAAAACTGCATAACTACATGGAAACTGAACAACCTGCTCCTGAATGACTACTGGCTAAATAATGAAATTGAGGCAGAAATAAATTCTTTGAAACCAATGAGAACAAAGACACAATGTAGCAGAATCTCTGGGACACAGCTAAAGCAGTGTTTAAAGGGAAATTTATAGCCCACAAGAGAAAGCGGGAAAGATCTAAAATTGACACCCTAACATTACAATTAAAAGAACTAGAGAAGCAACAGCAAACAAATTCAAAAGCTAGCAGAAGACAATAAATAATTAAGATCAGAGCAGAACTGAAGGAGATACAGGCATGAAAAACACTTAAAAAAAATCAATGAATCCAGGAGCTGTTTTTTAAAAAAGATTAACAAAATAGATAGATCACTAGCCAGACTAATAAAGAAGAAAAGAGAGAAGAATCAAATAGACAAAATAAAAAATAATAAAGGGGATATTACCACTGATCCCACAGAAATACAAGCTACCATCAGAGAATACTATAAACACATCTATGCAAATAAATTAGAAAATGTAGCAGAAATGGATAAATTCCTGGACACATACACCATCCCAACACTAAACCAGGAAGAAATCAAATCCCTAAATAGACCAATAACAGGTTCTGAAATAGAGCCAATAATTAATAGCCTAACAACCAAAAAATCCAGGACCAGACTGATTCACAGCCGAATTCTATCAGAGATACAAAGAGGAGCTAGTACCATTCCTTTTGAAACTATTACAAACAATAGAAAAAGAGGGAATCCTCCCTAACTCATTTTATGAGGCCAGCAACATCCTGATACCAAAACCTGGCACAGACACAACAGAAATAGAAAATTTCAGGCCAATATTCCTGATGAACATCGATGCAAAAATCCTTAATAACATACTGGCAAACCGAATCAAGAAGCACATTAAAAAGTTTATCCACCACGATCAAGTTGGCTTCATCCCTGGGATCCAAGGCTGGTTCAACATATGCAAATCAATAAACATAATCCATCACATAAACTGGACCAATGACAAAAACCACATGATTATCTCAATAAATGCAGAAAAGCCTTCAATAAAATTCAACACCCCTTCATGCTAAAAACTCGCAATAAACTAGGTATTGATGGAATGTATCTCCAAATAATAAGAGCTATTTATGACAATCCCACAGGCAATATCATACCGAATGGGCAAAAACTGGAAGCATTCCCTTTGAAAACTGGCACAAGACAAGGATGCTCTCTCTCACCAGTCCTATTCAACATAGTATTGGATGTTCAAGCCAGAGCAATCAGGGAAGATAAAGAAATAAAGGGTATTCAAATAGAGAGGAAGTCAAATTGTCTCTGTTTGCAGATGACGTGATTGTATATTTAGAAAACCCCACTGTCTCAGTCAAAATCTCCTTAAGCTGATAGGCAACTTCAGCAAAGTCTCAGGATATAAAATCAGTTGCAAAAACTACAAGCATTCCTGTACACCAATAATAGACCAACAAAGAGCCAAATCATAAGTGAAATTCCATTTACAATTGCTACAAAGAGAATAAAATACCTAGGAATACAACTTACAAGGGATGTGAAGGACCTCTTCAAGGAGAACTACAAACCACTGCTCAAGGAAATAAGAGAGGGCACAAAGAAATGGAAGAACATTCCATGCTCATGGATAGGAAGAATCAATATCATGAAAATGGCAATACTGCCCAAAGTAATTTATAGATTCAATGCTATCCCCATAAAGCTACCACTGACTTTCTCACAGAATTGGAAAAATCTACTTTAAATTTCATATGGATCCAAAAAAGAGCCCATATAGCCAGGATAATTATAAGCAAAAAGAACAAAGCTGGAGGCATCATGCTACCTGACTTCAAACTATACTACAAGCCTACAGTAATCAAAACAGCAGGGTACTGGTACCACAACAGATATATAGACCAATGGAACAGAACAGAGGCCTCAGAAGTAACACCACACATATGCAACCATCTGATCTTTGATAAACCTGACAAAAGCAACCAATGGGGAAATGATTCCCTATTTAATAAAGGCTGTTGGGGCAAAAGAAACTATCATCAGAGTGAACAAGCAACCTACAGAATGAGAGAAAATTTTTGCAATCTATCCATCTGACAAAGGGCTAATATACAGAATCTACAAAGAACTTAAACAGATTTACAAGAAAAGAACAAACAACCCCATCAAACAGTGGGCAAAGGAAATGAACAGACACTTCTCAAAAGAAGACATTTATGCAGCCAACAAACATACGAAAAAAGTTCAACCAGTGTGGTAGACAGTGTGGCAATTCCTCAAGGACCTAGAACTAGAAATACCATTTGACCCAGCAATCCTATTACTGGGTATATACCCAGAGGATTATAAATCATTGTACTATAAAGACACATGCACATGTATGTTTATTGCAGCACTGTTCACAATAGCAAAGACTTGGAACCAACCCAAATGCCTATCAATGAAAGACTGGATAAAGAAAATGTGGCACATACACACCATGGAATACTATGCAGCCATAAAAAAGGATGAGTTCATGTTCTTTGCAGGGCCATGGATGAAGCTGGAAACCATCATTCTTGGTAAACTAACACAGGAACACAAAACCAAACACCGCATGTTCTCACTCATAAGTGGGAGGTGAACTGTGAGAACACATAGACACAGGGAGGGGAATATCACACACCACAGTCTGTCGGGGGTTGGGGGATAGTGGAGGGATAGCATTAGGAGAAATACCTAATGTAGAAGACAGGTTGATAGATGCAGCAAACCACCATGGCACGTGTATATCTATGTAACAAATCTGCATGTTCTGTACCTGTATCCCAGAACTTAAAGTATAATAATTATAATAAAAAAAAGAAAATCCCAGAATTCTCTCTCATTGTAGCTTTCTCAGAAGCTTTCTATTTAGAAAAAGAAAAAAACAAAACACAACAAAATGTGCTTGTACCCTATTGCACATTCTTTTCCTGGAACAATCAATCAAAGTTGTGTTCATTTCCTTGGCTTGCTGTATATGGAAATAAGAATTCTCAAGTAATATGAATGATGCCTATCTCTATCAGCACATAGGGCACCCTAAGCCTTAACACATTTCTTTAGAACTTACTTCAGTAATAGTTCCCACAGACTTTGCAAGATGGGGAATATCTTAATCTTCATATAAATATTCTTTCCAAGTGGATTTTTTTTCTTCATTGTATATGGATATTTTTTCTTGAAGGATATGTTCAGACTAGAAACTCTCAAAGGTTCAAATATTGAAGTATAAACTCTAAATGACAAAATTGCTTATTGGGCAGAAGGATTATGTGCCCATTAGAGAAATAATTTTTAAAATTTATTGAATGGTAAATAATTCACATTTATCTTTTAAATCTAGCAAATTTTCATGTTATAGTTTAAGTCTATTTCAGAATTATTTCATTTATTATGGCAGAAGGCAATTTAACATACAGATGCCTGCACATGGTTACTTCGAATGCTCCATATTGTTTTGTAAATTTCGGCAATGAAGTCATTAAAATAAATAAAGAATAGGGAATAATGTGACTTTGTAAGTGCTATGGTCTGAATGTTTTTATACCCCCCAAAAGTTTATATGTTAAAACCTAACCACCAATGTGACAATATTAGGACTTGGGTCTTTGGGAGGTGATGAGATCATGAGGGTGGAGCTTTCACGAATGGAATTAGTGCCCTTATAAAAGAGGCCCAAGAGAGATGCCTTGTCCCTTCCACTATGTAAGGCTACAGCAAAAAGGTGCCATCTATGAGAAAGTGGGCCCTCACCAGACATTGAATCTGCTGACATCTTGATCTTGTACTCCCCAGCTGCCAACAGAAAATAAATTTCTGTGACTTATAAGCTACCCAGTTAGTGTAGTTTGTTATACCAGCCTTACTATTACTGAAGTAACTTCTAAAGAACAGACTAAGATTTTGAGAGCCAATCCCTGCTTCTTTCCAATTCATTGCAAGAATGGGTTGATGGATTATAGGGGAGTTCTCTGAAGGTTTGTAATTATCTGGAAAAAAACTGGGAAAAACTACAGTCCAAGCAGCAGGGAGCCTTCCTCTCCTGACAGACATTACTGATACATGTATCAGCTTCCTTTCTACACACAGAGAAGGAGTCACTAATCCTTATGTCAACAGTCTTTCAGGCTGAAGCTTGTTCTCTAGAAGATTTCTTAGGAAGGTCTCATTAGACAAGATTTCCTGAATTTCTGCATGATCACAGCAGCTGGTCTATGTCTTCACATCTTAAAATTTGTTTGACTGGATATAAAAAGCTGTACCTTAATTTTTTAATTTGAACATCTTAACTGTACTACTCTTTAATCTTCTTATATAAAGGGTCTGAGAAGTATAAAAGGTCTGATAACAATATGATTTTCTTTCCATTATAAATGGAACTTTGTCTTTTCCTTGGTGCCCAAAGGATTTACTCTTTTTCTTTAAAGTCTTGTAATTTTATTAGAATATGTACTGGTATTTGGTATTTGGGGCTGGTGTTCTCTGGCATGTAGTGTGGCCATTTACTATGTAGTTTCAAGTAATCTTTTATTTCAATAAAGTTTTCTTGAACTATAATTTTAAGCAGTTGTTCTGTCCCATTTCCTCAGTTATCTTTGGAAGTTGCTATTATAGTTAAGTTGGATCTTCTTTGTCTATCTTCTCTATTATTTTCTTTATTAATCCTTATTTTTAATTTCTTAATTTATTTCCTATTTAAATCATTTTGTTTCTTCCTCAATTTCCATTTCTCTTACAATAATTTTTAAATAAAATTATCTATTATTTTCTTGTGTAAAATTTAATGTATACAAAATTAAATTTCTTCTACTATACATTTATACAATAATTTTTTCATTCATTTTTAATTCTCTCCTTAACTCTCCCAGCTTCCTTTTCAAATCTCCATTTTCTAGGATCACCTGAATTCTGAGTTTCTTTCCAGGTCTTACGTGAGTTATGTTCTCAAAATACTGTCTCTTTCTGTCTGTCTGCCTGCCTGTCTATCTATCTGTCTCTGTCTGTCTCTCTCTCTCTTTCCTGCTCTTTTTCAATTGGACATATTTCGTTACAGTTTTTTAAATGTGTAGTGAACACACTTTCTGGTGTGCTTTCTTTGTCTGTAGACATGTCTTCTTTCTCATCATTCACTTTTTTTCTTATAGTAACTTTTTATATGACTTGTCCATTATCTGTTTTTTAAAAATCATTTTCAAATGAAATAAGCTTTTGCATTATTTTAGAAAAAAAAAGTGGTCCAGGGAAGTTTTCACAGCCTCATGTCTCTAGAGTTTGTTCTTTTATTATTTTCACAAAGTTTATAATAACTATGGCGGTGGATTTCCTGAAATCTACTCCCTCTATTCTCTACTCCCACTTTAATCTGGATCTTCCAATTTTTGGCTCTATTGTTTCTATCCTGCTTAGTTTGGACACTATTCCCAACATTTTTTTTTTCAGCAAGAGAGAGCCTACCCTTCCTGATGGCTATTCTTGAATTGTAGTTTACATTGCTTCTTCCACACAGCGCAGAAAGCCACAAATGTCAATGGTAGGAACTCTGTCTTGGAAAAGAATTCGAATTTGTCAGTTTTGAAGGTTTACACATTCCAGACTGCCCCAGCATCATTAGAACTAGTCTTGTAGCAGTTCCCTTACACCCATTGTTAAATTGGAACCTTGAAAACTCTTTGTTTAACTCGTGTTACTTAATGGGCTGAGTTTTCTAATTAGTATCTGTTGTGATTTTGGGTTCCTCTCTTTCAAAACTGTGAAAAGATTAGTGGCTTTCCCACTGGTTTCTCCCATCAGATATTGTTACTACATAAGTCAGGTAGCTGTCTTGAATTGGTTTGATCATTGTGGGAATATTTTGTTACTAAGTTCTGTTGGAAATATTTTGTTGGGGATATTTTCTTTGATTTTTTTATTCTAGTTTAGTTCTTCTGTCTGGTTTGTGGAGAAGTTCAGAAGATCAAAAAGCATTGTTGCTGTCTTTCACCTCCACTTAAAAAAACATCTGTCTTGGATAGCTTCATGTGCAGCATTCTGAATTTAAGGAATTCACTCCTTAAACACACACAATTTGGGGATCTTTGTAATGTTTTCTTTTCCTGCCACCAACCAAGCCTTTATGATATTCTGTTGCCCCTGTTTTGCTACATCCTAAAGAGAACATACCAATATTACATTAAAAAGGTTGGTTTGTAAACAGAATGGTTAGTATGGGCCCCAGATAGTTTACTACATCCAGGGCTACATTTTTTCCTTCCTAACTACGTCAGCTCAAATAAGAAGTCAGCTGGAAAATTTCAGTTATATATAATTAGTTTTCCACAGTTTTCTCTAAAACACAACTACAGTCATGCACTGCATAACAACATTTTGGTCAATGATGGAGAGTATAGACCAGACCATGGTTGTCCCATGAGATTATAACGAAGCTTAAAATTTTCTTTCATCTAGTGATTTGTGTCACAATTGCCTACAGTATTCAGTACAGTAACATGCTGTACAAGTTTCTAGTCTAGAAGCAATAGGCTTAGGTTTATAGAATTATGATACATCATCTAGGTTTTTGTAAATACTGTACACTATAGAGTGTCTGCACAACAAAATTGCCTAACGATGCTTTTCTCAGAAAGTATTTCTGTCACTAAATGACACATGACTCTATTGAATTATGTAATACGGATGGAATTTCCTCTTTTTCCATTTTGTGAACACAGGCTACTCCTCTGCTTGAATTACTTCTTTAAATGTTATAATATACTATCAATTCCCTCCAGTGCACCAAGTACTGAAAGCACACAAGTAGTGTTGGGAAGAAATTTTAACATGGACTAGTCATAACAATAGTAATAACAGTAATATCATTAATAATAACAATAAGTACTTTATACTCAGCACTTCTCTTATGCCAGATCAGGGTAGACAGAATTTTAAGATTGTCCCCAGGATTCTGGCACCTAATTTATACACCCTATATAATCTCTTACTGATTGTGAGCAGGAGCTGTGAATATGATGGGATTTTATTCCCATAATTAGGTTATGTTATGGGAAAGATGTTATATTAGGTTATGTTATGGCAAAGATGAAGAGATTTTGCTGACATAATTAATTTAAGGTCCCAACTCAGTTGACTTTAAGTTAAACAAAGTTAATGTTTACAAATGAATTTCATACTTTCTTATGCTCTCATGTTGCAGTTTAGCATCCTTTTGTTTAAAATGGAAGAACTACATTCAGCAGTTTTTGTGAAGCAGACCTAGTGGTGATGAAATTCCTAAGTTTTTATTTGAGAAAGTCTTTATCTCCCTTTCATTTTTGAAGAGTATTGCCAGGTATATCCTTCTTCGTTGACAGTTTTTTTTTCTTTCAGCACTAAATATATAATTTCACTCTCTTCTTGCCTGCAAAGTAGCTGCTGAAAAATCCACTCATAGCCTTATAATGGTTCCCTTGTTTGTGACAGGTGCCTGCTTTTGCTGCTTCCAAAATTTTTTAACTTTTAACAACTTTATTATAATGTGTCTTTATGTAGATTTCTTTGGGCTCAATTTATTTGGTATCCTTTGGGCTTCCAGTATCTGGGTGACCATTTCTTTCGTTAGGTCCAGGAAGTTTTCAGGCATTATTTCTTTGAGTGAGCTTTCTTCTCTTCTTTGTCTTCTTCCTCTTGAACTACCATAATGTATATATTGTTTTGCTTGATGGTCCCATAAATTTCTTAAATTATCTTCACTCTTTTTTTATTCTTTTTGCTCCTTTGGCTGGATGATTTCCATTTTCTGCCTTCAAGTTCAGTGGTACTTTATTGATATTTTCTATTTGGTAAGCTATCCTTTTCATATTTTCCTTTGGTCTTTTGTTCATATTTTCCTTCAATTCTTTGTACATATTTAAAATAGCTGGTTTCATGTCTTTGTCTAGTAGGTCCAACTTTTAGACTGCCTTAAGGATAGTTTTCATTGACTGATGTTCCCCGTCTGTACGTGCCATCATTTCTGATTTATTGTACGTCTCTAAGTTCGTTATTTAAAACTGGACATTTTAAACAATATAGTGTGGCAATTCTAAAAGTCATATTATCCAACCTCTTTAGGGTTTTTTGTTATTGTTGCTATTGCCCCTGTTTATTTAGTGACTTTTCTGAAATAATTCTGTAAAGTCTATATTTAGTACCTATGGCCACTAATATTTTTGCTCATTTGCTTTAATGGTCTGCTATCTGGACAGAGATTTCCTTAAATGCATAAGACCAGTAAGTCTCCCAGTTATTGCTAAAGGGTCCTGTGTGTATGTTGGGGCACACTTTCCACACTCAGGCAGTTTACTGCTCTGCCTTATCCTTCACCTACTGCCTGACAAGAGCCTCAAGTTCAGCCTTGGGTGAATACTTAAGGCCTTGGCAGATCTTCCCTAAGCATGCACACAGCTCTGGGCACGCACACAACTCGACACGTGTGTGGTCTTCTAGAGTCCCAGGAAAATGTGGGAGTTTTTTAAAGCTCTTTATAGACATCTCCTTCTCTAGCTTTTGATTTTACTTTTTAAAGTCAGGTTGCTGTTTTCCCCAACTGTTATCATTGCCTTAAGCAGATGCAGCATTAAACAGTTGCACCTATTATTATTATTTTTTAACAAGCACCCCTCGGCAAAAGTCTGTTCCGTTGTCCAATTGGCAAAGCTCTGAGTTAGGTCAAATAAGGACAAGCCATGCATATGGGTTTGCCAGGAAAATGCTAGACAGGTTAAATAATGACAATTCTCTGTAAATAGGATTTTGGAGAAACTTCAACTCTTTTCTTTCACCTTCAGTGGCTGCTAGGCTGCTTGTTTTCACCACAATTTTGAGAATGTTGGTTTTTAAATCTCCTGTGAAAATGTGGAAGAAAGAATGGAAATAGGACAAGTTAAAATGCCATAAAGCATGTTGTTTTACTGATATTTGGCTGTTTTTCTTGAACAGATTCTCTCCAGAGGGTTGTAACTCCTTAGTTAATGTAAAAATTTATTAAAAATTGATCTTGACTATTTATTTCTACTATTCTCTTTGCTTTTATGGAGGAAAGGATTTTCAGAGGATCTTACTTCACTATTTCTACTGACATCACTTCAATATTTTCCGTTTGACAGCTTTTGCATGTGACCAATTTAGAATATAATAGGGATATTTGACCACAGTTACTATCTTGTACAGTGAGGTGGTTGGAGGGTTGAGTTTGGGACAGAATAGAAATGCCATCTCCCACAAGGGGCCAGAATATCAGAGTACTCTCAGAGACCATGGGGAAATAAATAATGACAAAGTACATGACTACTGAGAGTGTGAACCTAAATAAAGGAAAATATTATCAAATATTCATTTAAAATAAACATATAGCAAGCATTTATAAAACATATTTTTGGAAACACGTGTCTCATATAATCTTTGCAAATATATGCAAAAACATATATAGCCTTTTAAGAATAATTTTGTGGAAAAAAAACTTTAAAACATACACAAAACTTGTGAGAACAGCTGGGCGCGGTGGCTCATGCCTGTAATCCCAGCACTTTGGGAGGATGAGGCGGGCGGATCACGAGGTCAGGAGATCGAGACCATCTTGGCTAACACGGTGAAACCCTGTCTCTACTAAAAATACAAAAAAATTAGCCGGGCGTGGTGGCTGGCACCTGTGGTCCCAGCTACTCGGGAGGCTGAGGCAGGAGAATGGCGTGAACACGGGAGGCGGAGCTTGCAGTGAGCCGAGATCGTGCCACTGCACTCCAGCCTGGGCGACAGAGCAAGACTCCGTCTCAGAAAAAGAAAAAGAAGAAGAAAAAAAAAGAGCATCCTTAATTCTTGGTGAACATCATTTTAAAAAGGCTGGGCGTGGTGGCTCACGCCTCTAATCCCAGCACTTTGGGAGGCCAAGGCGGGTGGATCACGAGGTCAGGAAATCGAGACCATGCTGGCTAACACAGTGAAACCCGGTCTCTACTAAAAGCACAAAAAATTAGCCGGGCGCGGTGGTGGGCGCCTGTAGTCCAAGCTACCCCAGGGAGGCTGAGGCAGGAGAATGGCGTGAACCCGGGAGGCGGAGCTTGCAGTGAGCCGAGATCGTGCCACTGCACTCCAGCCTGGGCGACAGAGCGAGATTCCGCCTCAAAAAAAAAAAAGCAAAAAAAAAGTTGTGAGAACAATATAATAACCGACAGTTCACCTTTACAATTTTAACAATTATCAACTTCTTATTTTTAATCTTCCCCCCAAATTAGTTTTTTTGAATTATTTTAAAACAAATCCCAGATATCACATCCTTTTATATCTAAATACTCGAAATGAGATGAACATTAAAAATGCTTCTCTAAGAAGAACATTTTAAAAACATAATTATTTCATTATTTCATTAAAGAAAACTAGCAGTAATTCTTATACCATTTTTTTCCAATAGACATTTGAATGACTTCCAGGTAGAAGATGCATAAATATGGGGTTATTGATGCCTGAAATAAATAAGTTTTCACACCATAAAAAATAGTCATAGTTGTCCCAAGATGGAATGGACTGACTTAGATTTTCAAAGAGAAGCTCAACAACACAAGGCCAGGGTTATGAAGGAGGGCTTCCAACATGAGAAGAATAGCTACACTAGGCATCACATTTTTATTAATAAAATGTTAAACTATCTTAGAATTATTAAGTATTTAAAATGTCTACAAAAGTAGAGAGTATAGTACAATACACATCCAAATATCTATTATTTAGACCATATTAGCTATATAAATACTTTTTTCTTTTTTTTTGCTAAAGTATTCAAGGCAAACCTTAGACATCATGCAATTTTACCCCAATATATCTCAATCTACAACTCTAAAATGTATGGTTTTTTTTACATAAATGATTTTTAAAATCTACTTTATTCGATAGACTGGGAATTCCTCATAGGTGCTGTGGAAAATGAGAAGTTCCAAGGAAAGTGAAGAGCCAGTCTATTCTGAATGAGTTCAGGATAAAAATATGAGGGAGAGGCAGATGATAAAAAAAATTACAAGAAATATACAACATCCTGAAGGTTTATATTTACCATCAAGTCAACACATCAAGGTGAAAATGCCTTTCAGCTTTATCAACTCCTTTGAGTATTCCCAAGGTATTATCTCAAAGGAATAGCTTGTTTTATTACACTTTAAACAGACTTCAGCTTAGCTATAAGTTGTAATGCTTTAAAAATAAAAGGTACAAACTTCTACATAAAGTTTTATCTTTGCTAATATTTAGGTTTGAGCTCAAATTCCCACTAACCGTAGAAAGACTTTTGTAAAAATACTGTTGTTTTGACCATTGAAAAGAATAGGAGACCCAGAGCCTCAAGTTGTTTTCTTATTTATTTATTTTTTTTTATTTTTTATTTTTTTGAGTCGGAGTCTCTTTCTGTCGCTCAGGCTGGAGTGCAGTGGTGCGATCTCGGCTCACTGCAAGCTCCGCCTCCCGGGTTCACGCCATTCTCCTGCCTCAGCCTCCCGAGTAGCTGGGACTACAGGAGCCTGCCACCACGGCCAGCTAATTTTTCTGTATTTTTAGTAGAGATGGGGTTTCACCGTGTTAGCCAGGATAGTCTCGATCTCCTGACCTCGTGATCCGCCCACCTTGGCCTCCCAAAGTTCTGGGATTACAGGCGTGAGCCACCGCGCCTGGCCTGTGTTTTCTTAATGATCACAGATCTGGCCTCTTTCAAGTCACCTGTTTACCCCCAGTCTCTCTAAGGCTGGGACAGTGTTGTCTGTGGCAGCCTCTTCCTCACATAAGGTGATTTTGGGGGAGTATAAGAATTGAATTGTTTGCTGGACATAGACATTATCTTCTTTTGTAGCTGTTATTAATAAGCACAAATATATAATGTTTTGGGGAGTATCTACTAAATATCTCCCTTCTCTGAGAACAGCCCCTTCATTCCTCACAGAAGTGGAGCTCAGATATCTCATGAACATGTCACACAATCTTGCACCCCAGACTATGTCTACACATTGACATGCTTATTAGACTACCAGAGTATATCTGACCTGAGTTGAGTGTGAGATTTTACTCCTAGTAGCTTGGAGTTGGGATTCAGAGATAACCTATTAATGTCTGCCTGTGGAATGTAATGGGGGGAGCTAGGTCAGACGCCTGCCATGTGCAAAGAAAAGGTGGAAAACTGGTCAGTAAAGAGAAAACAAAGAACACCGAGATAAACTGAAGCAGAGAAGAAAAACAGAGGGAGAAAGAGGACAGCCTGAATTCTTGTTGAATTTCCAGTTCTGGTTGCAGTTACTTGACAGGTTCAGTCTCTCCCACATTCAGCAAGTTTTTAATAAATGCATTTTTTTTCTTTAGTAAACTTGAGTTTCTATCAATTACTTGCAACCAAAAGAATCTTGATAAGACAGTTTGCTTATACTTTATGGGAAGATGGAATAACTCCAAGTGTCAATTGTATACAGTCATGAACAGTCAGTTTCAAACAGGCTTTTTGAAAGTCAAGGTGTTTTTATTTCACCAGCAAAACCACTAATCTTCTCTTATTTACGTGTTGTCAATAAGTGCATTCACATCCACTCCTCTGAGATGAGATTCTTAGTGCTGTCAGTAAAGTCAGCAGGAAGCAAGATGTTGATCCAAATCTTTTTGCCCTATGATGATATGAAATCATATCAACCCAAAATGACACCTCAAACAGGGTCTTACTAAATTCGACTTTAGTCTTTTTTAAGATAAAATAGTCTTATTAAGATGCCAAGTCCAACAAAGCAAAATGGAGCTTGGTAACAGAATGATGGACAGATCTCTAAGTGAATTTGTAGTCATTTTTTCTTGTGCAAGGAGGGATGCTTTGATCTGTTTGTTTGCTCACATGGGGACGTTTTATCCTAATGGATGAATACTAACTGAGAACTCAAACCAAACCTACAATTCTGAAGCTCACAAGAGCTGACAGGGTCAAAATTAATTGCTGTAGGTTCCAGTGGGCACTGTTTCTTCTTTTATTTATGGATTAATATTACTTAATAGTTTCTAGGTTTCTTCTACACTCTTGGGGGGGCTTCTTATGAAAACACTATTCTATTAAAAAAGTTTGCTGGTAGCAGAAATAGATTGTCTTTCAAGAGAGCCTAAGGGAAACTAGATTCTGCCTAATTTTACAAGTTCACTTCCCTTGATTTTTTCCTTCAGCAAAGCAGAACACTTTATTTATCCAAGGAACCGAGAACCAGTTCTAACGGGCACATTGGGATGCAACAGGCACAGCTTGGTGAAGGCATCGCAATAGTGCTACAGCATGGTTTGCTTCTTAATGAATGATATAGTAGCTTTATCATTTATTGAACACCAGCTATTTTCTGGTATTGTTACGTTTTATAGCCACCATCTCACATCATTTAACTCTCACGACTAGTAGGATTGTTATATAATTCCATTTTACCAGTGAGAAAACAGAAGCACAGAGAGTTTGTGTACCGCTAAAGATCGCTCAGTGGCAGAGCTGAGCTTTGAACCCAAGCTGTTGGATTGCCAAACCTTTGTTGAGAATCGCTATGTTATGGGGGCCTTCCTAAATACATGTTGTTTGCTTTACTTACTTAGCCTTCTAATAATTAAAAAACCCCAACAAAGTGGATAATTTTACCCATTTTACAGATGAACAAATACTGAAGGCCAGCAATTAAAAGTGAGATATTCAAATCTCTTTATCACTGGTTTTCGGCAATTTGATTTTAATAACCCCTAGTAATTTTTGTGTGTGTGTGCTTATTCTGCCAGAGACTAATTGACATTCTTGGATCTGTGAGTTTAGTTTTCATCCAATTTGGGAAATTACCTAACAATTTCCCAAATAACCCTTTCCTCAAATAACCTTTTTGCCTCCTTTTCTCCTTCTGGGGCTCAAAGTAGAAGTGTGTATTAGACTACTTGATATTGTCCCACAGGCCACAGAGGCTTCATACAGTATTTTCAGTCTTAAAACTTAGAGTTCTGGATACACATGAAAGTTAAATTATACATAGAAAGCAGATCTGGGATGTGGGAACAAATTTTACCACCACAAAAATATTGTGCATTACTCAAGAATTATAATTCCTTTATTTTAAAGTTATTTACTGGAAATGAAAATTTATAACAATCAATCCACATACACTTTTTTTTCCTCCCAGAACTCACCTATTTTATAGAATAAAATTTATGTATAAGTATACAAGTACCATAGTGGTTTCAGATGTGCTGTTATTTTTTTTACTTCTTCCTAGAATACACCGTATTGTTTAATAAACAATTACTCATTAGCACACCTGCTGTGTGCAAGATACTGTTTCAGCTGTACTAGGAAGATGAGAGAAGGGGAGAGTACTATCCTGAAGGATGAGATACAGTTCCAACACTCAAACTGTTTGAGACAGGAACCAGAGAGAAATGGCATATCCACTCATAAAGCTAGCTAACAACAAGGCTGCATAGTGTCCTATCATGGTGTCCAAATTGTTCACTCCAAGACTACCTCTCTAGCCTCCTGACTGCCGGGAGTTGTTGAGTTTAGTGTAATATGATCAGATTAAAAATAAGTTTCCAGAGCTTGAACTTCATCCTACAGGTCTTAGAAACTCAGGAGAGTTGAGTAGTGAATGACCTAATTAATTAACTCAGGGTGTTATAGAGGGGAGAAAATCAAGGAAGCCAAAGTGGAAGGGTCTACAAGAGGGATCCTCAGTAGCCATTTGTAGGTCAGAAAATAGGGAGCAAACAGCTCATTATCTTGTACAAAGCAGATGATCTAACGTTAACACTCACCAGATGTTTCTAAACATTTTTTTAAAAAAGAAAAAACCATGTGCGAGTATGATCAGGTTGCTTAACTTCTCTATGTCTCAGTTTCCTTAGGTTAAATATAGACGATAAAGTGTTTCCCCTCCACAAGTTATTCTAAGGATTTAATGATGTATACATGTGAAGAACTTAAAACAGTGCCTAGCACTTAGTGAGTGCTCAGTAAATGTTATACTTTTGATTCTATTCAGCTATTCTTAAATTATAAGTTCCCGAAGACAGAGTGACACATATAAAGTTTTCCTATTGGTTCCTTGTTCTTATGTGTTGAAGAAAATTTAAAACTTATTAACACAAGACAGTCAGTTCTCATTATTTACAGTAGTTATGTTCTATAAAGTTATCATCAGCACTGAATTTGCCAATCTTGAACACCTGCTCCTAGGGGAAATACAAGCGTAGGTTCCTGTGAGCCTCTAGTCATATTTTTGTCAACCAACACAATACATAGCCTTGTTTTAAATGTGTCTGTTTAAAGACAGCTTATTGAACATATAGTTGATTCATTAATATTATATATTAATAAAATATGGGCATTCCATCATGAGTTACCATGCTACTGTCATATATATTTTATATAAATATACACATGTTTTAAAATACATAATATACTATATGTATATCTATATATGCCAATAGTACTATAACTTATGCCTGAATGAAGCTAATCTAACATACATATTTTCTATGTAAAACACATCACAGCCTTCTTGCCCTTAGGAATACCAGACAGAACTTTAGCACTAGGAGGTTTGGGGGACATTTTGAACAGCTAAATCACCAACAAAAACCACAAAAATGTGAAAAATGTGGCATTTGCTATTTGGAGAAAAGAACACTCATTTGCAGTATGAGAGTTGAAACACAGCAGAACATTCAACCCCAGCTGGGAACATGCATGTTGGGTGACAAAGTTTTTGCCTCTCTGTGCTTGTCTGAGCACAAAAGCACTCTGAATATTGATTTTTGGATTACAAATACATTTTAGTGAGTTAGCAAATTTGCAAATATGAAATCTGCCAAAAATGAAGACTGACTGTAATTGACTCAACATTCCTACATATCTAAAGGCTTTATGAGTTGGGGTGAGAGTCAGGGAAAATTATAAATGTATAAATGTAAGCATTAACCTGGTAAGGTAAAGATATTTCCAATTTCCATGTAGGACAATATTTCCCCAAAGTGTATTTAAATGTATCGAATGATTCCAAACTGGTCCCTTTGTTGCAGAAACTTTCAGAGTCTTTAATACACTAATATACATTGTGAATTTCTTCAAAATATAATATTTCCTAAATTTGACTATTAGAGCCTTTGGAAATGTTACTCTAAGGTATTTCTGACAGATTCACTTAGAATTAATTCTAGTGCTCAGAAATGTTCTATTTCAATAGATGAGCATTTACATTGCAAGACTGTTATTAAAATGGCCAAATGACCACTCTCTAGAATGCTTCCCAGGGTCAGTGGGTGGATTAAGCCTATTTCCAGGTCTTAGATATATTGGCTATTCTCCCCTTCCCATGTTACATTTGATAAAGTTAAATCTCTATGGGTGCTAAACTTGCTGGGAGCTTTCTCGGAAGAAAGAATGCTGACAGGAAATTTGCATTCTTCTTGCTTTCACAGTTGTACATTTTAAACCTTAATAAGCAATTAAAACAATTTATATCAAGAGGTAGAACATACGCATCTCCAGTTAAAGCTTTGCTACGAGAGAAAAGATTGAGAGCGTGATGGTTGAAGATTGACAACTAAGTCACAGCTCTCCCGGCATGGCCTTAGAACTACATTGTCTTAATGAGAAACAGGGATTTAGCCCTTGGACGTGAAAGATGTTTTCACTCGTTTTCAGTTTACTCCTCCCAAGTCCATTGCAGATAGATCTCAAGGCTATTAGTTTAAGACTTTGTTAAAAGCTTTCATGTGTTTCTTAGAAATATCACAGATAATTTCTTTCTGAAATGGTTTTCTCTAATCTTAAGACTTTAAATGCTGTAAAGTCTGTCATGACTACTTTGTTTTTCTCTATGTTAGAACCAAGAAACAGGGATGACTGCTTGAAAAAATGAGCCAAAGCCCTGAGGATCTGTAGGAGTCGAGAGAGAGAGAGAGAGAGAGAGAGAGAGAGAGAGAGAGAGAGAGAGAGAGAGAGAGAGAAAGCTCAGACAGGAGGCTGGTGGAAGCACGGGTTTAAGAGCCATTGGCTTGGACGCGTATTCTAGGCCCTCCACATCCTGTCTGAGAGATCTTGGCCAGTGTACCGAATCTCATTGTGCCTTATTTTCTCACTAGAAAGGTAGGAGTTTAAATGGTATGTATCTACCTTGATCAGTGAGGATTTAGGTTTAGCTGCATGTAACAAATGTGAGTTCAGTGGCTTGTGCAAATAATGTTTATTTTTCTAGGGTAACAAAAAGTCAGGAGTAGGCAGTCCAGGGATGAAACAATGGCCCTGGGAGACCATCCATGTTCCGGACTTTAAAAAATAGTTTTGTGTCACTATCCTTAATGTGTGGAGCAATATGCGACTTTTATTCTCATGGTCTCAAGACAGCTTCTATGCCTACCGATACTTATATTCCAGGCAACATCAGAGACAAAGGAAAAGAGATAAAGCATAACATATTTTCCTTAGACTGCTCTGCCCTATTGTTTGGTAATGCAAGCCCTTCCCAAAACCTCTGCCTCCTTCTCATTGAATAGAACTGCATCGCATGACCATGAAAGGGAAGCTAGACATTTCAATAATTTAGCTAACCATATTGCCACACCCAAACAAAAGGAAGTTCTTATTTATGTGGAAAAAAGGAGGAAAAGGGATATTGGCTAAGGAAATAGCAGTGTCTGGCACACTTGTAATGATGTCACATGGATCTACTGAGTTAGCATTTGTAAAGAACTAAGAACCATGGTGGAATATAAGAAGTATCCAATAATTACTAGTGAATGTTTATAAGAAACTTAGAATGAAGCAAAGACTAGATACGGATGCCTTTGAAAAGAAGAAAAATAAACTCTCCACCTATCTCCTCCTCCTACATCGACTCCCTGGCTCTCCACCAAGTGCAAACTGCCTTCTTAATATGTTCTTATCGCCTGATTCTCTTTTTTTTTTTTTTTAGACAGAGTCTTGCTCTGTCACCCAGGCTGGAGTGCAGTGGCACAATCTCAGCTCATTGCAACCTCCGCCTCCCGTGTTCAAGCAATTCTCCTGCCTCAGCCTCCCGAGTAGCTGCAACTACAGGCGTGTGTCAAAACACCTGGCTAATTTTTTGTATTTTTAGTAGAGACGGGGTTTCACCATGTTGGCCAGGCTGGTCTTGAACGCCTGACCCATGATCCACCCGCCTCAGCCTCCCAAAGCACTAGGATTACAGGTGTGAGCCACTGTGCCCAGCCTCTGATTTTCAAATACTTGAAGACTCCTCATTTATTGAAATGGTGGCTTTTGGCCCAAGGCTCTTTTGGACAATGATAACTCATGGTTGTTTCTGCTGTCATGCTCTTTCAATCTGTGGAATGTCACTAGGAGAAGACATGGGACAGAGGAAAACAAAATGGCCTTGATGCAGCCAAACACCTGGCTGCAACGACATGGCAGTTCTCAACATTGGAGCAGGTTCAATGGCCAAATATGAGCTGAGACTTACAAAGTATTGCACAGGCAAACTTTTTTTTCTTTTTTTGAGAGGAAGTTTTGCTCTTGTTGCCCAGGCTGGAGTGCAATGGCGTGATCTTGGCTCACTGCAACCTCCAAGTCCTGAGTTCAAGCAATTCTCCTGCCTCAGCCTCCCATGTAGCTGGGATTACAGGTGTGTGCCACCACACCTGGCTAATTTTGTATTTTTTTTTTTTTACTAGCGATGGGGTTTCACCATGTTGGTCAGGCTGGTCTTGAACTCTGACCTCAAGTGATCCACCTGCCTCGGCCTCCCAAAGTGCTGGGATTACAGACGTGAGCCACCGCACCCAGCCCAAACTTTCTATTTAACTCTTTCCATGAATATTTTGCTATAAGGCACTAGCATCTCAGACACCATTGTCAAATATCCTTAAAACAGAAAAACTGGCTGCTGCTATCTGTGATTTCCTTTAAAGCGGTACTTCTTCTTGGATATTTTAAAGAATTTATCTACTCAACTCAGAGTGCAGCTAGAGGCTTTTTTCCCTCCTTCTTTCCCCCTTTTCTTTGCCAAAAATTTATTAAGCATGTACTATAAACTTAATAATAATAGCATCCATACTGGAGAGACAGTTTTAGTAAGTCATAATTCATTAACTCATTCCCCAAATATATCTCTGTGTGCTTCCTATGTGGTGGTACACTTTGTGAACTGACTAGGGTACAATGATGTACACAATAAGGAACAGGATAAGGCCTGAATTCTGAGTTCTCCATGGCAGACAGATAAGTAAACACAGGACTACAATACACCAAGGTAAGTGACGTGAATGAGCGGACGCCAATGTCAACTGCAGGCTGGCTGGGTTTGGCTTAAGCTAAGAGCACTCCAATGCTATCTCCCTTTAGAAGAGGGGAATGTTTAATTGGGGTGATGCTTAAAAGTAACAGAGAAATTGAAAAATCCTTTCTCTCACTTAGATTTGTTTGATAGAATATACCAAAAATAGTATATACTTTCTTTGAGATGCTTTGAAGCTATGAAAGTGTGAGCTATAATAATTTGCCTTCAAGTTATTCATAAAAATCTTGGTTTTTCTATCAAGTTTTGCCCTAAGAAAAACATAACTTTTAGTGGAGGAAAAAAACATATAATGTGCATGCTATTATTTGTTGCCTGAGGGATGTTTCAATTTTGTCTTACAAAATTAAATGAGATTTCAAAAGCATTCATCAGGGAAATAGTGGGATAACTATTGGAGAAGTGGTAGGTATTTTTTGAGAAAAAAGTCTGTAACTTGGGAGAATCACAGAATCACAGAATTTCTAGGCTTGCTGGGACCTTAACTACCTGGGATAGAATGTATAATGTGGTATGTAGAAATTACAAAAAAAAAAGTGAACTGGGATTACAGAATCCAGCATTCTACATTTTTTTAAATGTTTCATCTCCCATTCAGAGGCTTTGATGTGAGTACTGATGGAGTGAAATGCGACCATCTCATATCTCTTTGAATGCATTACTGCAAACACCATGTTCTGGTAAAGAGGAAGGAAGACATAGTAAATAAACTATACTCAGAATTTAAAATTTTAGTACGGATTTAGGGAAATTCTTTACAGTCAGCTTTTTACATGTGAAATACAGCAAAATGTATAAATGAAAAAAGAGCTGATTTTGTGTTCATATAAATGCATATGTTAGTAGGAATCATGTACCATGTAACATTAAAATACATAATATAATATGTCATATGTGATTTTATAATGTAAATGAGTCTTAGGGAGTACACTATGCATACTGCGATTTAGCTAGAATTACTATGACAACCATAACTTTTGCATTTCCTCATTTTTTTTCCAGTATGAATTTGCAACTTAAATGTCACATTATCATGGATTTTGGCTTTCTTTCTCTATGTAGTTCAAAAAGAAAAGTCACACACCAGTGCTCCTGTTAAGTCCTCATTTAATTAAGTGTACCTCCTGAGCAGGTCACACTTGTTCAGGGATCAAACATCTGGGTGGGTACCCTTGCAGTTAGACAAAAAAAGAGAGAAAAAGGAAAGACTATAGCAAAGTCTTAGTATAGAGTTTGAAAAAATTTATAACATGTATAATTGATAATCAGTGTATCAAATTCTCCTACCATAGATTTTTTTTCTTCCAAGTTATTCATTGGTAGAAAAACAACATAAGAAAAAGGGGACATGATTTGACTCTTAGGACATAAACGCACAGAAATTTTATTTCCAGATTGTTCAAAAAATTATAAATAGAGGAGAATCTTTTTATGATGTGGCTGCTTGGCTTAACCATATCCTACATTTAGCTTTACGGAGTGATCATTTTTCCAAGGTCTGATTCACCCCATGTTTTTATTTGAATTTATAGAATTTAGCTGTCTTTTCATGGGGCTTAAGTGTGTCACGTAAAAGTCTCCAAGCTATGTTTGCTTGTCCCTTTTGTCCCTTTGTTATCAAAATTCATCATTTCTGGTTCATCTGTGTGCCATTTTGAAAAGTAACAAATACTAATTTAGTACTCTAAATTATTTAATGGAGTTTTTTTTTTTTTTTTTTTTTTTTTTTTTGAGATGGAGTCTCACTCTGCTGCCCAGGCTGGAGTGCTGTGGTGCAATTTTGGCTCATTTTTTTTTTTTTTTTTTTGGTCAGTGTTGACCAGGTTGGCCTCAAACACATAGCCTCGCCTCCCTGTGCGCTTGCAGTCTCTCATCTTAGAGGTCCAACAGTCTTACAGAGGAATAAGTCAGTTATGGTTATCTACTCCTGCCAGAAGGTCATGCAGCATATTATGTAGCATGCAGTATATTATGTAGTGAGTTCTAAAAATAAAATGAAACAGAAAATATCACATAAGGGAATTAAATCAGTAAGTACATTCACATTCATTCATTTAACAAACATTTATTGGGGATCTCCTCTATGCCAGGCACTACATACATACACACACACACACATACACACACACACACGCACCCCAAACTAGACACAGTGCATGTATATCTTGACCTTGTACAAATGTGGGAGGAGCTGGGGAAGCAAAGATCTGGAAAGGGGCAGTTGGAATATTAGAGACTGAGCTACTATCCAGTTATCAGGAGATTGGCATGTGTGGACAAGTGGGTGCTTGCAGGGAAATCCAAGAAACTGAGTGTATTCTAATACTAAAGATAGTCTGTTAAGGGATCTATGTTGCCTCTATATTGAGCGTCTGGGGTGGGTCTGGTCTGCTATTCATTAGCATAGCCAGCATTCAAGGAAACAACTGGATGTTGAGCACAGGAAACTTGAGGCAAGATAGGAACTGCTAGGCATTTCTGCATCTTTCCATGATAGTGCCTGGTTTTGAAAAAGGTTTTCTCAGAGTAATGATAGTTGCTTCACATTGTCTCTCAAATATCATGCAAGTTTCTCCTTTGGTCAGCTCTAATCAGCTACCAAGGGAGAAAGAAATCCTAGTTCCTAATGTAACCAAGGTGACAGTAGCACAATCTAGCACTACAATGTTCAATATAGAAACATTGCTGCTCCTGGCATGCTTAAAAACTTACAGCCCATATAATGGAGTTATTATAGAATGCAGGGAAGAAGTGAATCTAAGTTTGTTCCAATAGGAGAGGGCTTTGCAGAGTTAACAAAGGATTGTTAGAATGGCTCACGGACCTATGGTTTAGGAAAAGGAAAGACTGGGGGATTGTGTAACAATTCATGTAAAATACATATGAAACCAAACACTTAGATTGCATGAATTAGATGACATTATTTCTATTTTTTCTTAAGAGAATTGAGAGGATGAAGATAAGGTGACTTATGCAAGGTTATATAACTATCAAATACTTGAATTCTAACTTGGTTTTTCCAAATCAAAATTCTCTCTTTTTCTCTTGTACTGTTGCGGCCTTCTGAGTGACCTCATAATTAAAGGTCTTCATTTATTCAATAAGCACTTGTTGAATGGTTATACTGTGCACAACCTGAGAGTTGGTTCTGAGAATGGGTGTAGAACAATCTCTGCCCTTGAGGACCACATTACCTTGCATAAGAGACATACACTGAACTAACTTATAAGAAAGTCTCCCTTCCGCACCTGGTAGCAAGACAGTAAGGTTCAGTGGGAGCTCAGAGGAGGAAGAGAGCAATTCTGAGTAATGGCAAGAGAGGGCTTCACAAGGGCACCATGGAGTAGCCTTCAAGAGGATTATTAGAACCAGATTACTTGGGTTTGGGTTTAAATCTCAGTGCCACCATTTAACTAGCTGTTTCCCTTGGACAATTTGTTCATTCTCCCTTGCTTCAGTTGCTACAGTTATAAAATGGGATGGTAGTAATATTTCCTATCCCTGAGGCAGGACTATTAACTGAGGTGATAGTTGTAAAGAGCTAAGAGTAGTACCTGGTACATACTAATAGTAAGAACTGCCATTAAGAATTAAAACTGTAGCATTTACAACCACTATGGTGAACAGTTTGAAGGTTCCTCAAAAAACTAAATATAGAGCTACTATATGATCCAGCAATCCCACTACTGGGTATATACCCAAAAGAAACGTAATCAGTACATTGACGAGATATCTGCACTTCCATGTTCGTTGCAACACTATTGACAATAAACAACACTTGGAAACAACCTAAGTGTCCACCAACAAAAGAACGGATAAAGAAAATGTGGTACCTCTGAACAATGAAGTAATATTCACCCATAAAAAGGAACGAGGTCCTGTCATTTGCAACAACATGGATGGAACTGGAGATGACAATGTTAAGTGAAATAAGCCAGGCACAGAAAAACAAACATTGCATGTTCTTACTTATTTATGAGCTAAAAAATCAAAACAATTGAACTCATGAACATAGAGAGTAGAAGAATGGTTACTAGAGGCTGGGAAGGGTAGTAGGGGGCTGGGGGGAGGTGAGGACGGTTAATGAGTACAAACAAATTAGAAAGATGAATAAGACCTGCTTTTTGATAGCACAATATGGTGACTATAGTCAATAATAACTTAATTGTACATTTCAAAATAACTTAAAGAATATAATTGGATTATTTGTAATTGAAAGGATAAATGTTTGAGGGGATGGACACCCCATTCCCCATGGTGTGCTTATTTGACATTGCATGCTTTTATCAAAACATCTCATGTACCCCGTAAATATATACACCTCCTATGTACCCACATTTAAAAAAATTTTAAAAACTGTAACATTTCATTTCTATACAGAATAAGAAATATAAATAAAGGAAAAGTATAGGGAATAAAAGAATGTGGGTGAGGAAAATTACAAGGAACAAACCATAGAAACATAAGACTCAGGCTTAGGAAGGAAACATAGAAAGCATATGGCCAGTGGTACTCATGGAAACTAGGCTAAATTGCAAAGTATGAGTGTGTGTATTTGTGTGTTTTGGTGTTTTGGGGTGGCATTTCTAATTATATATGAAACTAACATGAAGGAAGTTGGAGAAGTTGAGTGAATCAGGACCCAAGATAGGAAGCCATGACAGTGGAATGGACAAAAACACAACTAACTGGATGAAAAAGGTTTCAAAGCATAAAAAGATTGGAGGTGCAACTCGTCACATAAGAAAGGTCAAAGAGCATCAGGACTAAGTGCAGGGATTTCTGGGAGCTTTCTGGCATTGCCTTTGACTCTGAATGGCAGTAGGGGAAAGCTAAGAGATAGTGAAAAAGACACACACACCTGTGAAGACCTTAAGACATTAGGTTACAGATGCTCTCAAGAGGAACATGGGAATTTCCTATGGTTTGAGTGTGTTCCCCCAAAGTTCATGGGTTGGAAACTTAGTTCCCCAGTGCAATGATATTAAGAGGTGGGACCTTTAAGGGGTGATTAGGTCATAAGGGCTACACCCTCGTAAAAGGATCCATGTTGTCATCTTGGAAGTGGGTTAGTTATCTCAGAAGTGAGCTTCTGATAAAAAGATAAGTTTGGTCCCCAGTTTCTCTCTCTCTGTCTCTCTTGCATGTGCTTCTTTGTCATATGATGCCTCTCACCATAGGGTGACGCTTGACAGATGCCAGCACCATGCTCTTGGACTTTGCAGCCTCCAGAATGATGAGCCAAATAAACTTCTATTCTTTATAAGGTACCTAGTCTGTGGTGTTCTGTTATAGCAGCAGAAAACTAAGATAGGAAGGAACAGAAAAGAAAAAAAAAAGAGAGAAGCCAGGATTAGAGACAGATTTCTATATGACCTGTGACTGTTAGGAAAACTTATAGAAAGCAGCTCTCAGGGAGACCAGAGGTTTTCAAGTGAAAAGGAAATGGATTTCCTACAAGGTGATCCTTGGTGAGTAATTAGAAACATAGCTTTATCTGAACCCCAAAGAATTCCAGTACAAATAAAGATAACTTTAAAAATCTTCTTGTAATTAGAAACAAAAAACTTAAAAAAAAACCATGATGAAACTTAAAACATAATTAAAATTGAGTGATATTGAAGATACTTCTAGTAAATAATTTGAAATTTGAAAAATGCTAATAAAGTGGAACTTAGAAATATGTAGAAATATGTAGCCTTATATTAGAAAACAAGAAAGGCCAAAAATTAATGAGCCAAGTATTCAACTTGGGAAGTAAGAGCAATAAAACCAAAAAAAGTAGACTAGGGAAGATAATAAATATGAACATAAATTAATGAATTAGGGAAGATGGAATAGAGAGGATCAAGAGAGTTAATAGACTGTTAAAAATAACAGATCTTGTAATTCCAGCACTTTGGGATTCTGAGGTGGACGGATCACGAGGTCAAGAGTTTGAGACCAGCCTGGCCAACATGGTGAAACTCCGTCTCTACAATAATACAAAAATTAGCCAGGTGTGGTGGTACATGACTGTAATCCCAGCTATTAGGGAGGTTGAGGCAGGAGAATCTCTGGAACCCTGGAGGCAGAGGCTGCAGTAAACTGAGATTGTGCCACTGCACTCTAGCCTGGGTGACAGAGTGAGACTCTGCCTCAGAAAAAAAAAAAATTTGAAAAGTGCAATAAGATTGACTCTAATGAGAGTAATAAAGAAAAAAATGGAGTAAGAAATAATAAGAGAAATTAAAAGGGTCACAAATACATAGGAAACAGAACTTTAAAAAATAAAAAATAGTAAAAAATAGTTTAATAAAATAGTGTCCTATTTTATATAAATAAAGTTTTAAAATTTTGGCCTAATGAACAAATTTTGGGAAAATATATCTTCAAGAAAGTATCAAAATTAAATATAAAATGCAAATATGTTCTGATCATTAAAAGAACAGAATCAAAAATTTAAAGGCTTCCTAGCAAGTTATACTGGCAAGTTCTAACAAACATTGTAATTCCAAATATTCATAAATGCTTCCAGAGAACAGAAAATATAGGGAATTCTCTAACTCATTTTATGAAGTTGATATAACTGTAATATAATACCCAGATACAAGGACAATACAAGAAATAAAATCATAGGCCAATCATATCTATGAATGTAGATGCAATCAAAATACTAATAAATAAAATCCAGAAACATCAACAAGTGATAATAAATAAGGACTGAGCTGGTTTTACATAAGAAATATATGTTTGGTTTAATGTTATAAAATTTATTTACTTCACCACATTGACAGATTAAAGGAAAAAAACCATCTGAGCATGCTGATTTTACCATTTGCTAATATTCACATGGTAGAAAACTAGAAACAGAGAGGAAATTTCTAAATTGATAAAAGTAGCTACAAATATTTCACAGCAAAGATCATTCTTGATGATGAAAAGTTTAAAGAATTTGCCTTAAAGTCAAGAACAAAGGAGAAATGACCACTATCACCACTTCTGGTCAATATGACCACATTAAAAGAAGAAAAATAATTCATAAGGATGTAAAAGAAGAAAAACTGTGATTAAGTCCAAATGGTATCATTGTTTACATAGAAAACCAAAACCGACTGATTTGTAGAATCAAGAAAGAAGTTTAGCAAGATTGACAGGTAGAAGAGCTATGTGTAAAATCAATGTCATTCCTAAGTGCCTTTAACAACAATTAGAAAATGAACTAAAAAAGGTACAACTTAGAAAAAGAACCAAAAAAAACCCCACAAAGTACTTATGAATAAACTTAATCAAAACATTTCCAAAAGCTGAAAAATAAAATAAAAAATTGTATTATATTGTACTTAAAAATTACATAAACGGAGAGAAATATCATATTCATGCAAAGGAAGGTTCAATCATCCCAAACTCAATATAGAAATTTAATGTAATTCCAATAAAAATTAAAAAAAAAATTTTTGGAACTTGCAGTGTGATTTTATAATTTATAAAATCTTATAGGATCAAGAATAGACAAAACCATTTTGAAGAAGAATCAGACAGAGACACTTATCTTACTAGATTATCAAGACTTTGTTACAGAGTTATAAGTAATACAGTGTCATACTGGTTCAAGAAGAGACAAATAGACTATATTAGTCAGGTTTCTCTAGAGGCACAGAACTAATGGGAAATACATATATATAAAAAGGGGAGTTTACTAAGTATTAACTCACATGATCACAAGGTCTCACAATAGGTTGTCTGCAGGCTGAGCAACAAGAAGAGCCAGTCCAAGTTTCAAAACTGAGGAACTTTGAGTCTGATATTTGAGGGCAGGAAGCATCCAGCACGGGAGAAAGATGTAGGCTGGGAGGCTAGGCCAGTCTCTCTTTTCACATTTTTCTGCCTGCTTATATTCTAGCCTCGCTGGCAGCTGATTAGATTGTGCCCAACCAGATTAAGGGTGGGTCTGCCTTTCTTAGCCCATTGACTTAAATGTTAATCTCCTTTGGTAACACCCTCACAGACACACGCAGGATCAATACTTTGTATCTTTCAATCCAATAAAGTTGACAGTATTAACCAGCACATAGACCAGTATGATAAAGGGTATAGAAACAGATCTAGGTATATATGTAATCTCGTGATATGACAAAACTGGTATTGTAGATCAGTGGGTTAAAAAACGACTATTCAATACATTGTACTGAGAAAATTTCTTATCTAAAAGAAGAAACACAAAACAAACAAACAAAAAGAAATAAAATTTCTAACTCACATCATATCCAAAAATTAATTCTAGGTGGCTTAAGAATTTTCTTGCGAAAGCCCAAATTTTAAAGCTTATATTAGTAGAAGCAAAGGTACAAATATATATTGGTGACTATGGTGTAAGAAAGGATTTCTTAAATAAAACCTTCAGAATAAAACCTTCAGTGTAAGAAAGGATTTCCTAAATAAAACCTTCAGAATGGAAACCACAAAGGAAAGTCTTGATAAATTAAAATACATTTAAGTTGAGATTTACTTTTGATTAAAAAACACACAAAGCATGGGGCAGGGGGATGGAGACCATCAGGAAAAATAGCTAATGCATGCTGGGGTGAATACTCAGGTGATGGGTTGGTCTGTGCAGCAAATCACCATGGTACATGTTTACCTATGTAACAAACCTGCATATCCTGCATATGTACCCCAGAACTTAAAATAAAACAAAATATAACAAGAAAAGAAACACACACACACACACACACACACACACACACACACACACACACAAAGAAAATGAAAAGACAAATAACAAATGAGGACAAAATATTTATATTTTTAATACATATATTCAATAAAGATTTGTTGTCTAGAAAATATAACTTCAAATCAGTAAATTCAAATAATCCAATGGAAAGATTGTATGTCTGTGTGGGTGTGTGTGTGTGTTTAGATACATAAACAGAAGCAAAGGCATTAATGCTAATAAAATGGTATAAATAAATGCTTAACCTCAGTAGTATTCAAGTATATAAAACTTAAAATTACAACAGGATAACATTTCACACCCACCATATTGGTAAAACCTAAGAAGTCTGACAATATGCAGTGTTGGGAAGATAAGTAATAGCATGAACTCTATAAGCACTTACCATTGGATAATCTGACATTATCCGATAAAATTGAAGATGTACATATACCATAACTGACATGTGTGTATATTTATACAGTATAGAACTCTTGCATATTTGTTTCAGGAGACATAAGCAGAATTCATAGTAACCAAAATAACTGGAAACAAACCAACTATCCATAAAAGTTGAACACATAAGTTTTAGAACATCATGCAATTGGATACTGTATAACAATAAGAAAGAATGAAATGGAATCTTTCAGAATGACAGAATAAGGAGCTTGGCCGACTCTCTTTTCAGTAAAACAACAATTTAACCAGTGAAAATTGTAAAACACAAAAATGTAAAGTCCATGGAAATTGTATTAGTACATACAGCAAATGAGGAAATAATCAACAAAATCAACTAAATATTGGTAAGAATCTAGCAGCGTAGAAAAAGGATCATACACCATTACCAAATGTGATTTATCTCAGGAATGTAAGATTGGTTCAACATACAAAAATGAATCAATATAATACAACATACTATTAAAATAAAGGACAAAATAATAGGTGCAGAAAAAGCATTTGAGAAAATCCCAACCAGGAAAAGAAAGAAACTTTCTCAACCTGACAAAGATCATGAAGATCATGTATGAAAAACCTGCAACTTACATTAGGTTTAATGGTGAACACCAGCATGTTTTCTTTCCCTTTAAGATTAGGAACAAGACAAGGGCATCCATTCTTGCCACTTTTATTCAATACTGTGTAGGAAGTTCTAGCTAGAACAATTATGCAAGTAAGAGAAAAAGACTTCCAGATTGGAGACAAGGAAATAAAACTACTCTATTTGCAGTTGACATGATTTTTTTTGCACTTAAAAAATTTTACAGAATCTATTAGAAACTATCAGAACCAATAATCAAATTAAACAAGAGTCCATGATACACAAATAATATAAAAAATCAATTGTATTTCTGTAGAAAAGTAACAATTTGAAAATAAAATTTTAAAAACAATTCAATTTGCAATACCCTCAAAATGAATAAAATACTTAGAAATAAATTTAACAAAATAGTGCAAGATTTGTACACGGAAATTTTAAGGAAAGCCTCCATAAGTGGAAAGACATTTACATTCATGAATTGGAAGATTTAATATTCTTGTCAATACTCCCCAAATTGACCTACAGATTCAGTGCAATCCCTATCAAACTGCTAGCTGGCTTTTTGCAGAAATTGAAAAGCTGACCCTAAAATCCTTATGGAAATATAAGGAAATCAGAATAGCTAAAACAATCTTAGAAAAGAATAAGGTTGGAGGACCCACATTTCCCAACTTCAAAACTTACTACAAAGTGTACTCAGTACTTACTTTATATTTATTACGACAGTAATCAAGATAGCATGGTACTGGCATAAAGATGGCTATATTGATCAATGGAATGAAAATGAGGTCCAAAAATGAACTCTCACTTTTATTGTTAATTAATTTTTGAAAAGGGTGCTAAGACAGTTACATGAGGGAAAGTATAGCCTTTTCAGCAATTGGTGCTGTGACTACTGGATATCCACTTGGAAAAGGATTAAGTTAGACCTCTGCACTGTGCACAAAAGGAATGCAAAATAGATCAAAGACCTAAATGTAAAAGTTTAAACTATAAAACTTTTAAACAAAAAATAGGAGTAAATCTTTCTGACTTTGAGTTTGTCAGTTTTTTAGCAATAAGACTAAAAGATAACTAAAAGAAAACAACAGATAAATTGTACTTCCCCAGAATTAAAAAATTTTGTCCTTTAAAATGTTGTGCTTCTCACCAAGAAGAAAGTGAAAAAAAAAAACACCCACAGAATGGGAGAAAATTTATCAGATGGGGACTTTTATATAGAATACAAAAAACTACTCAAAACTCTAGTAAGACAAATAATCCAGCTTTAAAGTGGTTGATATACTGCCGCAGGCATGCACACGTGTGCAGAAACCTCTGTTGACCACTGCCAATGGTGGGCATGTGCAGGAACCCCCTGCTGCTCACCACCTCCTTGCTAAATCATTTTTGCTGGCATGCTTCACAGCAGTGTTGTTGCCAGCAGACTGGGAATATCTTGGCCCCGCCAGCACAGCAGATGCTTAACCTCAAGGGGCCAGAGAAAATAACTGCAGGCCTGGTCTCATCCCTCGAGGCTTAGAACATGAAGTCCAGGAGTGCTGAGCTGAGCATTGGACCCCTGAAATCATCCAGAAATGAGGCCAATTGACTAAACCCAACTTTTACCACAGTCAAATCCTCAAGGGAATCAAAGAATATGAAAGCAAAAAACCGCATCCAAAGGACAACAACTTCAAAGATTAAAGGAACATTGACTCATACAGATGAGAAACAGTGAAACAACTCTGGCAATTCTAAAAGCAAGAGTGTCTTCTTACCTCTAAATGACACACTAGCTCCCCAGTAATGGTTGTTAACCAGACAGAGATAGCTGAAATGACAAACAAATAATTTAGATTCTGGATGGCAATGAAGATCATTGAGATTCAGGAGAAAGCTGAATCTAAGGAATCCCATAAAATGATACAAGAGCTGAAAGATGTAATAGTCATTTTAGGAAAGAACCAAACTGATCTTCCAGAGCTGAAAAACTCACTATAAGAATTTCATAATACAATCAGAAGTATTAACAAGAGAATAGACCAAGCTGAGGAAAGAATATCAGAGCTCAAAGACTGGTTCTGTGAATCAACTCAGTCAGACAAAAATAAAGAAAAAAGAGGCCAGGCACAGTGGCTCATCTCTGTAATCCCAGCACTTTGAGAGGCTGAGGCAAGAGGATGGTTCGAGCCCAGGAGTTCAAGACCTATCCAGACAACATAGTGAGAACTATAAATAATAAAAAAAAAATCTGCCAGGTATAATGGTATGCACCTGTAGTCCCAGCTATACAGGAGGCTGAAGTGGGAGGACTGCTTTAGCTCAGGTGCTCAAGGATGCAGTGATCTGTGATTGCACCACTACACTCCAGCCTAGATGACAGAGTGAGACTCTGTCTCAAAAAAAAAAAAAAAGGAAAAGAAAGAAAAGAAAAAAGAATTTTAAAAAATGAACAAAATGGCTGAGAAATACGAGATTATGTAAAGGAACAAACCTATGACTCTCTGGCAACCTAGAAAGAGAGAGGGGGAGAGAGGGCAAGCAACTTGGAAAATATATTTGAGGATATTGTCCATGAAAATTTCCCCAACCTTGCTGGAAAAGTCAACATGCAAGTTCAGGAAATTCAGAGAAATTCTGCGAGATACTACATAAGACTACCATCCCCAAGACACATAGTCTTCAGAATCTCCAAGGTCAATGTGAAATAAAAATATTAAAGGCCGCTAGAGAGAAGAGGCAGATCACGTACAAAGGGAACCCCATCAGGCTAACAGCAGAGCTTTCAGCAGAAATCTTACAAGCCAGAAGAGATTGGGGGCCTATATTCAGCATCCTCAAAGAACAGAAATTTCAAACGAGAATTAAATATTCAGCCAAACTAAGCTGAATAAGTGAAGTAGAAATAAAATCCTTTTCAGATAAGCAAATGCTAAGAGAATTTGTTACCATGAGACTTGCCTTTCAAGAGGTTCTTAAGGGAATGCTAAACATGTAAACAAAAAGCTGCTACCTGCCACCACAAAAACACAAACTGTAGTGCTTACTTAGCCCACTGACACTGTAAAGTAACTATACCATCAAGTCCACATAACAACCAGTTAACGTAACAACTCACTGATAGGATCAAATCCTCACATACCAATATTAACCTAGAATGTAAACGGGCTAAATGCTCCACTTAAAAGGCACAGAGTGGCAAGTTGGATAAAGAATCAAGACCCAACTGTATCCTGTCTTCAAGAATCCCATCTCACATGCAATGGCACCCATAGGCACAAAGTAAAGGAATGGAGAAAGATCTATCAAGCAAATGCAAAACAAAAGAGAGCAAAGGTTGTCATTCTTATTTCAAACAAAATGAGCTTTAGACCAACAATGATCAAAAAGGACAAAGAAAAGCATTACATAATGATAAAGGATTCAATTCAAAAATAAGACTTAACTATCTTAAATATATGTGCACCAACAATGGAGAACCCAGATTCATAAAAACAAGTTCTTAGAGGCATATGAAGAGACTTAGATAACCACATAATAATAGTGGGAGAGTACAACATCCCACTGACAGTGTTAGATCAATAAGGAAGAAAACTAACAAAGATATTCAGGACCTAAACTTGATGCTTGACCAAATGGACTTAACAGATATTTACAGAACACTCTACCCAAAAACAAAAGAATATACCTTCCTCTCATCCACACACAGCACATTCTCTAAGATCAACCATATGCTCAGTCACAAAGCAATTCTCGACAAATTCAAAAAACCCAAAATGATACCAACCACCATCTCAGACCACAGTGCAGTACAAATATAAATCAATACCAAGAAGATCTCTCAAAACCATACAATTACATGGAAATTAAACAACCTGCTCCTGAATGACTTTTGGGTAAAGAATGAAATAAGGTCAGTAATCAAAAACTCCTTTGAAACTAATGAAAACAAAGATACAACATACCAAAATCTCTGGGCCACAGCTAAAGCAGTGTTAAGAGGGAAGTTACTAGTACTAAACACCTATATCAAAAAGTCAGAAAGATTTCAAATAACCTAACACCACACCAAGAGGAACTAGAAAAACAAGAGCAAACCAATCCCAAATCTAGCAGAATACAAGAAATAACCAAAATCAGATATGAACCAAATGAAACTGAAACACAAAAATCCATACAAAAGATAAATGAAACCGAAAGTTGTTTTTTTGAAAGAATAAATAAGATTGATAGACTGCTACTAGATTAATAAAGAAAAAAAGGAGACAATACAAATAAACACACTCTGAAATGACAAAGAAGACATTATCACCAACCCCACAAAAATACAAAAAACACTCAGAGGCTATTATGAACACCTCTATGCATACAAACTAAAAAGCCTAGAAAAAATGGGTAAATTTCTGGAAATATACAACCTCTGAAGTTCGAACCTGGGAGAAACTGGTTATCTGAACAGATCAATAATGAATTCCAAAATTGAATCAGCAATAATAAGTTATTCTACTATAAAGACACATGCACATGTAAGTTTATTGAAGCACTATTTACAATAGCAAAGACTTGGAACCAACCCAAATGTCCATCAATGATAGACTGGATAAAGAAAATATGGCACATATATACCATGGAATACTATGCAGCCATAAAAAAGAATGAGATCATGTCCTTTGCAGAAACATGGATGAATCCGGAAGCCATCATTCTCAGCAAACTAACACAGGAACAGAAAACCAAACACCACATATCCTCACTCACAAGTAGGAGTTGAACATTGAGAACACATGGACATGGGGAGGGGAACATCACACACCAGGGCCTGTCGGTGGGTGGGAGGCAAGGAATGCATGCAGGGCTTAAAACCTAGATGATGGATTGATAGGTGCAGCAAACAACCATGGCACATGTATACCTATGTAACAAACCTGCACATTCTGCACATGTATCCCACAACTTAAAACAAACAAACAAACAAAAACTACCAACGAGAAAAAGCCCTAAAGCAGACAGATTCACAGCTGAATTGTACCAGGCATATAAAGCAGAGCTTGTATCAATCCCACTAAAACTATTCCAAAAAGTCAAGGAGAAGGGACTCCTCCCTAACTCATTCTATGAGACCAACATCATTCTGATACCAAACCTGGCAGAGACACAACCAGAAAAGAAAACTTCAGGCCCATATCCCTGGTGAAAATGGTCACAAAAATCCTCAACAAAGTACTTGCAAATCAATTCCAGCAGACATCAAAAGCTAATCCACGCGGGTCAAGTAGGCTTTATTCTTGAGATGCAAGGCTGTTACAACATGTGCAAGTCAATATGTGTGATTCATCAGATAAACAGAACTAAAAATAAAAACCACACAATCATCTCAATCAATAAAGAAAAGGTCTTCAATAAAATTCAAAATCCTTTCATGTTAAAAACCCTAAACAAACTAGGCATTGAGGGAACATACCTCAAAATAATAAGAGCCATCTATGACAAACCTAGAGCTAACATCATAACTGAATGGGCAAAAGCAGGAAGTATTCTGCTTAAGAAGCAGTTCATGACAAGGATGCCCACTCTCACCACTCCTATTCAACATAGTCCTGGAAATCCTAACTAGAGCAATCAGTCAAGAGAAAGAAATAAAAAGCATCCAAATATGAAGAGAGAAAATCAAACTATCTCTCTTCTCAGGTGGTAAGAGTCTATACATAGAAAATCCCATAGTCTCTGCCCAAAGGCTCCTAGAACTGATTAACAACTTCAGTAAAGTATTAGGATACAAAATCAATGTATAAAAACTAGTAGCATTTCTATATATCACCAAGCTGAGAGTCAAATTAAGAAGGCAATCACATTCACTATAACCACAAAAAAAATACCTAGAAATACAGCTAACCAGGGAGGTGAACTATATATACAATGAGAATTACAAAACTCTGCTGAAAGAAATCAGAGATGACACAAATAAATGAAAAAACATTCCATGCTCAAGGACTGGAAGACTCAATATTGTTAAAATGGCCATACTTCCCAAAGCCATTTATAGATTCAATGCTATTCCTGTTGAATTACCAACCTCATTTTTTATATAATTGGAAAAAAAATTATTCTAAAATTCATATGGAAACAAAAAACAGCCTGAATAGCCAAAGCAATAGTAAGCAAAAGAACAAAGCCAGAGGCATCACACTACTCAACTTCAAACTGTACTACAAGGCTATAGTAAACAAAACAGCATGGTACTGGTAAAAAACAGACACATAGGTCAGTTGAATAGGTTAGAGAAAATAAGGCCACACACCTACAGCCATCTGATCTTTGACAAAGTTGACAATAACAAGGAATGGGGAAAGAATTCTCTATTCAATAAATGGTACTGGGATAACTGGCTAGCCATATGGAGAAAATTGAAACTATACTCCTTCCTTTCACTATATACAAAAATAAACTCAAGACAAATCAAAGACTTAGATGTAAAACCTAAAACTATAAAAACCTTAGAAGAAAATATGTGAAATGCCATTCTGGACATAGGCCTTGGCAAAGATCTCATGATGAAGACTCCAAAAGCAGTTGCAACAAAAGCAAATAGTGACAAGGGGGACCTAATGAAACTAAATAGCTTCTATGCATCCAACGAAGGTCTAATACCCAGAAACTGTAAGGAACTCAAACAAATCAACAAGTAAAAACCAAACAATCTCATTAAAAATGGCAAAGGATGTGAACAGACACTTCTCAAAGGAAGACATACATGCATCCCACAAGCATGTGAAAAAATGCCCAACACCACTAATCATTAGAGAAATGCAAATTAAAACCACAGCAAGATACCATCTCACACCAATTAGAATGGCTATTACTAAAAAGTCAAAAAATAACAGATGTTGGCGAGGTTGCAGAGAAAAGAGAATGCTTATATACTGCTGGCGAGAATGTAAATTATTTCAGCCACTATGGAAAGCAGTCTGGAGATTTCTCAAACAACTTAAGACAGAATGACCATTCAACCCAGCAGTCTCATTACTGGGTATATACCCAAAAGAATATAAATTATTCTACCATAAAGACACATGTATGCTTATGTTAACTGCAGCACTTTCCACAGTAGTAAATACATGAAATCAACTTAGATGCCCATCAAACAGTGGTTTGGATAAAGAAAATGTGATACATATACACTGTGGAATAATATACAGCCATAAGAAAGAGTGAAATTATGTTCTTTGCTACAACATGGATACAGCTGCAGGTCATTATCCTAAGCAAATTATGCAGGAACAGAAAACCAAATACCTCACTTTCTGACTTACAAGTGAGTGCAAAACATTGAAAACACATGGGCACAAAGAGGGGAACAATAGCAACCAGGACTTACTTGAGAGTGGAGGGTGGGAGGAGGTTGAAGATAGAAAAACTACCTGTTAGGTACTATGCTCACTGAAATCATTTGTACATACAATTTACCCCCGTATCAAACCTGCACATGTACTCCCAAACCTAAAATAAAAGTTGGAGGAAAAAAATGGGCAATACTTGGAATAGCCATTATTTCAAAGTAGATACACAAATGTGCCAATAAGCACATGTAAAGATGCTCAACATCCTGAGTCATTAGGGAAATGTGAATCAAAACTACATAAGATAGTACGTCACTCCCACAATGATAGTTGCAATTTTAAAAAAACGGTTGTTGGTAAGGTTGTGGAGAAATTGGAATCCTCCATTGCTGGTAGGAATGTTATAGTTGAGAGTTATCTTCCACTTAGTGCTTTGAAGATGTTCTTACTTCTACTTCTGACTTCTGTTTTTACTGATGAAAAGTCTGCTGCCTATCTGAAGATCTTACCTGTTTAGATGATTTTATTACTTTTGATAGCTGTTATGATTCTTAATATTTGATATGTTATAGTTTTTGTTATGAGTTCTCTTTTTTTTCTTTAACATACTTGAATATGCTGTAGGTATTTCTTTGAGTTAATTTTCTTTGAGTTATACATTATCTCTTCAGTAATGCCTCTCCATTCCTTTTTTCTTTCTGGAAATTCTCTTAGGCATATTTTAAAGCTTCTTATTATTTTATCCGTTCTCTTTCATGATTTTCATCTCTTTATTTCTTTTGAATTCTTGGTGATTTCTAATTATGAATCTTTTCATTAATACTCTCTTAAGATGTCTAGTTTTGTGTTCAAACCATATATTGTATTTGTTTTTTCCATTTGCAATGAGTATGGTTTTCATTTCTAGAAATTCTATTTGTGAAAAAAATACCCTGAAATTTCTATTTCTTAATGTATCTCTTTAAATATTATATAAAGCATATATAACTTTAAAATATTTAGAATATAGTCATTCCTTTCTTTCTTTCTTTTCTTTCTTTCTTTCTTTTCTCTCTTTCTTTCCCTCTTTATTGCTTTTCTTTCACCCATGCAAAATGTATTTATTGATTGCCAATATGTGCCAGGAAATAGAGCTTGAAAAAAATACAAAGTTTCTGCCCTCAGATATGTCTCTCTTTATCTCCCTTTCTCTCATAGATACATAGATATAGGTGGACATATATGCAGATAAGGATATAATATAGATATAGAGTTAGCTTAGTTGGAGACATGTTTTTTGGAGAAAGATAGAGCAGGGTAAAAAGGAGATGTGGGAAAATGGGTGGGAGTTGCAGAAATTACATATGAGGTGGTCAGAAAAGGCTCTATAATAAAGCATCATTTAAGCAGAGCCTGGAAGTGAGTAAGGGAGCAGTTCTTGTGGGTTTCTTGGAGAAGGGCATTCTAGGTAACCCGAACCTTAAGTGCCAACATCCTGAGGTTAAAAATTTTTATTTTTTAGGCTCGGGCACGGTGGCTCATGCCTGTAATCCCAGAACTTTGGGAGGCCCAGGTGGGCAGATCACGAGGTCAGGAGTTTGAGACTAGCCTGACCAACATGGTGAAACCCCATCTCTATTAAAAGTACAAAAATCAGCCGGGCGTGGTGGCACACACATGTAATTCCAGCTACTCAGGAGGCTGAGGCAGCAGAATCGCTTGAACCTGGGAGGCGGAGGTTGCTGTGAGTCGAGTTTGTGCCACTGCACTCCAGCCTGGGTGACAGAGCGAGACTCCGTCTCAAAAAAATTTTTTTTAAATTTTTTATTAATTATTAATTTTTGTGGGTATACAGTAGGTGTATATACTGATGGGATATATAAGACATTTTGATACAAGCATGCAATGCATAATAATCACATCAGGATAAATGGGGTATCCATTACCTCAAGCATTTATCTTTTGTGTAATACATAATCCAATTATACTATTTTAGTTATTTTAAAATGTACAATTAAATTATTTTTAATTATAGTCACCATGTTAGGCCAGCAAATACTAGGTCTCATTCATTCTTTCTAACTATTTTTGTACCCCTTAACCATCCCCACTTTCCCCACTCCCACACATCCCCAATTGCCCTTCCCAGCCTCTAGTAACCATCCTTCTACTCTCTATCTCTGTAAGTTAAATCGTTTTAATCTGCCACAAATAACTGAGGACATGTGAAGTTTGTCTTTCCATGACTGGCATATTTCACTTAACATCATGACCTCCAGTTCTATCCATGTTATTGCAAATAACAGGACATCATTCTTTCTTATGGCTGAATATTACTCCATTGTGTATATGTACATTTTCTTTATCCATTCTGAGTGTTGATGGACACTTAGGTTGCTTCCAAATGTTGGCTATTGTTAATAGTGCTGCAGTGAACATGGGAGTGCAGATATCTCTTTGACATACTGATTTTTTTCTTTTGGGTATATACCTAGGAGTAGGATTGCTGGATCATATAGTAACTTAATTTTTAGTCTTTTGAGGAACTTCCAAGCTGTTCTCTGTAGTGCTTTTACTAATTTACATTCCCACCAACAGTGTGCAAGGGTTTCCTTTTCTCCATATCCTCACCAGCATTTTTTATTCTCCATCTTTTGATAAAAGCCATTTTAACTGGGGTCAGATGATATCTCATTGTGGTTTTGATTTTCACTTCACTGATGGTCAATGATGTTGAAGAACGTCTTCATATACCTGTTGCCATTTGTATGTCTTCTTTTGAGAAAAGTCTATTCAGATCTTCTGCCCATTTTAAAATCAGATTGTTAGATTTTTTTCATATAGAGTCGTTTGAGCTCCTCATGTATTCTGGTTATTAATCTCTTGTCAGATGGGTAGTTTTCCAATATTTTATCCCATTCTGTGGGTTGTCTTTTAACTTTGTTGATTGCTTCCTCTGAAGAAGCTTTTTAACTTGAAGTGATCCCATTCATCTATTTTTTGCTTTGGTTGCTTGTGGTTATGAGGTAATAACTTGAGTAATAACTCAAGAAACCTTAGTCCACTCCAATGTCCTGGAGAGTTTCCCCAATGTTTTCTTTTAGTAGTTTCATAGCTTGAGGACTGAGATTTAAGTCTTTAATCCATTTTGGTTTGATTTTTCTATATGACAAGAGATAGGCACCTAGTTTTTCTGCATATTCATATCGAGATTTCCCAGCACCATGTATTGAAGAGATTGTCCATTCCTCAATGTATGTTCTTGTCATCTTGTCAAAAGTGAGTTCACTGTATATATATATGGACTTATTTCTGGGTTCTCTATTGTGTTCCACTGATGTATGTGTCTGGTTTTAGGCCATTACCATGAAGTTTTGGTTACTATAACTCGGTAGTATAATATGAAGTCAGGAAATGTAATTCCTCCATTTTTGTTCTTTTTGCTTAGGATAGCTGTGGCGATTCTGGGTCTTTTGTGGTTCCATATAAATTTTAGGATTTTTTTTTTCTATTTCTGTGAAGAATGTCATAGAATTTTGTTAGGGATTTTATTTAATCTGTAGATTGCTTTAGGTGGTATGGACGTTTTAACAAAATAATTCTTCCAATTCATGAACATAAAATTCATATTTTATAGTTTTTATTATAGATATATTTCACTTATTTGGTTGTTAATTCCTAGGTATTTAATTTATTTATAGCTACTGTAAATGAGATTACTTATTTTTTAAATTTCATTTTTTAAGATTGTTTACTCTTGGCATAGAGAAAAGCTATTAATTTTCGTATGTTGATTTTGTATCCTGAAACTTTACTGAAATTGTTTATAACCTCTAATAGTTTTTTTTTGTGGAGTCTTTAGGTTTTTCCAGACATAAGATCACATTATCTGCAAACAAGTATAATTTGAATTTTTTCTTTGCCATTTGGATGCCCTTTCTTTCTTTCTCTTGTCTCATCGCTCTAGCTAGGACTTCCAGTACTATGTTGAATAACAGTGGTAAAGTGGGCATCATTGTCAAGTTCCTGACCTTAGAGGAAAGGTTTTTAGTTTTTCCCCATTAAGTATGATACTAGCTATGGGTCTGTTGCATGTGGCTTTTATTATGTTGAAGTATGTTCCTTCTATACACAGTTTTTTGAGGGCTTTTTATCATAAGAGAATATTGAATTTATCAAATGCTTTTCAGTATCAATTGAAATGATCATATGGTTTTTGTTCTTCATTCTGTTAATATGATGTCGCACATTGATTGATTTTTGTATGTTTCATAATTTCTAGTTCTATTTCATTGTAGTCAAAGAATGTGCTTGATATTATTTCATGTTTTTTGAAACTTTTAAGACTTGTTTTGTGACCTAAGGTAGGGTTTATCCTTTGAATAATCCATGTGCTGAAGAAAACAATGTATATTCTGCAACCATCGGATGAAATGTTCTGTAAATATGGATTAGGTCCATTTGGCCTATAGTGCAGACTAAATCTGATGTTTAATTTTTGATTTTCTGTATGGAAGATTTGCCCAGTGCTGAAAGTGGGGTGTTGAAGTTTCCAGCGATTATTGTATTGAGGTCTCTCTCTCTCCTTAGCTCTAATAATATTTTCTTTATTTATCTGGGCTCCAGTGTTGGGTGCATATATATTCATCATTGTTATATCCTCTTGCTGAATTGACTGCTTTATTATTATATCATAACTTTCTTGATCTCTTCTTATAGTTTTTGTCTTAAAATCTATTTTGCCTAAGTATAGCTACTCCTGCTCTTTTTTGGTTTCCATTGATGTAGAATAGCTTTTTCCCATCCCTTCATTTTTTGTCTATGTGTGTTTTTATAGGTGAAGTATGTTTCTTGTAGGCAATAGATCAATGGGTCTTGTTTTTCATTCATTCAGCCACTCTATGTCTTTTGATAAGAGAGTTTAGTTCATTTACCTTCAATGTTATTATTGATAAATAAGGACTTACTCCTGCCATTTTGTTATTTGTTTTCTGGTTGTTTTGTGGCATCTCTTCCTTCTTTCCTTCTTTTCTGTCTTCTTTTAGTGAAAGTGATTTTATCTGGCGATATGATTTAATTTCTTGCTTTTTATTGTTTGTGTATCTGTTGTGTGTTTTTTGATGTGAAGTTAGCGTAAGGCTTGCAAATACTATCTTATAACCCATTATTTTACACTGATAACAACTTAACACTGCTGCATAAATGAACAAACCAGCAAAAAAAAAAAAAAATAAAAACTCTATACTTTAACTTTGTCCTCCCACTTTTAAAATTTTTTATTTCTCTTTATGTCTTATTGCACTGTTAATATCTTGAAAAGTTGTTGTAGCTTTTTTTATTGGTTGTTTAGTCTTTCTACTTAACAGTAGTTTATAGCTCACAATTACAGTGTTATAATATTCTGTGTTTTTCTGTGGACTTACTATTAGCAGTGTATTTTGTACCTTCAGATGATTTCTTATTGCTCATTAACATCAGTATTTCAATTGCATTTTCAATTCCTGAATTTCTGCTTTTAAAAAAAATTATTTCAAGCTCTTTGTTAAATTTATCTAATAGAATCCTGAATTCTTTCTAGGTGTTATCCTGAATTTCTTTGAGTTTCCTCAAAATGGCTATTTTGAATTCTTTGTCAGAAAGGTCACATGTGTCAGTCTCTCCAAGATTGGACCCTGGCACCTTATTTAGTTCATTTGGTGAGGTCCTGTTTTCCTGGATGGACGTGATGCTTATGGATGTTTGTTGGTGTCTGGGCAGTGAAGACTTAGGTATTTATTGTAGTCTTCACAACCTGGACTTGTTTGCACTGTCCTTCTTGGGAAGGCTTTCTAGGTATTCAGAAGGACTTGGGTATTGTTATCTGAGCCATATCTGCATTAGAGGGCATCCAAAGCCCAGTAAAGCTGTGGTTCTTGCAGACTCATAGAGGTATCACCTTGGTGGTCTTGGGTAAGATTTGGAAGAATTCTCTAAATTACAAGCAGTATCTCTTATTCTCTTCCCTTACTTTCTCCCAGTCTCTCTCTCTCTCTCTCTGTGCTGAGTCACCTGGAGCTGGGGGTGTGGTGACACAAGCACCCCTGTGGCCACCACCACTGGGACTGTGCTGGGTCAGACCTGAAGCCAACATAGCACTGGGTCTTGTGCAAGGCCTGATGTAGCCACTACCTGGCTACTGCCTATGTTTACTCAAGGGCTTATGGCTCTGCAATCAGCAGGTGGTGAAGCCAGCCAGGCTTGTATCCTTCCCTTCAGGTCATTGAGTTCTTCCAGACCCCAGATGGGTCCAGAGATGCCATCTGGGAGCTAAGGACTAGAGTCAAAAACCTTAGAAGTCTTCCTGATGTTCTAGTCTACTGTGATTGAGTTGACCCTCAAACCATGAGACACAATCCTTTCCTCTCTTCCCTTCCTTTCCACAGGCAGAAGAGCCTCATCTCATGGTCATGAAAACAACTGGCCCACAGGGAGTACTGCCAGACTACCACCGATGTTTACTTAAGGCCCAAGGGCTCTTCAAACAGCTTGTGGTGAAAGCTGCCAGGCCTGGGACTCACCCTTCAGGGCACTGGACTCTCCTCTTGCCCAGAGCAGGTCTAGAAATGCCATCTAACAGCTAAGACCTGGAGCTGGGGACCCCAAGAGCCTGCCTGGTGCTCTACCTCACTGCAGTAGAGCTGGTACCTAAGGTGCAAGACAGTCTTCTTTACTTTTCCCTCTGTTTTTTGCAAGTAGAAAGAGTCTCTCATTGTAATCACCACAGTTGGGAATGTGCTGGGTTTCACCTGAAGCTAGCACCTCTTAGAGTCTCATCCAGGTCCCATGGCCTACTATCTGGTATCGCTGCTGGTTATTCAGGGATGAAGAGCTTTTTAGTTAGTAGGTGATGAATTCTGCCAGGATTTGGTTTTTCCCTTCAAGGAAATTGGTTCCTTTCTGGCCCAGCATGTGTCTGGAAATGTCATCTGGGATCTAGGGCCTGGAATGAGGGCCTCACAACTCTGAAGTGTCTTATCCTACTGTGGCTGAGCTAATATCCAAGATGCAAGACAAAGTCCTCTTTACTCTTTTCTCTCCTCTCAAGTGGAAGAAAGGAGTCTCTTTTGGAGCCATAAGCTGTGCTCCCTAGGTTTGGTGGACAGGTGGTGCAAGTAAGCCCTCAGCTGCCCTGGCTTGTGTATCAGTATGTCACATGCCCCCCAAGTCCACTGGCTCTGAGCCCAGTCCAGCACTAGGACTTGCAGTCCTTGTGGCCTAGAATGGCTTTAAAGTTTATTTAGAACTCCAGCGCACTTTAGCTTGTTGTGGTGAGGCTTGTCAGAACTGTGTTCTGACTGCTGTGATGGGTGATTCCCCTCCAGCTAGGACTGGTCTGAATACTCCCTTTATGGGTGGACGCCTGCTGAATTCAGCCAGGTTTTGCTTTCTGCTATGACAAGGCAGCACTGAGTCCAATAAGAAGACTCATAATTGCTATGCTCTCCCTCTCCCAAACCCACAGATTTCTCCATGCCACATAGTCATTCTGGATAGGGGAAGTGTGGTATTAGTGATTCAAGACTGTCTTTCCTACCCTCTTCAGTGCCTCTTTCAGAAATGTGAAGTTAAAACCAGGTACTGTGAGTGCTCACCCGATTTTTGGTTCTTATAAAGGTGGTGCTTTTTTGTGTAGATAGTTGTTGAATTTGGTATTTCTGCATGGGAGAAGAGAAGTGGGACCTTCTATTCCACCATCTTGCTACACGCTTTCTAGAATTTGTTGTTAAAGAACAGCAAAGGGTCAGTGTTGTCAGAAAGGATTAAGCTAGAGAAAGATACTCATAGGATAGGAGGTCACAGAGATGATGATGGGGTGAGGCCATGTTATATAAGACCTTTTAAGTCTTTTCAAAGATTACTCTGAGTAAGATGGGAGCCATTGCAGGGTTTGAGGTGTGAAATGGTTGAATCTGACTTATTTTTAAACTATCATTATGTCTAATTGTGATCTACGTGAAGGATGATGATGACGAAAGTGGTAAAAATGTGCTTGAATTGAAGAAATATTTTGAAAGTAATGCAACACATAGGATTTGCTGATCCTTTGGATACAGGATGGATGGTTGGGGGTGGGGAGAGAGAGGGAGGGGGAGAGAGAGAGAATGAATGGGAATTGAAGACTTACACTGAGGGTTTTAACCTGAGCAACTGAGAGGATAGTGTTGGCATTAACTGAGATGATACAATCTATGGGACAGTTTTCAGTGTGTTACATGTGAATTGCTATTAGGTATGCTATGAAGATGATGGAGATGTTGAGCTGGCAGTTGGATATGAAGGCCAAGGTGAGTCTAGACTTCAAGGGAGGGATTACACTGAAAAAATAAAGGTGGGTATTTGTCAACGCCTAGAGAGTCATGAGCTCAGGTTCATGTGCTACCAGCAGTGAATGTAAGTAGACAAGAGAAGAGATCAGAAGAGTGAAGTCTGCAGAAATTCAGTGTTTAAAGTTCAGAGATATCGGCAGGGACCAGCAAAGAGACCAAGAAGAAGCAGTGCTGTAGCAAGAAAACCAAGAGAGAAACCCTGGCAGCCAAGTGAAAACTGTTCAGTAGGAAGAAGTGATAACTATTATTAATGCTGCTGAGAAGTGAAGTATGATGAGGACAAATAATTGACAGTCAAATTTTGTCACATGGGGGTCACTGTATACCTTTGCATGAAATATCTAAGTGAATGTACTGGGGACAAAAACTGACAAGCATGAGTTCAAGAGATAATTGGAAATAGAACATGAAGACAACAATTGAAACCAATTCTTTCATGGACTTTTGCTGTAAAGAAGAGCAGAGAAATGGAATTATAGCTGAAGGGGAATATGAGTCTAATGAACGAAATAAAGCTTTAAATTTTTTTAAATATGGGAGATATTACAGGGTATTTACATACTGATGAGAATATTCAGAAGAGGGAGAAATTTATGATGCAGGAGATATGGGAGATAGTTGCTATAGGGCACCCAAACTCACATTCAAATACAGTCAAATATAGCAGTAGAAATAGCTGCAGGTGCACTGGAAGATGTGTTGGTAAAAGCATAGAGAACTTCTGTTTTCATTACTTCTAATTTCTCAGTGAAACAGAAATCAAATCTTCAGCAGAGAATCAACAGTGGCAGGAGGTGTCGAAACTTAGAGGAACTGGGACAGAATGTAAAATAATTGTTTAGGAGAGTGGAAGAATAAATGGACCATAGAAATGCAGTAATATTGCAAGATAGCTAAAGGTGGTTGGTGGACATGAACTTAAAATGAAACAAGTCAGTACAGCTATGCGTTTTTTTTACCATTTACATTCAGTCAACAAAGTGCTGATGAGAAGAGACTGCTAATTGAATTTAGTCAGGATTAGTATTTTGTCATTTGATAAAATGAAGACAGACGGGCAAGGGTACTGGAGAGATATCTAGGTAAATTAATGCAATTGTTGGAGTGAGTATATGAGGGGAAATGAGCTGTACAGAGAGATATGGTGGTTGGTGAGTGAGATGTTTGAAACTGAATTTTTGAAGGAAGGTGTAGTCATTGGTAATGACACATTCTGGGATTTGGAAGTAGATGCCTAAGGCAGTGTGGGGGACAAACACATTCAAAGAATAGAGGCCAAAAATTGAGAGCATTGGTTATTTAAATTATCAGTGACATCTGTGCTATCCAAAATTGTAGCCAGTAGCACACCTGGCTATTTAAAATTAATTAAAATTAAACAAAAGTACAACTCCAGTTCCTCAGCTGCACTGGTCATATTTCAAGTGCTTAATTGCCACATATGTCTAGTGACTACCATTTTAGAGAGTGCAGAGAGAGACTCTTCCCATTACTGGATAAAGTCTATTGGATTGATCAACATGGATATTGATATTGTCAACAAATATGACAAGATAATTTTGGAGAGGGTGACAGTGATCCAGCTGGTAAAATCTTCAAAGAATGACTACCAAAGATGTCATCTATCCTAACTTCGTGCCCAGTGGGTCGAACAAGTGTCGGGAGAGAAAGCAGCACTCTTTGGGAGGACTGACAGTGTATTCTCAGGAGATGACCAGGTCTTAGTTATAGTAAAGATGTGAAAAAAAAATTCCGCAAAAAGCTGAATATATGGGAATTTGTAGATAAGAAAAGGTGAGATCTATTAGGTAGGTGCAAAAGTAATTGTGGTTTTATTATTACTTTAATGGCAAAAACCACAATTACTATTGCACCAACCTAACATAGGGTACCAAGGAAGGTTTTGAGCTGTTGAAAAGAGTAGGAGATTAGATTCCCGGGCAAGATGGCCGAATAGGAACAGCTCTGGCCTGCAGCTTCCAGCAAGACCAATGCAGAAGGTGGATGATTTCTGCATTTCCAACTGAGGTACCCGGTTCATCTCAGTGGGTGAGATGAGATGAGACAGTGGGTGCAGCCGACTGAGGGCGAGCAGAAGCAGGGTGAGGCGTCACCTCACCTGGAAGTGCAAAGGGAAAGGGAATTTCCTCCCCTAGCCGGGGAAAGCCATGAGGGACTGTGCTGTGAGGGATAGTGCTATCCGGCCCAGACACTACACTTTTCCCACAGTCTTGGCAACCCACAGACCAGAAGATTCCCTTGGGTCCCTACACTACAAGGGCCCTGGGTTTCAAGCACAAAACTGGGCAGCCATTTGGACAGATACTGAGCTAGCTGCAGGAGTTTTTTTTCATGCCCCAGTGGTGCCTGGAATACCAGTGAGACAGAACCATTTACTCCCCTGGAAAGGGGGCTGAAGCCAGGGAGCCAATTCTCACTACCAGCACAGCAGTCTGAGGTCGAATGGGATGCTTGAGCTTGGTGCAGGGAGGGGCATCTACCATTACTGAGGGTTGAGTAGGTGGTTTTCCCCTCATAGTGTAAACAAAGCCACTCGGAAGTTTGGACTGGGTGGAGCCCACTGTAGCTCAGCAAAGCCACTGTAGCCAGACCGCCTGTCTAGATTCCTCCTCTCTGGGCAGGGCATCTCTGAAAGAAAGGCAGCAGACCCAGTCAGGGACTTACAGATAAAACCCTCATCTCCCTGGGACAGAGCACCAGGGGGAAGGGGCGGATGTGGGTGGAGCTTCAGCAGACTTAAACATTCCTGCCTGCTGGCTCTAAAGAGAGCAGTGGATCTCCCAGCACAACACTTGAGCTCTGCTAAGGTATAGACTGCCTCCTCAAGTGGGTCCCTGACCACCATGCCTCCTGAGTGGGAGGCACCTCCCAGCAGGGGTCGACAGACACTTTAAACAGGAGAGCTCTGGCTGGCATCTTGTGGGTGCCCCTCTGGGACGAAGCTTCTAGAGGAAGGAGTAGGTAGCAATCTTTGCTGTTCTGTAGCCTCCACTGGTGATACCCAGGCAAACAGGGTCTGGAGTGGACCCCCAGCAAACTCCAGCAGACCTGCAGCAGAAGGGCCTGACTGTTAGAAGAAAAACTAACAAACAGAAAGGAATAGCACTAACATCAACAAAAAGGATGCCCTTGCAAAAACTCCATCCAAAGATGACCAACATCAAAGACCAAAGGTAGATAAATCCATGAAGATGAGGAAAAAAACAGCACAAAAGGGCTGAAAATTTCAAAAACCAGAATGCCTCTTCTCTTCCCAAGGATCACAACTCCTCACCAGCAAAGGAACAAAACTGGACAGAGAATGAGTTTGACGAATTGACAGAAGTAGGTTTCAGAAGGTGGGTAATAACAAACTCCTCTGAGCTAAAGGAGCATGTTCTAACCCAATGCAAGGAAGCTAAGAATCTGATAAAAGGTTATAGGAATGGCTAACTAGAATAACCAGTTTAGAGAAGAAGATAAATGACCTGATGGAGCTGAAAAATACAGCATGAGAACTTCGTGAAGCATACACAAGTATCAATAGCGGAATCAACCGAGTGGAAGAAAGGATATTAGAGATCGAAGATCAACTTAATGAAATAAAGCATGAAGACAAGATTAGAGATGAAGAATGAAAAGGAACAAACAAAGCCTCCAAGAAATATGGGATTATGTGAAAAGACCAAAAATCTATGATTGATTGGTATACCTGAAAGTGACGGGGAGAATGGAACCAAGTTGGAAAACACTCTGCAGGATATTATACAGGAGAACTTCCCCAATCTAGCAAGACAGGCCAACATTCAAATTCAGGAAATTCAAACACCACAAAGATACTCCTTGAGAAGAGGAACCCCAAGACACATAATCGTCAGATTCACCAAGGTTGAAATGAAGGAAAAAATGTTAAGGGCAGCCAGAAAGAAAGGTCAGGTTACCCACAAAGGGAAGCCCATCAGACTAACAGCAAATATCTCTGCAGAAACTCTAAAAGCCAGAAGAGTGGGGGCCAATATTCAACATTCTTAAAGAAAATAATTTTCAACCCAGGATTTCATATCCAGCCAAAGTAAGTTTCAAAAGTGAAGGAGAAATAAAATCCTTCATAGACAAGCAAATGCTGAGGGATTTTGTCACCACCAGGTCTGCCTTACAAGAGCTCCTGAAGGAAGCACTAAATATGGAAAGGAAAAACCAGTACCAGCCACTGCAAAAGCAAACCAAAATGTAAAGACCATCGACACTATGAAGAAACTGCATTAGCTAATGGGCAAAATAACCAGCTAACATCATAATGACAGGATCAAATTCTCATATAACAATATTAACCTTAAATGTAAATGGGCTAAATGCCCCAATTAAAAGACAAAGACTGGCAAATTGGATAAAGATTCAAGGACTATCGGTGTGCTGTATCCAGGAGACCCATCTCATGTGCAAAGAAATACATAGACTCAAAATAAAGGGATGGAGGGAGATTTACCAAACAAATGGAAAGAAAAAAATATCAGGTGTTGCAATCCTAGTCTCTGATAAAACAGACTTTAAACCAACAAAGATAAAAAAAGACAAAGAAGGGCATTACATAATGGTAAAGGGATAAATGTAACAAGAAGAGCTAACTATCTTAAATATAAATGCACCCAATACAGGAGCACCAAGATTCATAAAGCAAGTTCTTAGAGACCTACAAAGAGACTTAGACTCCCATACAATAATAGTGGGAGACTTTAACACTCCACTGTCAACATTAGACAGATCAATGAGATAGGAAATTAAAAAAGATATTTAGAACTTGAACTCAGCTCTGGACCAAGCAGACCTAATAGACATCTACAGAACTCTCCACCCCAAATCAACAGTATATACATTCTTCTCAGCACCACATAGCACATATTCTAAAATCGCCCAGATAATTGGAATAAAACAGTCCTTAGCAAATGCAAAAGAATGGAAATCATAACAAACAGTCTCTGAGACCACAGTGCAATCAAATTAGAACTCAGGATTAAGAAACTCACTCAAAACTGCACAACTATATGGAAGCTCAATAATCTGCTCCTGAATGACTCCTGGGTAAAAAAATGAAATTAAGCCAGAAATAAAGAAGTTCTTTGAAAGCAAGAGGAACAAAGACACAATGTACCAGAATCTCTAGGACGCAGCTAAAGCAGTGTTCAGAGGGAAATTTATAGCACTAAATGCCCACAAGAGAAAGCAGAAAAGATCTAAAATTGACACCCGAACACCACAGTTAAAATAACTAGAGAAGCAAGAGCAAACAAATTCAAAAGCTAGCAGAAGACAAGAAAGAACTAAGATTAAAGTAGAAGTGAAGGAGATAGAGACATGTAAAACCCTTAAAAAAATCAATGAGTTCAGGAGCTGGTTTTTTGAAAAGATTAACAAAATAAATAGACAGCTAGCCAGACTAATAGAGAAGAAAAGAGAGAAGAATCAAATAGACACAATAAAAAATAATAAAGGAGAGATCACCACTGATCCCACAGAAATGCAAACTACCCTCAGAGAATACTATAAATGCCTCCACACAAACAAACTAGAAAATCTAGAAGAAAAGGATAAATTCCTGGACATATACACTCTCCCAAGACTAAACTAGGAAGAAGTCAAATCCCTGAATAGAACAATAACAGGTTCTGAAATAGAGGCAGTAATTAATAGCCTACCAACAACAAAAGCCCAGGACCAGATGGATTCACAGCTAAATTCTACCAGAGGTACAAAGGAATAATTCCTTCTGGAAGTATTCCAAACAACAGAAAAAGAGGGACTCATCCCTAACTCATTTTATGAGGCCAGCATCATCCTGATACCAAAACCTGGCAGAGACACAACAAACAAAGAAAATTTCAGGCCAATATCCCTGATGAGCATCAATGTGAAAATCCTCAATAAAATACTAGCAAACTGAATCCAGCAGCACATCAAAAAGCTTATCCACCACGATCAAGTTGGCTTCACTCCTGGGATGCAAGGCTGGTTCAACATACGCAAATCAATAAACATTATCTATCACATAAACAGAACCAATAACAAAAACCACTTGATTATCTCAATAGATGCAGAAAAGGCCTTTGATAAAATTCAACACCCCTTCATACTAAAAACACTCAATAAACTAGGTATTGATGGAACATATCTCAAAATAATGAGAGCTATGTATGACAGACCCACAGCCAATATCATATGGAATGAGCAAAATCTGGAAGCATTCCCTTTGAAAACCAGTATAAGACAAGGATGCCCTCTCTCACCACTCCTATTCAGCATAGTATTGGAAGTTCTGGCCAGGGCAGTCAGGCAAGAGAAAGATATAAAGAGTATTCAAATAGGAAGAGAGGAAATCATGTTGTCTCTCTTTGCAGATGACATGATTGTATATTTAGAAAACCCCATTATCTCAGCCCAAAAACTCTTTAATCTGATAAGCAACTTCAGCAAAGTCTCAGGATACAAAATCAATGTGCGAAAATCACAAGTATTCCTATACACCAATAGCAGACAAACAGAGAGCCAAAACATGAGGGAACTCCCATTCACAATTGCTACAAGAGAATGAAATACCTAGGAATACAACTTACAAGGTATATGAAGGACCTCTTCAGTGAGAACTACAAACCACTGCTCATGAAAACAAGAGAGGACACAAACAAATGGAAAAACATTCCACGCTCATGGATAGGAAGACTCAATATCGTGAAAATGGCCATACTGCCCAAAGTAATTTACAGATTCAATGCTAGTCCCATCAAGCTACCATTGGCTTTCTTCACAGAATTGGAAGAAACTATTTCAAATTTCATATGGAACCAAAAAAGAACCTGTATAGCCAAGACAAACCTAAGCAAAAAGAACAAAGCTGGAGGCTTCATGCTACCTGACTTCAAACTATACTACAAGGGACAGTAACCAAAACAGCATGGTACTGGTACCAAAGCAGATATGTAGACCAACGGAACAGAACAGAGGCCTCAGAAATAATGCCACACATCTACAACCATCTGATCTTTGACAAGCCTGACAAAAACAAGCAATGGGGAAAGAATTCCCTATTTAATAAATGGTGCTGGGAAACCTGGCTAGCCATATGCAGAAAACTGAAACTGTACCCTTTCCTTACACCTTATACAAAAATTAACTCAAGATGGATTAAAGACTTAAACTTAAGACCTAAAACCATTAAAAACCCTAGAAGAAAACCTAGGCAATACCATTCAGGACATAGACATGGGCAAAGATTTCATGACTAAAACACCCAAAGCAATGGCAACAAAAGCCAAAATTGACAAATGGGATCTAATTAAACGAAAGAGCTTCTGTACAGCAAAAGAAACTACACTCAGAGTGAACAGGCAACCTACAGAATGGGAGAAAAATTTTGCAATCTATCCATCTGACAAAGGGATAATATACAGAACCTACAAGGAACTTAAACAAATTTCAAGAAAAAAACAACCCCATCAAAAAGTGGGCAAAGGATATGAACAGACACTTCTCAAAAGAAGACATTTATATGACCCACAAACATATGAAAAAAAGCTCATCATCACTGGTGCAAATCAAAACCACAATGAGATAACATCTCACGCCAATTAGAATGGAGATCGTTAAAAAGTCAGGAAACAACAGATACTGGAGGGAATGTAGAGAAATAGAAACACTTTTACACTATTGTTAGGAGTGTAAATTAGTTCAACCATTGTGGAAGAGAGTGTGGCGATTCCTCAAGGATCTAGAACTAAAAATACTATTTGACCCAGTAATCCAATTACTGGGTATATACCCAAAGTATTATACATTATTCTACCATAAAGACACATGCACACATATGTTTATTGCAGCACTGTTCACAATAGCAAAGACTTGGAACCAACCCAAATGCCCATCAGTGTTAGATTGGATAAATAATATGTAGCATATATACACCGTGGAATGCTATGCAGCCGTAAAATAATGAGTTCATGTCCTTTTCAGGGACATGGATGAAGCTGGAAACCATCATTCTCAGCAAAGTAACACAGAAACGGAAAACCAAACACCACATGTTCTCACTCACAAGTGGGAGTTGAACATTGATAACACATGGGCACAGGGAGGGGAATATCACACACTGGGGCCCGTTGGGATGTGAGAGGCAAGGGGAGGAAGAGCATTAGGAAAAAATACCTAACGTAGATGACAGGTTGATGGGTGCAGCAAACCACCATGGCACATGTATATCTATGTAACAAACCTGCATGTTCTGCACATGTATCCCAGAACTTAAACTATAATAAAATAAATAAATATGATTAAAATAAAGAAAAGAGTAGGAGATTAGATCAGTGTAAGAAATGTGCAAAGCTATATGAGGATTAGAGTCCCAGTAAAGAAAGATGACCTCAAAGTCTTGGGCTTCTTTTAGTGACTGATGCCAGGAATGGAGCATAATAAGATTACTTCTGATGGTATCTTAGGTTTGGTTGCCAGTAACAGTAAGGAGGGATAAGAAAGATTCTTACCAATTGTGGTTGTTAGGGAAAATTACTAGCAGTCTTTGAGCTGTAGATATAGATAGATATAGTTTCATCTATCTATAAATATATATAGAGATCTATATTTTGATAATAATTACATAGATAATATGCATATAGAGATAGAAGTATATGGATTATATCTAATATGGAGAGATAATTATATAGAAAGTATATATTTCTATCTATATCTATATTTATCTATATTTAAGATCCAGATACTATATTTTGATTTTAAGATCCAGAAAATTGTTGTAAAATTATTTTACACATATTTTTCTTGAAATAATTCTTTGTTTTTGCATGTCTTCTTTAATAGCTTTATAATACTATTCGGAAATTTAAAATATGAATATTATTCAGCCCTTGAATATTCTGACTTCCCAATTTTTGAAGCACTTGGTGTTGCTTCATCTCAGTTGATTGGAATATAAAGTTAAAAATTTTTTTCTGAGTTGAGTCTGTGGGTAGCCTATTTCCTGGGCTGTTTCATGTCTGAGAATGTCTTTTTGTTACCTTCTTGTAAGAATGGTATTTTTTTATTATAAAATTATTGGGTCATAGCATTTCTCCTGGAACGCCAGGTGTTGTTGTATTATTTTCTGGAATTTAATGTTACAGAAAAGGAGTTTGTGGTAACTTGATTATTATTTCTTTGTTAGAAACACTTTTTTTATTCTGCCAGAATGCTGGTGAGGTATTTTGTCTTTATCTCTGTACCTCAAAAAAACTTTCCGGTCTGCATTTAGAAATAAGTCTCTTAATTAGTTTTGTCTGGAGTGAGCGTGTTCAATACATAGCTCTTCCTTCAATACAGGAAAAATCGTTTTTCTACTATTACATTCATTCTAGGGTTGAGCTCTTCATTTTCTGTATGTAAGTCCTTTCAAATCTTTTCTTCTTATATTCTTTTCTTCACAGGAAAGTATTAAAGTTTTTCTTCTATAGGATCAGATCTAGTCTTTACTCAATCATGTGTTTTTATTCTGACACTCTTTTAAAGTTTTTATTACATAATATTTAACACATAAAATAATGTAATAAGCATACACATTATTGAACATAATAAATACTCATAATTTAACATCCATCTTACGAGCTGAACACTACCAATACTTTTGAAGGTGTGCTCCTCACCAACTCCATGCCCCATACTTCTTACCAGGAGTTAACGTAATGTTGAATTTTGTTTTGACCATTCTCCTGTTTTTCTTAAAAAAAAACCACTTTGTATTATTTTATAATAGCCTTACATTTACAGAAAAATCATAAAGACATTATGAACAGTTCCCATATTCCCCTTGCTCCTTTACTTAAGATGCTGTAATTTGGATTATTTTTAAATTTTTCCAAATCTAATTCATCTCATTTTTACCAAGTCTTTTTTTCCCCTTATAATATAATCCAAATTTGCTCACATTTTATACAGGATGCTAAAAAATTTACTGAAATTTTTATGTGTATTCTTCAACAAATTTGTTTTTGAGTATGTTTTTCTTTTGAGCTCTCCGAATGGTGATTTTTCCCTTTATTCAGGCAGAACTTTTTAATAGGTCTTGTATTAGTGTTTTTAGGGCTGCAGTAAGAAAGTAAAACCAACTTGGTGGCTAAAACAGCAGAAATTATTCTCTCACAGTTCTGGAAGTTGGAAGCCCAAAATCAAGGTGGTGATAGGGGTCGTCCCCCCACACCCCACCAAGCCTCTAGAGGAGGAATCTTTCTTTCTCTTCCAGCCTCTAGTAGTCTAGGAGAGCCTTGAATTGTGGCCGCATCATTCCAACCTCTGTGAGCATCTTCCATCTGTGTCTATTTTCACATGGCATTCTCCTGTGTGTTTGACTCCAAAGTTCTGTCTTCTTATAAGGACATCAGTCAGATTAAGGACCCACCCTACATTAGTATGACCTCACTTTATTTATTTTATTTATTTGGTGCGATCTCAGTTCACTGCAGCCTCTGCCTCCTCAAAAAGTGATCTCCCTACCTCAGCCTCCCAAAGAGCTGGGACTACAGGTGCACATCACCACACTCAGCTAATTTTTTGTATATTTTTAGTAGAGATGGGGGTCTTGCCATATTGCCCAGGCTTGTCTTGAAATCCTGGGCTCAAGTGATCTGCCCATCTCAGCCTCCCAAAGTGTTGGGATTACAGGTGTGAGACACCATGCCTGGCCTGACCTCACTTTGAATTAACTAACTACATTTGCAACACCCTATTCCCATATAAGTTCACACTTAGAGGTACTGGAGGTTAGGACTTCAACTGTGTCCCTTTTTGGGGAACAATATTCATATGAAGCCATAACAGGCCTCATGTTTGTTGTTCTCCTATTTATCTTTCATTCAACCTGCTCAAGCTCAGTGTTTGTCCCCAGACTGGATTATCTTTGGTCCAGCAAATTTTCCAAATCACACCTGATGGACAGCTTGACTGTGTAGTTTGTAAAAAAGTTTCTCACTTCTAGCTCCCTGCTGTTTTTGCACATGTGTCCCTTATCTTATTCTATTCCTGGTTTCTTTCTTTTCTTTTCCTCTAAGTTGACACAGAAAACTACAATAATTCAGGGGGGTGGTTCCAAGATGGCCGAATAGGAACAGCTCCAGTCTACAGCTCCCAGTGTTAGCGACGCAGAAGATGGATGGTTTCTGCATTTCAAACTGAGGTACCAGGTTCATCTCACTGGGGATTGTTGGATAGTGGGTGCAGGACAGTGGGTGCAGCGCACCGAGCATGAGCCAAAGGAGGGTGAGGCATCGCCTCATCCGGGAAATGCAAGGGGTCAGGGAATTCCCTTTCCTAGCCAAGGAAAGGGGTGACAGACAACACCTGGAAAATCGGGTCACTCCCACCCTAATACTGCGTATTTCTGACAGTCTTAGCAAACGGCACACCAGGAGATTATATCCCGCGCATGGCTCAGAGGGTCCTACAGAAAGGGAGCCTCTCTCATTGCTAGCAAAGCAGGCTGAGATCATACTGCAAGGTGGCAGTGAGGCTGGGGGAGGGGCGCCCACCATTGCCAAGGCTTGAGTAGATAAACAAAGTGGCCGGGAAGCTCGAACTGGGTGGAGCCCACCGCAGCTCAAGGAGTCCTGCCTGCCACTGTAGACTCCAACTCTGGGTGCACGGCATAGCCAAACAAAAGGCAGCAGAAACCTCTGCAGACTTAAATGTCCCTGTCTGACAGCTTGGAAGACAGTAGTGGTTCTCCCAGCGTGGAGCTTGAAATCTGAGAATGGACAGACTGCCTCCTCAAGTGGGTCCCAGATATATTTCAATTCTCGCATTGAAATATATCTGGTGTGCAACGAGAACAAAGACACAACGTACCAGAATCTCTGGGACACATTTAAAGCAGTGTGTAGAGGGAAACTGATAGCACTAAATGCCCACAAGAGAAAGCAGGAAAGATCTAAAGTTGACACCCTAACGTCACAATTAAAAGAACTAGAGAAGCAAGAGCAAACACATTCAAAAGCTAGCAGAAGGCAAGAAATAACTAAGATCAGAGCAGAACTGAAGGAAATAGAGACACAAAATCCCTTCAAAAAATCAATGAATCCAGGAGCTGGTTTTTTGAAAAGATCGGTAAAGTTGATAGACCACTAGCAAGACGAATAAAGAAGAAAAGAGAGATGAATCAAATAGACACAATAAAAAATGATAAGGGGATATCACCACCGATCCCACAGAAATACAAACTACCATCAGAGAATATTATAAACACCTCTATGCTAATAAACTAGAAAATCTAGAAATGGATAAATTCCTCGACACACACACCCTCCCAAGAATAAACCAGGAAGAAGTTGAATCTCTGAATAGACCAATAACAGGCTCTGAAATTCAGGCAATAATTAATAGCTTGCTGACCAAAAAAGTCCAGGAACAGACGGATTCACAGGCGAATTCTACCAGAGGTACAAGGAGGAGCTGGTACCATTCCTTCTGAAACTATTCCAATCAATAGAAAAAGAGGGAAACCTGCCTAACTCATTTTATGAGGCCAGCATCATCCTGACACCAAAGCCTGGTAGAGACACAACAAAAAAAGAGAATTTTAGACCAATATCCCTGATGAACATTGCTGCAAACATCCTCAATAAAATACTGGCAAACCGAATCCAGCAACACATCAAAAAGCTTACGTACTATGATCAAGTGGGCTTCATCCCTGGGATGCAAGCCTGGTTCAACATTTGCAAATCAATAAACGTAATCTAGCATATAAACAGAACCAACAACAAAAACCACATGATTATCTCAATAGATGCAGAAAAGGCCTTTGACAAAATTCAGCAGCCCTTCATGCTAAAAACTCTCAATAAATTAGGTATTGATGGGACGTATCGCAAAATAATAAGAGCTATTTATGACAAACCCACAGCCAATATCATACTGAATGGGCAAAAACTGGAAGCATTCCCTTTGAAAACTGGCACAAGACACGGATGCCCTCTCTCACCACTCCTATCCAACATAGTGTTGGAAGTTCCGGCCAGGGCAATCAGGCAGGAGAAAGAAATAAAGGGTATTCAATTAGGAAAAGAGGAAGTCAAATTGTCCCTGTTTGCAGATGACATGATTGTATATCTAGAAAACCCCATCGTCTCAGCCCAAAATCTCCTTAAGCTGATAAGCAACTTTAGCAAAGTCTCAGGATACAAAATCAATGTGCAAAAATCTCAAGCATTCTTATACACCAATAACAGAGAGCCAAATCATGAGTGAACTCCCATTCACAATTGCTTCAAAGAGAATCAAATACCTAGGAATCCAACTTACAAGGGATGTGAAGGACCTCTTCAAGGAGAACTACAAACCACTGCTCAGTGCAATAAAAGAGGATACAAACAAATGGAAGAACATTCCATGCTCATGGGTAGGAAAAATCAATATTGTGAAAATAGCCATACTGCCCAAGGTAATTTCTAGATTCAATGCCATCCCATCAAGCTACCAATGACTTTCTTCACAGAACTGGAAAAAACTACTTTAAAGTTCATATGGAACCAAAAAAGAGCCCGCATTGCCAAGTCAATCCTAAGCCAAAAGGACAAAGCTGGAGGCATCACACTACCGGACTTCAAACTATACTATAAGGCTACAGTAACCAAAACAGCATGGTACTGGTACCAAAACAGAGATATAGCCCAGTGGAACAGAACTGAGCCCTCAGAAATAATGTCACATATCTACAACCATCTGATCTTTGACAGACCTGACAAAAACAAGAAATGGGGAAAGGATTCCCTATTTAACAAATGGTGCTGGGAAAACTGGCTAGCCATATGTAGAAAGCTGAAACTGGATCCCTTCCTTACACCTTATACAAAAATTAATTCAAGATGAATTAAAGACTTAAATCTTAGACCTAAAACCATAAAAACCCTAGAAGAAAATCTAGGCAATACCATTCAGGACATAGGCATGGGCAAGGACTTCATGTCTAAAACACCAAAAGCAATGGCAACAAAAGCCAAAATTGACAAATGGGATCTAATTAAACTAAAGAGCTTCTGCACAGCAAAAGAAACTACTATCAGAGTGAACGGGCAACCTACAGAATGGGAGAAAATTTTTACAATCTATTCATCTGACAAAGGGCTGATATCCAGAATCTACAATGAACTCAAACAAATTTACAAGAATAAAACAAACAACACCATCAAAAAGTGGGTGAATGATATGAACAGACACTTCTCAAAAGAAGACATTTATGCAGCCAACAGACACATGAAAAAATGCTCATCATCACTGGCCATCAGAGAAATGCAAATCAAAACCACAGTGAGATACCATCTCACACCAGTTAGAATGGCAATCATTAAAAAGTCAGGAAACAACAGGTGCTGGAGAGGATGTGGAGAAATAGGAACACTTTTACACTGTTGGTGGGACTGTAAACTAGTTCAACCATTGTGGAAGTCAGTGTGGCGATTCCTCAGGGATCTAGAACTAGAAATACCATTTGACCTAGCCATCCCATTACTGGGTATATACCCAAAGGATTATAAATCATGCTGCTATAAAGACACATGCACGCGTATGTTTATTGCAGCACTATTCACAATAGCAAAGACTTGGAACCAACGCACATGTCCAACAATGATAGACTGGATTAAGAATATGTGGCACATATACACCATGGAATACTATGCAGCCATAAAAAAAGGATGAGTTCATGTCCTTTGTGGGGACATGGATGAAGCTGGAAACCACCATTCTCAGCAAACTATCGCAAGGACAAAAAATCAAACACCACATGTTCTCACTCATAGGTGGGAATTGAACAATGAGAACACTTGGACACAGAAAGGGGAATATCACACACCGGGACCTGTTGTGGGGTGGGGGGATGGGGAGGGATAGCATTAGGAGATATACCTAATGCTAAATGATGAGTTAATGGGTGCAGCACACCAACATGGCACATGTATACAAGTGTAACAAACCTGCACATTGTGCACATGTACCCTAGAACTTAAAGTATAATTAAAAATATATATATATATATATAAAATAAATCTACAATAATTCTTAGAATATTTGTATTATCATTAATTTCCATCTGGCTTCTTATCATTTGCTTTCTGGGATTTCTAATATCTGCCTTGTTATTGGACCATGGAGATTGGGAAGGAAAAATGGGGAAAGAGTACTTTTCAGAACCAGAAAGAGGTCTATGAATATTGGCCTAGTTTTTTTTTAACTGATTCAGAACCAGAGGTAGGGTATACAGCCAGGGTGTTCTATGAGTGGAAGCCCTATCATTTGTTTATATTTATCTCAAGTTTTGGCATTAGGTGGTCTTTCAGTCAAAGTAGAGAGGAGAGGATACACGAAGAACTGCTGTTTTTTTCCATGGGTTATTAAACATAAAGACCAGGCTGTTCAAAGGGCTTAGGAAATACTTGCTATCCATGCCACTTGGAGTCACTTGGTGCTATCCTTTTGTCACTCATCTCCTTCAAGCCTCCCTTCAAGATTTTTCATATGTAAAATAAAAGGGCAGTAAATGACACTAATTGACTATTATATATGGTTATTTTTGGATTTTTAGTCTAACTTACTTTCCACTTAGAAAAAGATATTCCGCTCAGCAACAACAATAAGAACAAACAACAACCTAATACAAAAATGGGCAAAGGAGTTGAATAGACATTTTTCAAATGGCCAATGAGCACATGAAAAGATGCTCTATATCTCTAATCACTAAGGAAATGCCAATCACACAATGAGTTACCACCTCACACCCATTAGGACGGCTATTATCAAAGCACCAGGAAATAAGAAGCATTAGTGAGGATGTGGAGAAATTGCAATCCCCATGCATTGTTCCTGGAAATGCAAAATGGTGCTGCCACTGTGGAAAACAGCACAGAGGTGCCTGAAAAAGTTAAACATAGAATTACCATATGACCCAGTAATTCCACTTCTAGGCATATACCCCAAATAATTGGAAGCAGGGACTCAAGTAGATACTTGTACACCAACATATATGCACAATAGCCAAAAGGTGAGAACAGCCCAAATGCCCATTAACATATGAATATATAAATACATTTGGTATACACATATAATATTATTCAGACTTAAAAAGGAAGGGAATTTAGATACACACTACAACATGAATTGAAAATATTATAGTATATAAAATAAGCCAGACACAAAAAACAAATATTGTATGATTTTGCTTAAATGAGATACCTAGAATAAACCAATTCATAGAGACAGAAAGTACGAGAGAGGTTACCAGGGGTTGGTGGAAGACAGAAATGCAGAGGTATGGAGTTTCTGTTTGAGATGATGACAATGTTCTGGAAATGGACAGTAGTGATGATTGCACAAAATTGTAAATACGCTTAATATCACTAAACTATATACTTAAGATGGTTAAAATGGTAAACTTATGGTTCATATATTTTACCCCAACTAATAAAACTTTCCACTCAAAAACAGAGAGTCTGTTATAGAATAGAAAGTATTGGGGCAAATTACCAGTCACCTAGGCTTCTCTTCTCCCAAATTTAAAGGAAATAGTAAGGTTCTGGGCAGCATCACAGTGAACTCTGGGGATAAAGCCAGTTGGTGAAATAGTAGTTGAGAAGAGTCACGGATAGTGACCAAGGTAAATAATTTTACTCTGTAGATAGTTTCTTACTCTCTCTTTTCTTTTTTTGAGACAGGGTCTCACTCTGTTACCCAGGCTGGAGTGCAAGAGTAAAATCATAGCTCATTGTAACCTTGAACTCGTGAGCTCAGGTGATCCTTCTGCCTCAGCCTCTCAAGTAGGTGGGCACATACCACCATGCCTGGCCAAGATTGTTTCCTTTTTAACTTTCCTCTTTAGAGTGTATATTATATATTAATATTTTGCATTTTTATATTGTTGGCAATTAGATAACTAAGTTTTTTTTTTTCTCTTAAACAGATAACTGTCAATTGGGAAAAGTACTTAACACTGCATTAGTGTCCTGCAACAAATTACCACAAATTGGGTGGTTGGTTTGTTTGTTTATGTATTTATTTAGAGACAGAGTCTCACTCTGTCACCAGGCTGGAGTGCAGTAGCATGATCTTGACTCGCTGCAACCTCCGCCTCTGGGTTCAAGCGATTCCCCTGCCTCAACCTCCCAAGTAGCTAGGACTACAGGTGCAGGCCACCACGCCTGGCTAATTTTTTGTATTTTAGTAGAGACGGGGTTTCACCATGTTGGCCAGGATGATCTCGATCTCCTGACCTCGTGGTCCGCCTGCCTTGGGCCTCCCAAAATACTGGGATGACAGGCATGAGCCACCGAGGCCGGCCTGGGTGGTTTAAAAGAGCAGAAATTTATTCTCTTGTAGTTCTGAATCCCAGAAGCCTGGAATCAGTACCATTGGTCCAAAACTAGTGTTGGCAGAGCCAGGCTTCCTCCAGAGGCTATAGGGGAGAATTATCTTGCCTCCTCCAGCTTCTAGTGGCTGCTGGCATTCTTTGCCTGTGGCCACATCATGCCAGTCTCTGCTTCCTCTTCAAATCTCCTTCTCATCTCCGCTGCATATGTAAAGTCCCCATCTGGCTTCTGTCTTGTAAGGATACATGTGATTGCATTTAGGACCTGAAGAGTAATCTCTACATCCAAACCCTTAATTTAATCATATCTGCAAAGATCCTTCTTTCTCATAAGGTGAAATTTACAGGCTCTGGAAATTAGGACCTGCTATGTGTGGAGGACAATTATTCTGCCTAAGACAATCACCTTATATGATGATCCAGCCATTGTGCACATACACACAAACACACACATACACAAATGTGGGCATTTTTTTTCCTACCAAAGGCATGTTAAAAAATCTTTATAGCAGCATGACTTATTATAGAAACTAGAACAACTCAAATATACATCAACAGTAGAATAGACGAACAAGCTGTTGTATGTATGTATGGTCATACAATAGGATATTTTGCAACAATAAGAATGAAAACACTATAACTACATACAACATGGATGAATCTCACATGTATAATGTAACTGAAAGAAGAGTAAACCCTAAAAGAGTCCACTTATGTAATATTAAAGCAGACAAAATGAATCTGCAGTGTTAAAAGTTAGGATGGTGGTTTCCTTGGAGGTGGCAATGACTGAAGAGCATGCAAGAGAGTTTTCAGAGTGCTGGCAAGATTTGTTGATCTGGGTACTAGTTGCTTAGGTAAGCTCACTTTGTGAGAGTGCATTGAGCCTCCCACTTATGATTTGTGCACATTACAAAAAAAGTACAATTAAGTGAAAAGAAAGCTAACAGTTTTCTTAGGGTCAGGCAGAATCTTCAGGGTGGTAGCCAGACAGCTAAACTCAGAAGAAGAGGAAGAGGTTCTGACTTTACATCAAAGTCAGGGTTTTAGGAGTTTGAAGTTAACCAGAGCCTAAGAACAGATAGGTAAGACAGAGGATATTTAGAGAAGTGCCAGCTCTTCTCAAATTCTTTGAGAAGATGTATCAATAAATCAATCAGTTGATAGATAAATGGATCTCTAGATAAAGTAGAGGTATGGTCTGAATATAGGGAGTTGGGTCAGTTAAGCCAAGAACTATCAAGACTATGCTGTCCACTGGTAGCCATTGGCCACATGTGGCTATTAACCACTTGAAATGTAGCCAGTACAAATTGAAATGTTCTGCTTATGAGACTTCAAAGACATAACAAAAAAAAGTGAACAATGTCTTTCTATATTGACTACATTTTGAAATAACCTTTGAGTATATTTGGTTAAATTAAATATGTAATTAAAATAAATTCTATGTGTTTTATTTAAAAAAATTCTAGAATAATTAAAATGATATTGTATGACTAACACTTGTGACTTGCATTCTATTTTTGTTAGACAGCACTGATTTAGACCACAGTAAATCTGATAAACAATTAATAGGTATATGAGCTATTGCTTGCTTGCTCTTCTGCCTAATGTAGGACATGAACAGGCCTAATTAGGTTTAACCTCACGAAGTGAATTCTAAAGAGACTGAGGTTGGTAGTGAACAAGAGAACTATTATTTGAGTTTTCGCACCTATGGGAAGCTTAATTGTTCAAAACAATGACTTCAAAACTGAGGCATCACTGCTTATGTAATCTCTTAAGAGACCCAGTGTAGAGAATATTATAAACAGTTTTTTGAGAAAAGGTAGTGTGACAAAGTGGGCAGAGAACTGTCATCGGAGTCAGGCATTTCTGAATTCAAGGGACAGAGTATTACTCACAGGCTGGGTGGCCTCAGTCCAATAACATAATTTCTGTGGACTTCGTTTGCCACAGCTATACAATGGGCTTATTAATATCTAACTAGTAAGGTGGGTGTTAGGTTTGAATTAATATATAATGTATATAGCACAGAAATGATTGTCAAAATGTGGTAGTTGCTATCATTCTTACGTTCATTAAAAAGTATAAAGCATTAGGAGATATACCTAATGTTAAATGATGAGTTAGTGGGTGCAGCACACCAATGTGGCACATGTATACATATGTAACAAACCTGCACATTGTGCACATGTACCCTAAAACTTAAAGTATAATAATAAAAAAAGAAAACATAATAAACATTTTATGGGTTTGAATCAGAAAAATTCTAAGAGTTTTTTTTGTTTTGTTTTGTTCTTTGTTTTTGTAGATTCTTAGGATACTTTAGACAAATCTTGGGCCATCCAAACCTTTGGTTTCCCTGGCAAATAATGAAGATAAGCTCACATGGAAAGCCAGGCCACAGGACGTCTTCTCTTTCTCCTTGTGTACATTTAGCTTCAAGGAATTGGTTCCTGGATCACAAAGAATTACTCTGCATTTAAGCACTCAGCAATGGCAATTCACTCCTTCTAGTCCCACATGTGGGCAGGCCGCCCCATCAGTCATTCTCACATTCACCTATCAACGTGTCATTGCAGTATGAGAGATCTGTTTTGGCAGGCTCGCTGCAGGGTACATGTAATCAGTGGAGACACCACACTTAACTGTGATTGATGCCAGTCTTTTGACAATTTCTCTGCCAGACCCCTCCATCATTCGGTGGCAATGTTTTCCTGAGTGCTAAATAATTTCTCTGAATTATCACAGCCACTTTGTAGACCAAGTTGCACAGATGTCTTTTGTCACAGATGCACTGGGAAGGGCTTTTACCTTGTATGTGCCTTTTCTTCTTAACCTCGGATGCTTGTTTCCATGCTTGTACCGCTTTCTCTATTCATCACAGATTTTTTTTTCGAGGTAAATAAAAGGGATATTATAATTGGTCTAGTTGGGCAGATGTCTGAAACTATTTCCAATTCTTCATTTGGCTGGTGACATGGCTGGTGGCATGACCTTAAAAATATAATTATTACTATGCCTTTGTATTTTTCTTCTTTTAGACATCATGACTTTTAAGAATTTGAGATTTTATACAGATTCAAATAAGGTGTCCTCTCTTATAATCTGGCATTTGATGTTGGCCATAGAGGCCTTCTAAATTTGGACTTGAGTGAGAATGGCCTCAGTTTCTCCCTTTCCTTTTCCCAAGATCCCAGCCCCAGCTCTAAACCCAGAGGTATAACTGTGATGAGACCATTAGTAGATGACAAATTCTGATGGCCCCAGCAACTCCTCCGTTATGCAGAGAGACCTATAACTGAAAGCTAGAGCTATGCACAATAAAATACTTGCTTGGGCTGGGTGGGTGAATCGCCTGAGGTCAGAAGTTCAAGACCAGCCTGGCCAACATGGTGAAACCCCGTCTCTATTAAAAATACAAAATTAGCCGGGCATGGTGGTGTGTGCCTGTAATCCCAGCTACTCTGGGGGCTGAGGCAGGAGAATCGCTTAGAACCTAGGAGGCAGAGGTTGCAGTGAGCTGAGATCATGCCACTGCACGCCAGTCTGGGCGACAGAGCGAGACTCTGTCTCAAAAACAACAACAACGACAACAACAGAAACACTTGGCTGATCCTCTTTATGAAAAATGAACAGCACTTTCATTTGATGATATCCAAAGAGTCATTGAAAAAGAGGGAGAGCCAAGTTCAAATTAATGGGACATATTCTAACAACTAAAAGGCGATAGGTGGTTAACTTCACCTTCCACTCAAGATCAACCATTGCTCCTAGCACACTCTCTCTTCCTTGAAGCAAAAAATACCGATTGTTGCTTCTAAATGTCTGATTAGTGTCCTTCTTTCTCTTCTATACCCTCCTGCAAATCTCAGTGAATAAAAATTAGAATTCATACAAATTCTCAGGAAAACATGGACATGCCCATTTAGGATGACTTTAAGGAATAAATAAAGTACCAAGGAGAGTAAAATGTAATCTTTTCTTCTTAAATATGTATTTTTAGAACTCTGTCTCAAGTCTAACATCATCTGAAAAGGCTGTGCTAATAATTTTACCTGTCAAGTGTTTCTTTACCATTTTTTGCTTTAAAAATGTTCTAAGACCCCAATAATATTATAATACACACTCTCATTCTCTATTTACATGAACCATATTACTTTCCCACATGAGGTGGGACTCTATAGTGGGATGGGAAAACTTTTTCCATAAAGGGGTGGAGAGTAATTATTTTAGACCTTGCAATGCAAGAGGCAGTGCCCTCAACAGTTGGAGCAACTTTTCTCACCAAAAGCTAATCATCTTTTTTTTTTTTTAAATAATAGCTTTATTCAGACATAATTCACATGCTATACAGTTCTCCAACTTAAAGTGTGAAATGCAACGGTTGTTCTAAAATTTATTGTGGTGATGTTTGCACAGAGTTGTGCAAACATTTTCATCACCCCCAAAATAACCTTGTACCTAATAGCAGTCACAACCAATTTTTACTCAAAACCCCCTAGTCTTAGGTAACCACTAATCTATTTTATGTCTCCATATATTTTCCTATCCTGGATGTTTTATATAAATAGAATCATATAATACATGATCTTTTGTAGCTGGTTTCTTTCACTTAACATAATGTATTCAAGCTTACTCTGTGTTATAATGTGTGTCCGTAATTGCTTTTTTTTATTGCCAAGTAATATTCCATTGTATGGATATACCACATTTTATTTACCTATTTATTAACCAACAGGCATTTGAGTTGCTTCTACTTTTTGGCTATTATGAATAATGCTGCTGTTAATATTAGTATACAAGTTTTTTTGTGTGTGTTTGTGTGGACATGCATTCTCAATTCTCTTGGATATATACCTAGGAGTAGAATTGCTGGATCCCATAGTTATTCCTTGTTTAAATTTGGATGAATGGCCAGACCATTTTCCAAAGTGGCTGTACCATTTTACATTCATACCAGTAGTGTATGAAATTTCCCCTTTCTCTAAATCCTTGCTAACACTTGTTATTCTCCATCTTTTTTTTTTAATTACAGCCATCCCAACACAAATCAAGTGGTATCACTTGGTTTTGATTATCATTCTACTAATGACTAATGGTGTTGAGCATCTTTTCATGGGATTATTGGCCTTTTGAATATCTTCTTTGGAGAAATTTCTAGCCGGATCCTTTGATATTTTAAATTGGGTATTTGTCTTTTTATTTTTGAGTTGTTGGAGTTTCTTATATTTTTTTTAATGCAAGCCACTTATTAGATATATGATTTGCAAATCTTTTCTCTCATTTTATCTTCTCATTTATCCTTTCTTCCTTTGAAGTACAAAAGTTTTAATTTTGATGAAGTTCAATTTATCTGTTTTTTCTTTTATTACTTGGGTTTTAGGTGTCCTATCTGAGAAACTGTTGCCTAATCCAAGGTCATGAAGATGATGTCTCTCTTTTCCTCTGAGCATTTTATAATCTTAGTTCTTATATTTGGATCTAGAATCCATTAAGTTAATTTTTGTGTATGATGTGAGATAAGCACCTGACTTTATTATTTTCCATGTGGATATCTGTCCCAGTACCATTTGTCAAAAAGGCTTATTTCCCCATGGAATTATTTGGCACCCTTGTCAAAGTCAGTTGACCATATATGTACATGGATTTATCTTTGGAATCCCTCATTCAATTAATCTGTTTATCTATCCTTATGCTAGCACTGCATAGACTAGTGTAGCTATGTAGTAAGCTTTGAAATTGAGAAGTGTGAGTCCTTCAACTTTGTTCTTCTGTTTTAAGATCATTTTGTTTTGGTTATTATGGGTCCCTCTAGTTTCCACGTGCATTTTGGAAGCAACTTAGTAATTACTGCAAAAAAGCCAGCTAGAATTCTGATAGAGATTGCATTTAATCTATCGATCAATTTTGGGAGCATTGTCATCTTAACAATGTTAAATATTCTGGTCCATGAAATAAAATACCTTTTATTTAGGTCTTCTTTAATTTCTTTCAACAATATTATGTTGTTTTCAGAATTTAACTTTTGACTTTTTTGGTTAATATTATTCCTTAGTTTTTATTCTTTTTGATGCTTTGTAAATGAAATTATTTGTTTTATTAATTTAATTTTTGAGTTGTTCATTGTAGTATATAGAAATATACTGGGAATATAGTTGGAAATAGTTAAGATGTGGAATCAATCTGTGTCCATCAATGGATGAATAAAGAAAATGTGGTATATTTATAGAAAATGGAATACCATTCCACCTTTAAAAGGAGGGAAATATTTTTCTTTTGTGGCAACATGAATGAATCTGAAGGACATTATGTTAAGAGAAATAAGCCAGACACAGATACCACATGATCTCATATTTGGAGTATAAGACAGTTGAACTCATGGAAGCAGAGTAAAATGGTGGTTATCAGAAGGGGGTGGGGAAATTGAGGAAATGTTGACCAAATGACACAAAATTTCTGTTGAACATGAGAAATAAGTTCAAGAGATCTACTGTATGTCAGGTACAGTTAATACCGATATATTACATACTTGAAAATTGCTAAAAGAAAATTGCTAAAAGAATATATTTGAAGTATTCTTATCACAAAAAATGACAAGTAAGTGAGGCAATGCATACATTAAGTAGCTTGATTTAGCCATTACACAATGTATACATACGACTAAACACGTTAAACACCATATATATAATCTTTACTCCTCAAAATAAGCAAAATACTTAAAAAAAGAATTACAATTTAATTTTGTACATTGATCTTGTATCCTGCAACCTTAGTGAACTTGTTTATTACTTCTAATACTTTTAGTGCATTCCTAGGATTTTGTATATGCAATACGATATCTGTTAATATAGTTTTACTTATTACTTTTCAATCTGGATGACTTCTATTTCTTTCACTTGTTGAATTAGTTTGTTTAAAATCTTTAGTACAAAGTTCAATAGAAGTGGTGACAGGGGACATCCCTGTCTTGTTATTAAACTTATGTGAATTGGTTTTGTTTTTTCATTATAATTATGATGTTAGCTGTGGGTTAGTGGCCCTTTATCAGGTTGAGGAAGATGCTTTTTCTGCATCTATTTAGGTTATAAAGTGGTCTTTGTTCTTCTATGAATATGGTGAATTACATTGATTGATTTTCATATGTTGAAGCAGCCTTGCATTTGGTGATAGATCCCACTTGGTCATGGTGTATAATCACTTCATTTTCAGCTAAATTTGTTTGCTAGTATTTTCTTGAGGAGTTTTGTGTTTGTGTTCACAAGGATATTGGTCTGTAGATTCCATTTCTTGTGATGTCTTTATCTGGTTTTGGTATTAGGATAATACTGGTTACAAAGAATGAGTTGGAAAATATTCCCTCTTCTTTTATTTTTTAGAAGAATTTGTGAAGTATTGGTGTTAATTTTTCTTTAAATAGTTGTTAGAATTCCCTGGTGAATTTATCTGTCCCTGAGCTTTCTTTTGTGATTTTTTTGTTTATTTGTTTACTGGCTCAATCTCTCTATTTGTTAGACATCTATTACAATTTTCTAATGCTTCTTGAGCTCAGTTTTGGTAGTTGTGTCTTCTTAGGAATTTATCCATTTCAACTAACTGATCTAACTTGTTAGCATGCAATTGTTCATAGCATTTTCTTATAATTACTTTTTTTTTTTTGAGGAGTCTTGCTCTGTTGCCCAGGCTGGAGTGCAGTGGCATGATCTTGGCTTACTGCAATATCCACCTCTCGGGCTCAAGAGATTCTCCTGCCTCAGCCTCCCAAGTAGCTAGGACTACAAGCACACACCACCAGGCCCAAATAATTTTTGTATCTTTTAGTAGGGATGGGGTTTCGCCATGTTTGCCAGGTTGGCCTTGAGCTCCTGACCTCAGGCAATCCACCTGCCTTGGCCTCCCAGAGTGCTGGGATTACAGGTGTGAGTCATCGTATGGCCACCTTATAATTACTTTTATATCTTAAGTATGATAGTTATGTGCCCTCTTTTATTCCTCATTTTGGTAATTTGAGCCTTCTATATTTTGTGTTTGGCCAGTGTACTAGTCCGTTTTACAGTTCCACATGGTTGGGAGGCCTCAGAATCATGGCAGGAGGTGAGAGGCACTTTTTACATAGTGGCAAGAGAAAATGAAGAGGAAGCAAAAGCAGAAAGCCCTGATAAACCTATGAGATCTTGTGAGACTTAGTCACAATCATGAGAATAGCAAGGGAAAGACTGGCCCCCATGATTCAGTTACCTCCCGCTGTGTCCCTCCCTCAACATGTGGGAATTCTGGGAGATAAAATTCAAGTTGAGATTTGAATGGGGACACAGCCAAGCCATATCATTCCCCCCCCGACCCCTCCAAACCTCCTGTCCTCACATTTCAAAACCAGTCGTGCCTTCCTAACAGTCCCCCAAAGTCTTAACTCATTTCAGCATTAACTTGAAAGTTCACAGTCCAAAGTCTCATCTGAGACAAGGCAAGTCCCTTCTGCCTATAAGCCTGTAAAATCAAAAGCAAGTTACTTACTTCGTAGATACAACGGGGGTACACGTATTGGGTAAATACAGCCATTCCAAAGGGGGAGAAATTGGCCAAAACAAAGGGGTTACAAGGCTCATGCAAGTCTGAAATCCAGCAGGGCAGTCAAATTTTAAAGCTCCAAAATGATCTCCCTTGACTCCATGTCTCACATCCAGGTCATGCCTATGCAAGAGGTGGGTTCCCATGGTCTTGGGCAGCTCTGCCCCTGTGGCTTGCAGGGTACAGCCTCCCTCCAGGCTGCTTTTGCTGGCTGGTGTTGAGTGTCTGTGGCTTTTCCAGGTGCATGGTGCAAGCTGTCAGTGAACCTATCATTCTGGGGCCTGGAGGACAGCGGCCTTCTTCTCAAAGATCCATTAGGCAGTGCCCCTGTAGGGACTCTGTGTGGGGGTTCCAACCCCACATTTCCCTTCTGCACTGCCCTAGCAGAGATTCTCCATGAGGGCCCCACTCCTGCAGCAAAGTTTTGCCTGGACATTCACACATTTCCATACATCTTCTGAAATCTAGGCAGAAGTTCCCAAACCTCAATTCTTGACTTCTTTGCACTCGCAGCTCAACACCACGTGGAAGCTACCAAGGCTTGGGGCTTCCAACCTCTGAAGCCACAGCCCAAACTGTATGCTGGCCCCTTTCAGACACAGCTGGAGAGGCTGGGACACAGGGCACCAAGTCCCTAGGCTGCACACAGCATGGGGACCCTGGGCTTGGCCCACAAAACCACTTTTTCCTCCTGGGGCTCTGGGCCTGTGATGAGAGGGGCTGCTGTGAAGGTCTCTGACTTGCCCAGGTTACATTTTCCTCATGGTCTTGGGGATTAACGTTAGGCTTCTTGCTACTTTGGCATACAGTCAAAAATCATGTCAAACCATTGTAAGTCCAGATGCTCCTAAACTTACAATGGGATTACATCTGGATAAACCCATCATAACATGGAAAAATCATTGTTAAGTCATTGTAAGTCAAGAATTGACTTATAGGCATTTTCAGCTATAAATTTATCCCTGAGCACTGCTTTAGTTGCATCATATGAATTTTACTATATTGTTTTCATATTTATTTATATCAAAGTATGCCTTAATTTTCTTTGTTTTCTTCTTTGCTCATGGGTTTTTCAAGAGTGTGTTAATTTTCACATATTGGTGAACTTCCCAAATTTATTTCTGTTATTGATTTCTAATTTCTGTCTATTGTGATTGGAGAACATACTTTGTATGATTGCAATGCTTTTTTTAAATATATATATATTTATTATACTTTAAATTCTAGGGTACTTATGCACAACATGCAGGTTTGTTACATATGTATACATGTGACTTTAACTCATCATTTACATTAGGTATATCTCCTAATGCTATCCCTCCCCCATCCCCCCACCCCACAACAGGCCCTGGTGTGTGATGTTCCCCTTCCTGTGTCCATGTGTTCTCATTGTTCAATTCCCACCTATGAGTGAGAACATGTGGTGTTTGGTTTTTGTCCTTGCGATAGTTTGCTGAGAATGATGGTTTCCAGCTTCATCCATGTCCCTACAAAGGACATGAACTCATCCCTTTTTATGGCTGCATAGTATTCCATGGTGTATATGTGCCACATTTTCTTAATCCAGTCTATAATTATTGGACATTTAGGTTGGCTCCAAGCCTTTGCTATTGTGAGTAGTGCCAGAATAAACATACGTGTGCATGTGTCTTTATAGCAGCATGATTTATAATCCTGTGGGTATATACCCAGTAATGGGATGGCTGGGTCAAATGGTATTTCCAGTTCTAGATCCCTGAGGAATCGCCACACTGTCTTCCACAATGGTTGAACTAGTTTACAGTCCCACCAACAGTGTAAAAGTGTTCCTATTTCTCCACATCCTCTCCAGCACCTGTTGTTTCCTGACTTTTTAATGATTGCCATTCTAACTGGTGTGAGATGGTATCTCATGGTGGTTTTGATTTGCATCTCTCTGATGGCCAGTGATGATGAGCATTTTTTCATGTGTCTGTTGGTTGCATAAATGCCTTCTTTTGAGAAGTGTCTGTTCATATCCTTCACCCACTTTTTGATGGGATTGTTTGTTTTTTTCTTGTAAATTTGTTTGAGTTCTTTGTAGATTCTGGATATTAGCCCTTTGTCAGATGAGTAGATTGCAAAAGTTTTCTCCCATTCTGTAGGTTGCCTGTTCACTCTGATGGTAGTTTCTTTTGCTGTGCAGAAGCTCTTTAGTTCAGTTAGATCCCATTTGTCAATTTTGGCTTTTGTTGCCATTGCTTTTTGTGTTTTAGACATGAAGTCCTTGCCTATGTCTATGTCCTGAATGGTATTGCCTAGGTTTTCTTCTAGGGTTTTTATAGTTTTAGGTCTAACATTTAAGTCTTTAATCCATCTCGAATTAATTTTTGTATAAGGTGTAAGGAAGGGATCCAGTTTCAGCTTTCTACTTATGGCTAGCCAGTTTTTCAGCACCATTTGTTAAATAGGGAATCCTTTCCCCATTTCTTGTTTTTGCCAGGTTTGTCAAAGATCAGATAGTTGTAGATACATGGCAGTATTTCTGAGGGCTCTGTTCTGTTCCATTGGTCTATATCTCTGTTTTGGTACCAGTACCATGCTGTTTTGGTTACTGTAGACTTGTAGTATAGTTTGAAGTCAGGTAGTGTGATGCCTCCAGCTTTGTTCTTTTGGCTTAGGATTGACTTGGCAATGCGGGCTCTTTTTTGGTTCCATATGAACCTTAGTTTTTTCCAATTCTGTGAAGAAAGTCATTGGGAGCTTGATGGGGATGGCATTGAATCTAGAAATTACCTTGGGCAGTATGGCCATTTTCACGATATTGATTCTTCCTATCCATGAGCATGGAATGTTCTTCCATTTGTTTGTATCCTCTTTTATTGCACTGAGCAGTGGTTTGTAGTTCTCCTTGAAGAGGTCCTTCACATCCCTTGTAAGTTGGATTCCTAGGTATTTGATTCTCTTTGAAGCAATTGTGAATGGAAGTTCACTCATGATTTGGCTCTCTGTTTGTCTGTTATTGGTGTATAAGAATGCTTGTGATTTTTGTACATTGATTTTGTATCCTGAGGATTTGCTGAAGTTGCTTATCAGCTTAAGGAGATTTTGGGCTGAGATGATGGGGTTTTCTAAATATACAATCATGTTATCTGCAAACCAGGGACAATTTGACTTCCTCTTTTCCTAATTGAATACCCTTTATTTCTTTCTCCTGCCTAATTGCCCTGGCCAGAACTTCCAACACTATGTTGAATAGGAGTGGTGAGAGAGGGCATCCCTGTCTTGTGCCAGTTTTCAAAGGGAATGCTTCCAGTTTTTGCCCATTCAGTATGATATTGGCTGTGGGTTTGTCATAGATAGCTCTTATTATTTTGCGATACGTCCCATCAATACCTAATTTATTGAGAGTTTTTAGCATGAAGGGCTGTTGAATTTTGTCAAAGGCTTTTTGTGCATCTATTAAGATAATCATGTGGGTTTTGTCTTTGGTTCTGTTTATATGCTGGATTACGCTTATTAATTTGTGTATGTTGAACCAGCCTTGCATCCCAGGCATGAAGCCCGCTTGATCATGGTGGATAAGCTTTTTGATGTGCTGCTGGATTTGGTTTGCCAGTATTTTATTGAGGATTTTTGTTGCTTTTAAATTTACTGCGGCTTGTTTCATGACCTACTATATGTATCGTTTGGAGAATAATGTGCACTTGAGAAGAATGTGTAGCCTTCTATTGTTGAGTAGTGTGTTATAGATGTCTGTCATGTCTAGTTTTATAGACTTATTCAAATTTTCTATGTTCTTTATTGGTCTTCTGCCTGGTTGTTCTATCCATCATTGAGGGAGAAGTATTAAAGTCTTTAGCTTTATTATTGAATTGTGTGTTGCTCAGTTTAATTATGTCAGGTTTTGACTTGTGTATTTTGGGCCTCTGTTGTCAGATGCATATATGTTTCTAATAGTTAAATCTTCATGGATCCTTTCATTGTTACATTATTAGGCTTCACTAATTTCCACCAAATTGCTCTGTTGCTTTTGGCAATGCTCTTGGGCTTAAATTTTCCCCCAAGCTAGTCCAGTTAAACTCAGGGCCGTTTTCAGGGGCAAATTTTGAGGCCAGTCTTTGGGGTTTCTTTTAATCCCAGGAGGACTCGCTGGGTTTTTTAATTTTTTTTATTTTTTTTATTTTTTTTTTGGTTCTCTCTGGTAAACTAGCAGTCCTGTGATTTACTTGATGCTCTCATGGAGCTAGCAGCTTCCTCTTAACTGCATACCACTAAAGTCTCCATTGTCTTTTAGAATGCCTTTAGGCTTGAACTTCCCTACACTGTTTCAGATAAAATCAGTTTCTTTTGGGGAGAGCCTCAGAGTTCTCTGTTCTTTTGTATTACCTCTTCCCTTACACAAAACTCAGAGCTATGCTCCAGAGCTGAAAGCAGGAATAATACTCCTGGTTTACAAACAGGGCTCTGGGCAGTAATGTTAACCTCTGCTATTTCAGCTTGTCTATTGTGGCATAAAATCTCTGCCTTGTAGGTGAGGTGGTCTACTATGCCTGGCACAGATAGATCCTCTGCCCTATGAGTAGGGGTTATCTGGAAAAAGAGAGCCTTGACCTCTTTGCCACATTTGACAAGAATTTAGCCTCTGTGGCTGGGCATGGTGGCTCACACCTGTAATCCTAGCACTTTGGGAGGCCACGGCAGGCAGATCACTTGAGGTCAGGAGTTCGAGACCAGCCTGGCCAAGATGGTGAAACTCCGTCTCTACTGAAAATACAAAAATTAGCCGGGGGTGGTGGCATGTGCTCAAGTTCCACAAACTCTGACTCATTTTTACCAAGATTTAGTAAATGTTCTTCGTTAAATGTTCCTTCATTTTGGTGTATACAATTAAGACACTTTCCAGCAGCTTTAAATGTTTTTGTTTGATTTTGGTGTTAATGTTTTTCACCAGTTATAGTTGTTTTGCTGAGGAACAGATCCATAGAGATTCTCATGCCATGACTCCAGACATAAAATCCCTTAATATTTTGCAATTTTACATTTAAAATGGAGAAACTATTCTTAGCTCACAGGCCATAGAAAAACAGAAAATGGGCTAGATTTGGCCTGCAAGCTATAGTTTGCTATTCCCTGCTCTATACTAACGATGCTGATTTCCATGTCATTTGTGGCACCTGCATCAAAATTTTATAGTCGTACTTTACATTTGAGAATTTTAAATACACTTTTTTCCTGCTATAGGTGAAGGATTTTATTCATCTGGGTATATACTCTCATTTTTATACTGAGGGTTACATAATTCTGGCCTTACCAGCTGTACCAGGTGTTTGAGCAGTAAGGAGAGTAAGGAAGTAAAAAAGAACTCCTTCCATGCCTGCCATGGCAAGACTGCTCTTCTTTTTCTGATAATTAGTACTGCAAATTTAGCTCATTATCTATAAGTTCTGCAAGGACTGGTAATTTCTTCAATAAGACCTGGTCATTAAGAGCTAATTCTCAGTGATCAGATAGTTGTGTAAGAACTTTGATGTCCAGCTGGAGGACCTACACCGTGGTCCTCTGATACTCTACCCCCATTTTCCATGTAGTGGTTCCCAGCAGTCTGCAGCCTCCAAGCTCATCATTCCTCTGCGGTCCCAATTCAGAAAGGCATGAAGAAAGGAAAGCGTCTACTTTTATACTCCTCAAAAACATAACTTTGGGAGCGGTTGCGTTGCTTATCTTCTGTTGACATCATGATTCCTCATCCCTCCAGTGGTCTTTCCACTGCTCTGGGAGATGCCACCAGGCTCAGTAGCTAGGAAGATATGCCACCAGGCTCAGTAGCTAGGAAGATATACCACCATGAAGTCTGATGCCAGGATCCCATTCTTGAAGGGATCCCATTCAGACTTTAAAAACATTTATCATGAAGGACCTTCCTCTTATCTTCCAGGCTAGTGGGAGAGTGGGGACCAGTTTTGAGAATTCTCTCATAGCCCATGAGAAGAGGAACAAAGGAGACACTACACTTTCCCCAGAAGTTTTGTTACCCTCCCAGCCATTTTACATATTAAGTAGTCCATTAGCTGTGGCTGTGGTGGGAGTGCTCACTATGCCAAGATGACGTCTCTCAATAAATCCTGTGGGTTGTTATCTCATTCCTAAAACTTGCAGGACTTTGAAATTATCATGGAGCACGTAGTCCCCTTTGTTCTCATCTGCGGGGTTTAACCATTTTCCAAAATAAGGATGATCTTCATAATAGTCTCACCCACCAACTTTGAGATTATGATTTTCATTTACCATGTCATCCTATTGTATATATCAAAAACATAGTAAAAAGTCTATCAGAAAATTATTGAGAGCTGATTATGTATATGACACATAAGAAAGAAATAATTTCTGTTTTTGGTTAATCATTAGAGCAACAATAGGTAGAGTTCATGTTAGCCAGATAGAACAACATCTAAGGTAATATAAATTTGATGACTAAATTGAGCTGAACAAATGTATCTCTTAACAATTTGGTAGAGATATCTTGCTACCTATTTAGGAAATAGGTTGTCCCCTCATTGCTGACTAAATCCACATCATTGTCCTCTCCCTGCCATGGATCACTTTTTAGTATGTCATCTCACAGATTTCCAAGACATCAGTTCTTCTTTGAACAGTAGCCACAACAATGATTTCAGAAAAGGTGAGGTTAAGGAGTGGGAGTGAGGTAGGGGAAAACTGTTTTCTTCTTTACTAATGTGCTAAGCATGGACACAATTATTTACACACTATGCTGCCCAAACCAATCAAAAATCTTCAGCAAAATGTTACTGAAAACTTTGGTATAACAGGAGAGAATTACATCACACAGGAACTCAAGTCCAGATAGTAGATATGACTGATCTCATATCCATAAAGGTCAAGCCCCTTTCCTTGGGACCCTTCTTGGATACTTCACAGTCCAGCTCTGAGTCTACTTCCATGTGGAGAAAGCTGGCCAACCTATCTGGAAATGAGAGAGAGAGAGAACAAGCTCTAGGTCCTCTTGTGTCCAAGGCCATAATCACCTGCTTCAAAGCTGCTTTCTGAGTCCTCATTTTGTGGCCTAGATCCTGCTCCTTCTGAGATAATTGGCTTTTGGGACACTCACTGTTTTCATTGTCAGGAAAAACAACAATAACAACAACAAAAACTAATGCTTTTTACCCATGGTAGTTATCCTTGGCCTTACCCTAGGATTATCCCTTCAGGATTATGTATCACATCACAAATACCTAATATCAACACTTTCATCCATATCTAGAAAATTTGGTTTGGAATAACATTGCTGAGGGATACAACTTTAATATATGGCTCTTTTTGGGTGTCAGCAATCAAAATCATCCGGCAGCTTTATGCTTCTTCTACTAGCATAAGATAAGAGTATGTCCCTGAATTATCCCTGTCATCTTCTGGATTCTAATCCCAGTTGTCTGTGGGTAACTGCTTGAATGAGAACACATACACATTTCGAAAGCAATTTCAAATGAAGTGTAATTATAATCCACATTTATGAAAAAAATTCTAAAGGAAGTCATATCTAGAGATTAGACTTCACCACAAGGAATATAAATTTGATATTTTAATAACATTACTTAGACTCCTTGCTTTTTTTTTTCCTTTTCACTACCAAAAGTCTATAGCAATGGGTTTTATAAAAAAGGACTATTTGCTCCAAAGAGCAAGTCAAAGTTCCCAACTTCTCATAACACTTGAAAGTTTGAGATTATGATTCTTCCATTAATGTTTCAAAACTCCAATTCAGTTTTAGGATACAATTTCAAAAATGCTCTTAGCAACTTCTGTAGAAAAAAGGATTCCCAAGTATAAGAATGCTGAGTCTTTCAGTGCAGGCGGTAGATCAGTCTCCACCTGCCACAGCCAACCCCAGGGGACCCAGTCTTCCACTGGCAGCCTGAACAGAAGTAATATCCCTTCCAGCTAGAGCCAGATCCTTCTGACTTCCTCAGTCTTCAAACTCGTGGGAACTGGTTAGCACAGAGTAACCCAGGCCCTCCCTACTAAATGTGTTAAAACCAATTGCTAAATCTACAAATCAGGCTTGCATAACAAAATACTATTTAGTGCAAGAAATATTTCTGTAACTATAACACCAGCTCTTTAAAAATATCTTAAATTCCAAAGACTAAGAGTTTTTAATGAAATGAGTTCAGGTAAGCAGATTTTTCAAAAAACGTTCAGCCCAGCAACCAGCCCCGAGTTTGACAGACCTGAACTGCACAGTTCTTGAGGGATCTCAATGCCTGAGTGAGCCTCCCAAGTTGCCTTGCTAACTCCCAAAGTGAGAGTCAGGCCTGGCAGAAGAGAGCATAAGTTATTCCAAGTCTGCACAATCACACACTTTTTTTCTCAAATCCTTGGTCTCCAGGGACTACCTTGCAAGAGGAAAAGTTAATTTGCCATAACACATTTAATAAAGAAAAGACAACATAGAAAATCCTCTTTTAATCACATTGCATACTCAAGACACATTTTATGGTAAGAATTGCTAAATTTAAACCACAGACAAGGACACTTAAAATTTTCATTTATGGAAACAAAAAGATTTGTCCATTTTTTTTTTTCAGTAAACATTTGATACGTATCTCCTCTTCACCAGGCATTGGACAAGGCACTGGCAAGATTGTAAGGGAAGAGTTTTGCTCTTGGTTGCCAGAGATGCATATTGTTAAACAGGAAACACACATGCAGTTTCCACTAGTATCTGATAGAATAAAGCAAATACCAGATAAAGGTACAAGCAAAATACTACAGACGTGCAGAAGTATTATAATAATAAAGACGATGATGATAAGGGTAATGATAAAATATGAACAATATGATAGCTACATTTTTTTTAAACACAGTGTGCTTGGCTAAGGGATTTATATGCATTGTTGTATTGTGTCTTCACTACAATCTTATGTGACAGATACTATTATCATCTCCATTTCACAAATTCAGAAACTGAGACGTGCAGAGAAAGGCATTGCTGACTGAATTTGAAGCAGGCAGGGAGATTCCAAAGAGGGATATTATTTAAGGCATAACCTGGGAGGATGAATGGGATTTAGACAGATGGAGGAGGATAAAGGGAGAAGGAAGGCTGTGTAGGTCAAGGAAACGACACAGAAATAAATAGTAAGCAAAATTAAGGGGCAATTGTGTTGAGAATGGAGACATGGTAGCGTTAAAAATGATATTCAGTACTTAAAACCTCTGGAATGATATCATACAAACTGCAGACTCTCAACAAACACAATGTTGTAGATGAAGTGAGTGGAGTACTTGGCACCAGTCACATGCTTTTACTTCTACTGGGCTGCGTTAATTGATATATGCTTTTTGTTCATGCCAAAGGCACTTTTATTATTATTTTTGATCCCTTAACTTGTTTGATAATTTCTTTTCTTTTCCCCGTAAACAGAAAGAAAATGCAATCACAGGTGAACAATAGGCTGGCTTCCCAAACAAAAGCTTGAAATGTGAAAGATGAAAAAAATCTATCTTGTCAGCATGTCAGCAAAATTGAATGAAAGTTGCCATACAGCAACAGATAGAAAACTCTTGAGGGTAAATGAAAGACATAAAACGTCAGTTCCAGTGATAGGAGAAGTGAACCAATCTTTCATGTGTACCTTCTTTGCACCATTATTATACCTCAATTATCTCTTCTAACTCTGCCGACGTGGCACTAGTATTCCTGTTTTACAGATGAGAAAACTGACACCTATGGGCATAAAATCCTTGCCTGAAATCACTGCAGTTAGCAATGGCAGACTGAAGATTTGAAACCCTGTCTATCTAACTCCAAATCTTATGTTCTTGCCATTATGATCTGTTGCCTCCATGAGAACTAATAGTCATTTAGGGTCTTATAGCAGAGTCTTCATATATTATAAATATTATGTATTATATATAATATGAATATTTAAGATTTCATATATTACTTTAAACCATTAAACCAGTTAAGCTTTGTGATCCCATAGCAGGTCTTCATTTTTAAGTACTCGAAAAACAGTAATGAGGGAAACAGAGGTAGAAGATTGGCTCTATTTACCAGTGTTGGTGCAGTTAATGAGAAGTATGAAAAAAATTTGTAAGCATACTCCAACTATTAAATACTTTTAGGAGTTTTAGTACTTTTAAAGGTTGTCTTCAGGCTAAAAGGTTTGTCTTAAAAAAACAAAAAAGGAACCGTAAATGCTGTTTGTTGAATTTGGGGAACACAACAGATGAACCCAAGATGCACAGAATGTTTTCATTGCTTGCAGGACTGCTTCTGACCAGTTGCTACCCACTGTGTCCCTTGCTGTCCCCAGTGCTTTTGAAGGTGTCAGTCTTTCTGCAGATTCTCATAATTTGCCAAAATGTTACTTTCAGAAGAGAAGGAAAACTGAGACTTTATCTAAATAGAAGCTTTGCTCTGTGATATGGTTTGGCTGTGTTTCCATCCAAATCTCATCTTGAATTGTAGTTCCCATAATCCCCATGTGTGTTGGGAGAGACCTGGTGGGAGGTAATTGAATCATGGGGGCAGTTTCCCACATGCTACTCTTGTGACAGTGAGTAATGTCTCATGAGATCTGATGGTTTTATAAGGGGCTTCCTCCTTTGCTCGGCTCTCATTCTCTCTCCTGCCACCATGTGAAGAAGGATGTGTTTGCTTCCCCTTCTGCCATGACTGTAAGTTTCCTGAGGCCTCCCCAACCATGCTGAACTGTGAGTCAATTAAACCTCTTTCCTTTATAAATTACCCAGTCTTGGCCTGGCATGGTGGCTCACGCCTGTAATCCCAGCACTTTGGGAGGCTGAAGCAGGCAGATCACCTGAGATCAGGAGTTCGAGACCAGCCTGGCCAACATGATGAAATCCTGTCTCTACTAAAAATACAAAAACAAAAAAAAAGTTAGCTAGCAAGATAGTGGGTGCCTGTAATCCCAGCTACTCGGGCGGCTGAGGGAGGAGAATCACTTGAATCTGTGAGGCAAAGATTACAGTGAGCTGAGATCACACCATTATACTCCAGCCTGGGCAACAAGAGTAAGACTCCATCTCAAAATAATAATAATACCAATAAATTACTCAGTCTCAGGTATGTCTTTATTAGCAGTGTGGGAACAGACTAATACACCCTATGTGTGAGTTACCACTGCTTGATTAAAAATTTCAATCAAAAGCATTTAGAATTAGTTTACCATCATAACTGTAAAAGGAGCAAGAGTGCAATGCTACTGATTAAACCATGCAAATATAAATGATAGATTTGTACCCTTTGTCTGATCTTAACCATGCCCATGTAGGGCTGTGTAAATTTCAAAACAGTGGTATATATTTAATTTTGCAGTGCATTTGGTCAGCATTCCTATGGAAGAGATAGTGTAGGAAATAGAATCAACATTTTGTGGTATGAAAACTTGAGGCCTAGAGATAGTAAGCAATTTTTGAATGGTCTCAGAGTTAGGTAAGAGTTAGCTAGGGCTAGACTTTATGTCTGGGTGACTCCTAGTTTACTGTCCTTTCTACTGCTCTAGCATCTTATAAGACTAAAGGCACTACAAATTGCACATTCCTCTCTTGGGGATTCTAAAAGTAATAGAGAGAGGTGTGTGACCTGAGACTAATTTCTTAAGAAGTGCCAGGAGGTTCTTTGATTAGAAACTTTGAGATATTCTATTCTTTTAGTCTATATCCCAGCTGAAGGTAATATGTTGCAGAATAGTTTTCTTTGAAATTCAGGCTTATGTTAACTGCAGTTCAACATTTCTGATGTTCCTAGAAATAGTTTGAGCAGTTGAATCAAAAGATGAATGATTTCAGCTCATGATTCCAGGTCAAATAATAGAATATGATGTATCCACTAAGAAGTTTTTTATGAATAGTGGTTTTGAAAACAATATAGTGTGATCACAACTACAATACGTTTGGAGAAACAAATCTAGAGAAAGTATTGTTTTGAATGAACAGAATAAAAAAATTCCCCTTATTTATAGTGATCATACAGATAGTTAAAAATACAGTTTTATTTAATTTAAAAACCACCAAAAATTTTTTAAAAATAGGACAAATTTCCTCTTGGAAGAGCCTCTTGGATCTTGAAGTCTAGAGGCAAATGCAAATATTGAAAAAATAACTCCAAGTGTCAGGAGTGTAATAAAGGAAAAATATAATAATAAAAACACCAGCTAGAAAAATCAGTAAGAAATATAGTTACAGAACTATAAATTCTCCTAGAACTACCCTCAAAAACTCAGTTTCCACAACCAGCACCTCCTGACTCGTTTCTATTGTTGACTGCCTGGATAGTTATTTGGTAATGATGAGAATAAAAGAATCATGAGTTATGGATAACAGTTTTCTACAATTCATTTATTCAGCAAATGTTTGTTGAATGCTTACTATATATTAGGGACCATGTTAGAAGCTTGTTTTAGAAGGTAAAGTAAACTCAGGCACTTCTTTCCCAAAGTTTATAATCTAATGAAGGTTATAGGAGAGTAAAATAATAACTGGAAACAAAGAAGCTATGAGTACACAGGAGGTGAATTCATTCTAATCTGGGGACCAGATTTCAAATTCCGTCTAAATTGAGAACCAAAGATGACTAGGACTTCTTCAGATACAGAGTGAGGGGACAGTGTTCAAAGCAGAGGAGATCTTTGTACAATGTCCTATAAGTGAAATAGAGCTGAATCGTTCACGGGACTGAAATAAATTCAATATAGTTGAATGGTAGGTTGTAAGGAGACAGAGGAATGAATGAGCTTCAAGAGATAAGCAATGCCAGATCATAAGGATTCTGAATATTTAAGGATTGTAAGCAGTAGAGAGATAGGATACAATTTGTGTTTGAGACACACCACCCAAAGGAGGTATACCACAAAATGAGGAGTGGGTGGAAGCGGGGACTGTCTAGAGGCAGGAAGTTTCATTAGGAAGCTTTTTTTCATAGCACAGGTGAAATAAGGACTTGGATAGTAGCAATGAGGTTGGAGAGAATTCAATATATTTAATAGAAACAACAGGACTTGCTGAGTGATTATATGCTGGAGTAAGAGAGGAGAAGACTCCAAGGATAATCTCAAAGTTTCCAGTTTGAGTAATTGAGTCAATTGTCATTTCATTTCTAATTCCCTGAGTAGGCAACACAGAAGAAAGCATGTTTTGGGAGATTATTGGTGATTTTGAGGGGCTTCTGGCATACCAAGTAGAATTTTTTATATGTGTCTGAATCTTTGGTCTAGAAACCATATATTTAAGAGGCGCCACTGGAATTCTATTCTATAACTAAAGAGACAAGGTTCAGCTTCGTAAAAACTGTTGATAAAGATGCTGCATCTTTATTGCGACATACTTTTTAAATCTCTCTGAATATCCCTGTGAAAACAGAGACTGGTATAAAAATCTGTGGTCAGCATCTAAAATAAAACTAGGTGGCAAAGCATTTCTATGAGCCTGAAAATGTTACCTGGTGAAGAAAAACTACTGACTGGTATAAGACCTGCATGGAATGAGCATCTTTGCACAGGAAGCAAAGGGAAGCAATAGTGCATCTGAAATAGGGGCTCCTTGGAAAGTTCTAAGGGCCAGCAGCCAAAAACTGAAATTTACAATGATGATGAGCAAACACAGGCACTTTGCATCCAGGGTTTATAATCTAATGTGGGTTACAGAAAGGTGAAACAATAACTATAGTGCAGGGTGATAGTGGAAGTATAGCACTACAATAGCAGGCAAGTCTGCAGCAAGGTTTGGGAGGGCTGGGCAACCTGAGCCCTATGAAATCTCAAATCTCATTGCCCAGTGGTCTCTCCAGTACAAAGATCTACCTGAGGCAAAACTGATGGGAATGAAATTCACATTGAACAGCATATGTTCAACAGAAACACAGGAAAGATAAAATCTAGATAAAAATTGTGAAGAGAGGCAAGAGATTTCAGAAAGAAAATCTCCATATTTTTAAACGTAACACAAAAGCAACTGATGGAAAAGCTCGAGAATGTGAAGTTAGGGAAGCTCTTCTGAAACATATCTTTCTCTAAATGTTCAGTAAAACTTCTTTTATGTAAAAATTATCAAAGGAATTTATCAAGGGCAAATCTCTATAAAATTATTAAATAAAAAGAGAGAATAAGAAGCCAAAGAACATTCCCATAGAGAATAAAAGAACTTCAGAAAGACATGCCACTAAAACAGATCAAAACTATAGATGCAGTGCAATTGTGTGTGTATACATGTGCATATATATATATACACATACACACATACATATAATCACACATGCATAAAAGAGGGGAACAGGAGATCACATGCAAATATATATGTATATACACACACTCACATACACATATATATATACACACACACACATATATATTTACCTTTTTAGTAATTATGGTATTGGTATTATTATGTTGAGACTGTCCTATGTGTGTAAATAAACTAAATTATAGGATACTCAAATTTTATTATCCTCTGTCATATTAAGAACCCAAATTCTCAGTGTTAAAGAAAGAAGATGCAAGTTTAAAACAAAAGATGTTAAGTAAAATCCCTGCAGTCGTGAATTTGAGTTGGAAGTGTTAGTATAAACCCAAGAGATAATCCTGTCGCTGTCTACTGAAAAGGATTAGAAAAAAAGGATTAATTTCATAGCCATGGGCTTTCCTGAAGTCCAGATGGTGGTGTTGGAAATACTACTTCCCATGGAAAGAAAAGAGAACTTCTTGAGCAAAAATCTGATTCCAGGCCAGGTGCAGGAAATGTCCAAGATGAGTGTGGAGCATCTTATCATACTAGAGAGCAAGGATTCTACCAAAGACTACTGTGGTCACGACAAAAGGATTGAGAATCCAACCTGAAAAAGCTCCCATTGGCAAAAGCAACAACTGAGCACCAATAAGAGTGATAACTGTGGCTGGGCATGGTGGCTCATACCTGTAATCCCAGCACTTTGTGCTGAGGCAGGCAGATCACTTGAGGTCAGGAGCTCGAGACCAGCCTGCTCAACATGACAAAACCCTGTCTCTACTAAAAATACAAAAATTAGCCAGGTGTGGTAGTGCATGCCTGTAATCCCAGCTACTAGGGAGGCTGAGGCAGGGGAATTACTTGAACCTAGGGGTTGGATGTTGCAGTGAGCCGAGATCATGCCACTGCGCTCCAGCCTGGGTGACAGAGCTAGACTCTGTCTCAAAAAAAAAAAAAAAAAAAAAAAAAAAAAGAGTGATAACTGCAAAAGATTAAAACACATTGATACATTTAAACCATGGGTTCATAATACTTAGAAAAGCTAATTGTTCACTTCTGTAGGATGCTATGAAACTCACCTATTATTCTGAAAACTGTTACTATGGTTTGGATATGGAGAATTAGAGTAACTACATCCTCTTCATAAGGTCATCAATAATTTTGTTTCTTTTAATCTAAGCCCGATTTAAAAACTAGCATTTCCAGGAGTTTTTGCCTTGACAAGATCCTGGTGCATACTTGCCATTAATGTTCACAAGGAATTTTTATAATGTATTATGATGAGGGGAGGTGCAGAAGGAGAGTATACTAAGGATATATCTCTTTGAACAGTCAAAGTTATTAGGGTATTAGGAGATGTCTGATGAGCTGGAATAGTCCTGATTGATATCAGGTGTCAGGAAGAACAAGCCATCCCACTCTAAGATTAAATTTATTATCCAGAAAGGAGAAGTTTGATTTGATGAGCTGCACTTAATCACAGGGCTCATGTTGATACAGGAAGCTCTGCTGGGTACAGTGTCTGAATCTCTTTTGGCCCCATTTACCCTGGCACTCTGGGTATGTCTTTAAGGAAAGAGCTTCACAGGAGTTTGAACTGGAATTGTTGGCTAATAATATCTATAGAATGAGGAGCCAAGACGTACTTTGGCCTGAGGTTCCTGAAACTGAGTATAACACTGGGGAGAATAAGAGAGATTAACACACGAAGATTTCTTGAGATCAACAATTTTAGAGATTCACTGTAAAGGGTTTGTCTCAGTAACTGTATGCTTTGGACAGTAAAAGAGAAAAGACTTGATGCCTGGGCCATGCTAAGAAATCCTGAATGTTGGAGGTGGGGATTGGAGAATCCCAGAAGAAAACCGTGTTTTCTGGTTCACAGACACTGAAATTTGAACACCAAGAGAAAAGCCAACTTGAGATTGTCTAACGTTTCTCATGATTGGAATGAAAATACCACAGCATCATCCATGTCCCTACAAAGAACATGAACTCATCCTTTTTATGGCTGCATAGTATTCCATGTGTATATGTGCCACATTTTCTTAATTCAGTCTATCATTGATGGACATTTGGGTTGGTTCCAAGTCTTTGCTATTGTGAATAGTGCCACATAATGGGTGCAGCACACCAACATGGCACATGTATACATATGTAACAAACCTGCACATTGTGCACATGTACTCTAAAACTTAAAGTATAATAAAAAATAATAATAATAAAGAAATTAAAAAAAAAGAAAAGAAAATACCACAGCAGTGAGGTTTCCCCTTCCCAGTGCATCATGTCAAGAGTTTCATGATGTCAATATGTCTTATGACTAGTGATATTAGCTTTGATCACTTGGTTAGGGTGGTGTATCAGTCAGCGTTCTCCAGGGAAACAAATTAGGAAGAAGAGGAGGAAAAAAATAAGGAATTGGCTCTCACAATTATGGAGGCTGACAAGTTCCAAGATCTGCAGTTGGCAACCTGGAGACCTAGGAGAGCCAATGGTGTAGTACCAATCCAAGGCCTGATGGCTCAAGAACCAGGAGAGCCAATGGTATAAGTCCTAGTCTGAAAACTGGCACTCTGAAGACCCAGGAAGAGCTGATGTTTCCATTTAAGTCTGAAGGCAGGAGAAAATCAATGTCCCAGCTCAAAGGCAGTCAGGCAGGAGCAAGTACTCTCACTCAGCCTTTTTGTTCTATTCAAGCCTTTAACTAATTGAGTGAGGTCCACCCACATTGAGGAGAGCACTCTGCTTTACTCGTCTACCAGGTCAAACATTCATCTCATCCAGAATCCCCTTCACACACTCAGAATAAGGTTTGACCAAATATCTGGCACCTCATGATCCAGTCAAGCTGACACAGAAAATTCCTCATCACAAGTGGTGTCTCCTTGTTTTTCCACTGTAAAGTTACTATCTTTATGATTAAATCAGTATACTTGACACGAAAGCATCAAGAAAATGGAAGACAAGGAAAGAATGCGAAACTTTCATAAATTAGAGAAAACTAAGATGAAATAACAATTAATTACAATGTGAGATACTGGATAGAATCCTGGAATGGAAAATAGACTTTAGGGAAAAAACTGGTCAAATTGGAATATGATGTATAGTTTAATTAATAGTCTTGTACCAAAGTTAATTTCCAGTTTTTGATAACTGTACTATGTTCATGGAGGATGTTAACATTAAAGGAAGGTGAATCAGCATTGTACAGAAGCTCTCTATACTATTTACAACTTCTGTAAGTCTAAGAGCAGTTCAGAATAAAACTTTTTTTAATTAAAAAAATCTCATTTTGTATCCTCCAACTGCAGATAGCACACACTGCAGTACATTCTACAGGCCTCTTGGCCTCAGCTTGTGGCTGTTTTCTAGCCACGGGAGGGGCAGGCTGGGTTATTCCCACTGTGACAAACTTCATCGATGAAGGACGATTTCTCCTGTTTCCTCGCCCCCTCAATGGAGTAAGGGTCTGTCATTTTCCATACATCCTCTCAGAGAATTCCCAGCTGGACTGAACTTAGTTTTCCACAGCAGTAACCCCTAGATTGTCCGGCGGGGTGCTGGTAAATGTCGAACAACTGGCTCTCTTAAAAAACGTGCCCCAATGTTATAGTGTTTGCCAGTCTCCACCATGACTGACTTGAAGCTGCCAGTGCGCTATCACTGAGTGCAGAGTAGGGAGGCGATGTGCAGAAGCACGCTGTTATGTTCCCATCATATGGACCTCAAGAAACAGGAGCAAAAATAATTCTAAGTGATGATCACCTTTGTTTTTTAAACATAATTTAACTAATTGAAAGTTTATATAATGTAATTTTTTAACAATGGCTGTGTTTAACAACTTGCTTGCAAAAGTCCTGAAAAATTAACAATTGGCTTTTACCAGTGGGTATAACCTGGCTTCTGCAAAGGACCGTGACGTTAATGCACCCTTAGCTGGCTCTCCTCCCTTCCGTGCCCCACTTCCCCACTTTCTCACCATGCTTCCTGACATCACCTCCCAAATCAACTAACTCTTTGCATCAGGGTCTTTTTTTGTGTGAACCCAAACTAGGCAGAGACCAAGAAATCTTTAGCACATACCAAAATTTTAGATGATTTCTTTATGAAAACTGGGAAGCAGCCGTTCTATGGTGTCAGTAAGAAATAATAATAGCTAGTATTTATTAAGTACTTTGTGCTGAAAACTGAGCCAAACTCCTTCCATGGACGTGGCCCAGAAACAAACCATATGACATAAGAGCTCTCATTACCCTTATTTCACAGATGAGAAAACTGAGATTTACAGTCATAGAGCCACGTGTCCAAAGTCATCAAATTAGCAAGTGTCGGAATAGGTGTATATGCAGGTAGTTTATTGTAGATCTGTGTTTTAGGCACGGGGTAAGTTTAGCATCCATTTAGGAGACACAAGGAGCGAGTGTGGCTGGAACCTGGAAATCATAAGGCAAACCTGTTTGCTTGACAGTGGGTGGCTGAGATGCCAAATCTGCAGAGCAGGAAGGTGTACTCGTATCAGTTTGGCCATTCTGCCCACTGTGTGAGTTAGAAGCAACACTTTTCCCAGGGAGTCTGTGTTTAATGTATAAATAAATAATCCAAATATAAATTGCAATCTCACAGCGCCCCCCTCCTTTTTCCACTTTGTGATATAAAAAGCATGTACAAACATATGCTTCTGCTGGATTTTTCTTTGTGGTGACCTCTCTGTGAAGACACTTTGAAACAACAGCTCATGGTCTGTTTTATGGCCTGGACCTCTGGTTTGTCATTTACAAAGTACAGAAATATTCCACGTGTGGTTGAAGGTGGTGCCAGTACAGATAGGAAGCTTTATTCTGTGGCTGCTGAGGTTATGCATGAATGAAGGACTGGGGTCCAAAAACAAGCTCAGGGCTCTGCACAGGAGAGGTGACCATTTCCATTCAGTACCGAATTAGATTGAACTGCAGCCACAAGGAAGGCCAGTGACAGGTTGCTTTTAATAAGTGTCCTGAAAAGGGACTATTGTGCTCCCTCCCACACTACCTCCTGGCTCTTAGGTTATTGCCATTATAATTAGTATTAATTATAATGCTATGGCACTTTAAATGCCAATTGCAGTTTGTGACTTAAATAAAAGAAAACGATAAAACCACACACATTAAAGTAATCAGAAGGATTTTTAATTTGGTAAAGGAGCAAGCTTTCTCTTTATTGAGGTTCTAGATCTCTGCTGCAATTGCTACAACAGCAGGAAACAAACCAGCAAAGGAACAAACAAAAACTTAAGGCATTCCCTTTTCTCCTTGTGAACCTTTATACTAAGAAGTAGATAATAGCATTTTATTTATGGTAGAAGTACAAGGCCAGATGATGCATTCTTTTGGAGGGCTTTTCTTGATGAATTCAGTTTAAAAATCTGAGCAGACAGCAATATTATGATCTGAATACAGAAGTGTTCATGCCAGGTGGAGGTTCAAGGTACGGTTTCTGAATGTGTGAATGATGCCTACAGCTTGCCACCTCTCAGCTAGTCTTTGAATATTAACTCTTCAAACCTAGGAAAAGTTTCCCAGATAACTAAATGACCTTTGCATATTTGAGAAGCAAAGTGGTAATAATTGAACTGAACTGCACTGAATTGTATTGAATATGAAGTCTAACAGTAGCAAGTAGAGAAAACAATTATATTCTAAAGGTTTTCAAAATTTACTGTGCAATTTCATAACTTTTTTATTACTGTGGACTCAAATAACCTCTAATAAAAATATGGCAATCATAGATTTTCCCTTTCTCAAGGCACCTGCATTCCCGAGAAGAAAGTGCATTCTTTTCTCTATTTCTGTTCTGATTAGTACAGTACTCAATGAAAAGATGAAAAAAAAGCATGTTCCTAAATTTATGGGGGATAAAAATCAAAGTTCACTAGGACACATTTTGTTGTTTCTCTATTATCTTCTCTGTTTACACATGTTTAGTAAAAAATCAGACTCTATCACACATGGGGAGGGCCAGGACTAGGTGAGGTCAATTAGGTGCCTAGGTGTTAAGAAGACCCTTGCTTTTGGGGTCATGCAGGTGTTTGATCCAGCGTTGAAGACCCCAGAGCCTACAGGACAGGTTTACTTCCCTGTAGTTCAGGTCAGTCAAACGTGAGCATAGGGGGCGTCAGCTGTGGCCCGTGCCTGCTAGAGCACTGTGCTACACTTCATTCATTTATACATTAATTAACTCAGCAAATATTTATTGAGCATCTGATATTCACGGTAGTCCCCTTTTATCTTCAGTTGTGCTTTCCATGGTTTCAGTTATCCATGGCCAACTGTAGTCCGAAAATAGGTAGGTTCAGTACAATAAGATATTTTGAGAGACAGAGAGAGAATCCACATTCACATAGCTTTTACCCTACTCCGTCACTTTACTCCACTTGAATGTCTCTTATCAAAAGTTACTGACAACCTCCACATTACTCTGCTGTGCCACTCTACTACTAACATCCTATTTTCAGGAATATCTTTATACACACAGAAAATAATTAAATGCTTTCCATTGAATAAATGAATTTGGGATTATTACAATAGTAAAAGAAACTGGTGGATGTTAAAAATGCCAACGACGAAGTTAAAAATAGCTCCCTAGGCTGGGAAAGTTGTTTGGATATAGGTCAACAATCCAAAGCCTTCTAAAGAAAGTGGAGAAGATATCTGTCAATAAAACAATAATTATATGTGACTCATCAGTAAGAAATTGCCAAGTTGGAAATTGCCACCAAAGGGACTGTACTATAATGGTGTTTAATTCAGTTATTGCTTCAAAAATAGGAAATACATAAGGATAAATGGCTCATGCCTGCAAGGCTTAATACCTAGTTGATGGGTTGATAGGTGCAGCAAACCATCAAGGCACATGTTTACCTATGCAACAAACCTTCATGTTCTGTACATGTATCCTGGAATTTTTACAAATAAAATTTTAAAAAGTAGGAAATATAGTGCTAATATTTAAAAAAATCACTATTTCAAAGAAGCTTCTAAAATGGAAGTGATGTTTCTGGAAGCAAGCAAACAGCAGGCATGGATTCATGGCTACCACAGTTTCATGCAAGATATTTCACATTAATTCACTCTTCTAAATCCGATTTCTAATCTTGTTAGGGTAGTGAGAAAATCAATCTCAGTCCTTCCTAGAGATCCCAATTCCATCAGAATTAGGCTGAAGTCCTGGAGTGAGGCTTACACAGTCCAGATCTTTCATGGAGTCACCTTTAGCTGTCAATTCACAGAGGTCATTGTGATACGCCTACTTAGAAAAGTTAACATGGTTGGTTCTTTTGAGGATGGGTGCCCAAGAGCATCTTTGTGGAGGCTAGAAGTCCCTACAACTAACATTTCTTTCTACTTCAATGTATCAAACTGCTTGTTTTCCTCAGGTTAGTCCTCTACTCAAGACAGAGAAATGGCGGGGCGAGAGGAGTAGGTGGGGAGCCCTGAAAAAAATACCCTTTTCCAGTTTTGGATAGCTTCCCCCTCCTCCAGATAGACAGTTTTTGCCTCTGCCATGACTAACATTCTTCTTCATCCTCCCTTGTATCTGCCATTTTAGGCGAATTTTGCTGTACTAACAGCAACTTCAAACGCTCAGTGGGCTTACAACATAAAGGTTTGTTTCTTGCCCTTTTCATGTTCGTTGTAGATTGGATGTGGCTCTAAATCATGCCTTCTTAGTAGATCCAGATTTTTGGAGCTGCTCCTACCTGGTCTCAAGGCGGAGGGAAAAAGGGCAATACCACAACCATGAAATGATCCTTCAAATTTTGGTTTGGAATTGCGTACATCATTTCTGCTCGCAATTTATTGTCCAAAATATATCAGATGGCCAAGCTTGATGCTGATAGGTAGGGAAGTACATCACTCATTGGGAGAGGCACTGAAAAATTGAAAACAATAACACAACCTCCTATACTTCCCTGGGGGTAACATTTAAGGGAAATAAAGTACGACGTCTTTTTTTCTGGACGTGGGGAAGTAAAAAAGAGAAAATAAAACCAGTTAGCATTTTCTTTCTTATTAGGTCAGTTTGCTGTGTAAGCAAGCACTTTGAAGTTATAAAAAGAGGAAATTTGGGAAAGTAGGGTCTAACAATTCTATAATATTGCCAGTCAGGCTCGAATCAACCATTTAATGCATGTTAACTCATTAAAAAGAGCAATTCCATGAGGTAGATACTATTTTTCCTTCCCTCGCCTTCTCATTTTTATAGACAGATGAATTTAGGTGTAGTGGTAAAGTCACTTGTTAAAGAAACACAAGTAAAAATTCTGGGTACAGGATTGGGACCCTAGGTGTTTAGCTCCAGGATCTAAGCTCTTAACTATTGTTCTACGTATTATTGAGGATTAGACCCATTCAGACAGTACTTATGGGATCCTAAGATCCTAATAAGAGAATCAGTGGCAATCATCTGGCTTTATTCTATATAATATCTTTCTATATATGTCTGAAAAATAGATTTTTTTCTCTGTGTTTCTTTGAAGCTTAAAATCTTGCTGTGCCATTTTGGGATTAAAGCTCAATTAAGAAAATAAAATACTCATGCTATTGATCTTTTAGTAGAGAGGTTACAGCTATAATCATTTACTCTTAGGAGTCAGTTATCTTTCCACATGCTCAGTTGTGATCCTTCATTCATTTATAGGGATTCCTGAGCCCACAATCCAGATCCTGACATGTCTTGCTGTGTGCCAGGAATTACCCCCAAATTATTAAGGCTATACCTGCAGATCCACGTCAGAAATTTCTGCCCACTGTCCCCTCCCTTCCTTCTATCTTCCTTTCTCTCCCTTATACCTGATATGAGAACTGGGGTGCATGAAAGCGACAATCCCAGCACACATTGCTGCTAGGACCCTTCCTCTTTCTATCACCTTCCTTCTGCTGTACTGAGGGAGGGTAGATTTTCCAGGATGAAATGCCACACTGCCATGTCTGTGCTTATCCTCTTAATTCACACATATGCAAACACACAAATCCCAGCACAAACACACAAGGACACATACATATGTCTGCAGGCATGCACACACATTCCTCCTGCTCTTTTGTTTCTAGACATTTCATTTTCTGAATGCTAAATACCAAGTTGCTGAGACACAGTACTACATAGGACTGCCTCAAGAAGTAGCATCCAAAATGCAGAGGGATGGCTGCCGATTCCATATATCCCACTTCTTCCTTTTAAAGGATTTTTTAAATGCAGAACTTAAATTGAAATTGGCCAGTTGTACTTTCTTTAGAAAATATTAATACTTAGTAGTCTTTTGAAGTTAGTAGTAGAATGTGGAAGAGCTGATGGCTCCCAAGCAGGAAAGCAGCACCTCCGCTTGTTTGCTTTGCTCTTGGTTCTACCACTCCAAACCCACCCACCAAGACTCTGAACCTGTCCACTCCATGCACATAGAGACCTTCTAGCTGGGTCCCCCACACCACCCACCTCCTGCCCATGTGAGCTGAATTTGTGTCTTTGTTCCTCCAGACAACCTTGGCACGATGTCTTATCTTAAGTAACCACCCTACACAGTCAATGGGCTAAGCCTGAGCACTTTGGGTATGGACTTGCTGCACCCCTTGGTGGCTATCCGGCTATCCTCCTGGAAACAACACAGGGAGAGGACAACATTCACCTGGGAGCAACGACATGTGGTGGGACTGCTGTTTGCTAAGACCCAGTACTCAGCCATTTCCATGTGGGAGGAGGTAGTGCTGAAACTCAACTTGCCCAAGTCCAGGGTACAGGTATGGTTTAAGGAATGAAGAAGAGCTGAGTGCCGCCGACCACAGCAGTAACAACAAAATGGAAGTCAAAACAAAGCGAGACCTGCTATAAAGAAGCCATCTCCAGTAGTTCAGGAAAGATACAGAGCTTCATGCGTGTAGTTTTTTTTTTTTTTTTTTTTTTTTTTTTTTGAGTCTCAGTCTGCTGCCCAGGCTGGAGTGCAATGGCGTGATCTTGGCTCACTGCAACCTCCACCTCCCAGGTTCAAGTGATTCTCCTGCCTCAGCCTCCCAAGTAGGTGTAATTACAGGTGCCCACCACCATGTCCAGCTAATTTTTGTATTTTTAGTAGAGACGGAGTTTCACCATGTTGGCCAGGCTGGTCTCGTACTCTGGACCTCAGGTGATCTGCCCACCTTGGCTTCCCAAAGTGCTGGGATTACAGGTGTGAGCCACCATGCCCAGCCAAAATAGGTTACAATAAAAAGCAAAATTCAGAGCAACTGAGTACTGATCTGTTAGGTTGGTGCAAAAGTAATCGTGGTTTTTGCCATACTTTCAATGGCAAAAACCGCAATAACATTTGCACCAACCTAATAAAAAGATTACCTCTGGCTAGAGGTGAGCTGGACTGAAACTTTATGACAAAATGTCTCTGGACAAGCAGAGTGAGAGAAGAGAAACAAAAGGACATTAATTCATCTGTAATTTACCGTCGGTAAGCCTAGCAGTAAAGAGATATTGGTCAATTGCTCTGATGATGATGAATTATTAAATTGAGATCATTGTTGTTTATACTTGCAAATGTTAAACTTGGAAAAGTTATATATGCATAAACCTTTTCTTCTTGCATTTGGCAGATATATATAATTATATCAAAATGGTTCCAGCATACACAAAAAAGAAAACAATATCAATATGAAATGGAGATGTGCTTTTTTCATTCCTCTACACCACAACTCATGATATGTTCTTCACAGATAACATAAGGGTTTTCTCTTGTTATTGAACCCTGTGCTCTATCATTAGGAAATACAATATTCTGTAATATATAGTATTCTATAATATATATAGATTGTATATATATTACATATTCTATATAATTACATATATAGATAATATATATAATCCATACATATTACATATTCTATGTAATATGTAATATATAGTATTCTAAAATAGAATAACTTTTTAAAAGTTTCAGGTTTTCTAAAAGTAAAATGAGGGACTATAAGCTCTCCATTGGGATAAAATAGTTTCCCTGACATGCCTATGGTTTTTTATTTCTTGAACATAAATAAATTCCTCTAATCTCTGGTAAAAAAGCAAAGTAAATCATGAAACTACAATGGTAGCCCAATGTTTTAGTGCTCCATTCCTAAAACTCTGTTTCTTTCAGAACACTAAAATCATTTAATCTTAAGTTGTTAATTGATGTTTTGGGTTGAATTCTCAAGAGTACCAATAGAGTAGGGAAATGAGACAGGAAATGGAGGAAAGTCAAGAAAATATGGATTATAAAGGGGGTTTCCTCTGTGGGCACTTGGGGGTCTGGTCTCACAGGGGCACTCTGCGAGGTATTAAAGAACATGCTTTCTACCCAAAAGTTAACTCATTTAACTGTCATTCATCAATGCCTAAGGGCTGCTCCCAAGGGCCTTGCATCCCTCGCATTTCCAGCCTTCCTCTCACCTATGAAAGAAAGCTCTCAACTGCTCGTAGTTATAGGCACACACTGGAATTTTGAGTTTTGAAAGGATATAAGTAGGGCATCAATAGCTTCTATTGTAATTGGTGCAATGTTATAAACAGACAGCTGGTTAAATAATTTTGGAATACATAAAAACAATTGCTAGGTTGCTTAACTGCACATCTTTTCACATTCTTTCGTGTATTAATATACACAGTGAATCTCTAAGAGGAGGCTGTATAGTATAAAATCTATCCCCAGGCTACTTTACTATAAAACTATTTTTTTCATATAAGGTCTACTACACATCCTAGCTTATCAGCTTTATAGATGTGTCATGGTCTGAAATGATCTTGTTTACTTTTAATAACCTGTATATTATCTTTCCTGTATAATAACCCATATATTATTCCACTGGAATATAAGTTTCATGAAGTAGGGACTTTGCCTCTTTTGTCACTATATGTAATTTATACTTCAATGTAAAATATAATTAAAAGTGAAAACATAGCCAAACCCAAATATTTGGAAATGGACATTCTCACTTCTCAAATGAAGAAAATGTAATGGAAATTAGAATGTTTAGAAGTAAATGACAGTGAAAATAATACATATTAAAATTCATGGGATATAGCAGTACTTTGGGAAAAATTTACAGCATGTATTAATATATGTGCGTGTGTACATACTCATGTGAAAGCAGAGAGTTTGAAGATTGAAAATTAATGAGCTAAGTATCCAATTTGAGAAAATAAGTTGTAAAAAGAATAATAAAGTGATATTTTTAGCTGTTTTGTGTATGAATTGTGAAATAGTCATATTTTATAAAAGCTGATGAGAGACCTCTGATGTTTAGTTCATACTAGCTGCTACCCGCGTGGTCCTTGCCCTTGGGCCATGGTCCATCTGAAGGCATGCAGCTTCTCTCCTTAATGCTAACGTTTGCGTAGTATTTGTCTGGTATATATTTCCCAGCATTTTTTTCTTTTTTTGGTTACCTTATGTCTTCAGCATGTCTTCTCTAAACAGAATAAAGCAGTATGTTTTAATGCAAATTGAGACTCTTTGTTTTTGAACTAGCAAGTGTAGCCCATTGACGTTTATTGTGATTAATACCATATTTGAATTTATTTCTTCCATATTACCTTGTATTTTTTGAACTTTTTTTCTTCTATTTCTTTAGTGTTTTCCATTGGTTTGAGTTTTCTTCCCTTCCATTTTTACCTGATTCATTTAGAAGTTATATAATCTGTGACCATTTCTGAATCTGTCAGGTTTTCTAGGACATAAGCATGGTCTTGCTGGGGGAAACAGTAGCTAGATTGTGTTCACAAAGCTTTACCATGGACAAACTTCCTTTGGTCTGTTGATCCTATGGCAATTGTAGGGGTGGATATCCTTCAGTTCTGCACAGATAGAAATAGAAAACAAGGAAAAGATACAAATCTTAACAGCAGAAGGCTATGAAATGATGAAAGTGACATTTGGAAGCAATGAAGTAATATCTGCTGATTACTTGTTATTTTATGTAGAGTATAAATGAACTTGTTCAAAAATTCTTTTGACTAGTGACTTTTTCTTGGATTTCTGAGCCTTTTATTTATTGCCATAATATATTTTTAATTGATTTGATACTGGCGTAGAAAAGAATCTGTCTAAATTAACCAAAACATTCCTTAAATTAGTGTAGATTTGTATTTATCTAAATTCTTTGGGACTTACATGTCTTCCACCTGAAAATACACATTTTCTGTCTGTTCTGGAAATTTATTCAATCATTGAATATTGAATAGTATATTGAATATTGCCAATGACCATTCTCTCTATTCTCTCCTCCTTAACTCCTCTTAGATAATGTTGGACCTTCTCATCACATCCTACATGGTGCTCAGAATCTTTTTTTTTTTTTTTCCAACTCTTCATTTATCCAAGCTACCATCTGGAAAATTGCTTAGATCTCTCTTTAATTGCACCAATTTTCTCTTCAGTACGGTCTAATTAGTCAGTATATTGAGGCTTTAATTTAAACCACTATTTTTTTATTTCAAAACTTTTAGTTTGATTTTTCTTCACACCTGCTCATTCTTTTTTTCAGAGTCTTGCT